>NC_000020.11:62483525-63100405 GCF_000001405.40 Homo sapiens
GAGGATCTGCAACAGACACACATTGGCTGGGCCTGAGCAAAGAGGGAAAGCCACTCTCCTTCAGCAACGAAGGAGTGGGGATAGCAAGGGCTGAGCTTGTACATGCACACCTGTGTGCAGCCACACACATACACCTGTGCACACACATGCATATGCTCATATATGTGCACACATGCAGGCCCGTGCTCACATGCATGCATACCTCTGTGCCCCCACACTTAATGCACATACATGTGCACATGCACACCTACACACATTCCTATGCACCCACCCAGTGCTCATGACAAACCTGTGTGTACTTACGTGTGTACATCCAGATGCACCCACACACTCGCACACATGCCTCTACGTGTACGCCCATGGGCACGTGTGCTCACAGAGGCCTGGAAGGTGCTGTTTTTCCACGCGACGATGGCTGCCGTGCTCGGTGGGAGCAGCCGCGTTGCTGCCTGTTCCCGTGCCCCAGTCTGGCCGTCACTCCTCACCCTCGTCAGGCTCAGGGTGGGAGGGTGAGTAGCCTGGAGTGGCCTGGTCACGTAGGTGGGCAGCCAGCTGGGGCACTGACCTCCAGATGGGCCACGAGAGCCCTTCCTGCATCTTCTGAGTCCCTGACTCAGTGCCCAGTGAGGGTCCCGGAGGGCAAAAGAATGTCTAACGCTCCACCTGTGGGCGGGTCTGGCCTTACGGAAACTTCTCCATGGCAGGTGGAGGCCTGGTTGAGTGGAGCAAAGGGCAGGCATTCCCAGTGATCAGGAGCTGGGGCCAGGCCTACTGACACCTTGATGCTGAGGGGCCAGAGCGGTCCTGAGCGATGTCCCGAAGGCCCAGGGTCTGGGCAGGTGGAGGCAGATGGACCAAGCAGGGCCTTTGTGTTCCAGGGCACTTTGCAGGCAGCAGGACCCCCAGGTCCTCTGGAGAGGGTGGCTGGAGACCCGGCCTGAAGCTGCTGCCCCCAACACCACAGGATACCTGCCTGCAGGTGCCATCCATTGCTTGGGGGCTGCACAGAGCAGTTTTGAGCAGGCAGTGGGGTGTCACCTTGGAGTGGCTGTGAGATGTGCGGGACCCTTGGGGGCCACCTGGGGTCAAGCCCAGCCCTGCCTCTTGGGCTCTGGGACCCTGGGGGAGCCACTCCGTGCTCTGTGCCTAGGTCTGTGACCCTGGAGGAGGGCGGTGCTGTCCATCTCCGGGGACGATGGTTGCATCTCAAGGGTAAGGGCCCCAGGCCTGCCAGGTGCTTCGAGTACAGTCCAGGGGCGGCCTCTCGGGGCTGCTCTGGTGGGCGGCCAGACCCTGCTGGAATGTGACTCTGTTCCTGGGATCAGGACCTGCCCTGTTGCTTGTGGGCAGGGTTGCCTTTGTCAGGTCCTGCCATTTCTGAGCCTCAGTTTCCCAATCTGTGGTGGGGTTGACGTGAGGAAATGAGAAATGCACCCAGGGAGCACTGGCTGGCGCTGCAGGGCAGCAAGGGGGAGCCACCATGGTCACTCTTGGAAAAGTCCCCAGCCCTGCACCAGCAGGGCAGTAAGAAAGTCCACGGCTGCCGCTGTCCTGGAGAGAGGCAGCAGCCCGGGAGAGGCAGCAGCCCTGGCCACACCCCTGCCAAGAGCCAGCTCAGGGGCCCAGGGCCGCTGAGATCACTGGGCAGTTCCCAGGCTGGCTGGGCTGTCCCCTCGTCAGGAGGGCAGGGCTGGCAGGTTTGTGGACGCCTTCCCAGGCTGACCCCCACAATAGCCGCCCTGCTCCACCCTGAATCTACCCGTCCCAGGCTGCGCCTGCCTCCAAGTGCCTGATTGGAGATGGCCAAGCCCATTCCTCATGTACAAAGAATTTCCCGAGCAGCCACAGCTGCTGCAGCTGGAACTTGTCTCCAGATGGGTCGTTCCGAGGGAAACCAGCGTCTCCTGTCTCCTCCTGCAGACATGGGCTGGCGTCCGAGCCCTGGATCCCCTGCCCTGGCTTGGCTTCCTCTGGAGGGGAGATAAGGGGCTCCTGACATCTTGTAGGCTGAAGAACCCGCCCAGCACGCTGACAGGGAGGCGCCAGAGGCAGCCGCAGACCGGCCTCAGCCCCTGCAGCCCCTCCCCTCTTGTTGTTGCAGAAAGAAGCCCTCAGGGCCCAAGGTCGACCCACCCAGCCAGGGGACTGCTCTGTAGCTGTGGCCCACTCCAGCCAACCCGGGAGTGAGGGGCTCCGAAGCGTGCCCAGCACATAGGGAGGGCTCATTCCGGGGGGCACCGTCTCCCAGTCAGAGCAGGCTGGAGCTGGGCACAGCCGAGGAAGAGCAAACGTGTTCTGTCCTTGACTCCTTCTCCAAGTTTGTGATGGCATCTGCCATGGGCCAGACAGGGGCACACGAGAGTGAGCGAGTGGACGTGGCTGCCCTCTGGAGCCTTCCAGGGCGCGATGGCAGGTGTGGAGAGGCACACAGGGAAACCCTGGAGTCTCGCCGAGGTACAAGGCGATGCAGAAAGGGCCAGGGAGTTCCCAGAGACTGTCAGGGGCTCCCTGGGCGGAGGCAGAGACCCCCACCTGGCCCCTGGCACCTCCAGCACCATGGGCGCCCTGGCTAGGGATCCCTTCCTGTCTGAGGTCAGCGCTGCAAACCTGTGGCTGCGGTTACCCCACCATGTTTTTTAAAATTGGAACAATTCATGTAAAAGCCCAGATTCATTTTTTCTTGAAAAAAATTGACAGCCAACTGTGACCACAGTGGGCTTGTTTCTACGCATTGGGGGCTCTTCCCTCGGAACAGGCAGTGCTCTCAGTTGCCGTAGACGCCCCCCACTCCCTGTCATCTCACCCGGTCCCTGCTGGGCCTCTTTGTGGCCCATCCCCTGGTTCAGATATTTCATTCAAAGACCCACCCCCCCAGGGGGAGGCCATCCTTCTCAGGAAGGTCGCTTGGCCTGGACTCGGAACTGGACACTCATTACTGGTCACCCTGTGACTGGAGCAGGACTTTGCCTTTCTGCACCTCGGTTTCTCCATCCTAAGAGGGGCTAACGCCTGTGTCGTGGGACTGTCCCGAGGCGCTCAGAAGCAGTAGGCTTGCTCATGCTTAAGCACAGAGCTCACAGCTGGGGGTGGCCCCTGTGCCACAGGTCCCTGTGTGTGCCCAACTCCCGCTGCAGAGGGCAACGCTGTGTGTGCCCATGTCTGTGCTGTGGATGCAATGTGTAAACTGCACAGCCTTTGACGGTGGCTGCCTGGGTTGGAACGCGGGCCTCTATGTGTGCTCTCCAACGGCCTGTGGCGGAAGGGCAGCCCCTCCCTTGGTGGGGGAAGTTCTCCATAGCTTTGGTGCTTGGGAGGTTTGGAGATGGCTTAGAGAGCCATCGGGATGTGAGGGGATACATTTATCTCTGTCTTCTTGGGGACAGACCTCGGAGGTCCCTCTTTCACCCTTAAAGGCCTGGATGAATGGAATCCGTGGGGCAGGATTCTCAAAGCAAGACTGGTGGGGCCTCACAGGCATTCCTGGAAAAGGGCTGTGGAGTTAAAAACCCAAGCGGGAAATAAACAGAACTAGGCTTAGGAAGGGTCTCTCTGGGAGGCCTGTCTGCCCTCCATCTTTCGTGGGCTCAGGAGCACTGCCTGGGGCTGGGAGCGAGAGCTCGGATACTTTACGTTCTCTGAGGCGCTGACCGTGGCTCTGCGAGGAGGAGTGTTCCTCCGGACAGACATCTTTCAGCGGCGCTGGACTAAGCCATGGGACAGGTCTGACTGTGGCTCTGCGCTCCCCGCCGCCCCATCTGTTGCCCCCTCCCCACTGAGAGCTGGGGGAGGGACGGGATCTTTGTGAGCTGACTTGGGGTCTCAGAGCCGCGGGGAGGGAGGAGTGGGGCTCTCCCTGCGCGGGTTCCTTTTCTGGGTGAGGCGGAGCCTGTTCACCAGGCAGATCGGGGGCTCCCCGGCCTCCACAGATCTCCTGGTGTCTCCCCCCAGGCTGTTCACACTTTCTTTACTTGGGGGGCTGATAAGTCACGCAGCTGGCAGCATTTGCACCTGATTCAAGGAGGTGAACATTTTCCCTGGAGATTAGCCTTGAAGTCAGGGCTGGTCCCCACCCGGGGACGAGGAGAGGACAGAAGGCTACAGAGGGCTGCACCGGGGGAGGGTAGATGGGGCGTTCACCCACCCCTGCTGCCGCATTTTCCTTTGTTGGTTTTGCCCGAGGTCTGATAAGCACCCTGCTCCAGCCAGAGGCCTTATCTGGCCGCCTAATCCCCTGGCCTTGGCTGGAGAACACCAGGGCTTTGCCCAGTCCGCCCTCCCTACCCCCTCCCTGGCCCCTGCAGGCCGTTGGGGCTGGGGGTGGAGGGAGAGGGAGGTGGAGTGAATACCCCCTTCCTCTTGCTCTTTCTCTTCCAACAGGGCAAGGGGTGCCGGTGGTTGAAGAGGCCCCTCTGGGCAGGAACCTCTCACCTGGGGCACGGGTGAGTGGGAGCCATCCTCCACTGCCCACCTCCCAGCTGTGGCCCTGAGCTGCACTGGCCCTGTGGCCACAGACCAGTTGACCAGGAAGCCCTGGGAATCAGTAGGAAATGAGTTTGAGACCCGGTCCTTCACCTTAGGAAATGAGTTTGAGACCCGGTCCTCCACATTAGGAAATGAGTTTGAGACCGGGTCCTCCACACAGGCATCTGTGCACATACACTCAGGCTCAGCAGGAGTTTGAGACCAGGTCCTCCACACAGGTTTCTGGGCACATAGACTCAGGCTTGGCAGGAGGCCCTCCTGGTGCAAGTTCCAGCCCTTCCTTCATTTTGTGTCTGGAGCAAGTGAGCACCCCATGTGCCCAGAGTTCTCATCCAAGAAGTGGGTTGATGAGCCCAGCCTCGCAGGGAGCTGGGAGGTGGGAAGAGCTCACCCTGGTCTGGCTTGTGGTCCTTACAATGATGGCATCATTGTCATCATCATCATCATCATCCTCCTCCTTGTCAACCACTTAGAGCTCATGAAGACAGCTCCCTCCATCATGCCCTGTTTTATAGCTGAAACCAAAGAATTCAAGCTCCATAAGGAAGAACCTAGAGGCCCCCCACGTCAGCCTGCCCCAGCCTGGAGCTTACCCACCATGGAAATGTGTCTGTTGGCCTTACAGAGGAGAAGGCATTTGGGCAGGGCTTTGAGGTATGAGTAGGAGTTTGCTGAATGAAATGAGAGGAAAGGGTTTTCAGGGCAGAGGGAACAGGTTGGGGTGGTAAGAAGGGTCCTGAGGCCCATAGAGAGTGACTGCTATGAGTGAGTGGTTGGAACTGGCGTGACTGAAGATGGGGAAGGACATCTGGGGGTCGGGGGTGCCAGAGGAGTTGGGGATTTATCTGGAAGATGGTGGGTGCTAAGGCAAGAAGAACCAATTCCTTTTTCTTTTTGCCAAAGCAAAGCCCTCCATAGGATTTCCTTTTGGACTTTCTTTTTGAAAGAGTAATGCACACTGACAGTAACCATTTAGATAATACAGTTTCTAAAAGAAAAGCAATGATCCTTTGCCTCTCCCACACCCACCTTTTCCCCACAAGCCCCCAGAAGGCTGGGGGTCTGCTCTCCCTCCCTTGACAGCTGCAGGATGTTTTGTGGTGGGGTGTGAGGGGCTTTGGCCAGTCCCTGGAGATGGACGTGCTGGTGTGTCCAGTTTCCCCAGCCCACTTAAATGGGTGCAGTGAGTGGCCTTTATAAGTTCCCCGAAGGGGGCGTGTGGGGGACAGTTACAGACATGTCGTTTAACAAATGCTGCAGATCCCCTTCCAGAAGTGAAGAACATCTCAGCCGTGCCCTGGCAGGCCTGGCTCCTCCCCCTCCACACCTGAAGTTTCTGTTTAAAATGTTTGGCCACTGGAGGGGTGAAGACACTCACCTGTGCCTGAGGCACTTTATTATCCTGACTGAGCGCGCCCTGCACCTCTCACTGTCCTGAAGTGGCTCGGCCCTCGGGCTTCATCTGGGCCTTCTGTACCTGAGCCTGGGCTTGGCCCAGCGTGGCCAGTGGGCTCCGGGCCCCTCCTGCCAGCCTAGCACTTCTGAGACAGAAGCCTGGCGCAGCAGGCAGGCACCTCTGGACTTTGAGCCTGGGCCCTTGACAGCCAGGGAGAGGGCGACCCCCAGCACACACTACCCTAACCTTTAGCAACGTCCCCACTGCAGATGGGGGTGCTAGCCTTGAAAGTTGGGTGCCCCAAGGGTTGGGGCAGGAGGGCAAGGGGCCGCCCCAGGGAGGTGGTGCATGACACAGCCTATAACAGGCAGTGACTCACTGCTCATCCAGCCATAAAGTCAGGGTGATAGGCTCAGTGTCCCAGCCGTGCTCCCTGGAGTCCCTGCCCCAACGTCATTCCCTTCTCTGCAGCCTGCGCTGGGCAGAGCTCCCTCCCCAGGGGGGCCGCCTGGGCCACTCTGGGACCATCCACCCATTCCAGACCCACCCATTCCAACTCACTTGCTACTGCTGGGGAGACTGAGTGCCAGGGAGGGGGAGCAAGGGTAGATGGAGAACTAACAGTGTCAGAGTCCACAGGTCATCTGTCCCCCACTTTACAGTGTGGACTGCGGGAGGGGATCCCAGTGTGGGCTGCAGAGCTCAGGGCCAGGATGCTCGGCCTGTCCAGGCTGCGATCTGGAGGAAGCGGGTACTCTCTGCTTAGCCCAGGGCCTTCCACGCTCCTGGGGGCTGCGGGGACAGATCCAAGAACATGGGCCCTGGGGCCATGGTGTCCGATTCAACCCACGCTTCCTCCCTGTTGACACCGGGCAACTTGCTGAGCCGCTCCGTGCCTCAGTTTCCTCGTCTGTAAAGTGGGATTCATAGTAGCTCCTTCCCGACTGGGCTGTCTGGGGATTGGTGAGTGATGCCGTGGGGCAGGATCATGATTTACGGGGTGCCTGTATGTTCTCCCAGAGACGGGAAGGGCCCTGAGGGGTGACTCCTCACCAGATAGCGGGGTCTCCCAGGGACTAAGCAGGTGGGAGGGATGGGCGCTGCCCTACTGTGCAGAGCCTTGGCGGGATCCCTTGACGCTGTCCCCAGGCTCTGCGGGGCCAGGAATAGGGCCACTGGGCCTGGGGTCCTTGTAGTTCAAGGGTCACCCTGAACTGCGGGGCTCTAACTATAGAGACCCTGGGGCAGTGACGCCTGTGCAACCTGCCCGCCTGTCACTCCCTCCCCCAACCCCTCACACTTGCCCTGCCTCCTTGACCTGCCCTGCCCACCCCTCACCCTCACCCTCACGCTGCCCCCTTATCCCGCCCCTGGCACCTGCCCTGCCCTTCCCCTCCTGTGATGGTTAATACTGAGTGTCAACTTGATTGGACTGAAGGATGCAAAGTATCGATCCTGGGTGTGTCTGTGAGTGTGTTGCCAAAGAAGATTAACATTTGAGTCAGTGGCTGGGAAAGGCAGACCCATCCTTAATCTGGGTGGGCACCATCTAATCAGCTGCCAGCTCTGCTAGAATATAAAGCAGGCAGAAAAACGTGAAAAGGCTAGACTGGCCTAGCCTCCCAGCCTACAGCTTTCTCTGTGCTGGATGCTTCCTGCCCTCGAACATTGGACTCCAAGTTCTTCAGCTTTGGGGCTCAGACTGGCTCTTCTTGCTCCTCAGCCTGCAGACGGCCTATTATGAGACCTTGTGATCACATGAGTTAATACTCCTTAATAAAGCCGCCTTTATATATACATCTGTCCTGTGAGTTCTGTCCCTCTAGAGAACCCTGACGAATACAACGCCCCTCACCCTCACACTGGCCCTGTCCCCCTTGCTCCTGCTGTGCCCAGCGCCCCTGCCTGTTCCTTCCCATGCCACAGGGAGCTCTGGACACAGAGTGATCACAGAAACTGGCCCATTCCAACCTTTTTGTCACCTCTGGGGAAACTGAGTCCTGAGGTGGGGGGAGCAGCGTAGCCTGGAGAGCTGTGTGACTCTGAACCCCCACCCCAGAGGAAGGCTGGAAGGAATGCCTGCGTGCAGGTGCAGTGCCCAGGACAGTGGCCCCAGAGAGCTCTGGAGGAGGGGATGCCCAGCCAGTGAGAAGACGTGTGTCTTGAAACTCCAGATGGGTTTTAGGGCCTGCGGCTGGTAAGCAACCTCCTCTCTGTGCCTGCTCCCCACTTCAGCTGTGAGCCCGACTCCCACCCTCACACTACTCTGCTCTTCTGAAGGGTATGACCTGGGGACCCACCGCCTGCACTTACGCTCCTGTCTCCCTCCCTCTCTCCTTCCTCTCTGCCTACCTGGAGCCAACTTTGAGCCTCTAATCTGTGCCAGGCGTCCTCACTGCCCCCTTTTCTATTTGCAGGCCCTTCTCTTGCAGGAAGGCCCCCTGAACCCTCACCCACCCACCCCACCCCCACCAGGCTCCCAGGGGAGCCTCTCCCTGGCCCTGCCAGGTGCCCACTGTGCCCCTGCTGTGGTGTGGATGGGGATTCTTTCCCAGTGTGACATGGCGGGGGGGATCTAGAGGAGCTTCCCAAGGGAAATGGGCTTCTGTGCTGTGCTTCAGAGGCTGAGTAGGAGTTTTCCTGGAAAAGGCACAGCAGTAGCGGAGGCCTGGAGGCCTGCAGGGAGAGTGGCCACTGTGCGGGGCGGGCCTCCACCCTGATGGCCTCACTGCTCCAGCCTCTGTTCTTTCTTCCCCAAAGTGCCAAGTTTCTTTCTCTCGTGGCACAGGGGTTCCTGCAGCCCTGGAATCTATCTGTCATTTCTGCAGATGGAGGAGATGGCCCCTCTCCCAAGCCCCTCCTGCTGTAGGTGGAGGCCTGAGTCTTCTGAGGTTCCCTGCAGCTCTCCGGGACCCAGGACTTGAGTGGTGGGGTTAGCAGGATGCGTCCACAGTTGTGGTGGTGACAGGGAGGCCCTCCAGGTATGGACCTCGTGGTGGGCTGGGTGCTGCAGACGGATGGGGCAGAGACCTGCAGAGAAGCCCCTGTCCCCGGGCTTATGGGCGGGGAAAGAATAAACATGGAAAGAAGGATAGATGGCTAGGAGGGCACGGCAGAAACAGCAGAGCCTCAGGGCTGACATTTGAGGGGTGATCAGGGAGGCCTCCCAGAGAAGGTGACACGGGTGCTGAGGACAGATGATGAGGGCCCAGAGCTCCAGCACAGCCCAAGCCCAGCTGCTGCACAGTAGCCACTCACGCCTGAGGCCGGGATGGAGGCGGTGGGGAGGAGGGAGCTGCTGATCACAGGGCCACAGGGCTTCCTGGGCCAGGCCAGCTGTGGGTGAGGGTCTCTTCTCCCAGCGCAGCAGGCCCCCCGAGCAGGGGAACTGGTGAGACATAAGACCTCTAGGGGCCGCAGCTGCAAGAGAGGCCTGGAGCACGGGGGCCGTGCAACACTGGGGGGTGCTGAGCCCCTCCTGTTTGGGCAGGACAGTTGTGGGGGGCCTGGCATGGGGCTCCCGCCCAGTGGAGCATCTGGCTCCTGGGGAGAGGCTGCCTCGCAGGGCCTGATGTGACTCCCAAACCCCACAGCCCCTGGGGCCTGCAGAGTGGGATGGCGGACAGCTCTTGCCAGCCTCGCTGGAACCCCCAGAGCCCCCCACTTTCTCTAGGCACAGCCAAGCTTCCGAAGGCCCAGCCAGCCCTGCCTCCCGCCGGCTCCCTGGAGCTGCTCCTCCTGTTCCCTTCTCGTTGGGGTTTCTTGTGCCGTTGCCAAGGGTGTCCTGGGCAGCCCCCTCATACCTGCAGCAGCTGTGCCAGGCCCGCTCAGCACCCCCTCCAGGCAGTCTCTCTGCCTGCCCTGGAACCTCAGTGGAGACCCAGCTCCCAGGGCCCTGGAGACCACCTCCCCAAGGCCCGGGCAGTGCCTTCTTGTGTCCATACACAGCAGGTGCCCAGTGGCTGTGGCATCAGATAGGGATCTCTGCCCCGGGCACACACGCCAGGACCCTGGGAGGGAAATCAGAGGAATCCAGAGCTCTGGAAACAAAGCCAGGAGTGGGTGGGGAGATAGAACATGCCAGGGAAGGTCGGGGACCAGAGAGCTGGCTGCCAGGGACTCCCATGCCACGTGGGTGCGTGGGGCGAGGCTGGCATAGGCTCAGCTCAAGGACTGACTCTGGAGCTTCCCAGGCAGGGCTGGCCTCGGGGGCCCGTGACCTTGACCCCAGGTGACCCCACGCTGGTGTCATGCTCTGCTTTCTGGGCAGGCTGCTTTAGGTGGTGAGGCCCCCAGCCCTGGAGGGGTCCCAGCAGCGCTGTGCAGGGAAGAGGGCAGGGAGGTGTGGGGGGGGCGGTGTCTTGCTTGGACCCAGCAGGGTGAGGGTGGACCAGATTCCCCGGGTGGCCTCGGCAGGTGGAAGGCAGGGACCTCCATGCATGGACTGAGTGCCTCTGCGCAGGGCCTCTGTGGAACCTTCCAGAAGCCCCGGCTGTGTTAGTCACCAGGCTCCTTTGACAAATCACCGCGCACTCAGGGCCCTCAAGCACACCAGTTCCTCAGGGTACACTTCTGGGGGTCAGAAGTTCTAAGTGAACCTTAAGGGACTAAAGTCAAAGCTGCTCTCTCTGGAGGCCCTGGGGGAGGATTCTTCCTGCTCCTGCAGCCGCTGGGGCCTCCGGCCGCTCCCGGGCTTGAGGCTGCGTCGCTCCAGTCCCTGCCTGCGTCTCCATGGGGCCTCTTCTTCCTCTGTCTGTGTCAAATCTCCCTCTGCCTGTCTCTTATAAGGACTCCTGTGGTCTCATGTAGGCCCCCCTGGATAATTTGGGGTCATCTCTCCATCTCAAAGTCCTTAACCATCTCTGCAAAGTCCTTTTTGCCACCTCAGGGGACATACTGAAAGGTCCTAGGATTAGGATGTGGACGCCTTGGGGAGCTGTTATTCTGGATGTGGACATCTTGGGGAGCTGCTATTCTGTCTCCCACGGAGGCGATATTATCATCACCACCCACTTTACAGATGAGAACCAGGAGGCCACAGACAGGCCACGGTACTTGCTCAGGCGTCCCCCAGCGGGGAGTGATGGGTTTGGGATCTGAGCCCAGGACATCCTGAAACCAAAGCTCCTCAACCCCATCAGACCAGGGCAGAGTTGATGAGGCCACGAGACCTCTGCTGGAGACCCAAAGAGGGGAAACTGAGGCTCAGGGAAGGCAGGTAACCTAAGGTTGTGAGCTTGCCAGGGTCAGTGCAAGGGTGGGAGCCCAGGCCTTGAGCTCACCCCCCCAAGTGTGTGAAATGGTCGCTCCTGTCTTCCCCCACTGTGCCTTCTCAAGGTGAAATCCTGCCTCACACAGTCCCCGCCCCCATCCCAAGACTATTTTTAGGGCCGGGCTACAGATACAGGAAGTTGGCAGGGGTCGTTTGCGACAGGAGTTTACTGAGGGCTCCTGTCCCCTGTGAGTGCTGTTCAGATGGAGATTTAAAATGGTTAGACCTCGACCTGGGCCCTGGGACAGGACACACAGCACCCCTGACAGAGGCCCTGGGAAGTCTGCAGAGCCTCAGATACCGGCCTCCTGGGTGCAGGAATGCTGGGGGCGCTGGTGGGTTGCAGTTGGAACCAACAGGTTGACATGAGCATCACAGACAGGAAAACCGAGTACACACCAGGTCTCTAGCAGGAGGGCCCTGCCCCGGGACGCTGGCGCTGGCCTTGGGTGCAGATCGAGCGCCAGGATGGGGCCTGACACTCAATTCTTCTCCTTTGAGGCTCAGGGAGATGTCAGTTGGCTTGAAAAACCGCCAGACTAAATATAGCTGTGAAACTTCCCGGAACACATTATTCCAAGTGTCCAGTAATTAATGCTCAACAACACACAGTGTCTTCCAGAAAGCCGAATCCACTCTGAATGTCTTGTGGGGTGGGCGGGGGGTCGTCACCGGGAGGAGGCATGTGGGGTCCCTGATGGACGTGCAGGGCAGACAGATGGATGCGGGCGAGCACGTCCTTGGCCCCCTGAAGTGCCAAGACTGGCTGAGGTTGGCACCCTCCTGTTGGATCAGGCCGTCCTCAGGAGGCTGTGGGCGGACGGGAGCTCAGGCCGCAGGGAAGCCGTGGCCTCTTTCTGCTGTGGGGCAATCACTGCCTCCTGCAGGAAGCTCTCCTTGCCTGCCCTGGCCTCGAGGGGCCCTCACCCCACCCAGTCTGTCTGGTGAAGGCCCCTTCCCATCTTCCCAAGCAGATTAGCCCACCAAGGCCAGGCCTCGTCCACCTCCCTCACCACCTGCCACAGAGGGAGGTTTGCTGAGCACGTGTGGGTGACAGACGGAGGCTTCTGGAGGGAGGGGTACAGACAGAGGTTCCCTAGGCTCTGGCCCCTGTGGCCTCCCTGCTCCTCCCAGCCCCGGCCCGGGCTCCCGGCACCTCCCGTGGAGCTGGCGGCCCCTGGACTCACCTGGCACCCAGGAAGGTGATTACTCCAAAGGCTCCCAGAAGGCCATTTACCTTCCCCAGGCTGTTTTCTCACAGGTGGGGGTGAGGCTGCCCACAGCTCAGCTCAGTTTGCAGAGGAGAAAGAAACAGCCCCAGCCCCTGGCTGCTGGCGTCTCCCGGCTGCTCCTGAGTCTGGCCCTTCAGGCCTCGTGCCCGCTCCTCCTCCCGCCCACTCCCCCTTGTAGGGAGGGCCGGGTGACCCGTGTGTCTCCACCTGGCCCCGTCCCATGGGTCAGCAGTGGCGATTTCCATGCAGAGGGCTGGGTGTGTGGACACAGGTGGGGTCAAGCGCAGGGCCAGTGGCCTCAGCACATCCGCAGGGCTTTCCCGGCTTTCTGGGAGCTGGCCTGCCTCTGTCATCTGGGCTCTCAAGCGGTGCCTGGATGGTGGTCTCGCAGAGGTGCAGGGGGGTCAGGGAGGCTGCCTGGGGAGTGGAGGACTGGGCTTGTGGGGCCTCGGCTGAGTGGCGTATTTCCATCCCCGCAGGGCCAGAACCAGGGAGATCCTGGTCCGCCCTCCCTGTCTGAGCAGCCACACGCAGGGCCTGTGCGTCCTCCACCTGAGCCCCCTTCCCGAGCCCCGGACCCTGCTGGGTGGGTTGGGAGGGATGGGCGGTTGCGGGGTGGGGGTGGCGGTTCCGGCAGGCGACGCCCGACCCTCCTGGATGGGTTGGAGGGTTGCAGGGTGGGGGTGGGGGCTGACAGGCGATGCGCGCCCCTGGTGGCTCGCGGGGCACTTCTCTGGGACCTGGGTCTGCGAGGGTCTCCAGGAGGCGCCGGGCGTTCGGGACCCAGACAGCGCCAGGGCTTTAGGAGCCCCCCTCCCCGACCCAATATGACTCCAGCTCGTTGCAAACAGACTGAATCTCCTCTCCCAGGGCCACCAGCACCTGAGCGTGTACAGAGCATGGATGGGCCCCGAAACTCTCATTTCTTGTTGCCAAATTAAATCCAGGCAAATGCCAGCATGCTTAGACACAAACGACCATTTATTTCACACGAAACGAGGAGAAATTGTTGATGCAGCCACCTCGGGGGTGTGCGGGTCAGAGGGTCAGAGGACGGCCTCGGGGAGGCTGGCGGAGGGCGAGGCCCCAGTGGGCAGGGCTGCACCGTCTGCCACCCTTGGCTGTGGGAGGCGCAGCTGCGGGCTCGGGCCCTGGTCGTCCGTGTGACTTGTCCCCACCTGGCACGAGTGCTGCCTTTGGTGCCTTGGGATCTGCTGTGGGGCCAGGGGCTCAGTGCTGTGTCCTCCAAAGCTGCTGCTGAGTCTCTGCAACCTCTGAGGTGGCTGCAATGTCAGGCCCCCAGGGACCCGGGCCTCAGGGGAGGGCCAGGAGGAAGGTCTTGAAGTATTTGATACTTGGGGACGGGTCTCCCAAGCATAACTTCCCGCAGAGCCACAGCCACCAAATCACTCTGGAGAAAAGCACCAGGGGGAGGGGCCACGGGAGCGGAGCACAGACCCCAGCTGCCCTCGCATACCCAGAGGAGCGTGTTCGTCTCCACAGCAGCTCCGAGGATGCGCTGGCTGGAGACAGTTCAGAAAGTCGGAAACGTCAAAGGGGGCGATGCCACAGTGTCATTCTGTCTGTGGAGCCCTAAAGTGTCAGCCCAGGGGGTGGTTCTGGGGTCTCTGGAGGAACATCCTGTGTAGCAGGGGAAGGGGGGGTGGGTGTGGGGGATGGGTGGGTGTTGGGATGGGTGGGTGTTGGGGATGGGAGAGTGTTGGGGTGGGTGGGTGTTGGGGTGGGTCCGTATTGGGGATGGGTGGGTGTTGGGGTGGGTGGGTGTTGGGGTGGGTCCGTGTTGGCGTGTGTGGGTGTTGGGATGGCTGGGTGTTGGGGATGGGAGAGTGTTGGGGTGGGTGGGTGTTGGGGTGGGTGGGTGTTGGGGATGGGTGGGTGTTGGGGTGGGTGGGTGTTGGGATGGGTGGCTGTTGGGATGGGTCCGTGTTGGGGTGGGTGGGTGTTGGGATGGCTGGGTGTTGGGGATGGGAGAGTGTTGGGGTGGGTCCGTGTTGGGGTGGGTGGGTGTTGGGGTGGGTGGGTGTTGGGATGGGTGGCTGTTGGGATGGGTCCGTGTTGGGGTGGGTGGGTGTTGGGATGGCTGGGTGTTGGGGATGGGAGAGTGTTGGGGATGGGTGGGTGTTGGGGTGGGTGGCTGTTGGGGTGGGTGGCTGTTGGGGTGGGTCCTTGTTGGGGTGGGTGGGTGTTGGGATGGCTGGGTGTTGGGGATGGGAGAGTGTTGGGGTGGGTGGGTGTTGGGGTGGGTCCGTGTTGGGGATGGGTGGGTGTTGGGATGGGTGGCTGTTGGGGTGGGTCCGTGTTGGGGTGGGTGGGTGTTGGGATGGCTGGGTGTTGGGGATGGGAGAGTGTTGGGGTGGGTGGGTGTTGGGGTGGGTATGTGTTGGGATGGGTGGGTGTTGGGGATGGGTGGGTGTGGGGGTGGGTGGGTGTTGGGATGGGTCCATGTTGGGGATGGGTGGGTGTTGGGATGGGTGGGTGTTGGGGTGGGTGGGTGTTGGGATGGGTCTGTGTTGGGGATGGGTGCGTGTTGGGGATGGGTGGGTGTTTGGATGGTTGGGTGTTGGGGATGGGTGGGTGTTGGGGTGGGTGGGTGTTGGGATGGGTCCGTGTTGGGGATGGGTGCGTGTTGGGGTGGGTGGGTGTTGGGGTGGGTGGGTGTTGGGATGGGTGGGTGCTGGGGATGGGCGGGTCCGTGTTGGGATGGGTGGGTGGTGGGGATGGGTGGGTGTTGGGGTGCATGGGTGTTGGGGTGGGTGGGTGTTGGGATGGGTGGGTGTTGGGGATGGGTGAGTGTTGCATTGAGTGGGTGTTGGGATGGGTCTATGTTGGGGTGGGTGGGTGTTGGGGTGGGTCGGTGTTGGGATGGTTGGGTGTTGGGGTGGGTGGGTGTTGGGATGGGTGGGTGTTGGGGTGGGTGGGTGTTGGGGTGGGTGGGTGTTGGGATGGGTGGGTGTTGGGGTGGGTCCGTGTTGGGGTGGGTGGGTGTTGGGGTGGGTAAGTGTTGGGGATGGGTGGTTGTTGGGGTTGGTCCGTGTTGGCAATGGGTGGGTGAGTTTTGGGGATGGGTGGGTGTTGGGGTGGGTCGGTGTTGGGATGGGTCAGTATTGGGATGGCCGCTGGAGGGTGGGGGCAGCTGGGACCTACCTTGGCTGACCCCTCCCCAGACCCTGACAGTCTGAGAGAGGTGGGCTTGGCATGCAGCGGGCAGCAGAGGAGAGCAGTTAGGGAAGTGAGGCTGGGGAAACAGGGAGGGAGAGAGACAGCTGCGATGTCATTACAAGTCAGTCACCAACAGTTTCCAGGTAGGGAAGGCATCTCTTTATGGCAGCAAAGGTGCCAGGAAGGTGGGCTGGGGTCTTCCAGCAGCTTCCAGAGCTGAGAGCAGCTGCTCAGGGGTCTCAAGTGAGTGTGGTGGGCTAGGCCACCCACGGTTATGCTGCCCATTCCATCCCCCTGCCTGGGGAAGGGCAGGGCAGGAACGAAGGGGGGTCCTTGGTCTCGGCATGGGGCAGGGACCCCCGATGTGGGAGCAATGGACACATCCCAGTCCTCTCTCCGTCTCTGCCTTGTCAAGCAGGAAGCCTTCTTGGGGCCATGGGTCCCTAATGCTTTTCTACGCCCAGCTCAGGTCCTGGGGATCAAGGAGCCGCAGGCTGGGATGGGCGAGCCTCTGCAGGAAGGTCCTGGTTTATTTTTGCGGTCGCTGTGCAGGTCAAGAGTGATGCTGCTTCACCTCTTGTGGCCACCATGGTGGGTTCCTTTAGAAAGATTTATTTAAGGACGTCAAAGAAACTGAGCAGCAGCTGCCTCTGAGAACCTGGCGTAGGGAGGTCTCATCTTCCTGGGGTTATACCCGTTCAAACGCAGAGACAGAGAAGAAACAGGAAGAACTGATCGTGCACAATAGATTCCCCCAAGTTAAAGGTGCGGGGATCTAGAGAGGAGCGTTCAGTAAGCCCCGCACGGGCGTGCTCAGCTCTGTCCCGCATCAGGGAGCCAGGCCAGGAACCGAAATCGGGATGTGGGCCGACGCTTAACCTGGACAGTTGTCCCCTTGGCGTAGAAGACACCAGCACACCCCCTCCACTTTGGACAGATGCCGTGACCAGCCCGGAGCCCCAGCAGCTCCATTCACAAGGTGCTTGGGAAAATAAATTTAGGTGTCTCCATTCGTAACTCAGCAATGTGATTGAGCGTCTGTGGGAGAAGCCTTATTCCTGCAACGGCTGTGTGTGTGTGATGGGCCGGAGCCCGGGGGAGTCAGGAGCTCAGACTCAAGTGAAGCTCAGAGTGAACAGGAAGGGTCACAGCCGCACCGTCCCCCAACCCCCAGGCGGTCAGAATCCAGAGCGTGGGCCCAGGGCTGCCCCTGCCCGTCGGTCCCCGGAGAAAACGCCCGGTGTGTGCGGAGCTTCACCACCAGGGGGAGTCCGAGGCCGTGTCCAACGTGGGTGTGCGGGAGGGCGGGGGGAGGGTGTGAGCCAGCGTGTCTGTGTGTCCATGAGTGTGAGGGTGTGTGCAGGCGTGTCTTACTGTGTATGTGTGGGTGTGAGGGTGTCTGTGAGCCTGTGTGCGTGTGCGGGTGTGTGCAGGCATGTCTTACTGTATACGTGTAGTTGTGAGGGTGTCTCTGTGAGCGTGTCTGTGCATGTGAAGGTGTGTCCATGCGTGTGAGGGCGTGTGCAGGGGTGTATATGTGTGAGTGTGAGGGTGTATTTGTGTGTCTTACTGTATATGTGTGTGAGGGTGTGAGCCAGCGTGTGTGTCCATGCGTGTGAAGGTGTGTGCAGGCATGTCTTACTGTGTATGTGTGGGTGTGAGGGTGTCTGTGAACTTGTGTCATACATATGTCCATACGTGTGAGGGTGTGTGCAGGCCTGGCCTCCTGCACTAGTGTGGGTGTTTGTGTGTGCAGGTGAGAGGGTGTCTGCCTCTGCTGTCGTGGGTTGGGATTCGTGTGTGCAGGTGAGTGGGTGTCTGCGTGTACTGCTAGTGTGGGTGTTCGTGTGTGTGTGTGAGCGGGTGTCTGCGTGTACTGCTAGTGTGGGTGTTCATGTGTGCGGGTGAGCGTGTGTCTGCGTGTACTGTCGTGGGTTGGGATTTGTGTGTGCGGGTGAGTGTGTGTCTACATGTACTGCTAGTGTGGGTGTTCGTGTGTGCGAGTGAGAGAGTGTCTGCGTGTACTGCTAGTGTGGGTGTTTGTGTGTGCAGGTGTGTGTCTGCGTGTACTGCTAGTGTGGGTGTTCGTGTGTGCGGGTGAGCGTGTGTCTGTGTGTACTGCTAGTGTGGGTTGGGATTTGTGTGTGCGGGTGAGCGTGTGTCTGCGTGTACTGTCGTGGGTTGGGATTTGTGTGTGCGGGTGAGTGTGTGTCTGCGTGTACTGCTAGTGTGGGTGTTCGTGTGTGCGAGTGAGAGAGTGTCTGCGTGTACTGCTAGTGTGAGTGTGTGTGCAGGTGAGTGTGTGTCTGAGTGTACTGCTAGTGTGGGTGTTCATGTGTGCGGGTGAGCGTGTGTCTGCGTGTACTGTCGTGAGTTGGGAGCCGTGGATGCCACGCAAGCCCCGAAGCCCCAGCTTTCTGAGCAGCTGGCCTGTGACGGCGGCATCTCAGGCGGCTTGGCTGTGTAGTGGGGATCCCCCAGCAGGCTCCAGGACCAGGGTCTTCTCTTTGGCTCCAGGTGACCCCAGCAGACTGGCCCTGCACCTGGCCCTGTGTTGACATCTCCAGAGGGTTTGTGAGCAGAGATGAGGGCACCTGTGAGGTCAAGGATAGTCTCTGTGTGGCAGCGGGACCTTGGGCCCAGGGGCAGCCTGTGGCTCTGAGGATGGCTGTGAGTACTTGGCAATGACCCTGTTAGTTGAGCTTGTGCCCGGCAGGGCTGAGATCTCCCAGCATGTGGCATGGGCCCCTCACCACCCCGAGTATGGACCCTGATATGGTCTGGCTCTGTGTCCTCACCCAGATCTCATCTTGAGTTGTAACTGAATTGTAATCCTCATGTGTTGGTTGGCAGAGGGACCTCGTGGAGGTGATGAGATCATGGGGGCGGTTCCCCCATGCTGTTCTCAAGACAGTGAATGAGTCTCATGTGATCTGATGGTCTCATAAGGGCTTTTCCCCCTTTTGCTCTGTGCTCATTCTTTCTCCTGTCACCCTGTGAGGAGGTGCCTTCCGCCATGATTGTAAGTTTCCTGGGGCTTTCCCAACCAGGCGGAACGGTGAGTCAACCAAACCTCTTTTCTTTATACATTACCCAGTTGAGTATTTCTTCATAGCAGTGTGAGAGAGGCCTCATAAAGACCCACTTCGTAGATGCACCGAGACTCAGACCCTGAGGTGGGGCTGGGTGGCCGCAGGCTGCTCAGGGGTCTCAAGTGAGTGTGGTGGGCTAGGCCACCCGCGGTTATGCTGCCCATTTCATCCCCCTGCCTGGGTGTGGGTCTTGGTGTGTGGGGTGGGATTACAGGAAGGAGCAGTGCCCTGGGCTGGCCTGCTAGGGGTGGCCCAGCCAGGAGGCTCCCAGCAGGGTCGGCTCTCGGGAGCTGGGTCATGGAGGGTGGGGACATGAGGGTCAGGGAGAGGGCCCAGCTCCCTGACAGCTCCTGGGGCTCTGTGGCAGGGAGAGCAGGTCTGCTGGGGCCAGCTCATGCTTCTGGGGCGCAGCCTTGCCCTGACCCATGGGCTCAACGGAGGGCCGGGTGGGGCTCCCACAGAGCAGTGGGCCTTGGGCCTCAGCTCTTCCCAGATGGAAGCTCTCGAGCAGATGAGAGGGGCTGTGAGCTCCTATGCGCTGGCTCTCCACGTCCCTGCTCCTCCTCTTCCTGGTCACCCCTGCCAGCCCCTTCCTCTGGTGCTTGACCTCGCCCTACTCCCCACCTCCCGGCCTGTGAGCAGCCTTGGCCCGGAGCTGCCCTTCCTGATCATGGTCGGGACCCCAGGCATCTGCCCCTACGTTGGCCTTTGCCAACAGCTGCTCAACCTGCGAGGAGGTGCAGGGAGCCGCCGGCCCCGCTCCTTGGACCTGATCATGGGCAGGTGGAAGCAAACCGCCTCTGAGAAGGGCTGCTCCACAGACACTGCAGGAGTGCCTGGGTCCCAGGACAGACCCTCTGTTGGGTGCAAGGGATGAGGATGGCTGTCCCCACATGTCTCCTAGAGAACCTTCAGGTGGGAATCCTTTTAAGTGAAAATATTCAAAACAACCAAGCTCTCCAAGCTGTGGAGGGCGATTCTCAGACTTCTCGCCCGGCGCTGCCAAAATCCTGTAGCCGGGGTGGATGGGGTGCCCTGGCTGCCTCCCCCAGCCCCTGACAAACCGGCCATCTGGCCTTGGCAGGTGACCCCTCCTCAGCAGCATCCTTGACACCGCCAAGGTGAATTTGCACCTAGAGGTCCCGGCAGGACTTCGTTAATGAGCGTGCTCCTGCCTCAGGACTCTGCATATTCTCCTCCTCCCTGCCATGCCCAGACCCTGATGTCCCGGTTCTCCCCCTCTTCTCCCTCAGCTCTGTGCTCCAACGCCACCTTATCAGAGACCCCCACAAGCTGTGGATGGGGGCTGTGACCTTAGAGCCCCGAGTGGGGAGCACACCCTTATCAGCAGACTCCTGGCTTCCCCAGCCTCTGACCCCTCTGATACCAAAGGCGTCAGATGTCAGGCGGGAGACACAGACAGCAGGAGCCAGGACAGAGTGGGGAGGGGAAGGGGAGGCTGGTGGGGGTTGCGTCTCGTCTGCTCGCTCCTGGCCCAGGCTTACCAGTGGTGGCCTGATTGTGACAGGCTGGATCTGGCAGCTGGAGGGGCTCAGCATCCTCTCTGGGGAGGCAGGGAGGCCCTGAGGGAACGGGTGAGTGGAACGTGAGGTGCTCTGGTCACCTCCCCCACTCTTGGGCAGACAAAGCAGGCACCGGCCATGCGGGCACCAGAGCAAGCTCCTGGATGCCAGGATGGGGCTGGCAGCGCCAAGGTGGGCACAGGCACCAGGGGCTGCTTGCCTCTGAGAGTCCAGGGAAGGCTCCTTGTCTCCCAGGCAGGTTTGTGTCATGGGGACGCTCCCCACGTGACACTCACTGCTGGCATCGTGTGAAAGGGAGGGGGCACCTGCACTTTGCTTTGTCAGTCTCTGTCTTATTCCTGTCCTTAAGGCATCCTGACCTGCTCATTTGTCCACCTGCCCCGCAGCCAGCCCACTCGCCTGCCTGGAGGGTTTGAAGTATTCTCTAGGCTCAGGGGGAGAGCTCCTTCTGGCTAGTCTTAGATCACGGGAGCTGATAGAACGCCAGAATGATCCAGCCCAGCCCCCTCATATAGCAGATGGGAAACAGGTAGGAGAAAAAGCATCTGTCCCTGGTCCCTCACAGCCTTTTCCTAACATCGCGGTTATCACCACCACCACCACCATCATCATCCCCATCATCACCAACACCATCATCACCCCATCCCCATCATCTCCATCACCACCATCATTTCCATCATCACCATCACCATCACCACCATCACCATCCCCACCATCATCACCATCACCATTTTCACTGTCATCATCATCATCACCATCTTCGCCATCATCACCACCATCACCGTTTTCACCGTCATCATCATCACCATCACCATCTTCATCATCCCCATCACCGCCATCATCACAACCATCATCATCATCTTAGCACCCACTCCCACCATGGGAAAGTGCTGTGGCCCCTTTTCTGTCCTGTCCCTTTGCCTTTTGAATAGCAGAAGGTCAGAACAGAGCCTGAGGATTAATTCCAGAAAAAAACCCTCCTCTTTACCCTTTAGTTTCTGGTTGCCTTCGAAACCTCCTGCCTGTGCCTTTAGAGCAGACCTCTTCATCTTCCTGAGGTATGTTTGAACTCCATGAGACACCCTCCTACAACTTCAGTTCACCTGCTGGATGATGGCTCTGTGGGCTGGGGGCTTTCTCACGGAGCAGTCACTGCCATTTACTGTTCCTTGGTGCCAGGTGGGGGCTTGGGCCCCTCCTCTCTGCATCCTCCACCATCACCCTCCAAGGGCCATGAGGGATCTTGGGCTTGGGCCTGGCCCCATCTTGGGTGGGACTTGGTGGGCGCCCTATTCTAAGCCAGCTGCAGGTGCACCTACTATGGTCAGTCACTGGCCAAGGGCTAAGGAGACAGTTCCCACCCTCGTGGGCTCATGGTCCAGTGGGGTCATGGCATTGGCCCAATGACCCCAAAGGTGGTGAAGTTGGGGAAGCTGGGACTCCCTCCAGAGCTCAAGAACCACAGCAGGTGCCCAGGGATTTGAGGCAGGCCCTTGTGGTTTCAAGCTCAGCAGTCTTCTTGTGTGGGGGACGTCACAGACCTGCTCAGTGCCCCCAGAGGGGAGGGCTAGGAACTCGCTGTAGAGTAGTGGGAGGTTGAGGTTGACTGTATGCCAGGGAGGGGGTGAGCCCTACCCCCTAAAGTAGGCAAGTAACAACTGAAAGACTGTCTCAGGCAGGTGGGCACTTGGCCTGAGTGTCCCCTGCTCCTCTTCAAGGTGCGTGTGGGGACCCCAGAGCACAGGGTGAGCTCAGGCCCCTGCTGTGCCCCGGGGACGCTCAGCCACAGAGCACACTGGCTGCAGCTCCGCATGGGCCCTGCCAGGCTGCACGAGAACCTCTTGACGCAGCGATTCCCAGGCCAAACCCAGCCACGTTTGTGTTGCGGCTCCACACAGACGGGCCACGACCCTTGTTGTCAGCAAACTCTCTGAGGGTAAGGAGCTGCCACCCGAGGTTCACCTCCATAGCTGTGCTTCTCCTTCTGCCACACCCAGGAGAGTGGATTTGCTGTGAGCAGGGGCTGGCCGCTCATGCTGTTAGGCAGAACAGCTGTGGACTGGTCCCTGTGTCCCCGCCACATGCCCTGGACATGAGGTTTGGCTCATCTCAAGGGTGGACCTACGTCACAGGGCCCGGCTGGCCGACATGAGGCTGAGTGCCAGCTCCTACTTGCCCCTCCACGTTGACCTGCCCAGTGGGGCCCCTGGGCAGGGAGACCCCGGCCCCAGGCTGACTCTGACACTCCCCGCAATGTTGGAGCCGCTGGGCGGGCAGACCCCGTCCCCAGGCTGACTCTGACAGCTCCCTGCAATGTGCCCGTGTCATGCGGATTTGGCCTCAGGTAGGTCTCGTCAGGGACACTCTATCTTCAAAAAATGCAGCCCACACAGTGGCTGATTCCAAGGGTCTCAGAGACTCTCCAGATAGTGCTGAATGAGGGGGCCAGGGCCCCAGGGTGGCCCAGGGTCCTGTGGGGAGACTCCCTGACCCCAAGAGACTCCCAGTGTGTGGCGTTGTCTGCCCAGCCAGCCTCCCCTACTGCCCAGGTATAGAGCTGGGCTCCAGCCCGGCCAGTAGGTGCGCTCTAGGGCCCCAGAGGCCACTGGGCCTTGTGCCTGCCCGGGCTCAGACCCTGTGGTTCAGCCAGGAGGAGCAGCCACCTGGGAGCCTTGGGCCCAGAAATAGGTGGGACAGGCCAGGATGGCAGGTGGACTTGAAATTCCACGGCAAGCACGACCGGAAGGAATACATCGGGGGCGATTACACGGTCCTTCTTCCTCCTACCCCATCAATACATTTTTTTTTTCTTTTAAAAAAAGAAATGTAGTTTCTCTGAAAATTTATCCATGCTGATTTTTAAAAGTTGGCAGAGGCGTCGTTCTGGCTGTGGATCGGGGCTTCTGGAACAAGCAGGCCCAGGAGTCTCTGAGGCTTCCCCGGCAGATTCCCTCCCAAGGTGGAGATAGGGGGCGGCGGGGTCAGCGGGGGACGCAGTGCCCTTTGTGATGGCCAGGGAGATGGGGGGCCCTGAGATACCCTCATGTTCCTTCCCTCTGTCTTCTCTCCCACCCCCTCCTGTCCTGGCTTGGTCACCTGCCTGCTGGGTGACTTCAGGGAGTCCTCACCCCTCCCCAGGCCTCAGTTTCCCCATCTGTTTAGCGAGAGCTGGGTTAGTGCAGAGGCCACCAACCCAGGACAGGCCCACATGTCCCAGAGGTGACTGGCCAGGAGTGTCGGATGGCGGGGATGGCGGCCGTGGGGGCTCCGCTGGGGAAAGCGCAGCCACCCAGAGCGGCGGATCCTCGACCTGGCCCCATGCGGCTGGTCTTTCAGCCTTCCAAGGGGAGGCGGATCCAGGTCTTTATGCTCAGTCTCCTGATTTTAAAGTTGGCAACGAATTAAAATAATTTTAAAACCCTGTGCACGCTACACAAAGCGTTGGAGAGGATGGGATTCGGCAGGTCCTTATTTTAACTAACATCTTCCATTAGTGTGGTGCGTTTGTTACGATAAAAGAATCGCTTTTGACACATTTTGATTTTAAAAGCCCATGGAGCTGCCCCCTCCTCCCTCTGGGGTTGGACCAAGAGCTGGGCCTTTGCTGCTGGCTGAATGAGTCCCTGGGCCAGGGAGGTCCCAGTGATGGGGCTGCCCGGAGTTGCTTGCCCCTTTGCCCCTTTGGCCCATTGGCCTGTGGGCACAGCCCCATCATGGCCTCCCCCAGCATGGCCTCCTGGGTGGCCTTAGCCTGATGGCGGCAGCAGGAAGGAGAGGGGCGGAGCTTCCGCTGAGAGCTGGAGCTGTCACCACGCCCGGGGATTGGGGGCATCTAGGGGTCATGGTGTCCACCTCTTGCATGATGGGACCAGCTGGCCTCCGGGGCCATGCCACAAACAGCCAGGGGACAGTACTGAGTAGGGGTGGGAGGCTTCCAGGACCCCTGCCTTGCTTTCAGACTGTGGGGCATGGGGGCTGCTGAGTGGGGCCCTACCTGAGTGAGTGGTTTCTGGGGACAGGCTGGGCACACATCCTGGCAGGGCCAGTCTTTGGGTGGCAGCCCTGGCCACTGTCCCTGCGATGAATGATGGGGACGCTCAGCAACCCCCTGCCTGTGATGCGGTGTGGCCAGAGGGCCTTCGGCTCCCTAGCCTTGTCCCGGCCTTCAATTAGCTCAGAAGTGGGGCGAGAGCGGCCAGACAACAGCTTTGCAGCAGGGCCCCGACTCAACACCGCCTGTGTTCCCACAGCGCAAAGGTGTTCCTGGACCGACCCATGATGGAAGTGTGTTTGGTTCCAGGAGGCGTCCAGGGAGCTGGTCACAGAGCTGCTCCCTGCCCCAGGGGCCCTGGCGGAGCCCAGTGAGGTGGGGGCACTTTCCAGCCGCCGCTCCCTGCCACAGGGTCAGTCGCTGGCAGACGCTGGAGGAGCCCGTCCGACCGTGTGCTGGCCCTGCCTGGAGTACCCCAGCCCTGCAGGTGGAGGAGGGAGTCGAGGGCCAGCATCTGCTCCTGAAGGCAGGGGAACCCCTGGAGCAGGTCCGCCCCAGCAGAGGGGGTGGGTGGGGTTGGACCTGCAGGAGGGGGAAGAACGGGCCCCAGCAGGGGAGAGGGCTCTGTGTGCATCTGCTGGCCTGGGGGCAGCACCCACTGGACATTTCATGACGGGTTGCTGGTGTGACGGGGTGCGAGCTTGTCATCCGGCTGTCACCTGGCAGGATTCCTGCCCCTGCATCAGGGGGCAGACCCCCCTGGAGCTGAGGGCCTCAGGCCAACCACGTACCTGGAGTCCAGTACGCTCAGGACATGCAGGGACCCAGCCAGACCAGCTGGTGGCCCTAAGGCAGGGCGCGGGGTGGGGGACGAGGCAGCAGGCTCATGTAGAGACAAGCTGGGGGAGAAAGCACCCCAGGATTCTCAAAGTAGGTTCCTCCCAGCACTACTGTCCAGAGCTGATCCAAGACAGGGGTGAGGGGTGGCGCTAACCAGCCTGGGGCTGGCAAGGTGCACGGCATAGGCAAAGCTCGCCTGAGCTGAGAGCCACCTGCCTGTGTCCTGTGCCAGCACTTCGGGAGTCCTATCACTGCCCCGGACCATGGCCAACACTGCACACCACCTTGTGGAAAGGCAGCTCCATCCATCTGCTCAGCACCCCGGAGCCTGTGGGGTGACCCATGGGTGACACTTTGTTTCATCCAAGGTGGTTCTGCTCTACACCTTGTGTTTACAGCCTTGCTGGCTGTGATTGACAGCTTGATTTTGTCTTCAAAAACCCATCCTCTCTACTCCTCCACCCCTTCACCCTCCACCCTCCACTCCTCACCTCTCCACCCCTCCACCCTCACCCTTTCACCCCTCCATCCCTCCACCCCTCCACCCTCCACCCCTCAACCCTCCACCCCAACACTCCTCCACCCTCACCGCTTTACCCCTCCACCTTCCACCCTCCACCCCTCCAACCCTCCACCCTCCACCCTCCACCCCTTACCTCTGCACCCCTCCACCCTCACCCCTTCACCCCTCCATCCTCTACCCCTCTACCCCTCCATCCCTCTACTCCTCCACCTTCCACCCTCCACTCCTCACCTCTCCACCCCACCACGACTCCACCCTCACCCCTTTACCCCTCCACCTTTCACCCTCCACCCCTCCACCCTCCACTCCTCACCTCTCCACCCCTCCACCCTCACCCCTTCACCCCTCCACCCTCCACCCCTCCACCCCTCCATCCTCCACCCCTCCAGCCACCATCCCTCCACCCTCCACCCCTCCAGCCACCATCCCTCCACCCCTCCATCCTCCACCCCTCCACACCTCCACCCCTCCACCCCTCCACCCTCCATCCCTCCACCCCTCCACCCCTCCACCCCTCCATCCTCCACCCCTCTACCCCTCCACCCCTCCATCCTCCACACCTCCACCCTTCCATCTTCCACCCCTCCACCCCTCCACCCCTCCATCCTCCACACCTCCACCCATCCACCCCTCCATTCCTTCACCCTTCTATCCTCCACCCCTCCACTCCTCCACCCCTCCATCTCCACCCTCTATCCCTCCACCCTCCACCCCTCCATCCTACACCCCTCCACCCCTCCATCCTCCACCCCTCCACAATCCACCTGTCCACCCCTCCACCCCTCCATCCTCCACTGCTCCACCCCGCACCCTTCCATCCTCCATCCCTTCGCCCTCCACGCCCACCCTCCACCCTTCCATCTTCCATCCTCTCCACCCTTGCATCCTCCACCCCTCCACCCTCCACCCCTTCACCCCTCCATCCTCCACCCCTCCACCCCTCCGTCATCCACCCCTCCACCCCTCCATCCTCCACCCCTCCACCCCTCCGTCATCCACCCCTCCACCCCTCCATCCTTCACCCCTCCACCCCTCCATCCTCCATCCCTCCACCCGTCCCTCTTCCATCCTGCATCCCTTCACCCTTACATCCTCCATCTCCTCCACCCCTCCATCCTCCACCCCTCCACCCTCCACCCTTCCAGCCTCCATACCTTCACCCCTCCATCCCACCACCCTTCACCCCTCCATCCTCCACCCCTCCACCCTCCACCCCTCCAGTCTCCATCCCTTCACCCCTCCATCCCACCACTCTCCACCCCTCCATCCTCCACCTCTCCAACCCTCCATCCTCCACCCCTCCATCCTCTGCCCCTCCACCCCTCCACCCTCCATCCCTGCACCCCTCCACCCCTCCATCCTCCACCCCTCCACCCTCCATCCTCCACCTCTCCACCCCTCCACCTTCCACACCTCCACCCCCACCTCTCCACCCCTCCACCCCTCCATCCCTCCATCATCCACCTCTCTACCCCTCCACCTTCCACACCTCCACCCCTTACCCCTCCATCCCTCTACCTCTCCATCCCTCCACCTCTCCATCCCTCCACCTCTCCATCCCTCCACCCTCCACCTCTCCATCCCTCCACCCTCCACCCCTCCACCCATCCACCCCTCCGCCCTTCCATCCCTCCACCCTCCACCCCTCCACCCCTCCATCCCTCCACCCCTCCATCCTCCACCTCTCCATCCCTCCACACTTCCATCCTCTACCCCTCCATCCTTCCCTCCCTCCACCCTTCCATCCTCTACCCCTCCACTCCTCCATCCTTCTGCTGATTAACTACTCCCAGAACTCAGCACGTTCCCTAGGAATATCCCCTCTTGTGGGTCCTCTCACCTGCCCTGATGGTGAGGAAGGTCAGGCCCAGGTGGGAGTCCGGGCTGGGTGTGCCAGAGGGGCAAGGCAGAACCCTTAGCTCCCCCTGCTGCCCCAGGGCCTGAGTTGGGGCAGGAAGGCAGGGAAGAGGCCCACGGTGCCCGAGCAAAGCTGTCCCCCGTAAGCCTCTCTGTTCGCTCTTCCCGATGCCCTCTCGCCCTCCTGACCTCCACCCCTCCTGGGGGAGATACAGCCTCTGTTCACACTTGTGTGCCAGCATGCCTGTCTGTCCAGGGCCCTTTGATGCCACCAACACCTGACAAAGGCAGGCTGGGTGCTGCCATGCCCCCATTTTAAAGATGAGGAAACCGAGGCTGAGATGGGTGAAGTAACCACAACCTGACCCAGGAAGGGCCAGGCCCACCTCTGGCAGGGGCCCTGATGCTGATGAAGATGTCTTGGAAAGGTACAGCATGAAAGGCTTGGCCTCGCAGATGGAATTTCCCATGTCAGGGAGCAAGTGTTTTCTGGCCTTTTCAGGGACCCTGTAAATGGCCTCTGGGCCCCCAGGCCGGCCCAGGCCAGCAGGCTGCAGTCTGACTCAGCTTTCTGTGAGGGTCAGGCTGTCCTGGCTCTGCCACGCCCCAGCCCATCCCCCACTTAGCCAGGCACCTCCCTACTGCCTGGCGCTGAGGCTTCACCCTCCCACTGCAGCATGCGGTGGGACCACCCTGGCCCCAGTGCAGGGGTGTCCGGGATCCTCTGGGGTGCCTTCTGCCCCAGGGTGTAAAGCCTCCCATGGCAGCCCCTCCTCCAGCCTGGCTCAGATCCCCACCCCACGCCTTGCACCTGTCCATTCCTGGCTTTAAATAGCCATGACGAGCTATCCAGCTCCTCCCTGTGCTGATGGGGCCAGCACAGACTTCCCCAAAATGCCACCTCTTCCCACTGCCCATGGGCAGGCCAACCAGTCCTGGGTGCAGCAGGAAAATGGCCAGAGGACACTCAGCATGGCTGGAGAGCCGGGATGCCTTGGTCCAGGCCAGGCTTGCCGCGACCTTGGAGAGGACAGAGAGGCAGGGCTTGGGGCGGTGGCTCTCATGGTAGTGGAGTGGCCTGTCTGTGAAGCCTGGGCAGTAGCCGCTACCGAGTCCCTGGTGCCATGGTCCCCCAAAAGGCCGTGGTGGTTAAGCCCTTTGCACATGGGCAGGTGGCAGGTGCAGCCGTAGAGCCCCGCATTAGTGCCTGTGCTGGTTTCCTGCCCAGCTCCAGGTCTGGGTGAGGGTGGAGGGTGCCCGGAGCCGAGCATGGAGCCCGGCCGAGGCCTGTCTCGGAAGTATCCTCTGTGGCCCTCCCTGTGCCCGAGCAGAGTGAGCCGAGGCTGCTCTCCAGCGGCTGCACCTCAGTGCTGTGGCTCCGTGGCTATTTTTAACCTGAGTATGGTAAATGCATTTCTACAGGAAAACCACTCTCCTCGATCAATCCCTGCAGCTGCTCGGCATGGATGGCAGGGCTCACACGCAGCCTGTCTGCTCCTGTCCAGGCTGCTGAGGACTGTAACCGAAGCCCATTAGCTGACCGGGAGGGATAAATCCAGCTCCTCTGACAACTGCTTCTCGCTGGTCTTCTCTGGGGACAGACAGCCCTCCCCACCCACCCCCTGCTGCTCCTTAATATAACTCTGAAGTCATGCCTAGTGCTCAGAGGATGGCTTGGGAAGAGAACTTGGGCCTGGGTTCCCCGGTGATTGGGGGCACAGGGTGGTGGTGGCTGGAGCAGGAGCGTGAAGCCCCAGGCTTCACTCGCAGGGAGTGAGGGGGGCTTGTCTTGGGGCAGTGTCCTGGCACCATTGAGCTGGGGGTTAACTCAGAGCCATGATCCCCCTCAGGTTGCCTGCAAAGTACCCCGGGGCTGAACTCATGGGGGATTTTGGGAGAGAGCTGGCTTTCGTCAGATCCTCAAAGGGATCCTTGAACTAAGAGGTAAAGAGGCCCCAGTCCGAGGTGCCTGTCTGCCGGCTGCCTGCGACGCTGCAGGGAAGGTCCTGGTACCTGCTCAGAGGGTCTCCCCACCCTCCTGGTCTGCAGGCCCCGCCTGGAGCACTCTCTGCCCCCACTTCCTTCCCGTTGTCCTCCTCCTCAGCTGCACTTTGCACTCGCGCTGGTTTCTTTGCCGTTTGCTTCTCCCCCGAGGAGCTCTGCCGGGGCAGAGGCTGGCTCGTTCATGGATGTTACTCCGGTGCCTGGAGCAGTGCTGGGTACAGAGTAGCAGCTTAGCAAGTATGTGCAGAATGTTCCAGAAGAAGGTGTAGGGCGGCATATCAGTCAGGACAGGCCGGGCTACACTTCAGCAACAGATACACCCGCCCCACGTCCGCGTGGCCTCAGACAACAAACGTTGATTTCTTTGCTCACTTTGAGCATCCCGGAGCCATGGTGGCCGCCGTGGACAGGCCAGGACATCGTCATCATGGGGAGTGGCTCCCTGTCTCCTTGTGTGTCCTGCCCGCGTGTCTGCTTGCGTGTCTGCCAGTGTGTCCTGCCCGGGGTCTTCTGCACATCAAGAGGCTCTTGACGTTTCTCTTGTCAGACCAGGTCCAGGTCCACGGCCAAGGAAGGCAGTAGGACTCTTGGGATAGGAAGGACGGGAGCCGGGAATCGGGGCAAGGGCCCTTTGGCCAGAGGAGGCTCTGGTGAGCATGGGGGTGGTGTCACTTGGGGCCACCGGGAAGCTCCCTGCCCTGCTTGGCATTGTGTGGTGGGCACGGCCCCGCAGAGGGAGAGGGCTCATGGAGGAAGGAGAGGGCTTTTTCCTGGAGCAGGGATGGCCTTGTGTCACCCCTCATCCCTTGGAACTGGATCAGAGCCGGCGAAGGAGCCCTGGCCCACAGCCCCAGCCCCATCCCCGTGTGGCCCTTCCTGAGGCTCCCTGGGGGGAGGCTGAGCTGGCACAGGTACATCAGCCATGCCTTCCTGGGTGTGCCTGTGACCTTTGACATGATTTGCGAGGCAGTTTCATTTGGGGTCTTTATTTTCCAGCCAGGCCTTGGAGGCTCAGTTGATCTCAACAGGGAGGCAAATACATTGTGACCTTCTGCTGGGAAAGATGTTAACTTTTGCAGTATCCCGTGGGCGATGACACATGGGACAGGGGAAGGGACGTGTCTGTCGTGGGTGCGTGAGGCTGCAGGGACGCCGCCTCTCCAGGCTTGAGGACCCTCTGCCAGGCCTCGGAGCTGGGACGTGATAGCCACCCCATCTAGCCCCTACTCTGAGGTTGGGAAGCTGAAGCCAGGGGAGGGAAGGATGCCTGGGGCCCGCCAGGGAGAGGAGGCAGGGTCTGAGGTGGGGAAGCTGAGGCCAGGGGAGGGAAGGGTGCCCAGGGCCCGCCGGGGAAAGGAGGCAGGGCTGGGTTACCACCATCCACCTGCCTGTGAAGGGTTGGCCAGGCCTCGGCCACACTGAGTCAGCGGCTCAGACAGTGTCTGGTCCTTCCTGTGCCCTGGTGAGCAAAGCCTGTGAGCCCTAGTGTCCCTGGCCTCTTGGGGCTTCTGTGGGGGTGACGGCATCAACGTGTACAACAACATCGTCATCATGGGGAACCTGGGGGAGCTGAATCCATGCCCAGGGGCCTAGGAGAGGCTGGTGACAGTGAGGACCACTAGGGAGGGGCCGTGAACCTCCAGGGCTGAGAGGGAGACTCATTTTTTATGCCATCTGGCGCAGTTAGATTTTAGAAAAACAAACGTGGATATACTGTCTTTGAAGAAAATGAAAATAAAACCAGTAACAAGAACAACGATGGCATCAGTAGTCACGGTAACAGAGCTCTGGAGGTCAAGGCTGGCGGCCCCGGCCATTCCCAGACTTGCTTTTGTCCGACCCTGGCCCTGCTCTCTCTCCATCGTGGGGGCCTGTCGGTGCTGGGGAGACTGTGGGCTGCTCGGTGTTGGGACCCACACAGGTGCTCCCGGTTCCTCCTGGCTGGAGGTCCCTTCCCTGGGAGAGGTGAGGGGAGTCGGGAGGAGCCACCTGTACCGGATGCCCCACACCCTGCCCAGGGTCCTGAGCTCAGAGATGCTCAGGAGACAGGAAATGCACCAGGCAGGGCGGGTGGTCGCCAGGTGCCGGGAGATGAACGGTGTTGGGTCAGTGCTCTCACTCCTGCTGACCCCAGACACCAGGTCCACGTGAAACCGAAGCTGGTTTTTGTTATTGTCACCAGGCTCACAGAAGAGTGGAAATTGCGTTTTTGGAAGTCAGGATGTGGCTTCTGTCCAGGGCATGGCTGAACTTCAAGATGGGAGAGGGACCCTGAGGCCCCGGGGCCGGGGAGCCTGCTGTGTTGACTGTGAACACTGAGCTGCCGAGGGCGACAGTTTAAAATCACCACTGAGACTCTTGGTGGCCCCATGGAATGGCCTAGGGTTCACAGATGCCCAGGTCAAGACACAGATTGTGCAGAAACTTCTGCAGATGGGGGTCCACCCCCGTCAGAGACCCCTGGCCCCGGCCCGCGTCTGAGTGTGACGCGTTTATCCGAGGCTGTTCACTGGCTCTGCCCGTCCACCTGGAAACCCGCAGGTGGGCCTGGTTCACCCCAGGGGTGTAGGGGTGCTAGGGAAGGTGCTTCTGCCACGAGAGCCGTGGGGATGTGGTCACCTGGGCTGGGCGGGCTGGGCGTCAGTGCTGGACCTGGGCATCAACCTCGCTGCAGCCTGTGACCTGGACGTCACCCACTCTGCATCTCAGAGGCTCTGAGGGGCCCAGCCCTTTGTCCACGGTCACCCACATGGAGTCGGCAGTGCTGGGGCTTGACTTGGGCTTCGGTGTCCCCAGGGGAGATGTTTGCTTCCACCCCATGGTCGCGATTCCGTAGGTGCACTGGCGGGGCCAAGTCTTCCAGAAGAACCCACATTTACTGGCTCAGAGGTGCCTGGGGATGGGGAGGACCTTCCATATCATTTCAGCTCCACGCAGAATGCGTGTCAGGGAGAGGAAGTGAGGTACTGAATCAGTGAAGCCAGGTGGAGAGGCGCAGAGCCAAGCATGGCCACAGAGCCAGTGCTCCCTCAAGGCAGCCCTGGGTGCGGGGCCCACAGAGCTGCGGGCGCAGGCTGAAGGGGGCGGCCCCGCGCCCACCTGTCCCCACCTTGCTGGTGCCCACACAGGCTCCTAGGACCTGGGGTCTCCAGCCTGGGGCGCTGCCCCCTCCACAGAGGCAGGTGAGAATAAAGTCACAGCTTTTGGGTACTTACTACCTGGCAAGCCCACGAGAGCTGAGGTTTCCCGGGCTATAGCCTCAGCTGTTAGTTTCACAGGTGCTGTGTGACTGTCGCACGTGGCGTAAAATTTTTGGTGGGCATTAATTGAGCCAATGATATAATTCCGCTTAAACCGAGAGCTTCTCCAGGTCCCGAAGTTAAGAGTAAATCTGTAGACATTTATCTTATCGCTGCGAAGGGAAACACATCCCAGATGAATTCAGCCAGGAGCCCGAGTCTGCCCCATCCTGGAGTCGGTCCCTCTGCTGACCGCTGGGTGGAGACTCCAGGTGGCGGCCACTCAGCAGGTTTGGTGCATGCATGGCGACCGCTGCCACTACAGGCTTGTCTGCAGCACCAATCTGCGGGCTCATCAGTGCTGGGCGTGCAGCCTGGGGACGCTCACAGCCACCTCTGACACCCACCCAGCAGGAGACTATGGGGGCCTGTTGTCCTCCAGCCTGAGACCCCTGAGCCCTGGCTACACCCAGCCCTGTGCAGGGTCCTGCCTAGGACACTGTAGATGCAAAGGCCACAGAGGCATGACCAGCACGCTGGCTGGCACGAGGGGCAGGGAGTGGTGAGAACTGTGGGGAGCCGGAGAGCATCTGCCCATCTGGAGACATGGCCCTCGGTGCCCACTGAGGGGCCCTGGGAGGTCAGAGACACTGACCCATGCAGGCCAGAGCAGGCCCGTCTAGAGCTGGTTTAGGCCATGGGCTTCTGATATCAGGGCCCATCAGATTGGAAGCTGCAGGGGGACCAGAGCCACTCACCCTGCACGGGCCAGGTACACAGCAGGCACCTAAAAATGCTTGTGAATGACTGAACCAAGGATGCAGGCGGAGGCCTGGTGGAATGAATGAATGAGTGGGGCAGTGGGGGCAGCAGGGATAGGTTCGTCGTGAGGGCTGTGGAAACAGCCCCTCTGCGTTCCAGCCCTGTCCCCACGTTCAGCTCTGAGAAGGTGCCAGGCTCAGCTTTCTGATCTGCAAGTGGGTTGATGCTGAGAGCCTGTCCTCACCCGAGCAGTGCTCAGCCAGGGCCTCACGGTGGCTCGACAGGCGCTGAACGGGGGAGGAGTGGGTTTTGGGAAGTGGGGAGGGTGGGGCCTGTGCCTGTGTGCGGGGGTCGCAGGGTGGGGTCCTGGGAGAAGGAAGAAGAAGGAGGCAGCGCCCACCCGACCCCCGACCTTCTAGACCGATTCCCACAGAGAAGAGCTCTGATCTCAGGTGGCCGGGCTGTTACAGCCACACCTGTGCCACGGCCATCACAGGCCATCTTCTGTTCCGTGGCTGCCCTGGGTGACCTTCAGCCTGTGGGGCACACGCCTCAGCTGCAGGGTCCTCACTGCCTCCCCTCCACTCACCCCTCACCGAGAGCCACGGGGCGGGGGGTTCCAAAACTAGCCAAGTCACCCCACATCCTGCAGAACTGGTGCCATGAGGTCCGGCTCCCCACACAGCCTCCCCCTGCCCCCCACAGCCTCCCCCATGCCCCCACAACAGCCTCTCCCATCCCCCCCACAGCCTCCCCATGCCCCCCTCACAGCCTCACCACACCCCCTCACAGCCTCCCCCATCCCCCGCACAGCCTCCCCCATGACCCCACAGCCTATGCACCCCCAACAGCCTCTCCCATTCCCCACCACAGCCTCCCCCATGCCCCAAACACAGCTTCCCCATGCCCCCCGCACAGCCTCCCCCATGACCTCCACAGCCTCCCTATGCACCCCCAACAGCTTCTCCCATCCCCCCACAGCCTCCCCCATGCCCCCCACACAGCTTTCCCACACCCCCCTCACAGCCTCCTCCATTGCCCCGCACAGCCTCCCCCATGCCCCCAGGAAGAACAGCAGGTCCGCCCCAGGATCCCTGGGCCCCCAGCCAGTGAGGTCTCCTTGGGACTACAGGACGTGGGTGTCCTGTGGGGCCGCCCCAGCACAGCACACAAAAGCCGGCCAGGGCAGCTGCCAGCTCAGCTGTCAGGGGAAGAGGACATTATGGTCCAGGTACAGGCAGGCCTGTGGGCTGACCCCGGACCCCAGCGCCTGCTCAGGAAGGAGAGCTACCCCTCCCAGCTCGGATCCTGCAGCTGTACTTGGGGAGCCATGGACGCCAAGGCAGGTGGCCAGGGCACCCCACCCCACTGCACCCCACCTTAGGAGGTGTCCCAGGTGTCCCCAAGCCTTCGTTTTGGTGCTTGGCCCCTGAACGCTCCTATCAGAGGGTTTACCAGCTCAGGCAGCAGCTGTGGGTTTCCCGCATCCAGGGCTGGGCCCCCCAAGGGCTCTCGGCAAGTGTTCATTCCCCAAGGAGCCACCAGGAGTGTGTGTCCTCTGCCTCTGTGAGGGGGGACCCAGGTGTCATCTTTGTTCCTGGCGGTGCTGGCAAAGATCAGGGCTTCCTACCAAGGCCCCCAGCCGGGCACCATAGGACTTTGGAGGAGGCAGGGTCCCAGCCGCATGGCCCTTCTGAGACCATATGGTTCTGTCTGAAGATTCTGAGTCCCTCTGAGGACCCCAAGATTCAGGTCATGGCTGGACATTCTCCAGTTCCCTCCCGGGGTAGCTCCCTGAGCACCGGAAAGAGGATGGGGTGGGGGGCGCCAGCCCAGAGTCTTCTCTTGAGGACTGACTGCACCCCTGCCCCAGGAACAGGATTCTGGGGCCTTGAGGCCCGCGGTTCACGCCGAGAGCCCCTTGGGGACCTCGGGGCAGGCGTGTGGGGCCTCCTGGGCCGGTGCTGCTCTGGCTCTGTCCCGAGGCTGAGCTGGGCGAGTGCTCGCTGAGCTGTAAGTGGGCAGGAAGGGCCGGGACTTGGACCCACCCACCTGTCTCAGCCGCTCAAGCGCTTCTGGGATCAAGGGTCCTGAGATAGCTGCCCTGGCCGATGCCCAGTGGGAATGCCTGTGACGGGGCTGGTAGGAGGCTTTCTAATCCTCTGAGGGTGGCGCCTGAGTCACCCAGCAGGAGCGGGCCCTGCCCTGCCCTCCACAGCCGCTGTGCCGTTGGGTGTGCATGGGTCTTGGTACGTGGACACCCCTGCCTCTCGTCCCGAAGTGGAGAGGGCCGGATTCTCCCCACAACCCCTCCTGTGCCAGAACTCGGACGCATACCTGGGTGGCTCTTGGGACCCATGGCTCTGGATGCCTGGCCCAGAGGAGCGGGGCCAGTTGAGAAATTATTCTTGGTGCTGGGGGTGGCATTGAGTCTCTAGGGGTCCAAAACTCTAACCACACTGACTTGGGTGGGGCTTAGCCTGCCGGGGTCCCCAGCGCCAGGCCCCATTTCTGCTAAGGTCCAGAGCCCTCTGTCGCTGGCCACCCTAAGCCCTGGTGGATGCGGTGGAGAGGACGGACTTTCTGGGGCCATCAGCTGTGGCTGAGGGCTGGGTATCTCCTAGCACCCCCACCCCCTCCATTATCTGTGAGTCTTGGAGGAAGTGGAGGCGGAGGGCAGGGGTCCTCAGCTCCGCTTTGTTGATGGGGTCCCCAGAGGTCAGGGACTTTCCTGAAACCCCTTTGAGTGTTGGGGTCTGGAGTCCAAACCCCGGGCTCTTCCCCTCAATGACCCCTCGAGCCCCGCCAGGAGCCTCACCTCCGATTTTGGGGGACTGTTCCTGGTATAGAGTGGATTGGGAGCAGGAGTCCCCAAGAACCTGGGGCCCTTCAGCTTTTGTAGACACCAGCCTCGGCCTCTCTGGAGCCATATGTGGAGGCCCATGCACACCGGGTGGGGTCTCCGGAGGCCGAGGTAAAAGCCCCACAAGAATTCTGCTGACTCTCACACACTGCCCTCTGCCTCCCCCAGGCCTCGTCCCACTGGCCACGCACAGGCAGCTGGGTCTGGGTGTGATGGGCAAGTGCACGTGTCCATTGGGGATGTCTGGGGAATGAGGCAAACAGACCCCCAACCCCCGCAGCCCTCGGTGCAGCCCCTCAGCCCCAGGGCAGAACACGGTCTTTCTCGGCCAGCGGGGGATGGTGATGGGCCTCAGGGCCGTTCCTGCTTTGCTCCTGTCATATTCTAGTTATTTTATTACAACTATGGCTTTCTGGATCCCAAACCATGTACACATGAGGATCTCAATCCTGAAGATAACATAAAAACTGCGCCGGGCACAGGGGCTCACGCCTGGAATCCCAGCACTTTGGGGGGCTGAGGCAGGAGGATTGCTTGAGCCCAGGAGTTCGAGACCAGCCTGGGCAACACGGCGAAACCCTGTCTCTACAAAAAATACAAAATATTAACTGGGCGTGGTGCGCACGCCTGTAGTCCCAGCTACTGGGGAGGCTGGGGTGGGAGGATCACCTGAGCCCAGGAGGTTGAGGCTGCAGTGAGCCGAGATTGCGTTACTGCACTCCAGCCTGGGTGACGGAGCAAGACTCTATATCAGAAATCAAAACAAAAAACTGTAACAACTTTGGCTGGATTTTCTAATTTTTAAAAAATTAATAGACTTTATATTTTTGACCAGTTTTAGGTTTACAGAAAAATCGAGTGTATGGAAAGCCTCCGTGTGCCCTTCCCCCACTATTGGCGTCTCATGTTGGTGCGGTACATTTGTGACAATTGATGAGTTAATACTGATACCCATCATTATTAACTAGAGGTCATACTTCACTCTTAACACTGCACATTCAGTGGTGTTTATTTTTTTTTGTTTTTTTTTTTTTGAGACGGAGTCTCACTCTGTCGCCCAGGCTGGAGTGCAGTGGTGCCATCTCGGCTCACTACAAGCTCCGCCTCCCAGGTACACGCCATTCTCCTGCCTCAGCCTCCTGAGTAGCTGGGACTACAGGCGCCTACCACCGTGCCCAGTTAATTTTTTGTATTTTTAGTAGAGACAGGGTTTCACCGTGTTAACCAGGATGGTCTCGATCTCCTGACCTCGTGATCCGCCCACCTCGGCCTCCCAAAGTGCTGGGATGACAGGTGTGAGCCACCGCGCCCGGCCCATTCGGTGGGTTTGGACAACTCTGTAAAGTCCTGTATCCACCGTCACTACTGCATCATACAGGATATTTCCGCAGCCCTAAACATCCTGTGTTCCTATTCAGCCCTTTCTTCCCTCCCCACAAACTCCTGGAAACCTCGGATCTTTTCCATAGCTTTGCCTTTTCTAGAATGTGGTATGTTTGGAATCACACAGCATGGAGCATTTTTGGATTGACTCCTTCCCACTGGCAATAGCGTTTGAGGTTTCTCTGTGACTTCTTGCGGCTCGACGGCTCATTTCTTTTCAGCACCGAATATGACTCGGGTTTATCCAGTTACCACCCGAAGCACTTCTGCTGTATACATCCACTTGTGGGAATTTGTGTGGACGTAAGTTTTAAATTCCTTTGGGTAAATACCAAGGAGCACGATTGCTGGACCGTGTGGTAAGAGCACGTTTAGTTTTGTAAGAAACCGCCAGACTGTCTTCCAGCAGCCGCGCCATGTTGCCTTCCCAGCAGCCACGGCTGAGGGTCCTGTTTCTTCACATCCTCGCCAGCGTTCGGTGCTGTCCGTGTTCTGGGTTTTGGCCGCTCTAGTAGGTGTGTGGTGGCATCTCTTGGTTGTTGTTAATTTGCGTTTCCCTGGTGATGTAGGACGTGGAGCAGCTTCTTATATGCTGGTTTGTCATCTGTAGATCTTAGGAGAGGTGTCTGTTCAGGTCTTTTGCCACCCCCACTTTTTTTTTTTTTTTTTTTTACAGAGTCTCGCTCTGTTGCCCAGGCTGAAGGGCAGTGGCACCATCTCGGCTCACGGCAATCTCCACCTCCCGGGTTCTTCAGGCTCCTGAGTAGCTGGGATTACAGGTGCGTGCCACCACGCCCAGCTAATTTTTTTGTATTTTTAATAGAGACAAGGTTTTACCATGTTGGTCAAGATGGTCTTGCTCTCTTGACCTCGTGATCCGTCTGCCTTGGCTTCCCAAAGTGCTGGGATTACAGGCGTGAGCCCCCATGCCCGGCCTTTTGCCCATTTTTAATAGGGTTGTTAGTTTTCTTTTTCTTTTTTGGAGACAAGAGTCTCCCTCTATCTCCCAGGCTGGAGTGCAGTGACATGATCTCAGCTCACGGCAACCTCTGCCTCCCGGGTTCAAGGGATTCTCCCACCACAGCCTCCTGAGTAGCTGGGACTACAGGCATGTGCCACAATGCCCAGACAATTGTTGTATTTTTGGTAGAGACAGGGTTTCACCATGTTGGCCAGGCTGGTCTCAAACTCCTGATCTCAAGTGATCCACTGGCCTTGGCCTTCCAAATTGCTGAGATTACAGGTGTAAGCCACCGCGCCCAGCTGGTTGTTTATTTTCTTATTGTTGAGTTTTAAGAGCTCTTTGCATATTCTGTGGCTGGCTTTTATTCTTTTCATAGTGTCTTTTGCAGAGTAGAATTTGTTAATTTTAATGAAGTTCAGCTATCAATTCTTTCATAGATTTTTCTTTGCTGGTTTATCTGAAAAGTGACCCCCAGAACTCAAGTTCTCTAGTTGGAATTTTTAATTAAAAAAACAACAACCTTGAGCTTTACATAAAGTTTTAATTGGTTAACACAAAAAATATTAACATACTCTTGGATCTAAAATAATTCTAATAGGTAGACATTTTGCCACCCAGTGGGTAGAGGATGGTCCCCCCAGGCTGACTGACTCTGATTTGGTTCAGGTCAGCCCTACCATGAATCTCCATCTGCTCAGCATCTACCTTGAAAGTCCAAGTGAGTAAGGGAGACGGTGACTTCTGTGGTTTCCCTGGAGATTCCCAGGGCTATCAGCGTGGCTGGGGGAGCCCCTGACTCCAGCTCGGGTGTGTGGCCTCGGTCTTAATCGGGGCTCTGGACGACGACGCACGGGGAGATAAGAGCCTGGTCCAGCCAGGCTGGCACCATGGACTATTGTGACCTCCTGTCTGGACAGCCGTCCAGTGATTGGGACAGGTGGTCTGGGTTTTCTAGCAATGCCCCCACACCGTCTATGCCCCCTGCCTCCTGCAGCCCTGGGTCTCCCGCAGCCCCGGATCTCACGCAGCCCCGCCTGGGGCCACCACCATGACTCGCTGAAATGTCACCAGGGTAAAAAAGGTCAGAGCTGCCTGGGCCACATGAATGAGAGTCCTGTGAGCAGCTCAGCGGCCTCCCCACCAGTTGTGGAAGAGTGCCCTCTGCCCCTTCTCTGTCTCTCTGTGTCTCTGTCTCTCTCTCACTGCTGAGTCCCAGAAGGCCTCCCCGAGGTCCACCCACCCAGACCCTCCTGGAACCCCATTTCACTCCCTCCCCATGCTCTCTAATGGCTGGCTGCCTTCACTTTTCTAGCCAGTCCTTGTGGGAGGGGTTGGGGGCAGACCTGGGCAGATGTGGACTCAGGCCCTCTAGGTTCCATCTGCCCCCGGCCCTCCCCAGAGCCCTCCTGGGAGTGTGAGTGCAGGCGTCCAGCGGAGACGCTGACACCCTCTGGAGTCCCAGCTCTGCCATGCTGGGCACTGCCACTTCTCTGAAACCGGCTTCCTCATCTGAGAAGTGGGCTGGTAAGAGTCCGCACGATGGAGAGGGTTGCACTGGACAGAGCTCTCCGTGTCAGCCCGGCTGCAGGAAGCCCCCCATGTCTGTGCCCGGAGCCCCTGGGTGCCTGGAACTTGGGGAATGAACTCAAACAGAGACCCCGCCTGCTCACTGCTGTTTGCCCAGCTGCTTCTCTGGCAGGCATGGCGGGGAATGGGGTCATTTCTGAATATTCTTTAGAATTCCAGCCTCTATTTTCACGAGCCGATCGGCTGTTCGGCCTCACACCATTGGCGAGCGAGGATCCAGCCCGTTCTGATCTCCGCCCTTGTGGGCGAGTGACAAGGTGATGTCCCTGGGGGTGAGTCAGAGGAACTAGGGGCCTCAGAGGGGCGGGGACCAGGCAGGGCCACCTCCCCACCGCAGCTCCACCCTCCCTTTGATGCTCCCTACCCGCCACCCGTCTGGAACATATGAGCGGCATGCTTAACAGAATTGTACAGTCTCTCTTTAAAATTTTTTTACAGTAAATGGAGAAAAACATTTGCATTATTTCAAGAAACTAAGTGACTGAAGTTTGTTGTTGGCTCCTGTGGACTTTCATTGATTTTCAACAATGGGACCAAGATTCTCAATAAAAAAATATAAGCCCAACAAGGAGGCCTCTCATTTTCAGTAGATTATTTTGTTATCTTTTAGATGGGGTGCGCTATTGAAGAATATTTTGGAGATTTAAAAAAAGCAGTTTAAAAAATTAATATCTGCCCACTGTAAACAGTAGGAGAGTTGGGGCGCTCCTACTCCCACCCCCCGCCTGCCTCAGCCCCCCTCAGGTGGCCCTTACCTGCCCCATCTGGGTGGGAACAAGCCCCCCGGGCTTCAGCATCTGCTCAGGCTCACCCTTGTCAGCTGCAGATTCTCTGTGTTGGGGGAGGGTCCCAGGAGCTCCCCCCTCCCCCAGGCTGCTGTAAGTCTCCGGAGGCTTCTGTTGGGGGCAGGGAGGGGCATCCGCTTCGTGGCCTCACAGCAAAGAGAAGAGATGTTTTTTCTTTAAGAAGCAGAAGGGTGAGTGGCTGCAGACGGCTCTCCCCCAGCTTTGTTTAGATTTATCTTCTTTATAAGCTGCGCTGGGCTGGACTCTCTGCTAAACCGCCAAGGGGATGTGTGAGCCAATTACACACTGAACTGGGCAGGAAATGTTGAGGAAAAATGAAGTTTCCATCTGGCAACTTCCAACCCAAACTTCGCCTGGACGCGAGGGAAATCCCCGTGAGCCGCAAGATGCTCTTTGCTCAACGTCTTCACGGCACCTTCCCACGGGAGACGCGACGCAGGAATGGAGCGGGGACGAGTGGGCCTCGGCCGGTAGCTGGCTCCCTGCGGCCTCCTACCCCGGCTGGGGTGGCCCTTTGCCTTCTTTGTGGAGAAGGGACGCCAGGGTCTTGAGACTGTTAAATAAAGCACAATCTCCGGGAAGCAGAGAGGTCGAGCATCCCCTAACCCCAGCTAGCACCCGGCAGTGACCAGCCAGCCCCGAGCCAGCCCTTTAGAGCCCCTAAACCCACAGCAAGGCTGCCTGTGGCGGAGGAGCTGGGCCCTGGACCCTGGTGCTTGCAGGCCATGGCGGGGGGAGTGGGGGGGGCTCTCTCGCACGTTTCCTTACTTGTCCCAGGGGCCAGATCCTCCCGGCTCGGGGGATGTCATGCAAGGCAGTGAGGACCCAGCGGGTCCCTGCTCAGGTGGAGATAAAGAGGAAGGCGATGGAGAAGGGGGCATCCATGGGCCCTGCACCCTGTCACCTGGGTGCCATCCGAGAGCCACTGCTAGGTCCCTGTGGCAGCGTCCTGTGCCACCCCTGACGCAGATGAGGGACAGGGACGGCCCACCAGCAGTGAGAAAGAGACACACCCATTGTGGAAGCTCGGATGGCCGTTCTGACGGGAAAGTCACCTGGGGTTCCCCCAGTGTTTCTACTACTGTTTGGGAGTGGACGGTGGTCGTTGTGGGTGGCTGATTAGTGCTTGTGTCTCTTCAGCTCCAACGCGAGTGGTTGACTTCCCGGGCTTGTCAGTCTCTGGTGGCTGCTGTGGCAAACGGACCCAAACTTAGTGGCTCGAAGCCACCTGGCTTTACTGTCTTACAGTTTTGGAGAGGTCTGCATGGGTCTCCCTGGGTCAAAATCAAGGTGTGGGCCAGGCTGCTTCCCTCTGGAGACTTCAGGGGAGGCTCGCTCCCTCCTCCCCTGCCTCTGGAAGTGCCTGCGTCCCTTGGCTCGTGGCCCCGCCTCCATCTTGAAGGCCAGCTGTGCAGCATGGCCCATGCTCCCTGCTCCATTGCACGCCTCCTACCTTCCCTGACCGCTTGAGCCCCTTGCGATGATCTGCACTGGGCCCACCCAGGGTCACCTCCCATCCCATGTCCTTCATCCCATCTGCAATGTAAGGTGACATGGCCACCTGTTCGTTCTGCAGATTAGAATGAAGACATCTTTGGAGCCATTATTCTTCCTTCCACTCAGGGAAGAACTTTCAGTGGGTAGCAGTGCCTTGGCTACCATGATGGGACGGCCGGGTGGCTGTCATTTCTTGGGACCCCCGCCCTAACACACCCCTGGCGACATGCTGAGCCTCACTGCATCTTTGCAAACCTTGGCAAGTCTCCTGTTGTGCCTCTGGGGAAGCCTCTCAGTGGAAGGGCCATGTCCCTTTTGGATGTCATCTCACCACATCACTGCTTCTGCTACAGGTCTCTCCTCTGCTGGTTCCTGACAGGAAGGAGGTGCTGCCAGCGCTGACCCCACAGGGAGGGTCTGCGGAGAGGTAGCCGGGATGATGGGGTGGCTCTGGGGACCTGGGGAGCCAGGCCTGGCTGCGTGATGCTGCATTTCTGCTCGCTCAGCCTCCCCTGCCCAGCCACTGTGGAGCAGGTGTTGGTGGGGTGGGCAGTGGCTGCAGCCTGGCTCCCTTTAATGTCTACCCCAAGCGGGCCATTCGGCCTGTCCCTCCTCCGTGCTCCTTTCCCAAGCTTCAGGGTGGGGGGCATCGGACCCAAGTTCCTCTCCTTGGGGCAACCCTTGTCACTGTAGAGGTGGCTCCCTGGGGCCACTTTGAGTGGAGGGACGGCCCCCAACAACCCTGCTTTAGCCGCTGGTACTGATGATGAAGGTGGGCCAGGCCCCGAGGCTCCTTTCCACTTTTGCTTAGGTGAAGCCAAGCTGGGGAGGCTCTGAGCGCCGGGCCACCAGGGGTTTCTCTTCAGCCCCCTCCTCTGCTGCAGGGAAGTCCCTACAGCGACTCTTCCTGGAATCTGGCCCCAGTGGCTGGACGATGGGGAGAAGGAGGAGTGGGGGCGGGGTGCGCCAGCAGGCACAGGCTGCAGGCTTAGGAAGGTGGTACAGGAGGAGACCTCTTCTGCAACCATTTTAGATTTACAGAAAATTTGCGATAATACAGAGAGTTACTGTGTACGTCTGGTGAGCTTTAAAAAAATTAAGAGACTATTTTTTATAATAGCAGTTTTAGTTTTACAGAAAAATGTTGTAGAAGTACAGAGTTCCCTTATGCCCCCTGCCCAGCATGTGCACGGCCCCCCCGCCCCCGCCCCCTACGGTCCACATCCCACCACAGGTGCAGTGGCTGCAGCAGGTGACCGGGCATCAACATGTCAACATGTCCTTATCACCCGGAGTCCGCCCTTTACCACACGGCTCGCTCTTGGCGCTGGGTGTTCTGTGGGTCTGACTTGTTTATAACGGCACAGATTTCCCCCTCCCGCTGCGTCCCATGGAGCAGCTCCACTGCCCTCTGCCCTCACACCCTCTGGGCTCCTCCTGTTCACCCCTCCTCGCCCTAACCCTGGCAGCCACTGGTCTTTCTGCTGTCTCCGTGGTTTCGTCTTTTCAAGAGTGTCATACCCAGTAAGGCTTCATTTCATATCATTGATAGGTTTTTGGAAACTGGGACTTTAAGCAAAATGACGTATAACAAAATGAATTTGACCACAGGCTAATTAACATGAACAAGAGTTAAGTTCCTATGGCATATTTCTGGTCACAAAAACATCACCAAACTTCTAAATAAAGTCCAAAGCCCTTCTAATATTAAACATGGAAACAAATGTGAACTGTGCGTTTTTAATCAAGAATTTAAGAAGGATTATTAAAAACAAGTAAGATAACTATTTCCCCACTTATTCCAGTTCAGGGTGACTAGAGCTCATGCCCCCATCTCGGGGCACCAGGCGGGAACCCACCTGGACACAGCGCACGCCGCTATGGGAGTTGCCGTCCTGGAGTGGGCACTCACACTCCGTCCTGGGGCAGGCACTCCGACGGGAACAGCTTCGACACGCCAGCTCCCCTACGTGCACATCTTTGGGGCACGGAAGGAAACTGGAGCATCCACAGAAAACCCACGCGGACCTGGGGCGATGCACAGGCTCCCCGGACAGTGGCCCTGGGTGGGAGCAGATTTGCTTTTCTCAACATTATGATGAAACAACGTTAAAGAAAATAACATTGGCCGGGTGCGGTGGCTCACGCCTGTAATCCCAGCACTTTGGGAGGCCGAGGCAGGCAGATCACGAGGTCAGGAAATCAAGACCATCCTGGCTAACACGGTGAAACACCATCTCTACTAAAAATACAAAAAATTAGCCGAGCGTGATGGCTGGTGCCTGTAGTCCCAGCTACTCGGGAGGCTGAGACAGGAGAATGGCGTGAACCCGGGAGGCGGAGCTTGCAGTGAGCCGAGATCGCGCCACTGAACTACAGCCTGGGCGACACAGCGAGACTCCGTTTCAAAAACAAAAAAAAAAGGAAATAACATTATTCAAGGACCTGCTATCATTCATTGAAACCATGCGTCATGCAGCCTCTTTAGACTGGCTTCTTTCACTTAACAATATGCCTTCAAAGTTCCTTCAGATCTTTTCAGACCTTGATACACGTTTCCCTTTATTCTTGATCAGATTCATCATATTCAAATATCATAGTTGGTTACGATTATTTTACTTTTAAAGACTGGGTTTCGCTATGTTGCCCAAGCTGGACGTGAACTCCTGGGCTCAAGCGATCCTCCCGTCTCAGCCTCCTGAGTGGTTGGGATGACAGGCGTGAGCCACGTCGTGGGGCTTCATTTCTCTCTATTGTAGAATAATATCCCATTGTCTGGATGGGCCGTAGTTTGTTTATGCGTTTAACCCTGTTCACCTGCTGAAGCACATCTTGGATGTTTGCAGGTTTTGGCGACTCTGAATGAAGCTGCTGCAAGCACCTGAGTGCAGGTTGTTTTGCGGCAGGGAAGGCCTTTGCTGTAACGATGCAGTGTGCTCAGTCCTAGTGTTATGGGTTGAATTATGGCCACAAAAAATTCCTGTGTTAAGTTTCTAACCCGCAGTACCCTGGAATGTGGCTTTCTTTGGAAATAGGGTCATTGCAGGTGTAATTGGTTAAGATGATGTCATACCAGAGTAGGCCTTGATCCAATGTGAGTGCGTCCTGATACAAAGGGGAAATCTGGACACACAGACACCCACGCAGGAAGGCCGTCTTCATCTTCGTGTGATGGTGACGGAAAGTTGGAGGCAGAGAGCCAGGGGGTGTTTCTATGAGCCAAGGAACGCCAGGGTGCTGGCAGCTGCCAGGAGCTGGGAGGGAGGCCTGGGACAGAGTCTTCCTCGTGGCCTCTGGAAGGAGCCAACCCCACTGACACCGGGATCTGGGACTTTGGCCTCCAGAACAACAGACAATGCATTTCTGGTGTTCAGCTGCCCAGTCTGCTGTCCTTTGTCCTGGTGGCCCCTGGACACTCACACACCCAGTGGGCCTGTGTGTTTAGGGCTGGCCATGGCCAGGCAGCACGGGAGGACTTTGCACACGGGATCTCCTTGCAGCTTCTAACTGCCTGGGAGGGAGGTGCTGGTGTCCCTGTGTTTGGTGCTCGGGCTGCCTCCCAGGTGGTGGTCCCAGCCCAGGGCTCCGTGGCTCATCCGCTTACTGCCAGCACCCGTGATGTTCACCTCCGCCCCGGCTGAAGACCATGAAAAGTTTGTGCTCAAACAGCGGCAGCCTGGGGTTCACCCTGGCAGGTGACCCCCCGCCCACACACGCACAGCCTCCCTAACTCTCCACGGCCCCACTGCTGCTCCCGAGGGCTTCCAGAAATTTGGAGCTGAGGTGGGGCTTTGCGAACCTCTCCCGCCCTGTAGCCTGTCCACCCTCCTCCAGCCACCCTGCCGCTGATGAGGCGCGGATAGTTATTTCTGCAAGAAAAGCAGCTTTCTCTCTCTCTTTATTCCTTCAATTATGCAGCCACGTCTCGACAACGCCAGCCGTCAGAGCGGTCGGGCTGAGGGGGACAGCGCACAGGACAGCTGCAGCCAGCCCTGTCATGACCTTGGCCACCAGGGAACGCCCTGTGTGTTATCAAAATGAGAAATGTTAGCCAGGCCCTCGTGAGTTTGAGACGTGGAGACAGAGCTCCTCCCCGCATTCTTAGCATGCTCGGGGGGCCTGGGGGTCTGGGCTTGTCCAAGTCCGGGGATGGGGGTGCTGCGTCTCTGTTTTCAGTTCCGGCACCTCTGCAGGCTGTCCTAGGGTGTCTGAGGCTCTTGCCCCAGACCTTGGTGGGTTTGGTAATTAGGGGTGGTGGTGGGGTGGGGTGGGAGGTCACTGCTCTCGTGGATTGGGGGTGCTAAGGCCCACAGGCCCAGAGCGTGGCGGGAGGTTGTAGGCTCTGCGGCCAGCAGCCAGCTCTGCCCAGCTCCAGGCCCAGCTCCTTGCTGCCCCTGCCCAGGCCCCAGGGCCTCCCTCTGGCTCTGCTCCTAGAAACTATCATCTCCTTCTAGAAACTATCATCTCCCCTCAAACCTCCAGGGGGGGTTCTCGCCCCCTTAGAATTAAACCGAAGCTCTCGTGCTGGCTGCAGGCTGACAGCACCATGTGACACCTGGCCACTGGCTACCCCGTCATTGTCATGGTTTGCATGGGTCTCCGTGGCCTGGCTGGGTCTGGGGGTGGTGCCCAGAGGCTGGGTTCCTCACACCCAGCAGCACGCCCCGCCAACATGACCTCCCATCTCTATGCCCTCTGCAGGGACGCACTGCTGGCCTGAAGGGGTTCGAGGGAAGGCCACCTCGCGACTGCCTCTGCAGCAGAACCCCCGGGGGCTGCTGTGTCCTCTCAGCATATCTAGAGAAACACTCAGGAGGATTCTTAATGACTTCAGTGGGATGTGTTTGCGGTTTACCTTCAAAGTCGTGGCCGCCCTTTATTGAACAAACGCCTGAGTCAGAAGCTCCACTGAGCGACCCAACGCATTCGCTCTACTGGGCCGGCTGATCATCTGCAATCATCACGCTGTTTCCAGAGGAGGAAACTGAGGCACATGAGGCGTAAGCAACATGCTCAAGGAGTCACAGAGAGAAAGTGGCAGAGAGGGGATCAAACGCTGGGATTCAGAGGCGGCGCCGCTCCCACAGCTGCCTCGGGGACGGCATTCTGGGCCTGAGCCGGGCCCTGGGGCCGGGCATCCTGGCTGAGGGGCCTGGAAAGACCCTACAGTGTCTGCCACGGCCTCCTGCTGGGCCCACACAGAGCCCAGGTGATGCCCGGCACCGCTGGTCCTGTCCTTCCCCCACAGCTGCCCACCACGGCCCTGCCCTTCCCTGAGCCTGCCCCTCCCTGAGCCTGCCCCTCCCTGAGCCTGCCCTTGTGGTTGTGGACCGATCAAAGCCCCCATGGCTCCCCGCCACCCCCCTTCCTGGGAGGTGACCGATACCAGAGATTAGCTGCCTAAACAATTAAAAATCCTGTTTACCGGCAACTGGGACTATTTCAGGTTTCACCTTTCAGCCAGTCAATGCCCAGTCCGTGCGGTCAATAGCAGGCTGTCTGTCTGGTGCCCAGGAAGCGAGGCTGGTAGGACCCACCATGGGGGCTTCTGGGAGGGGACAGTGGGGCTGTGTCCGAGAGGGTCGGGGGCAGTGCTGGGCCCTGGGAGCCCTGGCAGGGAACCCCTTCGGGGCAGAGTCTGGGGGCTGCCTGGGGGCTCTGTCCTCATGGGGAGTCACCAGGTGGCACTGCCTGCTGGCCCTGAGCCCTCCATGCCACTCTTTCCTCCTCTCCAAATGGCAAAAAAACAAAACAAAACAAAAAAACAGAAACAGCTCACGGGTTTGTTGGAAGATGCTGTGTGGTACGAGATGCGCAGGCCCAGTGGACAGCAAACACCCCATAGCCATGGCCGTACCAATGGTGACACAGCTGTCACCACGTGCCTCAACATCGCCCCAGCTGTGGCCTCTGGGTGGGTTCAGTGGACCTCAGCGGTTCTGGTACCCCCAGATCTTTCCAAAGGGGCTAGGGCCGGGGGAGGGTCTGATTCAAGGAGACCAAGCACACCAGGGGTTGGAGCAGATCCAGCCCCCTCTTGTGAGAGGGCCTGTGGGACAGCCAGGGCCTCGCTCTCTGCAGTGCTCAGCTGGCCCTCCCATGCCTGGCCAGCCTCCGTCAGCTCCACTCCCGGGAGCTTGACCCTCTCTCGCCTCTTCCCCATGAACGCCCCTCCTCCCATGGCTAGAGACACACACAGGAGCTGGGACAGTGGGACGGGGGAGATGGCTCCTCCAGCCTGAACTCAGCCCCCACCTCGAGTAAGTCACAACCTCCATACTTCCTTCCCCAGGAACCGAGTTGGCTGCAGGCTCGCAGCCTTGCCACTTAGCGTCAGTGCTCATGGGGGGCTGGGCCCCCTTGAAAGAGAGTGAGGTGGTCAAGGAGGAGCAAGCAGGGAGAGGCCCACGGAAGCCCAGCACCTCAGCGCCACCAGGACGGGCCCCCCGCCTTCAGCCTGCAGGGCTCATTCAGTCATTCACTTAGAAAGTCTACTGGGCCCCCACAGCGTAGAGACTTGGCAAGTGAATGAAACAGCCCCCCATACCATACTCGCAGAGCACGGAGCTCGGGCCTCGGCTGGCAGGGCCCCTATGCCCAGGACCCAGCTGGCAGGCTACAGCCGGGGTGACCCATCCGGAATCCGGGGAGATGGGCTGAGGGCTGTGGAGGGGGCCATAGGAGGGCCTGGGGGTGGGGCTGATGGAGTGGGATACAGGGCAGCCAGGCTGGGGGGCTGAAGGTGCAAGGTCACAGGGCCCGGGGCCCCCAGTCTGGGTGCCGCATGAGTCGTACCCATGTCTGGGGGACTAGGACCTGAATTGGCACAAGGCAGCACCCAGGGGCCCATCCAGCTGGAGACCTCCAGTAACAGCGGAGGATCTATCCAGCAACCACTGAGCCCTGGCCTGGTTCTGGGGACCCCTCCCCTCCCAGAAGAGCCCCCATCCCCAGGCCTGAAGGTGGGGGCTGATGTGTCTCCTGCAGTCTGGGTTCACAAGCAAGACACAGGAGGCGGGGGCTCCCTCGGCCGCAGATAGGCTCCGGGGCTGGGCTCCAGGGCTGGTGCACTTGGGCTCATGGGTGGAGCGAAGCCACATTTTTTGACAGCCCCAAAAGATGGCCAGTGCCCACGACTTCTGACGAGAGACACACGGATGGTTCCGCGGAGGCTGGACCCTTCTGTGTGCGTCCAGGATGGCAGCAGTGAGCTAGAACAGTCACCAGGGCAGCTGACAGAGGGCAGGGGACCCCTCCACGTCCAGCCTGTCCAGAACCCCCTGGTCCCCGGCACCGCCTGGGTCTTCCCTGGTTTCTCCAGGATGCCAGACAGACGCAGGGGACTTGCTTGTGAGAGAGGCCAGTTCCAAGGAGGCCTGCGGGAAACAAGCCCTCACTCCCCACCCCAAGGAGGGTCTTTCTCCCTTGGTTTCTGCCTCCCTGAGGTCTCCTCTTAGGTCAGAGGAGGGAGTTCCCACGGGTAAAGCACTGAGGGCGGTCGAAAGCCCCGAAGGCCACCCTGCTCCTTCCTTGCTGGTCTGGGTGACGACCCTACAGAGGGGTGGGCCTCTCACCGAGGGGCAGGGGTGCTGAGAGCAGGCACCGGGGCCTGGATGAGCTGCTGCCCCTGCCCCTGCCCTGTTCAGCCTGGCCAAGCGATCCCGGGGCTCTCATGGGGTCCCACGTTTGAAGATGCAGGGGTGGTTGAGGGAAGGGTCCCATCTAGGAAAGGGAGAGGGCTGTGGCAGGGCCAGGGGAACAGTCCAGTCATGGGGGAAGAAGGAGGCGGGTGGGAGCTGCCAGGCTGGGAGTGACGAGGCATCCCTGCTTGGGATCTGATAAAGCTTCCAGGGGCAGGGGAGGAGGGTGCAGTGTCTGTGGGTGGGGGCAGGGGGACCGGCAGGGGCAGCCACAAGAGAAGGAAACCGGATGGGAAGGGACAAGAAGGGTGACACCCACAGGGGCGGGAGCCCCAGGCTGGGTCATGGAGCTCACACTAGGCCTGAACGTGTGCTGCACATCTTGGCCAGAACAGGTAGCTCTCTGGCTGTGGGGGATCAGGTGGGGGGTCCGGTTGCTCCCAGGAGGTAGAGAGCATTCTTGAAATTGCCTCCTGGGGACTCTTAAGTCAAAACAGCCACTCTGGTGACCCCTGCTCCCATCCCACAGACAACAGGGGCTAGAACATCGGGATTGGCGTGAAATTCTGCATCTGTCTTCTCGCTTGACCCTTGCAGTGGCTCGTGGGACTGGATGGAACCCACTGACAGCTGGAGGCTGGAGGCAGCTCTTGGGACACTTCCCTGGCTTGGGCAGGCGTGGGAAGCCAGCACCCTGGGGTATCAGCCAGGCCTCTGGCCATAAGCAGCAGATGGCTCTGAGAGGTGGGTGCCCTTCCCACAGCCCCCGGGGCTGCTCGCTGGAGCAGAGGGGTTCCTCCCTGGGATGTCACTCTCCTAAGATGACGAGATGGAGGCTGAGAGACTGAGAGGCAGTGAGCATCTATCTACTGCCTGGCCCTTGCCCCTCACCCCCCAGTCTCCTAGGACTAAGATGGGGCTAGGCCTGTGCTGCTGCAGAAACGGACGCTTCAACCGGCCTGCCATGGCTCCCATTTCCCGACTGTCCCGGTGGAGACGGGCACCTGGCGGCCACACACTCAGTGTCACAGCAGCCTTCGCCTCTGCGGGGACACCGGCTCATTGGCCTCCTGAGGCTGTGCGTGGACACTGGGCCCCTCGAGCCAGGCGGGGACACTTCTACCTGGCTAGTTAATGCCACTCGGTGTTAGAAGCTTGAGGCAATGTTGCCATCATTTTAAGTGCCTGCCGATTTCTGTCGTCCAGTTGGTCATCAGGACACACATATATTTTGAAGGGGCCCTTCTGATGTATCTATTGGTGGAGCTAGTTAAAGAGCCCGACCCGATGGTGGAGTGTGGGGGCAGTGAGGCCATCAGGTTTATCCAGCTGGTGAGGTAACGCCCCAGGCGGAGGCTCAGGACGGCCCGGCGCCCCACGTCGGGGACTGGGCTGGAGGGTGGCAGCGCCCTTCAACACCCTGCAGAGGGTGGGGTGAGATCACAGTGGTGGGGGCACTGCTGGGGACGGGGGGGAGGGTGGGGACAGGCAGGCCGGACACCCTGGACCCCCTTGAGGGCCTGCAGGGGTTTGAGAAGGCGGGAGGGAAGCAGAGCATGGGGAAGAAATGCAGGAGGGAAGGAGGGAGGGAAGGAAGGCTCGTTCTTTTCCCTTCTAGAAATCATGAATTGGTTATTAGAAATCACTTCAGGGCCTTGCTGCTGGTGGGGAGGAGGCGGCACCTGCAGGAGAGGCTGGCCCTGGGTGAGTCTCACGCCCCACACCCTGCTCTGCACCAGGGCGCAGACCCTCCCTGAGTAGCAGCCCCCAGGCCCCAGCCTGGCACTCATCCATCTCCAGCCCAGAGAGAGGCCCGGGGCAGCTGTGGGGCCAGGCTCCCCAAGAGGGTGGCTGAGGGGTGGGGACCGGGAGACAGATGGCGTCCGAGGCTGTCCTGCGTCTGCCTGTGGGCCTGAAGATGGATTTGAGCGCCTACTATGTGCTAGGGAGTGTGCTAGTCTTGGGGAGTCAGCCACACAGGACTAAGGGCTCTGGGGCAGGGACGGTTGCTGCAGCCTCTGACCTCCAAGAATTGCAGTTGAGGGGGTGGGGGTCAGGGGGCTCCTGACTCACTAGTCGCATGCCCTTCACATGTGACTTCTGCATGCCTTGTCACCTGGACTGTCACTGCTGGGCCAGCCCCACCGCCCCAGGCCACAGAAGGGTGCGCGCAAACACCCTCCTTTTCCAGGTGGGGAGGCCCAGGCCCAGGGCGGAGGCCCCTGTCCCGTCACTCAGAGTGGCAGCAGGGCTGGACACAAATGGGGGCTTCAGCTCCAGGTCAGGGAGCCCCCATCCCCAGGCCTAGAAGGGAGGGTGACTCTGCAGCTCTGTGGCCCCCATGGCCCCTCCTGTGCCCTCCCAACTCTGCTTCTGGAGAAAGGCTATTCTCGGGTTTTCCCAACAGGTGCCGAGCACGGAGCATGAGTCTGCGCTGATGTCAGCCTCCCAAAGTGTCTTGGCTGGGCCTCGAGGCCACCTCCACCCCCAGCAGTGCTGAGAAGCCCAAGGCCCGAGACTGACAAGCGTTTCCGGGGCTGGTACATCCTGGGCTGGCTCCGAGGAGGGGTGGCTTCGGGCTGGGGCTGTTACCCTTATCCAGGGACTAGAGCGAGGGCTGGAAAGTGCCCTTCCCTCCCCTCCAGGGGAAAAGACAACCCTGACATGGGGGTCGATGCCCCTTCCTCCAGGAAGCCCTCCTGGCCCTGGGTGGCCCCCTCTGTACCTGCGCCCCATTACTATGTAGTTGTTGGTTCTGAGCTGGGCTTTTGGTGAGGGGAGGACAGGGCTGTGTCCAAGCTGGCACTTGGATGCCACTCTGCACGAGGCCTGTGCTAAGTCCTTTCCCAAGGGCTGGGTGCTGTGACCCTCCTGGGGAGGCGGGGAGCCCCTGGGAGGTTGGATGCCTTGTCCAGGCAGCCTGGCTCCAGCCCTGTATCCTGCTCATGCTTTGTCCTAGCATTCAGCAGTGTGCCTGGCACTTTGTGTGGCCTCAGCAGGTAGCTCCTGAATAAAGGAATGTGTGCCCACCTCAGCCACAATTCCTACAGAGGGTGGGACCGAGGACTCATTTCAAAAGGGCTGGCGCCACTTCTGGAACCCCTGGTTCTTGGGGAGGGGCCCACACTCCAACAGGCAGACCCGGCCCAGGGCCATCTCCTGGGCCTCCACCTTGGGCTCAGAGGGGTTGGAGTTAGAGGTGCCGCCGGCAGGCAGCGTCCCCACCCCAGAGCCACCCTTGGCCCCTGCCCCCGCTCAGCCACAGAGGCCCTGCCCACAGCCTCTTGTTTCTTGGCCATGAGGAATGAGCCCGGGGCCTGGAGGTGCCCCTGCATGGTCTCCAGGTCTCGATCACTGACAGGCACTCGGAGGTACCAGGAGGAGGCCTGTGTGGAGGCGGAGGGGCAGTGCTGCACAGAGGGAAATGTATGTGTTTTGGCTTCCAACTGCCTCTGCAATGACATAATCAGAAGGCTTTTACTGACTGGGCAATAAAACAGCTCATCACTGTGAACACGAGTGCCTCCGCAGAGTGGCCGCCGGCTTGGCAGCCCTGGGAAGGTCACTCAGGAGCCCAGAGGAGGCCGCCTGGCAGGCAGCAGTGTCCCCGGAGGCCAAGCCCAAACACGGGCAGGCCCTGGGGGCTGTCGTTGGTCCTGGGCTGAGTGTAGCACAGAACCCCCAGGGTTAACCCCCCCACACCACCCACTGTAGCTGCAGTGCTCCTGGGGCTGACCACTGCCGCAGAGCCCCTGCCAGGCCCCGGGAACATTGCCCCACCCCTGCCAGGCCCTGGGAATGCTGCCCCACCCCTGCCAGGCCCCAGGAACGCTGCCCCGTGGAAGCCATTGCCCGAACATGATTGCCCACTTTGCGTCCTGAGGTCAAGGTGGGATTGGCTCAGTGAAGAGCTGGCTCATGGTGGTGGGACAGGGAGGGGAGGCAGGAAGGGTGGCCCAGGAGAAGGTCTTGGAGTGGAGGGGCCAGGGGGCCCACGGGTCTCGAAGAAGGCTTCATGAGGCTTTAGCAGGGAAGGGAGGAAGGAGAGGGTCCTAGAGTGGGGGCTTCTCCTGGCAGCTCTTGGGTGGAGCCACCTGGGCTGTGGCTTCCAGTGTGGTATCTGCCCCCAGCAGGAGGCAGGACGGGCGTGGCCCATGGTCTCAATGGGAACGTGGGGCCACGTGAGGCATGGGGTTTCCTCCAGCAGAAGGCAGGGCCGCCGTGGCCCATGGTCTCGATGGGGATGCGAGGCCATGTGAGGCATGGTGTTTCCCAGCTTCAAGGAGCCCTGGAGACCACGGATCCAGGAATTCCCACCTTGGAGTGGGAGGTAAAGAGGCAGCGCCTGGGGCGGAAAGCTCCGCAGTACTCCGCCGTGGCTCCTCTGACGTTGGCCACCAGGCGAACCCAAGCCCCAAAAGCCCAGCCCATGTGCCACGCTCCCTAGTCACCACCGGGGCGGTCCCCAGCCCGTGACGGCGCCCCTCCCTGGCCTGAGGAGTGGTGCAGGGCAGAGGGGTGTCCGTGAACACCAGCAGCCACCTCTACGGGGGTGAGGCTGGGCTGTGTGTTCCGACGCTCCACAGGCAGGGGCAGATTTGTACTAGTGTTCTGCGCTGGGTAACCAATCGCCACACAGTTGGCTGCTTGAAAACACCACCTTACGCCCTCACGGTTTCCGTGCGTTGGAATCCCGGCCTGGCGCGGCAGGGCTCTCTGCTCAGCATCTCCCTGGGCTGAAATTCAGGTGTTGACCCAGCTTCAGCCTCCCTGGAGGTCAGGCCCTCTTCTAGGTTTGCCAGGTTTTTGGCCGACCCCAGCTCCTCGCGGTTGGAGAGCTGAGGTCCCTGTTCTCTGTGGCTGGGGCCGGGTGCTCGCAGCTCCTAGAGGCTGCCCGGAGACCCTGCCACATGTGCCGGGGAGCGTTTCACAGCAGGCTGTGGCATCCTCCTCGGAGACCAGCAGGATTGGTCCCTGTGATGACCTGATGGGGTCAGGCCCAGCCAGCACCACCTTCCCTTTGAGTAACTTGAGGTCAAAGTTCCCTCCCCGGGAGTGATGCCGTCTTGCCTGCTGGCCCTGCCCTCACTCGGGGAGAGATGGTGGCGGGATGCACCCCACGGCCAGAATTGGCCGATTCTGCCTCCGCAGGCTTTGGCTTCCAAAGGAAGTCGGGAGACTCTGAGCCTCTCGCTCTACAGGGAGAGCCGGGAGGCCCCTGAGATGGACGCCCCCTCAGCAAATGCCTGAGATGCCGGGCTGAGGGGACAGAAGCTTTGCCCATGAGCCCTGCCCAGGCCCAGCCCCCACCCCTGCCCTGCTCCAGGCAGCCATGCCCAGCCCCCACCCCTGCCCCGCTCCGGGCAGCCATGCCCAGCCCCCACCCCTGCCCCGCTCTGGGCAGCCATGCCCAGCCCCCATCCCTGCCCCGCTCCAGGCAGCCATGCCCAGCCCACGTGCCTGGCGGGAGCATTTCTGGTGGCAGCCTTGCCCCCGGTCGTTGAGGCCCCGGATCCACGGGACGAGTGCCGTGAGAGGCCGGCTGTCTCAGTTAAGCTACCTGAAGACTCCAATTCAATCATTTATCAGGTCCCATCATAAATTCAAGGCAGCCCTCCAAGGTTTGAAGAGCTCAAATTTGACTTCCTCGGGAGTTTTACGAGGAGCAGGAGCCATTTGTCAGGGCAGACGGCTCCATCTGTTCAGCGGGCGCCCTTCGGGGAGGGAGGTTCCTGGCAAAAGCAAAGCTGGGACGGAGGTTGGTGCTGTCAGGAGGCCACGTGTCCTCCAGGGACCAGAGTGTGGCCCCTGAGAGTTTGTTTCTTGGGATGATTAGCAATTCAGCCAGGGCAGGGGCACATGGGGGTGCCGGGGGGTAGGGGAAGGTGGGGAGCTGCAGCCAAGTAACTGTGAGCAAAGAAACCCTGGCCGGCTTGAGCTGCAGCCAAACGCAGCTGCCGGAGGCCTCCCTGCTCAGGGCAGCACCCCCATATCCCAGCCACCAGGCCTCTTCTGGAGGGAAACTCGGCCCACAGGGCCCTGACCCTGGAGGGGAGAAAGGGTCACCCAAGCCTCCCTACTATCTGCAGCCTGTGGTGGGCACCCGTCAGCTGCAGAATGTGGGGGTTAGATCATAAGGCAGGAACAGCAGCTTCCTTGCCTTCTGAACATCCCGTCCCGGAGCTGGCTGGAGCCTGGCTCAGCAGAGCCAGGAGGCGCCTGCAGCGTTGGGACACGAGGCGAGCTGTGCAGAGAGGCAGCCGCACCTCGCTGGGCCCCTGGGTGGGGGGTGCTGCACTGTGCCAAGGGCTTCTGGGGCTCCCAGGTGGGGTGAGGGCTGCATCTGCCATGGAGCCCAAAGCCTCCTTGGGCCCAGGAATGGGGTTCACATCAGGAAACTGCCTGAGGGGTCTCGTTCCTGCTGTGCCCCAGGAGCGAGGGCTGGAGGAGGAGGAGGGTAGGAGACGGTTCTTCCAGAATTGACCATTTGAGCCAGGTCTGGGGGCCAGAACGGCAACCTCCCCCATGTGTGGCACATGTTTTAATCTGTCAAGTGGCTTTGTGGCCACCATCTCAGAATCTCCGAAAGCAGTAGCAATGGGAACCACCCCCCACCAAAGCTTGTGAAAATGCAGATTCCTGGGTACACCGCCTGGGTACGCCTGGGTACACTGAATCCTCCTACAGCTGCTCTGGGGTAGTGAGCTCCCCACCTGCATAAGCATTTAACCGAAGCATCCAGCTTCAGTGACAGGAGGGCTACTGGACCAGATGACATCCAGCTCAGTCCCAGATCCACTGACCGCCCAGGGGTCTCGATCACCTGATTCTCAGCAGGGCTGGTGGAGGCTGGCACCAGGATGACTCCGGACCAAGGTGCTGGGAGCCCAGGGCCCTCGGGGTAAGGGGTGCTTCACAGTGAGCAGCCCGAGGCACGTTCCCATGGGCCATTGTCACACCCTGCCTGGGGCTGCCAGCTCCAGGGGGCCATTGTGGCCTGCACCCCCGAGGAGGAGGACACCGCCCCCTACGGGTACCCTGAGCCTGCTGCCATATTTGTAAATGCTACACGCAGGGAACCAAAAAGTCCCCGGCCCAAATGAAACAAAACCCCAGAGAGCACCTGCTTGGGCCCACGAGAAAAAGCCATCTTGGCGTCCCATCCGCAATAGGACTCAGCTTGGCAGCCTGCACTGCGCAGCGTTCAGCTCCTTTCCAAATGAGTTTGGCGTTTTTTATAAAAAGCACCTTTATAACAATCCCAGAATGAATATTTATAGGGCAGGGATGAGGGAACCGGCTAATTGTGGCTGAGATCTTGCCGGATCAACACTCCTCGGCTCCCAGAGGATGTGCACAGGAGATTAAAGCTGTTCCCTTCATCCCTGGGCTCAGGGCTGGGCTCCGGGTGCAGGGTGGAGACCCAGAAGGAACCCTCTAACCCTTAGCAGATCATAGGCTAATGCCATGACCAAGGGCATCAGGGGCTGGGGATGTTCTTAGAAATAGGGCCCTTGGGAGGAGGTGGGAGGCCAAGGCTAAGGGCAAAATGAGAATCTGAGAATTTGGCCAGTGCCATTGGGCCTCCTCTGCTGGGAGCTGAGAATTCAGCCTCTGCCATCGGGCCTCCTCTGCCGGGAGCTGAGAATTCGGCCGCTGCCATTGGGCCTTCTCTGCTGGGAGCTGTTACAAGCTTCGGGTGGGGTGGATGATGAGGAGGCAAGACCCAGTGTGGGCGTCCATCTGGGTGTCTTGGACAGGACAGCCCAGGACCCCTGCTGTCCACCCTGGAGAGCAGAAGCTCTGAGCTCTCCCCCAGCCACCTCCTTCTGTGCAGTCCCTGGGAGAGGGGCAGGGAATAGGTGCCCAGAGTGGGACCAGGCGTCGTTTGGTTCTGGAGCTATAGGCAGCTGCAAGAGATGCTGGTGAAATCTGCAGAGATGAGGTCCCCTCTGAGCCTTGGGGCTTTGCTGGCAGCATCGCTGTGGCCTAGGACACAGGGAACAGAAGTGGGTGGCTAGGATCAGGCCCTTCTTTCTCCCTGGAAATGGAAATCTGTCTCAACCCAGAAAAATACTCTGCAAGAGCTGGTGAACTCGCTGGGGTGAGGGACCTGCTAGCTCCCTTCCCTGCCTGTGGTCCTTGTCCCCTGCAGGACTGGCCCTGAGTGGCTGGGGGCTGGGCACCATTCCTGATTGTCCAGCAGTGCTGGACTGGGGAGGGTCCTCACCATGGGTATGTCCATGGAGGGGGGCTCCTCCCTCAGCCCCAGCACTGCTCCCCAACCCTGACCCTGCTCTTCCACTCACCCCCTGCAAAGATGAGCAAAGTTGCAGCTCCAAGGGGCTGGGGCGGGCAGCTCAGAGGAGCCCAGGCTGCCCACTTCTGCCGGCTCGAAATGACTTCTATTTGCTTCTAGGATGGGTCAGTGTGAGTCCTCTACAGAGGAGAAGCAGGCAGACCCACAGAAACACTTATCGCCCCCACCCGACGCACACACCCACACTGAGCTGGGGCATCGAGCAGAGGGACGGAGCGGGAGGAGCAAGTCTTCGGCGTCCTGGGGCGGGGACATGGAGAGATCAGAGGTCAGCCTGGGCCCCCAGGGCCCTGTTGTATGTCCCCTGCCCCTTGGGGTCCTCCCCACATCCCGGGGGGTTCTGGGTTGGCTGGACTCAAGGATGGTGCAGTTGTACCGGAGGCCGCCCTGCGCTGACCCAGAGCCTCTGAGTGACCCGTGCTGGAGGCTCCAAGCAGTGCCACGTGGGCCTCAAGGAGTGTTGGAGTCTGCGACAGCAAAGCTGTCACCATTCTGAGTGGGATGTCTGTGGCTGGAAGCAAATTGCTCTCCCCTAACATCATGGCAATGAAATAGAACTTTATGAGCTGTCAGAGAGGCTTTGCCCACTGCCCCTCAGGTAGTGCGTGTGTATTTGTTTGGCTCCGTGTGCACCTGTGTACCCTGAGGTTGGGCAGGAGGCGGCCTCCCAGGCACGGTGCAGGAGGACGGTGAGGTCCCGTTCCTTTTTGTAGTGTTGCGGGACATGCTGGATGCCCACGGGCACTTCACACACAGCTCTGGTCTGTGGGGCACACAGGTGTGCACAGCCTCCTGGGAGCTTCCCAGGATACCTCATGTTTGTGTGAGCTGTGTGCTGGGGTGTGGGGCAGGCAGAGGGGACGATGGCAGACCACTGTAGGCTACGTCTCCTGCTGGGAGCTCGGACGAGTCCACGGGGACCTCTTAAAGGCTCTGAGGAGGCCCATCCTCCATGCCAGTGACAGGGAGTCTCCCGGGGGAGCCCTGCTTGTCCCCCCTCGACGCTCGTCTGGGCTGGGAGGGTCTCCTGGAAAGATGTGTGAAGGAGGGGCGAGGTCATGAGTCTCCCATGGCTGCTGTAACAAAAGTCACAGTTTATTCTCTTGCAGTCCCAAAAGTGAAATAAATCTAAAGTCCATGTGTTGAAAGGGCTGGCTGCTGGAGGCCCTGGGGAGAATCCGGGTCCTGCCCTCTCCGGGGTCTGGAGGTTCCCGCGCCTTCACCCGTGGCCCCTCCTTTAAAGCCATCTGTGCTATGTCTTCCAGGCTCCCCCTGACTCTGACCCTCCCACCCCCTCTCCTAAGGACCCTGTGAGGACACTGGGCCCACAGAGAGCATCCAGTGTGATCCTGCTCCGTCCCTCCTGCAGAGTCCCTGCTGCCACATAAGGTGGCACGGCCACGGGTTCTTGGACTGGGACGTGTACATCCTTAGGGGGAGTGGGCATTACTGTGTCCCCACACAGGGAATATGACAGCAGCAGACTGGCTTGGGCAGTGCTAATGCTGAGTTGTCTTACGGCCCTCCCTGGCAAACCTGTGACTGGCCCCGGGACAGTGTCCTTGGCCAGGAGGGCAGCCACCCCCCACCCTGCCTCTCTCCCAACTGTGGCTGGGGCATCAGGAGAGGCAAGGTCAGACCTCAGCAGTAGCTGCCCCTCCTCAGTGGGCAGCCTGAAGGGCCCCAAGCTCACGGTCTGGGTGGCCCTGTGTCCCAGGGCAGAGGTCACTGAGAGAGGTTTGGGGCTGGACTCTGAGCTGGGCTTTTTTTTTTTTTTTTTTTTAAACAGAGGTGAAATTCACACGACATACAATGACCACTTTAACAAGTGTGGTTCGGTGGCATGTAGCACATTTGCCACACTGTGCAGCCGCCACCTCTGTCTACTTCCCAGACACTTTCATCCCCCACCGAGGAGCTCTGGAGCCCATTAAGCAGTCACTCCCGTTCCTCTCCCCGCCCCCGCACCGCGGAATCTGCTTTCTGTCTCCATGGAGCTGCCCGCTCTGTGCATCTCCTATCAGCGGAATCCTGCAACCGGCGGTCTCTGTGTCTGCTTCTCCCGCCGAGCAGGGTTTTCAGGCACTTCGTGTTACCGCTCGTGTCCCCGTGTCATCCCTTTTTAGGGCTGAATGCTATTCCCTCACATGGATATGCCGCACTTCATTTATTTATTCATTTATTTAGAGACAGAGTCTCACTCTGTTACCCAGGCTGGAGAGCAATGGCATGATCTCGGTTCACTGCGACCTCTGCCTCCCGGGTTCAAGCGATTCTTGTTCCTCAGCCTTCCAAGTAGCTGGGACTACAGGCGCTCATCATCACACCCAGCTAATTTTTATATTTTTAGTAGAGACTGGGTTTCACCATGTTGGCCAGGCTGGTCTTGAACTCCCAACCTCAGGTGATCCACCCACCTCGGCCTCCCAAAGTGCTGGGATGACAGGCCATGCTTTCTTTATCTGTCATCAGCTGACAAGCCTGTGGCTCCTCCGCCTTTTGGCTGCTGTGAATAGTGCTGCTGGGAACACTTCTGTGCGCTTATTTGTTTGAATATTTCTTTTTATTTTGGGGAGCTGGTGCTGTATTAGTCAGGTCTTGCATTGCTGTAAAGATAAACCTGGGGCTCGGTGATTTATGAGGAGAGGTTTAGCTGGCTCACGGTTCTGCAGGCTGTATAGGAAGCATGGTGCTGGCATCTGCTGGGCTTCTGGTCAGCCCTCAGAAAGCTTACAGTCATGGCAGAAGGCGAAGGAGGAGCAGGCTTGTTACATTGCCAGAGCCGGAACAAAAGACAGAGAGTTGTGGGGGAGGTATGACACACTTCTCAACAACCAGATCTCGTGAGAACTCACTGTGGTGAGTGGGTTCATGGCACCCAGCCATGAGGGATCCACCCCCAGAACCCAAACACACCAGGCCCCACCTCCGGCACTGGGGCTCACAGCTTAACACGAGCTTTGGAGGGGACGTGCAAGCTCTGTCAGAGGCCCAGGAGTGCAATTGCTGGGGTTTATGACTTCATTTTTCAAGGGACTGCCAGGCTGTTTCCACAGTGGCTTCACCTGCATGAGGTGGTCAGGGGTGGGTGAAGGGGCCCCACGTGTGGCTGGGCAGCAGTGACAGGGCTTGGTCAGGAGCCAACACCCTGCTCCTTGCAGTGAACAAGAAGCGCACAGCCCGAGAGAGCCCTAAGTGTTCACGGCCACCCTGTACCTACACAGCTGTGGGGTCAGCTCCAGGGAAGTGGCCTGCTCAGCCTCAGTCCTCTGCTGGGAGCCCATTGTTCGTGGATTTCCAGAAAGAGGGGTGCCAGGTGCACACTCGACTCACTGAGTGGGCCGCTGGTCCGGGCACAGTGGAGGCCTCTGCTGGGACGTAAGATACTATGGGAAATACTGGCTTCAAGAAACCCAAGAAACCCTCCCCACGGAGCACCTTGGCTGCTGGGGCTTTGTCCGGCCGCGGTGGGCGACTAGGGACAGCTCGGGTGTGGGGTAGCTGCGGCTGGAATCCTGCGGATGAAGTGGGAGCAGCCCTCATCAAGCCACCGCTGACTGGGACCACGGCTCCCCAACAGCTCCCACTGCCTCTGGGGTTGGGCATCCTGGCAGGTGTCCCCGCCCCTGTGGCCTGACCCTCCAAGGGTACTGGCCCTGCCGTGCACCTCCCCCACTGAATAAGCCCTCAACCTCGCCCCACTCACAAAGCTGAACACATATGAACGCGGCTTCAGCCAGAGTCCCCTGTCCTGCCCACAGCCCAGCTGTCCAGCTGTTCAGGGGTCCATGGATTCATGGATCAGTTGATTGATCGAGTCATTCATTCATTCACTTGGTCCTCTGAGCTCCAGTGTCCAAAGGCCGAAGAGAGGTGAGGAGGCAGCCCTGCCCGGGGTCCTCCCTGAGCTCCCACTTCCTCATCACCCCTAAGGGGGTGCTGTGGCCCCCCTTCCCAGTTGAGGAAGCTGAGGTCAGAGAGGTGAGAGACCTGCCCTCATCCACACCCAGGCCCAGGCTCGGAAGGGCCTCCCCCTCCACCGGGGCACAGTGATGCTGGGCGCTGGCACTGGTGAGGCGCCTCCCTCAGCCCGTCCTGCTGGTGCAGGAATGCCAAGGAATTGTGGGTGGCAGGGCCCTCCCCTGGACAAGGGTCCATCTCAGGGTGTCTGCCCCGTCGGCTGAAGACCCCCTCTCCCTGGCAGCCGGGGCCTGGTCACAGCTGCTCCTGGGACCCTCACCTTGACTGTGTGAATTTCTGCCCACGATAGAGACCCCGAATCCACGGCTGTGGCGGGTGCAGGAGGAGGAGGATGGCCCTGCCGGGGCGTGTGTGCCACATTCTGAGCACAGACATCCCTAGGGGATTGGGATGCCGCCTGGCCCTGGGGGCTAAGGGGCCACTTGGGACACTCAGCGGTGGCCCAGGGTGAGGCTGGAATCCAGAATCAGATGGTCCTTCCCGGCAATGCAGCCCCCTCCGCAGACCGGATGGTGTGGCCCCGTGGGAAGCGCTGTGGCGTGGGGCTCCATGACCGCCCTTGGCTTCCGAGAAACCGCTGCTCTCCTGCGTCCGCCCTCCGCTCAGCTTGTGTGGTGAACTCCCCTCGTGCGCGAGGTGCCCTGTGGCCAGAGTCTGCATGTGCCTCTACTTACCCAAATCCCAGGGGCCTCTCGCTGGGAGCTGCCCCCACCCAGTCAGCCCCGGGACCCTCTGGTCTGTGCTGCAGCCTCTGCGTTGGGCAGCCTCTCTCCTGTTTGCTCTGGCACCATCCAGGCCACAGTCTCCGTGCTCCCCACTCTCCAGCCCGGCTCCCCTCTTGCTGCACTCAGAGTCCTGGGGCTGGGGCAGGTTCAGATCTGGGGACAGACAAGGATGTAGGGGCAGGAAGATAGGCTCTGGGTCTTCGCGTGCTGGGCAACTGGCTTTTCCTCCTGAGCCTCAGTTTCCCCACCTACAAAATGGTCTCAGAAGGCTCCCTGGTGACGGGCCGTCCCCCTCCTAGGGATGCACTCTGTTCCTCAGGGCCCAGGCCATCTGACATCCCCCCTTGCTCTTGTGACCACATCTGCTCCAACAGTGAATCTTTCGGGCAAACTTTCAAGGCACAGCCAGAGCTGGGCAGCCCTCCCCAGGGCACCGCAGCTGGGCAGGGCCCCTGATGCTCCAGCCTCTGCCCTCCACCCTCACCCTCAGCAGATAAGCCATAAGGACCCTGCTATAGCCGTGCCAGCCTGCCCAGGCCTGTGCCCCTCAGCAGGACACCTGCAGCCCTGGCACTGGCCTACAAGGCCTGACGTGGTCTGACCCTGCCCGAAGCCCAGCCCCAGGCCACCCATCCACTGCCACTGCCCCAGTGGCAGCCATGCTGGCCTCCTGCTGCCCGCTGGACACACCAGGCCCCCCTTCCCGCCTCCGGGCTCCTGCCTTCCTGTACACACTCCCCGGGGTGCTCTTCCGGGACCCTTCCCCGCCTGCCCCTCTGACATCACTGGGGGGCCTGTTCATTCACCCCCACCCAGGCCTTCCCTGACCTCTGACCTCTGACCTGCAAGGCGGGACTCCAGGCCCTGCCCCCTGCTCCCCGGCTGCTCCTTCCGGCCCCCATGCCTGGCGCTGGGCCTGTCTCCACATTCCCTGGGCTGTGCATTTTCTCTCTCCCCCGCTGTCCCATACGGCGCCAGCTACATGAGCCTCCTGAAGCTGAAACAAATCAAAGCTGCACTGACTAAAAAATCCAGGTCTGCAGGGGCACCAGCCCCGTTTCTGAGAGCTTGGCAGCCACCGTGGCCAGTGGGAGCCGTGTGAGACAGGGCAGAGCACTCACCGTCATGGCGTGTTCCACCGGACGGGGCCTCGTGGTCAGCCCCGCAAGGGCGGGGTGAGCCTGCTTGTCCCCTGCTTGGGTCCTTGCTCAGGCGTCCCTGTGGGGCGAGGGCTGTGGTGGCCTTGCTGTCGGGGCTTACTGCTTGCTCCTTCATTCATTCACGCCTTAAACCACCTGCAGACACCAAGGGGAAAGTCTCGGGGGCCTAGGCCCTTCTCCCCTCTCTTCCCCTTCTGCCCCCTCTACCCCGTCTCCCCCTTCTCTCCCCTCTCCCCTCCCTCCCGTCTCTCCTACCCACTGCGGTCTCCCTTTCAAATCATGGTGGAGTGGGCCACGGGCAGCACGGCCCTGGGCCGTCAGGGGCGAGGGCTATGGGCTCTGACTTTACTGCCCTGGCGAGGACAGCCGTGGACATGGTGGGGGCCAGAACACACCCAGCTCCGATCAGTGCTTGGTATGGGACCTTGGGAGAGTGAGGCACCCACCCTGAGCCCACGTTCCTTCTCCGTAAAGTGGGGACAGCAAAATGCTCTCCTCTTAGGGATGCCTTGAGTGCAGCATAGAGCCCCTGCAGAAGCTTCTGGAACACCAGGCAGCCTAAGTGCTGTGTGCCGGCTGTTACTGTGAGGCTGGTGCTATGGGTAAACGGGGGAACTGCTCTGTCTTCTGGCTCTGTCCTACGGCCTGGGGGCTGTCAGATCTGGCCACCCACACCAGCCCTTCTCCTGGAAGGAGATGGCCCTGTGCCCGTGCCCTGGTCCGTGGGTGTGGGGCTGCCGTGAGGAGGGTGATTTATGGCCACGTCTGCTGCATACCCTCTCTCTCACCACCACAAAGCACCCGCATCCTTTACAGAGCCGCCTGCCCAGGCCTGCAGACTGCTCCCCACCTCCCCCATTGTGGCTGTCTATGCCCCTGACCCCAGCTGCAGGCCTGGCCTGCCCCCCTCAACCCTGCCTGGAGACGGCAGGCAGGAGGAAGTGGGCTGCAGGGGAGGGGCCTTGCAGGGGGAGTTTGGACACCACACCTCACACCACGCTCTCCCGCTGCCAGTGGGAAGCCGAGTGGCTATTTAGTTTCCAGAAAAGTGCTCAGACCAGGTAGAAGCTTAAAACCTCCTGGCCTCCTTTATGGTGAGACATGGGGTCTTTAGCGGGGCGTACAGGGCTGGGAGAAGGGCCTGGCATCACTCAAGAAGCCTCTGCACTGGGCAGGTGCAGGGGGCGTCCCTCTGTCCCTCGCTGTCGCTGGCCGGAGGACACCAGAGTGGGTGTCGGCGTGTGTGGCGAGTGTGGCTGGGGCTCCGGCTTCTCCCCATGACTCTGCAGAGCCGGCCTTGGGATGTGGGGAAGGGGCCGTGAGCCCAGGAGGTGAACCTGGAGGAGAGCCCTGCCTCAGCTCCTGTGGGCCAGCCTGGGGGGTGTGCAGGCTCCTCAGGGGCTCCCCTGGGATTAGATGCAGCTGAGCCTGTTCTGAGCGGCATAGACTCCCCGGCCCTGTGTCCCTAACTGGCCAGAACCACAAGGGGATGCCTTCCTAAGTCCGGGAGGCACTGGGGACATTTATGAGGTGGCTTCTGAACAGGAGGACCTATGCTCTGGACAGGACTCACAAATACCAAAGCTCATTGTCCCCATCACACGGGCCTGTGCCTGCCACCAACGAGCGGGGTCCCCGGACCACTGTGGTCCACTGTCATTCCACGACCTGGTCCCCAGTCCTGTGGGGCCCCAGAGAGATGGGACGACCAGCCAGCGTCACACAGCCTGTGAGGACAGTCTGCCAGTTCAGGCCTCTGGTCTCTGCGTCCAGGCCCTGCAAGGACAGATCCCCGTCAGGCCCCGTCCCAGGCCCTCGTCTGTTACATAATTCGGGCGTGAAATCCCGGAAGGGGGAGCTCCTGAGCCCGTCCAGCACCCGGGATTGGGGTCTCCCCATCACACACCCTTGGTGGCAGGGCCTGGCTGGGGGCGGCAAGCAGGTTGACCTTGCCTCTGTCCAAGGCGACTGGCATTTGTCATGACTTGGGGTTGGCTTGAGAGTCTCCGGAAACCCAGGTGGCTCTGTCACCACCTGATCCTGGCCCCAATTCTAGGCAAAAGGGCAGAGCCGATGGGACTGTGGAGGGGGCCACCCACTCCTGGTGGCCTGGGTGGGCTCAGCCCACTGGAGGCTCAGAGCAGCGAAGGAGGCCGTACCATTCTGCCCGCCCCCCCCACCCCCGGCCCTGCAGCCTGGGAGATGCCCGGGTCTCCCCAGGGCACCCTAGGAGCCGGCTGGCATGGCATGGAGGCTGCTGCCCGGCTACTGAGGAGGCGCCTCTGTACTGGCTGGGCTAAAAATAGCGGGGGGATCTCGGGCAGGGACAGCCGGTGGGAGGCCTGTCAGGGAGGGGCCGGGAGGGGCAGGACAGCAGCCTGAGCCCGGGACCCGCCGTCAATGGCGTGGGTGCTCCCACCCTGTTCCCGGTGGCCGGGCCAGCCGCGGCCCAGCTGACAGGCTATTTTTTCCCCTGCTTGACTAAATATGGTCAGGGAGCGCAGCCCGAGGGGGCCACTTGGCCAGGGCCGCGTGTTTGGGATGCTTGGCCGGGTATATAAGAACTGCAAAGGTGAGGCCGGCTCCTGACCCGAGGGGGGCCCCCACGCCCGCTCTGGCCTCTCAGGTCAGGCCCTCCCCTCCCCTCCCCTCCCCTCCCCCGCCCCTGTGTCTCCGCGAGCCGGCTGTGTGCCTGCGAGAGCGTGCACACCCGCGGGACCTTCCCTTTTGTTCCACCCTGACCTCTACCTTCTCTACCTTGTGCTGACCCCGCTGGGGTGCAGGGGTTCCCTTCGGAGGAGGCCGGGGCTCAAGGTGTGCAGCTCGGCCGCCTCTCCCTAACTCTGCACCAGCGCCTTCTCTCTCTCTCTCTCTCTCTCTCTCTCTCTCTCTCTCTCTCAAGATCTCCCTCCTGCTAAGTCTGCGCTGCTGCAGGAGGGCTGGGGGAAGGGCAGGGGTGTGGAGAGGGGGTGCCTGGTGTCTTCTTTCTCTCTCTGCCCCCACCAAGTGCGGACGCATCGAGCTTCGGCCCCCACCCCTGCATTCGCGATTGGCTCCCGGAGGAGGTGGCTGGTGCTGCCGCCGCTGCAGCATCTCCTAGGGAGCCGCGACCCTGCGCCCGCCGCCGCTGCCGCTGTCACCAGCCCGGCCCCAGGGGTGCCCTGGGCTCCGCGGTGAGTCCTGCTCAGCCCATCACCACCGCTGGGCCGCCGGGACGGCCCCTGCAAACTTGCCGGGCACCGCGGTGGGGGGTGTGCCTGCCAGCGAGGTGGGTGCTGCGGGTGCCGGCGCCGTGCGGCTCCGGCGGGGGTGCCGTGGAGTTTTCTCTTGGCTCGCGGCATCATCCACATTTGGAAAACTGCAGAGCCAGCAGCCGGCAGGGCCTGGAGGGCGCGTCCAGCTGGGAGGCAGGAACTTTGACTTGCGGGCATTTTGCAAGAAAGCAGCGGCCCCCCACGCGGGCAGTGGATGGCATGGGGGCTTCGGGGCTGGGCTGGGGGCGCGATTCACCTGCCGCTCCGCAACAAAGCCCCGGCAGCCGGGCGTGGGGCTAAACTTACCTTGAACTTGCAGTATCCCCCACTGAGGTGCTGGTGGGGGGCAGGGATTCCCGAGCTGAGCGGCGGCGAGGCTGCCCCCGGCCGGGACTCGGCACTTCTGCAGCTCTCCCAGCCACGTCAGGGTCAGGAGGCGTTTACAGGGGCAGGGCGGCGAGGTGGGGGGCGGGGGGCACATGTGGGCGGAGACTAGGGGGGCTTCGGGGAGAGCAGCCCTGGTGGTCGGCGTCTGTGCAGGTCCCTGCTGGGGAGCTTGACTTCCCGCGTGGCCTCCCGCGGCGCTGATGCCGGGGGCCGGGCGGTATTCACCGCTGAAGAGCCCCGGAGGAGGCCCCGGGCACAGGAGCCAGCTCGGCTCACGGTGGGGTCTGCTTGGAGGCGGCTGGGTGCTCTTTTTCTATGCAGACGGGAAACTTTTTGAAAAGTGACTACAATTCATTTGTGAGTGGGCAGAAGTCCTGTGGACTCTGGCTGGGTCTGGGGTGACTCTCCTGCCCTTTGGGACTCCCAGCTTTCCCCTTGACCCCCAGACCCCGTCCAGATGAATGCCTCACAGGTCGTGGGGGCTTGAGCCAGGCTGCGGGAGTGTCCCAGGCTCTGAGAGCTCATGTGCCAGGGAGCTGGGGACGTTGAGGAGGCCTTTTCCCTGGACTCCGGGGACGGTTATTGCGGAGGTCTTGGGAGGGCACAGATGAGCGGCGGAACCCAGGTGCCCCCGAAGTTGAAGCTCAGGCTGCGGTGTCGGGTGCCCTTTTTGTATCCTTGGCTACGTGAAAATGATAAATCACAGCAGCTACGTGGAAATGGGACATCAGCTTCTGCTTCTGTCTGCCATTTGCTCCTTCCTTTGTAGAGGGGATGCCTCCAGAGCCTTAAGCACAACCCCCACCCCCCGCCCCCACCCACCCCCACGTGAAACTCCAACCCAGCCATGCCCAGCTGCAGACCCACTGCCACACAGCCACAGCATGCTCAGTGGCCTCTGCACACTGCAGGCTCTGCGGAGACATTGCCCTGCCCTGGGTGGTAAGAGAGAACCAACTCGCTCCGGGCTGTCCCCTCGCATGGACGGGCTGCCTGGAGGAGCAACAGAGTCATGTTGGACCTCTCTTCCTGATGAGGACAACGGGAGGTCCTTTCATGTCCCGGGGCTGCTGTCCCACCCCACGCCAGGGTCAGTGGCAGGACAGGGGCCAGGGCCCAGCTGGACCCCACCGCTTAGCAAGCCTCCTGTGTCTGTGCCCGGCCTGCACCCCCAACTGGCGCCTCCCTGGCCCCCGTCCCCCCCAGGCACCTGCAAAGCCTTCTTTCCACCTCTCACCACCGCACGTGCCAGGCTCGCCCTGGGCCACTGCGAGGCCTCGAAACCCTGCAGGCCTCCTCCTCCTCCTCCTCCTCCTCTCCCCGCTCCCAGCAGGTTCGGGGCGGCTTCCCTTCCTGCTGGTGAGGGCCTAACCTTGAGGTCCCATTGGTCTCCTTCTGGCTCTTTCTCCACATTTTTCAGAGTCTGGCTTCACGGCTGGTCATAGAAGTTGGCAGGGAAGGAGGCAGCCTCTGCTTCCCACTCAGAGACATTTTTAAACGCAATGAAAAACATATCGATACAATTAAGTATTCCAAAGTGCTTAGTTTGCCACTCGCTAAGTTTACTTAAACCCTCTTTAACAGGCTCATTAGGAGCTGGTGAGCACCGGGAAATTCATTAACAGGAAGGCGGCCCCCTGCATTTGACTGTAAATTGGTATTGATCAGGGGCTGGTGGAGGCTGGGCGGCTGGCCACAAAGAGCCAGGTGTGGGACCAGCCTCCCGGGGGTGCCACGGCAGTGGCGCTGGGCAGGTGACGGTGGCTGCTGACCCCCGGTGCCCATGTAAGCTGCTGGCTCTGCGCAGCTGCCGCTTCAGGTGGGCCGCACTGCGCGGCGGTTCAGGGTGGTGACGCTGCGAGGCGGGGACGGGGGAGAGGGTGAAGAAGAGCGAGAGAAGGAGGGAGAGAACCGGGGGAGCGACGCTCCCTCGCCCACTGGGTGTCTGCTGTGGCCAGGCTGAGGCACCTAGGGAGTTGCCCCCCTAGTGGACGGCCTCTCAGGAGATCCTGACCACCCTCTGGGAACCTGGACTCCTCCAAGCATCGTCTTTCTCGCCTGCATCTTCGGAGAGAGGTGCTGAGCCCTTCCTCATGGATACGGGGTCCCGGGAGGCAGCCTTCACCAGGGACCTGCCCAGGAAACCAGCAGATGCCCAGGTAAGCCCCCAGGACACCTCTCGGGTCTCTGGTCTGCAGTTCCTCGTCTGGCCTCAGGAGCAAGGAGTTGTCCAGCTCCCGGAGAAGGAGGAGGCTGGTCCTGCGAGTGGGGTGCTGGGCAGGGCGCCCCCCAAGGTTCCTCTCTCCACCCAGCCCTCTCTGGGCTTGGCTGGGATGAGGTGACCCAGGGGGACAGGAAAGTGTTGGCTTTGAAAGTTTGGGACATGGATGATGCCTCCCTGCTCTGGGGTGAGGGTGGAGGGGCAGCCTGTCTCTTCCATGGACGCAAAACCGAGCTACTGCTGGGGCCAGGGACAGGCGCTCGAGACTTTCTGGGGCTCACTGTCCACTTCTGCCTTTCTGGATCGTGTGAGTGTGTGAGACAGACAGAGAGAGATGGATTCAGGGATGGAGGGGCGCCGAGGTCAGAAGGGGGCAGGGAGTCCTGGGCCCCTGGGGGTGGCTGGACACCAGGCAGCAGTGGCAGGAAGGCTGTCCTGCTCACACAGAGAGGGCTCCGGCAGTAGACTCCAGGGAAGAAGTTACACTGCCTCTGAGCTGCCTTCTCTACATCGCAGTGGGGTCAGCTTCTACCGGGGCGGCGTCCCGGGGTCTTGGAACTGCATGCAGACTGCCTGCTTGGGAAACATACTTCTTTATATGCCCATATGGACCTGCTAAGCTATGGAATGTAAAGAAGTATGTATCTCAGGCCGGGACCTCTCTCGCCGCACTGAGGGGCACTCCACACCACGGGGGCCGCCGCGGCCGACAGCCAGCCAGGCGGCTGTGGTGGGGGTGAGGCTGGGGCGGCAGGCTGCCTGGGCGTTGGTGGACGGTCGTGTCCCCGCCAGCATTGTTCTGTCACTTTGCCTGTGTCAGCAGGTGGAAGTGCTCACCAGACATTAAATATTCAGCTTGCTGACTGCGGCAGAGGGGAGGCGGCCTCCGGCAGGCGCGGGGTCCAGCGCGGGGCTGGTGAGGGCTGGGGGGTCGGGGCCGTGGCTGGAAAGCACGGAGTGGTGGCGGCGGCTCTGGGGGCTCCACTGATGGCCATCCTGGAAGAGGCCATCAGCCGGCAGAAAGGGCCACGTGTGGCCAGGGCAGAAACTGCTCAGAGGCACAAGACAAGAGCGAGTTTGGAAAAGGGCAGGTGGCTGGATGCAGAAAGGAGGGAGAGGCTGGGCAGCACATGGTAGAGTCTGCGGAGGGAAGGCACCTCCTGCACCTGCATCCAGCCCTCCCGGCTGTAGGGCAAGGCAGAGGAACTCGGAGGCATGTAGCCTCCAAGGAAGGCGCAGCCCACACGAGATGCTGGGGACGCGGGCAGGGTCAGGGCCACCACTGCCCTTAGGCCCCACTCCTCTGCCGAGGGCACCTGGGACAGGGTCAGAGGAGCTGAGTCTGTGCAGCCCTGAACCCACAGCCCACCCCAGGGGCCTGGGAGCCGTTCGATTTTGCCAAATGTCTGGTTCATGCCGCCCCAACCTGTACCCCCACCAAAGCCCCGGTTCAGCTTTCTCTCTGTTCCGCCGAATCCAACCTGAGGCATGTTTTGCTGTGAATGCAGGTGAGGCTTTGGCAGAAAGCAGCGTGTGGCCCAGGGCCCCTTGCCCCACCTGTCGGGGGCCTGAGAGCCATCTGCTCTGCCGCCATCCCAGTCCTGACCCGAGAAAGGACTGGGAGGATGTCCTGGGGCCCAGGGGATGAGGGCAGGTCCGGATCCGTCCGTGAAACCCTTTTCCCCAGTGCTGGTCCTTCAAGGAGAGGATGGGCGGCGGGTTCTGGGGTCTTAGGCAGCGGCTGGGCTGCTGTGTGAGGGGCGTTTGCCCGGCTCGTTTCTGAGTCTCAGATTGGAGGCGTTTGCCACCTGGGATGAGGCCAGGTCCCTGCCTGGGCACCCCCACCCTGCCACAGGCCTCAGGATTAATTTCTGGGGTGTGTGTCCTCTCTGCCTTGGCACTGCTCCAGCCACAGCGGTGCCCCTGTGCCCTACCTCCCGCACCCTGGCCTTCGGCAGGAATGAGGCGGGAAGGGACAGGCAGGCAGCCCCCTCCTGCAGCGGCTGGAGGCCTTGGGTCTGGGGGCAGCCAGGTCACCTGAGCAGCTGGGGCCAGCATAGGGAGCGCTGGATAAAGGGATTGGGGGCCGTTCTGAGCTTTCAGGTGGCTCCCACCCCTCAGGGAGCCTCGAGGTGACTGGAGGGGAGGGCCTGGCAGTCAGGGCTCCTGGCCTTCAGGTCTTCCTTCTGGAAACTTCGTTCTCCCAGCCTCAGCCCCATCTGGCGTAGCAGCAAGGGGGCGGGTGTTGACCTCGGGCACAGCCTCCTCTCGGCCTCTGGACCCGGAGGGTCAGTGCCCAGCATCCGCTGACGTCATCTCTTCCCTGCCTGCTCCCAGCTCCGGCCACAGGGAGGGAAGTAGCCGGGCGTGTGGCCACCGAGGCTGCCGGTGGCCACAGACACACCGTTCTTTTCCCCTAGATGCGGCTGTTGTACATTAAAGCTTTATTGCAGGATGTGGTGTTTAAATAAAAGCATTAGTGTTTTGGAATTAGGTTTGACTGAGCAGTAAAACTGGAGAGTTCACAGGGAGAGAGCTGCGGCCTGCTTGGCGGTAAATCACCTCCAGTCTCTGATCTGCTGAATTAAAAATGAGCATTGCACGGACACCGCCCATGGCAGCCCGAGCCCCTCTCCCCTGCACGTGTGGCCTGATGGTGCTCCCTGGGGATCCTGCTGCTTTCCTGGAGACACTGGGACCCGGGGCTGGAGTCTCCCATGCGTGAATCTCTAAAGCTTGGCTCCCGGGCAGCAGCCAGGACGGGAACCCCAAACTGGCGTGGGGCATGGACACGCTGGGACTTTCCCCTGTGGGGGTCTTTGTGCCTGTCCGTTTGAAGGAGGGGAGAGCAGGCAGGGCGGGGGCACAGACCCTCACTGGCTATGTCTTGCCCGCAGGGACTCTCCTGAGACGGCTTAGGCACGCTACCATGGGGGCCGGGACTCTCAGAGGGAAATGAGCCTGGACTGGGCTGAGGGGGCTGGACATGGGACACCCACCCCCTCGCCTGCCAGCTCGGGAACCCAGGTGGGTTTGTGTGGCCATGAGGAGGTGGCCAGTGCCGGTGTCTCTCACTCCCTAGAGCAGGTAGCACCAGGTGTAGGCTTCTGGGTTTCCCAGAACACTCTGGAAACTGCCCCACGGTGATCAGAGGCTGGGCCAGGCTCCCGCTCGTGGAAACAGCCGCTGCAGAAATTGTGGAGCTCATAAATTCAGCGGACCAAATTAGTTACCTTTTTCTATCCTATGGCTCACAAAAGCTAGCTATGCTCCAGGCACTGTTTCCACCCGTGAGTGAGACCGGCTCTGGGTCCTGGAGCTTGCACGCAGGAGAAGGACGGTCTTTGGGAAGGGACGGCCCCGCTGCTGTGCCTGCACGCGTGTGTCACGATGAGTGGTCTTGCATTTCTGCAGCCAGGGGGCCGAGGACATAGTGGCACCCCCTTCTAAAGAGGGGGCCTTTGGTGATTCTGGCTTAGTAGTGCATTCAAGTGCAATACAGTGTTTTATTGCACAAGCATTCAAAGCAGGCGCAGCGGCTGGTGAGAGCATTCGCGAGAGGTGCGTCGGCAGTCTCTGTGAAACTGTCGGGCTCACATGGGGAACGTTGCGTCGAAGAATAAACTGCTATCAAGCATGATTAGATTGACCCACAGGACAGATATTTTAGATGCCGCAGCCGGAGTCAATCAAAATGAACATCACTCGAATTGCAAATTTTACCCAAAAAATGCTCTAAAGTAAAAATGAGAGAACCTGAGTGGCCCGAGCCATCTTCAGGGCCAGGGCGTGGCTGGGCAGTGCTGGCCTGAAGGGTTTCTGGGCAGGGATGGCCAGAGGTGGGCGGGGCGGTGCAATGCCGTGAGTCGCTGCCACCTTCGCATGAAGGGTAACCCAGCAACCTGAGGGATTTTGTGCTGACTCAGCCCCGCCGTGCACGTCCGACTGCAGAGGCCTCCCGTGCTCTCTGCAGCCCTGCTCCTGCCTTTGATGCCCCCGGGCAGGATGCTGACCTCGGGGTGGCTGGGCTTGGGCCCCAGCAAGGGAGGCTCTTGGACAGGAGCACAGGGCTTTGTGAGGGGCCCTGGCCTTGCCCACTGTCCTTGGCCAACCAGCAGCCTCTGTCCCTGTGAACTGGAGGCATCGCACCCAGGAAGAGCTGGGCATGGCTTTTGGGAAGGGAAGGCACCCGCAGACAGTATCAGCAGCTCCCAGAGCCTCGTGCTGTCTGCTCCTTCCTGAGGTCCCAGGCCCAGCTGGCCAGAGCTTGGGGCTGGGAGGGCCCTCCCCGGAGGCCCCTGGGTGCCCAGGGAGGACTCTGCCTTTGGGGAGGACTCTGCCTTTAGTGCTCAGAGTCCCCAGCCGGCTCTGACCCCTGGAAGCCCGTCCTGCTGAGTGGGGAGGGGCGGTGACTGCAGCAGAGGAGTGGGGCAGGCTGCTGCCGAGCTGCCGCCTGGGATGCTGCAGAACACCGCAGGAAGCATGCAGGGCTGCGCGTCTCAAGGGCAGGGATCAGAGGGCCACCTCTGGCAGCTCCACCGCTGGCTCCCTTAGATAGAGGGACACAGGGCCGAGGTTCCCACACAGCGGTCACTGCAAAGGCACTGTGAGCTCGACTGATTCACCCAGGTTTCAGAGGCACCACTAAGCCTCAGGCCAGGTCTGCTCCCTGCACCAGGCGGGCTGCCCCATTGGGGTGCAAGTGTGTGATGCTGAAGGACAGAGATGCTGGGGGGGACACTGGGCCTCTCAGGCCTCCTGTGTCTACCCCAGGGAGAGAACATGGGAGAAAGAGCCCTGTTTCAGGAGTGCTGGGTGCAGAGGTCACTGGCTGCTCCCTGGCCAGGAGGTGGTCACCCAGAAGCCTTGGCGGTGGGAGACTGGGGTCCACTCCTCACAGGGTCGAGCGACTCCTTGGCTGGGACTGGAGGCAGGTGTGTGTGTGTGTGTGTGTTTGCATGGGCATGCACGGAGGACGATTTCTGGGATGACTGGGACAATGACCCAGAATATTTTTAACAGCGGCAGGAGAGGGGGTAGAAGGCAGCTGTCCCTGGAACCTGTCCCCGGGGGGCCCCGTGGGGATGTTTTGAGGTTGAAGGACGCCCAGGACAGTTGCACCGTGTGGCGCTTGTTGTCCTGGCAAGCCGATGCCCTCTGTCATGCCCAGATATGGCTCCAGGGCTGCATGTGTCTCCCCAGCTGCCCGCCCGCCCACCACGCCAGTATAAATAGTCCGCGTTCTCAGCTGTCCCATGGAGAGGCTGAACTCGGATGACTCTGCCGGAGCTCTAGGAGTGCCCCCGACCCCGCCCACTGCCTAAGTGCCTGAGGCCAGCAGCTGTAGCGGGACAGAGGCCGGGTGAGGCTCTGGGCTCTTGGGCTCTGCCTCTGTCTCTCCCTCCTCACCTGCCCCCTTGGAGGGTGTCAAGTCCAGGAGGGACCCAGCTACCTTCTGTCGTCCCTTCCCCAGGGCATGGCGGGGACTTTGCCCACTGAGAGTGAAGAGGGACAAGAATCCCCACCCTGGGAGTGGGTGCAGGGAGCTGCTTGGTTCCCTGGCCTCGGGCTCAGGCCTGCAGCAGGCGAGACTGTCGCTGGGGTCCCTGCTGCCCCTCCCTCGGGTACCTCCTCACCTGTCCCGGCCCTCCTCCCACATCAGCTGTAGCAACACACTCCAGAGGCCTTGCAGGCCCGAGCACCAGCTTGCCAGGCCCCTTCCCAGGGGAACTGGCTTTCCCTCCACCCTTAACTCAAGAAGTGACTCTCTAATGGTAGAATTTCAAACACCTCCAAGGCCTGTGGAGCTGATGCCCTTGAGTGTGGGCAGGAAAGGCCCATCCTGTGTTCCTTAGACATGGGGTGCTGCACCCCACCTGAGGACTGATGAGGACATGTCCCGCAATGTCTCTGCACACTGGGTGGCCTCACTGAGCCAGAGGGAGGGCAGGGAACACCGGCAGAATCGAGAGCCCGACACACACTTGTGCGTGGAGCTGGGGCCTTCCTTGGTGTCCCAAGGCCTGCGGTGGCCACATGGATGCCCCTGTCATTTCATCTGTGGCCATCCCTGAGGTCCTGGCTTAGGGATCTGTTTCTGCAGGTGGGCAGGAGCGGTGGGCAGGTGCCCTCCCACCCACAGGAGGGGGCTCCAATCAGACTCTGTGCACCAAATGGCTTTTCCTTATCCTGGGACACGTGGCCGTTCATTTGTCCCCGAGCTGCCAAGCCCTCTCTCTTGACCTCGGGTCTCTCTGATCCTGTTCTCAGCCAACAGCCTTCTTCAAATTAAACCAGCTTTTACCGCGGCCCTATTTTTGAGATCATAAGACACAAAAGTCTATCTTGCCATTTTTGCAAAGAACAGCTAAATAATCATGTGTCCCCTCCCGCCCTGCCTCCCCCCAGCCTGCCCCCTGCTCTGTGGGTCTATTTGAGGCGAAATTTATCTCTAGGAAGGGACCCATCAATTTGCCTTGCTCTTTTGTTGACAAGTTTATTAAAAACCCGGGCAACTCTGTATTAAACTTTTATCAGTGTTGAGAAATAATACATTTCTTTTTTTGAATAGATAGAAAAGTTATGGATTTGGGCTGAGCGGGTCTTGTTCAGCATTTGGCTGAGTCAGCGTTGCTGATGATAAGAAACAAGCCGTTTTGGGGTGCAGGGTTTCCTCTTGCCTTTTAATTAGGGGTCTCTCTGCAGACTGCCCTGTGAGAGCCAGAACCCCAAAGGCTCCTGCAGAAACCCCAACGGGGGCTGCCCACACACACCAGGCTCACTGTAATTCTTTGCTATCTATTTTAATAATTAACCAAAATCTGGAATTAAAATTTAATTCAGTGGTGAATCTGAGTGCTAATAGGTAATGGTGCTGCATGGAGAAATATTAGGTTATTGACATTTAAATTTTAAAAGCTTCATAGCAAGAAACAAAAAAAGCATCCAGATGGGAGTTAGCAATGTCCTCCCCTGGTGGGAGGGGAGGGGCCCCTGTCCTGCCCCACTGTGAGTGCAACTGGGGTTGAGGGGGGAGGAGGGGAGGGGCCCCTGTCCTGCCCCCCGGTGAGTGCCTGAGATTGTGGGGGAGAAGGAGAGGGGCCACCCTTGCCTTCATCTTGGGTCCCTGAGTCTCTGTGGGGGCTTTGGCAGGGGCAGGGCTGTGCTCTGCAGTCTCTGAGGGCAGTGTCTTTGCTGCGGGTGTGACCTGGTGTTGGTTGTCCTTGAGGGGAAGTCGTTTGGTGCCGCATCTTCACCAAGGACGCTGGTTGTAGTGTCCCCTGTGCTGGGGCAAGAGACACCTTCCCCTGGGGGTCCTGTGTGGTTTCTGCCCAAAATGGCCACCGTTCCCCGAGGTCCTGGGTGAGGGCTTTTGGGTGCAGCAGGAGGGACTGTTGGCTTCCACCGCCCTTGAGGGGCAAGTGCCCAGGGACCCCGGGCCAAGCTCAGACCCGGCCATGGCATGACCAAGATTCAGGCCACACGGGGCTGGTGCTTACACATGGTCATTCACACTCCCACATGGAGGACCTGAGGCGCAGAGGGGCTGCAGAAGTCCCCAAGAACCCCTGGCTAGGTGTGTGGCACTCTGTGCCCGGGGTCCCCCTCTGCCCCACCAGATGTCGACCTGGGGACGGCTGCGGCTGCAGGGGAGGGCCCGGCGGTGCGTTTCACACTTGCTCCTACTTCCGCCTTCCAGGGCTGTGGGGCTGCCTCCCCTCTAGGGTCCAGCGCAGGGGCTGGGGCCCTACCAAAGGTAGGAGGGGCTTCCGGGATAAGATGGCAGGCGTGGCTCTGGCCCTCCTGCTCCCCTGTGTCCTCACCCCTCGGGGGTCCGTGGGTGAGGCTGCTGCAGCCGTGAGTCTCAGTGACACTTCCTACCAGGTCTTTATCTACACCACTATTTGCTCCAATTATAACTAATTGGACACGTACTGTATCTTCATGGCATCTAATTTTGTATTGATTTTAACAGGGCTGCCGGTGCTTTCGGCAGAGATTGCCTGCAACTAGTATCCGTCGCTGCTTAAAAATGCTGAGTGTACTTCCCTGTGTGGGACAACTCCATCAGCAGATGTTTTAAAACCTGTTTAATTGTTTGGTTCATAAAGTGCACTAGCGGTAGGAGCTGCAGCCTTGTTCTCTGTAGCACTGGAGTCAAGAGAGGGGCAGGAGGACCCAGAGTGGGTTTTCCGGAGAATCCACATCCCAGGCTCCAACCCCAGTTCTGCTGTCCTGGTGAACGGTAAAGTCACCAGAAACGCCTGGGCCACCTCTCTGCCAGGTCTGGGCACCCAGCCGGGGACACAGAGGGGACCAGCCAGGAGCTGCCCCTCCCTTGGCGAGCTTGCCTTTACTCGGGGGGCGCAGGGACTCCTCACTCGATGAGGAAACCACAGTGGCAGCTGGCCCCAGAGAAGGCCAGGCAGGGCTGGCCCTCCCCTACCCGGAGGCTGCTGGAGCCCTCGGGGCCCGGGGATCTGAGGCCCCAGGAGCTAGGGGCGGTCGCTGTGGTGAGGGGATGGGTCTTGGCAGGAAGGCAGCCCATGCCTGGGAGGCGGGAGGCAGCACAGCTCAGTTTGGGGAAGGCAAGCTCCAAGGCCGGAGAGCGTGGGGTGCGGGGGTCTAGGAAGGGTGAGCTCTGTGAAGCACCTGACCTTTGAGCCATGGGGCCCTTGGGGAGGTTTTGGGGCTTGTGGGGTGTTGGTTTCTTGGCCTTTTTAGAGAGAAAAGAAAAAAATACTTACAAGGAAGTTGAGGAGCCTCAGGGACCTCCCTTGTCAGCCCTCGCCCCATGCTGGTGAGACCCCAGGGTTCAGAGGGGAAGGGGCTAGAGGATCTGCCAGTGAGTGGGAGCTGCTGCCTGAGGGAGCAGAGCAGAACAGGGGGGTGCCCGGGTCCACAGGGGTCCCCGACGTCCTGCCCGAAGGATGGACCTAGTTCCGGCACGTCCCAAGAACACGAATTGTGGGCCTGTTCCTTCACATTTGCAAGAAAAGGTGTTGATCACACCCTTGGCAAAGAATGACTGGGAACCTCCCTAAGCCAGGCCACATTGGGGTGAGGGTACCTGGAGGCTGGCTGCCACCTCATGGGGCAGCATGAAGAGAGAAGGGCCTGGGCCCCGGGGCAGGGGACGCTGCTGTGAGCCCCAGTGTCCTCCTGAGGGGCAGCACAGGACTGGCCTTGAGGTACAGTGGGGTGTATGGGAGAAGACGGTGGCTGTCGGTGCTCAGGGCCGCACCTGGCACTTGGCCGCTCGGTGTCTATTCACAGCTCACGCCCACCACCGTGGCGGCTGCAACGCCAAGCTTGATGCCTCATCCAAGGCCGCAGTGGCCTCCCCGTGGGGGTTTTGCAGCCTGCCCCAGTGCTCTGCTGCCTTTCGGGTGAAATGACCAGTTTGTTTGCTATGTTGATTGGCAAATGCCAGACCTCCCAGCTCCTGATGGGATAGAATCGCGGCTGGGACTCGAATCCCCGGCTTGATCTTGTCAAATCTTCTGCTCCATTAGGAATATTGACAGGCGATAAATGGACAAGTGTGTGCCGGCTTCGAGGTCTTTGAGCCGTCCTCACTCCAGGGCCAGGGAGGGGTGGACTCTGGGAGCCTTGAGGTCTGCCCTGCACCCTCTGTGCTACTGGAGTAAGGAGGAGAGAGGTTTGCAGAGTGTGGGCTGATGGCCCGGAAGCCTCTCTGTTTTGGGGCGCGAGGCTGAGAAGGCTGGGGCCCAGCCCCGACTTATAGGGGACTTTGAGGAGGTGGTCCTCCTACACGGCACAGATCTTTCTGGAGGGCACCGTGGCAGGGACAGTCAGGGAAGGCAGCTACGGACGGGTCAGAGCAGGCCTGGCAGAGGCTGGGGTGGGGGGTCGTCCAGCTCAGTCACTCCCAGAGGGGACTTGGAGCGTGGGCATGGTGCTGTGCGACCGTCCCTTTTGCCTGAGGGGCCTGAGCTTCTGTCCCTGCAATGTCAGGAGGGGGACAGAAAGGCCAGAGGACAGGCAGGCAGGGCAGCCCCAGGTGTGCAACGGGCAGGCAGGTGGCACAGGCCCTAGTGCGCAGCGCCCACTCTGCCAACCTGGTGGGCGAGGAGCAGGTGCGTTCACCTGTGCTGCCCAGGACGGCCTGTGCTCCCGGATAGAAGCTCACACACATGGGTGCCACATCCCCAGCACTGCCGGAGACACTCTCCCTCACCTGTCACGGCTCCTGATGAACGGGGGCTGCAGGGAGACTCATTTTATAAAAGGGAACTTGCTCTCAAGGCACTGAAGGTGACATTGGTGTGGGGGACGCGGGAGCCAGGCAAGAGTGATGTCACGTTCGGACCTCCGTCCTGACACTCCATCCTCACAGTTCCCTTGGGCATGGAAATGCCCCTCAGCAAGATGCGGGCAGGGCTGCAGGTCTGGGGCATGGGGCCCAGGGTCAGGCCACGAAGGCCCCCTCAGGCTGTCCTCCCACCACCATGCAATGTGGACGTCCCTGGAATCTTCCCGTCCTGCCTACCCAGAGATACCATGTGGTGTCAGAGTCCATCCCGTCCCACCCAGGCCATGGCAAGCCAGGCAGGACGGGGTCCTGGGTGGGCTGCCCCATGGTTAGCCAGGGCCCAAGGCTCACTGGGAGGTCTGTCCTGCCTCTGCTCCAGCTATGAGCATGGTCTGGGAGGAGTTTGCAGGGGAATAAGGGCCTCAAACCTGCAAGATCACTGTGCCCACAGATGTGAGCCCCCTGGGGCGGGGCCCGATGGTCTGAGCTGTATCCCACAGCTGAGGCTAGTGCTGGGGGCAGTGGGCACTTGGTGAAGCGAGGGCTGTGGAGGAATCGGGCGGTGACAGGCAGAGAGCAGTGAGTGTCAGTTCCAGAGCATGGAGGCCGCCTGGCACCCCCGACCCTCCCCAGACCCCTGCGGGTCCCCGATGGGGGAGCCCGGGCAGAGCGAGAGGGTGGTGAGTTGCGTGTGAGCGGGTGTGTGTGTCTGTGTATGTCTGAGTGTGTGTGTGTGTTGGGGCGTGTGGCCCTTCACACCAGTCCCTGCAGAGCTTGAGGGAAACTCCACGGGGTGGGGGCCCTCCGGGAGTTGGGGTAAGGGCCTGATGCTGGCCGCGAAGCCCCATCTCCATCGGGACTGCTTGGTGGAGCCGCCTTCTTCACCGACGTCGCTGTTCCTCGGATCTGGGAGCCAAATGCTTTGCTAGAGCTGGTAAAATGGAACCAAATCGACTGTCCAATGGATTTGGTCCCCTTCAACCAGCTGTAGCTGTGCATTGATGGCGCCGTGCGGCCCGGCCGCAGGTCCCGCAGCCGTGGAGAGGACCCAGCAGGTGGCGCGGGGAGAGCCCGGCTCGGCACGTGGTCAGCTCCAAGTAAGTGAAGCCCTGAGTGCCGCCCCCGCCCCCGGAACACTTCAGTGCAGAGCCCGAGACCCTTCCCCCTGAAAGTGGGTGGCTGAGGAACGGGGTCATCCCCACAGCTGGGTGCTCCTGCTTGTTCCTCCTTGCCAGGGCACCATGAAACCAATGTTCATTGCTCACACAAGAGCTTTGCTTGAAAATGTGGGCTTAGGAGCTGGGCCCTGTGGGTTGGGCCTGCCGGGGGCCTGGGCTGGCCCCGCCCTGTCCTCTTCCCAAGGACCCTTCTTCGATTTCTCCTTTAAAATGGCCTGGACTCTAAGGCACCTCCAGGGACCCACAGGGGTGAGCACGGATGCTGCGCTGGTGACCTGTGGGGGTCTGTGTCCTCAGTGGGGAGGCCTGGGCCGGTGGCATCTCTCCAGATGGCCTGAGGGGTGCTGGGCCTGGCAGGGAGACTACCAAACAGGAGCCCCTCAGCATGGCCCGTGGCTGGGGAGGTGCCTGTGAAGGTTGCTGGGGCCCCCAGGGGCTCCCCATCTCCCCACCCTCTTGCGGGAGGCAGTGACGCCCATGTGCAGGGAAGCTGGGCCATCAACGGGCACAGCTGCAGTGAGCAGAGATCTGCAAGGGGGTCTGCAGGCCAGGTGGCACCCAGGACCCATTGTGGGGGTCCCCGACCATGTGCCCTTCCCTTGGCAGGGGCTGGCATGAAGGGGCTCAGGCTGCTGGGCGCCAGCAGATTGGAGGCCTGGGCAGGCACGGGGGCTCCTGCTGGGCATCTCTAGGCCTGGGGTTCCAGGGCCTGTCAGGAGTGACCCCTGACTTCTGCCCAGAGTTGCAGACGTGGGGCCTCCCCTCAGGGGCCACCAGCTGCCGGCCCCAGGGCAGGTGAGGCGAGGGTCAGGACCCTGGGAGGGATGAGCAGAGGGAAGGGGCATGGTAGGCAGAAGGGCAGACACCCCCTGGACTGATGGACGGATAGAAGACCAGGTCTGAAGACAGTGGCCCTGGCTCAGGAAGCCACGGCTCCCTCCTCACACCCTGCCCAGCTTTAGTGCCTCTAATTCCTAGGGTCAGCTTAACCCTAACCTTGGCACCGTGTTACCACCCCTCTTCACACAGAGTCGCTATGTCCCCAGATAGTGGGAGTGGCCGAGAGGCTGGGGTAGTGGACGGCAGCCCAGTCTTCAGCACAGGGCTGGGGCTGGAGTTTGAAGACCAGAGTGTGCGGGATCCATGGGCTCTGCTCCCGAAGGGCTGCATGGCCTCAGCCTTTATTCAAGCCTCTCTGAGTGGAGGGCAGAGTGGTCAGCCCCTGCTGGGGGTCCTGGCCAGGCGCCGCCTCCTGGGAGCCTCCGGGGGCTTCCACTGCTGAGCCCTTTACAGGGGGCAGCCGGATGGCCTGGGTGTGGCCGTGCCTTTCAGGGTGGCCTGACCCCAACCCCACCAACCCCAAGCTGTGTGGTGCCGGGGTCTCCTGCCAGGGACATCTGTCCATTGGGTGAGGCCTGGTCCTGTCCTGGAGGGGAGACTTTGGACATCCACGCAGCCGAGGACCTGGTCGGCCTGCCCTCAACCTTCCCTCCTACCTGGAGGGCGGTGAGGTGGCTGGGGTGCAACAGCTTGAGGTCCTCTGTCAAATACATCACCCGGGTGAGGACTCAGGGAACCACTCCCGGGCCTGTGGGAGGGATTTGTGCAAACATCATGCCAAGAACAGTGTCTGTTGTTGACCCAGCACCCGCCAGGGAAGGCTGGAGCCACTGGAGTCCCTTCCAGTGCAGCCTGGGGTTCCTGTTGGTCACCACGCCGGCCGTGAACAGGGACGCCTGCTCCGTGTTGCCCGCCTGGCCCTTCCTCGCCACCCACGGCCCCGCCAGCCCGACCCTCTGGCACTGACACCTGCTGAGGGCAGTGATGCAGCTGCAGAAAGCCCACAGCTGTGTGGGAGCTGCCCTGCCAGGCAGGGCCTCGGGGTACCGAGGAGGGTGGCAGGAACGGAGGGGAATGAAGGCTCCGTCCCAGCCAGCCGAGAGCCAGGGCCTCCTGCTCCCGGCCTCCCGTCTCTCCTGTAAATTAAAGGATGAGATGAGGCTAAGACCATCTCCGGTGCTCCACCATGGTCAGGACATCAGCTCCAGATGACTGTAGGACACTGTGGCTGTTTCCTGGCCTACCCACCCGGGGCATCTTCATGGGGTCCCCAGTAAAAACCACTGCACCCGCCTTGCCATCCCCAGGACGGGGCCTCGTCCACTGAAATCACAGTGCAGCCCGGCACAAGGCCACGCACAGTGTGGACAGACAGGGCATGTGGATGGAGATGAGGGAACACTTGGAAGCAGCCCCCATGCCTGGCGGGCCAAGCACGAGGGGCCACACGGGCGCTGACCCTAAGCAGCCCCAGGCAATGCATGACCGCGGCCGGGTGTCCCAGTGAAACTTTATTGGCGGACGCGGGAATTTGAATACGTATCATTTTCATGGGTCACAAAATGGGTCTTTTGATTTTTTCCTCCTAGTCGTTAAAAAGGTGAACGCTGTCCTGAGCTCTCGGGGCTGTCTGAAAGCAGGTGGCAGGGGGGATTTGGCCCTGGTTGCAGCTGCCACCTCCAGGCTAGATTAAGAGGATACATGAGCAACAGGTGCTGGGCACACAGGGCCGGGGACACAGGGTCACCGAGGGCGGCACTGCTCCTCCCAGCTCCTTGCTGCATGTTTGGTCAGTGTGCAGGTGGAGGCCCCAGGGCAGCCCTAGTGTTCACAGTGGTGGGACCGCTATGAACAGCCCCAGCCTGCCCAGCAGGAGAGAAAAACCAGGAGGAGGCAGCTGGGGCAGGACAGAGCCTGGAGCCTCCAGGTTTGGGGTGGGGCTGTCTCATGCCACATCCCCTGCTCCCCCCCGCAGCCTCTTGGCTTTGGGCTGAACTTGCCCCCAGCAGATGCCCATCTCTGGAGCAGGTGCCCACTGGGAACAGGGCCCAGCCAAGCCAAGGCTACTCCCCAGGGTCAAGGAAGTGGGGTCAGGGATGGGACACAGCCCACTGGAGGACCGCAGTTTCGGATCCCAGGATCCCAGCAACCTCGGGTTGGGGTGCACGGGAGCCAGCTCTGCCAGGCTGGGCATGCTGCGGAGTGCCTGGGCATCAGAGAGGGTGAGGAGCTCACCACAGTCACACAGCCAGCCCTGGGCGAGCCCAGAGCAGAATGGGAACACAGGGCTGTCTGCCCCAGGGCTGCGTCTTCCCCTCAGGAATGAGCGGCCCTTGGCTGGACTTGGCTGGACTTGGCTGGGCTGAGTTTGGGACCCTGAGTTTGGGGGCTCCTGCCTTCAGTGCCCGCGCCTGGTCTCCATGCTTTGCTGTGTGTTTAGCTGCGTGGGGGGTCCCTGGAGCATCTTGCCTTAGGGGCTCAAGGGGAGAGGGGGCAGCAGAAGGGGGGCCCATGCTGGGGAACGGGCTTTATGTTTCCTGGCGCTCTGCCATCTGTCTTTTCATCTCCCTGGGAGGGGTGAGAATGTGGACCTGAGTGAGCAGTGGACATTGCCAGCTCAGTGACCGAGAGGATGGGTCTAAGTGTCCGGTGCTGTGGGAAAGCCTCTCCCCACCAGGTGCAAAGGTGACAGGAGTTGGCCCATCCCAACCTCGGCTGAGGATCTGCAGATCCTGGGTCCTGTATCACTGTAAGACAAGTCCAAGAGCTCATTAGAAATGCAGATTCCAGGCCCCGTACCCACCCCTACCCCAGTCAGAGCCTCCAGAGCAAGGGCCTGGGAACCTGAATTTTTACCGAGTGTGTTTGGTGAGTCTTATGAACAAGCCACATCAACCTGGTCCTCTTGATGCCTGCTGGCCCCGCACCTGCCCTGCGTACACCTTGCTCAGGTCCCCTCCCTCTCCTCCCTACCCCTCAGCGGGCCATCTCCTCTGGAAAGCCCCCCGGCCTCTCAGCAGTACGTCTCTCTCCTCTATACTCTAGCAGCCGCCATCACACTCGGGACCCTGTTGGCTGCAGTGGGTCACTGTGGAATCTCCCCTCTCCCCGCAGCCTTGGGTGGAGGGTGGGAGGTGTGTGCAGTTTCCCAGATGTCAAGGGATGAAGTAACGTAGTGTGTGTGTGTGCGTCTCCTTGTTCTGGGAGAAAGTGGTGTTGACCACAAACAAGCAGAAAGAAGGTTAAATTCTGCGACCCCAAGCAGCCCCTGGTGAGATGCCAGGCACTTCCTTCCAGACTTTTTTTCCATACGTAGCTCAGTTCATCCCCATCCCACCTCCCACCACACACACTAAGGCAGCGGCCACAGGGCTGATAAACAGCCCTTTCTGCAGAGCAGTGCCTGGGCCCCCTCCTGTATCATCAGTGGCTCTGTCCACCTTCCTGCCCGAGGTCCTGGGGTCAATGCAGTGCCAACACGCCATCCATGACCAATGCGAGCAACCTCACTGCTGTCCACAAATGCTCCTGTGCCAAGCCCTGGGCACAACGTTGTCCAAACTCTGCTGGCTCTGACATGCCTGTGGTTCCATGGCATCACCAAAAACATCCTGACTTCCTTCCTCCTGAGCATGGGATGGAGGCAAAGGCCTGAGCAGCCTCCCGTGGGTCACCCACCACGCCTGCTGCGCCCACCGCACCTGCTGCGCCCACCGCACCTCCTGCACCCACCACACCTGCCGCCCCTGCCGTGGCTCCCGTCCCTCTGCAGGGCCCTACTTCCCTCTCCTCAGCAGCTCGCTCAGGCGCTGTCCATCTCCCACCCCAGCACCCTGTCCCTCCTCAGGTCCTGCTGACCGGGCGGCCTCTGGTCTGCAGCAGGGCACACGGGCCACCAAGCGCTAGGCTGTGGGGTCGCTTGTCGAGGTTGTCTCTCCCAGCCCCTTGCTCCCGTGTCCGTGGCCTGGGACTTCCTCCAGGTGTATTTGTGGAGGAAGCCAGAGAACGGGGGCAGGGTGTGGACAAGCCTCCGAGGGCCTGAACAGGAGGCGGGGTCCCAGGCAGAATGGCCAATGCGGCCTCCCAAGTTTCAGGAACAACCCGTGATCTGGAAGCTTTGGAAACTCTTGAAGACAAGGAGCAATGACCTGGGTTGGACCAAGGATTCCAGATCCCTGCTCTGCTGCCTCCAGTGGGAACACCCACACGCCCTCCCCAGGACCCCTGGGCCGACCACCTGGGTTTGTGTGTTTCAGTCCTGGATCTTGAGCCCTTAGAAGAGACCCTGCTCCCACCCCGGCCACTCCGTCTCCTGCTTCCTCACTTTGTGTCCACTTGTCCCAGCGTGCTGGGGGCGAGGCTGGTGCTCTAGGACAGAATTCTGGTCCTGGCTCCTGCCCTGGGTTTTTTTTTTTCCTGTAGGTCAGCCCTGAAATGTCCATTACTCACAAAGAAAAGGAAAATGCTCATTTGAAAGAAATTCTTCTCTTTGTCAATGCTGAGGCATTCTCTCAGCCCCAGCCCCACAGTGCTCCAGTGTGTGAAGGGCAACAGCTGACGGGGAAGTTCAGCACATCTGTGCTGACCAGGGCTGGAGGCGATGCCAGTCCGTGCAGCTGGGAACGCCTCCTCTGCTATGGCTGGAGCCACTGCTGAAGGGACTCCACCTGGCACCTATGCCACCAATGGCCCCTGAACGGGTATCTAGGCCCACCCTTAATAAAGATGAGCTGCTCATTCCCAGTTTCAGACCTTGTTTATCCTCCCCAGCTCCCCAGTGTGTTCTGGGGGAGATCCCTCCACTGTCAGACAAAAACTTCAGAATGACAGCGGTCATGCCACCGAGCACCAGCAGCATTGGCATGTGCTTCTCCTCGTCAGTGCGCCTCTGGCTCAGTCCAATGCCAAGCACTTACAGCTGGGGAAACACACACAAGCACATACACACCCCATACACTGGCACAGGCTCACATGTGCACACACCCACACATGTGCAAACACACACACGTGCAAACACACACACAGAGGCACATGCACATTCTCACACAGGCACACACAATGCACACATGCACGATGCACACACAGGCACACACGTGCACACCCAGACACATGCTTACACATGCACTTACCTGCACATTCCCACACACGGACATGCAGGCACACCCCTCCACACACACATAAACGCACATGTATGCACAGCTTCTCACAGATACACAAAGCAATGCAGGTACTCATGTATGTATACATGAGTACACATGCATGCACACAGGCACACACATGTGCACAAACATATATATGCACACACCCACACATGCACAACACACACACATAGGCACACATGTGCACACACTCACATGCACACACGCTCCCATCCCCCCACCACACAATCACACAGACGCCTAATGCCTCGCAGCAGGTGAGACCACCCATCAGTAGGATTAGGGGCCAACAGAGGGTTCCGGCAGCAGACGCAGGCAGTTTGGAGAAGGGGCTGGGTGTGAGCTAAGGCAGACAGGGGAGGCTGAGTGAGGGAGGAGGTTGGGTCCCTGAGGTGGGGGAGGGGGATGGGTGGGAGGTGGCTGAGGGAGCTTCCCTGAGAAGCTCAGAATGAGGCAGTCACATGGGGGGTTGTTTGGGCTTTCCCAGGTGAACCCTGTGCTTCCCCCTTCCCTTCCCTCTCCCTCTGTGTTCCCCTCCCCAAAGCTATGGCCCCTCACCACCCCTCTGCCCTGGCACCTCAATGAGACCCTGTGGAAGTTCCTGTAGACAGGAAGTGGGATGGGACCTGTGGGGAGGTGGGGCCTGTGGGGAGGTGGGGCCTGTGAGAAGGCGGGGCCTGTGGGAAGGCGGGGTCTGTGGGAAGGCGGGGTCTGTGGGAAGGTGGGGTCTGTGGGGAGGCGGGGCCTGTGAGAAGGTGGGGCCTGTGGGAAAGTGGGGCCTGTGGGAAGGCGGGGTCTGTGGGGAGGCAGGGCCTGTGGGAAAGTGGGGCCTGTGGGGAGGCAGGGAGCCACGACAGCCTGCCAGCTTTGCCTAACTTTTTATAACAGCTTGATTTTAAAAATGTTTCAAGTCTGTTTCAGTCTGTAGGTCCCTCCTGTTGCTCTCTCTTTTTTTTTTTATAATGTGTCTGCTGAAGGACCAGGTCGTTTGGCCTGGGGTGTGTCATGCATCAGGATTGCTGGTGGCGCCCTCTTGGTGCAGTTCTGCCTGTTCCTCTGTCCTCTGAGCTTCCTGTGTGCTGGTGGCTGGACCCGGAGACTCCTCCCACTCAGGCTGCATCCCTGCAGCAGGAACCCAGGTTCTGTTTTGTCCCCCCATCAGGAGGACACAGGTCAGGGCTGTGCACTCCTGGAATGGTGGCCAGGCTTGCTCTGTGCCTCAAGCCACTAATCCATCAAGGTTGCAAGACGGTGATGTCCTGAGTCTGGAAGTTCTTTTTCACTTATTTGTCGGGATACCTTTATGGAAACTCTTCTCCTCCACGCAGTCTCATCCCCAGTGCCACTGTCCAGAGGAAGCAGGATAAAGGCACAAATCTTCTCCTGCAGCCGCCGCTTTTCAGGAAAATGCACCAGGTCCCCGAAGCCCTCCTGAGGATTGGCTTGCTCGATACCACTGTGCGCGCAGGCCCCTTTCCAGCAGGAACTGTGGACGGCATCGAAGGGAAGAGAAGGTTCCTGCTGCACCAGAAGCCCCTTATGGAGCAGTGAAGGATTTCACAGAACTAAAGATCAGGTGCCTGAGACAGGAGTTTTTAAAAAGATGCTTTGAAAGCCAAGGGGGAAGCTGAGTTATGAGAAAGCTTTGCACCACCGCAAGGAATACAGAGCCCAGAGCTGGGATCCGAGTCACTGTGGCACTGGGACAGAGGCACTTCGTCGTACGCACCTGGGAGCCCAGACTGGCCTGGCCATTGGCAGCAGGGGGTCCCCGGTGTGGGCTTGCAGCTTGTTCACCTTTACTGTGTCTTCAGGGGCACATCTGTCCATCTCAGCAAGGCTTCAGTGAACGTGCCTTCAGGACGTGGAAGCAGACACCGCACTGTGTCGGGGGCCTGAACACGAAGTCGGTAGAGGAGCAGGTCTCCAGGCACGGCTCCGGCAACACCAACAGGAAGCGGGCCACCTTGGAGAGCGCTCTTCCACTGCTGGAGTTCCTGGTCAATACGGCATCGTCTGCGTGGAGGGTCTGATGCATGAGATCTACGCTGCTGGAAAACACTTCAAAGAAGCAGACTACCTCCTGTGGGCTGAAGTTCTCTTCTCCACCAGGTGAAATGAAGAAAAAGCCCACTCGTTTTGTAGAAGGTAGGGGTGCTGGCAGCCAGGAAGACCAGACCAGCAGGCTTTCTAGCAGAATGAACTCAGGTCTACATCATTATTTTTGTAATCTGGTAAGTTAATAAATGGTGACTGCCTTTGAATTTAAAAGAAATATGTATCATTATGGATTCATGAACCGAAACGTGTTTGGTAGGTCTCAGTCCACTGCAATTATTATCATCTTTGCAGCTCAGATCGTCCTGTCTCTGGCCAGGTGTGTCTCATCGGGTGGACCCCACGTCCTGCGTGCTCTCTCAGGGTCAGCTTGGTTGTCATATAATTTACATACAAAAAAAATGCACAGATTTTAAGTGTGAAGTTTGTAGAGTTTTAACAAATGTTGAGTTTTACACTCATGCAACCACCATCACAACCAAGATCTGGAAGATTCCATCAGTTCAAAAACTTCCCTCATATACCTTGGCAGTCATCCCCTTCCTCTGTCCCAGCAATCATGGACTAGCCAGCATGGATCAGATCTGTTTCAGCTGGAACTTTCTAAATGGAATCATGCAGTGTGTGGGCTGTGTGCCTGGCCTCTTTCAACATCATTTTAAGACTCTTCTGCGCTGTTGTGTGTTTCCATAGGTTTTGTTCCTTTTCTTTGCTGAGAAGGGCTCCATTCTATGACGACACCATTGGCCTGCTGATGGGCATTCGAGAGTCTCAGCCTCCACAGGGTGCAGAGGGCAGAGGCAGGGCTGCAGGAGCCACATGGGGCTGGTTGCTGTCACTCCTGCCATGCTGGGTTGGCTGGGGATAGAAACTCAACTCAGAAGATGAATCAACTTGCTTATGTGGCCAAGAGGTCTGAAAATAGGGCTGGATCCAGAACCCAAACCATGTCATCAGAAATCTTTCTCCATAGCTCAGCTCCACTTTCCTTGGGGCTAGCTTCACTCCTGGCAGGCTGTCTGCAGGCGGAGCAAAATGGACACTGAGATTTCAGGCTTATATATCTAATCGGTGGGACAGAGAGGGAGGAGAGAGGGAGAGAGAGAGAGAGAGGTGGAGGGGGAGAGAAAGATGCAGAGAGAGACAGAGAGAAAGAGACAGAGAGTGAGAGACGCACAGACAGAAAGAGACAGAGTGAGAGAAAGAGACAGAGAGGAGGGAAAGAGACAAAGAGAAAGAGAGAGACAGAGGGAAAAAGACACCAAAAGAGCAAGCACGAGAGAGATTCATTTCAAGAAACCCAGCAAAGGTCCCAAGATGGGCACTCGCTGGCCAGGCTTGGGTCACTTGACCACTTGGGGTGGGAGAAAGCCATCCCCTAGAACTACCCAGGCTCCCCGGATTGAAACCAGGGACCTGATAATGAAAGGAGGAGGGACGCTGGGCAGGCAGAGTGAGGCCACCCTGCACCGTTGCCTCCACAGTGTGCTGATGCCAGGCCCCGCGTGAGCGTCTGTCACCCACCGTGCACTGCCCTCCCACCTGGTGGGCCGACTCCCGCAGCCCCGCCGTCTCGATACAGTGGTGGGTGGGTGGTGAGCTGCTTTCCTGTGCTCTGACCTTACTTTATTTCTAAGAGTGAAAACAGAAAGACGTGAGTGCCAACGCCAGCGACAGAAAGCAGGCTCTGTGAACAGCGCAGAGGCAAGGCTGGCACTGCCCAAGCTGCCCGGGGGACAGGCACGTGAGGCAGGTATGGCGCTGTGGACTGCAGACTGGGACGTTTGGGGCCACTTTCCTATAGAGGGTGTATCTTTATAGCAGCTGTAATACACGTTTCCTCATTGGAGGAGAAGACACGCTGGGTGACCATCTGTGTGTCAATGTACACAGTCAATTTTGTACATTTTCCAGGATTGCATTGTGGACACAGTGAAAGAGACCCCTGGGAGAAATGCTGCGTTCAGTGGAGACTGAACCCAGGTGGGGGGCTGGGGGGTGCCTCCTGTGACTCGGGGCAGGTGCCTGACTACCTGGGGTGCTTTCCAAGGAAGGTGGGCAGGGGCATGAGGAGGGCCCCTCCAGGGCCTCCGTACCTAAGTGAAGCTTCGTCAATAAGCTTCTCGGGAGATGGCCAGGGGCAATGAGGGAGACAAAGGGAGCTCCAACTCAAAACCTGAGAGAAAAGCAAATGGCGAATGTGATTTCATAAAAATGTTTCACTGACAAATCACAAGGCTTTTCCTGCTATGGGAACCCCATTCCTCAGCTCTCCCCACCGGAAAAGAACCTGGTGGGGCAGGGTGGGGAGACCCAGTCCCACACGGGAATTTCTGGGTGGAGCGTTTCCATATTTTTCACACCAGCAGGTGGACGCAGCAGTGAGTAAATCATCTGCATCTTTTGGACGTGAGGCTGCACGTGGCACTCTGTGGATAATGCATGCACATCTGCTCATCGCTTCTTTTTTGCAAAGTGCGCCTGTCACCCATAAATCCATCACATCCACGGCCAAAGGCTCCTTCAGAACGAGCCAAATTGCAGTTTCAGGTGTTGGGTCTTCTCTCACAGTCTCTCTTGCACGCACACTGGCTTGTGCACACAGGGACCTCCTGACCGGGCCCGGGGCGGTTGTGGATGTGTAGGGTCTTTCAGGAGAGCAAAGCTGACTTGAGGACAGACAGCAAAGCAGTAGCAGCAAAGCCCCGCAGCCCCTCGGAGAGTTCTTTTCATTCCCGGAACCAAGAGTGGGAGGAAATGGCCCCTAGGAAGTGTCTTATTTTCTCATTTGTTAGACGCCGCTGTCAGCCTGGGAGAGCAGGCACTCTCTGTTGTGAATCAGCCCAGTTGGATGAGCTCATGCTGTGGGGGCTGCAGCCCGCCGCCCCTGCACCCACTCCATTAGCTGCAGGGAGGTGAGCTCCGCGAGGGGCGGGCCAGGGCGCCACATCAGATCACTCCCCTTCACGGAACCCAGTCTAAGTGTGGGATGGCCCTGTCATGGCTCACACCAAATAAAACTGAGTCCAGGACAGCGCTGTGAGCCCTCACCACACCCTTAGCTGGAGGCCACAGGTGGCGGGGCTCAGGTCCGAAGCCCTTCAGCAAAGTCCTGGTGTGGGGCCTTGGAGAAGCCACCAATGTCTCAAGCCTGCTCTCACCTCCTCATGGGAGGGTCAGGTGGGGCCATGCAGTTGAAAGACATCAACATTCGCCACCCGCACAAGCGGCCTGGGCAGAGGCTGGCTGCAGGCCCCTAGTCCCCACCTCTGCTCCTTCTCCCAGCCTGGCCTGGGTAGTTGTGGGGCGGGGAGTCTGAGGCAGGGGGTGCCGGAGGAGGCCGTGCCCTTGAGATGCTGGGAGAGTGCTGATCTCCCGCTCCTGGATGTGTGGCCGAGGCCTCCTGAGTGTGCCTGGGTCCCGCCTGCCTGGGGCCACCGTCAGCCTCCCTGATGCTTCGAACACCATAGCTGCCTCTCCTTCCTCGCCGTTCCCTAGAGGAAAGTCCTTCTCACCCTGTGCAAGGAGCTCTTGGTTTGGGAAGAGACTGGACAGGACCCCCAATGACAGCTCAGTCTGGGAAGGCAGCCGATCTTTCTCAGGCCTGGGTACAGGTTTATGTGGGATCCTGGGCACAACATTTACCTTCTGCACCCATGGGAAACCTGCCCAGGAAGCATGGCCCACACCAGGCAGAGTGCACACACCATTTTTATTAAGCAGAGTGGCGAGAGCGCAGTGGCTGTGAGGTCCTTCCAGGACCCCGCTTGTGGACAGCTCCCAGCAGCTGCAGCTCACTCCCAGCCCCAGCTGACTCCCAGACCCTCAGTGAGCCCTGGGCTGGATCAAAGTACAGGGACGATCCTGTGGGTGCACCCCAGCATGGCAAGCTTCCAGGAGACCCTAGACCCCGGCTGGGGGTCAGGAAGGCTCTCGCCTCCGTGCTTCTGAGTCCATAGGAATTGAGTCTCTGGCCACACGAGGACAGAATCAGCTACATCTGAAGAACCTGGAGCTAGAAGATGAGGGCAATTAAGTCATGCGCCTCGGCAAGTTCATTAAAATGTTGACTTGCTAATGGTCCCGGGTGCAATTTGGAATGAGGGTGTTAACATAGAGACTTGGTCTATTCGGGAACTCCCTGGTCTGAAAATGGAGCTGCCAAGCTTCTAATATGCCCTCCACAGACTAGAGCTCCGACACATGAATTATTAATGCCGCATCATATTAATTGTATTGATATGTTAATAATTAACAACAATATGCTAATGATTGCCCTGTGGCTACGTCACTGCTGCTCACACACGTCCTCCCGGGAGGTGGCATTGTCCTGCCTTCGGGGAGCAAGGGACAGCAACTCGCCCAAGGGCAGCTGGAGGGCAGCAGGGCTGGGGCTGGTGCCCGGTCCCTGGGGACTGGGGTGACGTGCAACTCGCCAAAGAAGGTGCCTCCGCCCTGCAGGCCCTGAGCACCCGGTGGCACCTGATGCAGGCCCCGCCCCCACCTGCTGTGTGTGGAGGAGGGAGTACGAGGGCTGGGCCCAGCCAGGCGTCTACCTGAGCAGAGAAGCGGCTATAGACCTTGTGCAGAGGTGTCCCCGCGGTGACAGAGCACAGGACAGCTCTGGGCCGCTAGCAGTGGCAGCCCAGGAAAGGGGCCACGGCTCAGGCTGGTCCTCTTCTCCTGGTGACAGGCCCCGAGCTGTTCTGTGCCCTGGGCTCTGCCTTGGTTTTGTCATCTGCAGAATGGATGCGGCAGCCCCGTCACCTTGCAGGGGAGCTGGGACGGGCAGGCACACAGCACTTGGCAAAAGCAGGCACCCAGAGTAGCTGTTATTATTATTGCCCCCTAAGGGTTTTGCTTAATTTCTTTCCTTGGAAAGTGCTGGAATAAATTCTAGACACTGCTGCGTTCCCAAGCATCGCTCCCGGCCCCAACTCCACAGCCTGAGGGCTGCATTGAGCCAGGCGGATTCAGCACCCCTAGGAAGCCTGGCACTGCACCCGCTGGCTGCAGTCGTCCACGGGGGGTGTCAGCGGGTCTCCAGCTGCAGACCGCACAGTGGAGCTTGGGAGAATTAATTTTTTCTGAGAAACCCGGAAGAATCTCCACCCAACCTGCCCTGAAAAGTCTCTCTAGCACCTCCTCTGGTGTCTGGTGCCCATTAGCACCAAGGGCCTCCCCGGGGGACAGGAGAGCGGGGCAGGTCCACGAGGCGGGTTCAGGCAGCTCAGGCAAGACCGCCACTCCACAGCCTGACCTGCAGCCCCGCCTCCTGCTGGGGCGGGCCATGAGCTTGCTGCACAAGTGAAGGTCTGCAGGGGGTGTCTTTCGGAGCGCACCGTGACAGCCCAGCAGAAGAGGTCCCAGGGGAGTGGCAGGCGTCACGGCCGTGTGGCCCAGAGCCCCCCACATGTGTGAGACTCCACCTCCACGGGGACCCTTCCATGCAGGTCACTGTTATTAGCCCATTGTACAGAGTAGGATATTGAGGCTACGGCAACTTTCGTGACTTCTGAGGTCACGTAGCCATGAAATGGCTAAGCTGGGCTTCAAACTCAGGCAGAAGATTCCAGAACCAGCACACAGCCACCAGGCAGCCAGCCTCCACCTGACAGCCGGAGAGGCTGGACATGGGCCTCTAAGTGCCCTCACCAGCCCAGACCTCTGACCCCCCAGCTCTGCTCCCTTCCCTTCCTTTCTCTTCCTGTCGCTGTCTCTGCTTCCCTCTGTCTCTGTTTCCCTGTCTCTGTCTCTCCCTGTCTCTGTCTCCTTCTGTCTCCTTGTCTCTGTCTCCCTGTGCCTCTGTCCCTGTCTCTCTGTCTATCTCTGTCTATCTCTCTCTCCCTCTGTCCCTGCCTCCCTCTGTCTCTGTCTCTCTGTCTCCGTCTGTCTCTGTCTCCCTCTCCCTCTGTCTCTCTCTGTCTCCCTCTCCCTCTATTGCTGTCTCCCTCTGTCTCTGTCTCCCTCTCCCTCTGTCTCTCTCTGTCTCTGTCTCTTTCTGTCCCTGTCTCCCTCTGTCTCTGTCTCTCTGTCCCTGTCTCCCTCTATCTCCCTCTCCCTCTGTCTCTCTCTCTGTCTCCCTCTGTCTCTGTCTCCCTCTCCTTCTGTCTCTGTCTCTGTCTCCCTTTCCCTCTGTCTCTGTCTCTCTCTGTCTCTGTCTCCCTCTCCCTCTGTCCCTGTCTCCATCTCCCTCTCCCTCTGTCTCTCTCTCTCTGTCTCTGTCCTGTCTCCCTCTGTCTCTGTCTCTCTGTCTCCGTCTGTCTCTGTCTCTCTGTCTCTGTCTGTCTCTGTCTCCATCCCTCTGTCTCTGTCTGTCTCTGTCTCCCTCTCCCTCTGTCTCTGTCTCCCTCTCCCTCTGTCTCTGTCTCTGTCTCTCTCTGTCTCTGTCTCTGTCTCCCTCTCCCTCTGTCCCTGTCTCCCTCTCCCTCTGTCCCTGTCTCCATCTCCCTCTCCCTCTGTCTCTCTCTCTGTCTCTGTCCTGTCTCCCTCTGTCTCTGTCTCTCTGTCTCTGTCTGTCTCTGTCTCTCTGTCTCTGTCTGTCTCTGTCTCCGTCCCTCTGTCTCTGTCTCTGTCTCCCTCTCCCTCTGTCTCTGTCTGTCTCTGTCTCCCTCTCCCTCTGTATCTGTCTCTCTCTGTCTCTGTCTCTGTCTCCCTCTCCCTCTGTCCCTGTCTCCCTCTGTCTCTGTCTCTGTCTCTGTCTCTGTCTCAGCGACTCCCGGGTATTTATTGGGAGGCCCCTGAGCACATGGCCTCAGTCCCTCTCTGGGACATCTGCAGGGCCCTGTCCCCCTTGCACACACGCTGGGACACCCTCGGAGCCCCCGGCTTACTGCACACCCTCATGTCCTCGACCTTCAGGGGCTCTCCTGGGTGGCGTGACTTGGCCCCGAGCTGAGCTGGAGAACAAAAGTCTTTGGAGCTGCTTTTATTCCATTTTGGCAGCTTCCAAGAACTGGGCCTCTCGCCCCTGAGCGCATCTCCCGGGAATCTCGGCAAGACCCTGCAGTGGTGTGGGCCCTGCCAGCCTTTGTCCCATGAGTGAGGTTTGCTGGGGAAAGGAGGGACCATGGAGGACTTGGGCTCATTTAGAGAGGAGAGGCTTGTCCCTGGAGGACACTTTTAACCTCAGCCCTTGGCAGAGATTTCCACGAAATTAAGCCTCAGGCTAATGCTGTCAACATGGGGAGGGGGCTGCTTCTGCCAGGCCCACCCCCATGGGGGGCTTCTGCACAGATCCAGTTCCATGCCAGTCCTGCCACAGTGGGAGGGGCCTTGGGGCAGCATCAGCTCATCCCAGTACCAGCAGAGCCCCTGCCCAGCAACCCTGTGCCTCACTCACGCTGTGTGGGCACCATGGGGCGGTGGGCAGCATGGCTCTGCGCCCCTGAGGCAGCACCTGCCCTTGAGGTTCCACACCTTGTGGGGGTGGGAATATAACAGGCAAATTTGCTGTGGAGCAGGGAGGTGGGAGGGCTCAGGACAAAGAGAGCCATCTGGGGATCCCAGTGACGGGTGGGATCTGGGAGCGGGGAGGCCCTCCAGGAATGGGCAAGGCATGGTAGCAGGGGTGAGAGCAGGGGTGGTACCACCAGGGTTGAGGGTGGCACCCCTGCAGCCTGGCGCCTGGCTGGGCCCCGGCACCCCTGCTGTGCAGGTGACCTCTAGAACATGGGCGGGAAAGGCGCCCTCGCGGGCTGTCCACAGGGGAGGGAGGATGGCGCTCAGCTCCCTGCAGGAGGGAGAGATGGGCCAGTCAACCTGGGGAGCTCTGCACGGGGCTGACAGGGAAGCCTAGTCCCTCCTCAACCCCTGACCCTGAGGCCTGTGGATGCCCAGGCCCAGCTGCCTCCCCCTCACGGGCATGCCCTCCCTGCCTGGACGCATCCCTAGGAGGGAGCTCCTGGGCTGAGGAGGCTCCCTCGGCTGGTGTCCGCAATGACAGTGGGGACCCGGTGAGTAAATCTTGGCACAGCCACACCAGGGACAGCAGTAGCTGCAGCGCTTGCGGAGGGTCTGCGTGCAACCCCTTGGGGTTGCATGCCCCCCACCCCATGCTGGGACTGCATGCACCCCCCCAGCCTGCGCGCACCCCCCCAGGCTTGCATGCTCCCCACCTCATGCTGGACCTGCATGCACCCTCCAGGCTTGCATGCCCCCCACCCCACGCTGGGACTGCATGCACCCCCCCAGCCTGCGCGCACCCCCTGGGCTTGCGTACTCCCCCACCCCACGCCAGGTCCCCCCACCTCACACCGGGCCTGCGTGCATCACCCCCCACCACCACCACCCAGCCTGTGTGCGTCCCCTGAGCCTGCGTGCGCCACCGCCCCCCCGCACCCGGCCTGCGGGCACCCCCCGGGCTTGCATGCCCCCCACCCCATGCCGGGCCTGCGAGCGTCCCCTGGGCCTGCGTGCACCCAGAGGCTGTGTGTTACGTGCTGTGGGCGATTCTCTTTAAAGCAGCAACAATTACATGCAAGTTTGAATGAAAACTGCTCTGAAGGCTTCGGAGAAACTGCTGAATGAGGCTATTTGGGGGTGGGGACAGGAGGAGTCAGTAGGTTTAGTTTTATTCCACACTTTTCTTGATGGTGGGAATGTGAAACTAGCTGTGAGGGCTGCTCTTATTTAGAAATTTTGGAAAGAAAGTCTCAGGCGAGGAGGTACAGATCCCAGGTCGGGAGAAATCGGGCCACTCCTCCACGCCCCCCCAGGTCACCCCGGGTTTGCCAGAGCTGCCCCAGGCGGGCCGGCAGGTGGGCAGGCGTGGCCAGGAACCCAGCCCGCGAGGGTGGTGAATGCCCCTTCTCCAGGAGGACGTCACAAGGGCACTGCGGATCCCTCACTCAACTCTTATTTGCTGCACATGTCAAAGCTGTTTAAAAAGAAAGCGCTCAGGACGTTCCCCCGAGTCTGCAGCCGGGGTTGGCCTCCAGCCTAGGTGTGATCTGAAGTTCTGTGATTCAGACCCACAAACCCAGGCTGCCCAGAACGCATTCACCCAGGAACTTGGGCGTGGAGTGAGAGGCAAGCCCCCTGCCCCCGCACTCCGGGGCACACGCCAGTCACTGCCCAGCCCCCAGGCCTCTTAGAGGAGCTCAGCACACAGTCACATGGAGCCTAACAAATTGTAGCCCCCGCCCCGCCCCCGCGCCCCGCCCCCACCTGCACCTTTTGCCGCCCCCGGGCTGGAAGGATCCATCCCATCCCGCGGAAGGGCAGCGGACCCTCGGAGGGACGGAGAGGAAGGAGCCCCGACGGGAGAGACTGTGGGGTGAAAGGCAGTGGAAAGGCAGTGGAAGGCGGTGAAGACGGTGGAAAGGTGGAGAAATCCAGCACTCTGAAGGGCAGCTGGGGAGCCTGGAGAAGGACATATGTGAATTTTGGAACTGCTCATTGTTCCAAGCCATGACCTTGAAGAAGGCAGGGGCCTCTCTGGCCTCTGTGTCCCCATCGCTGAGGACAGGGTGGAACACGAGAGGCTGGGGGGTGGCCTCTGCCTCTGAGCCAGTTCTCAGCTCTTCTCTTCCCTCTGAATTCATGTTGTGTTTCTCAGCCATGAGGGACCCACGGAAACTGGGGCTTGGGAAGCCAGAGATGGCTTTGAGTTTGAGAGAAGGAATTTGCCTGGGTCACATACTGGAAATGGTGCCAGGCCCAGCCCCACCCCCCTGTGCATGTCTGGCTGAGCTTCCTAAGGAGCCAGCCACATCCACATTGCACCAAACCCTGCCACATCCAATCCTGACCGAACAGCCAGTCTACTTGTCAGTGTGGGGGACCAGCCACGTCAGTCAGGGCTCCCCAGAGAAACAGAACCAGTAGGATCCATGTCCACCTCTCTCTGTCTTTATGAATCAATCTATTGATTCTATGTATCCATCCATCCATCTATGTATCTATCCATCTATCCATCTGTCTATCCATCCATCCATCCATCTATTCATCTATCCATCCATCCATCCATCTATGTATCTGTCCATCTATCTATCCATCTATTCATCTATCTATCCATCCATCCATCTATCCAGCTAGCTAGCTAGCTATCCATCTTCTTTCTTTCTTTCTTTCTTTCTTTCTTTCTTTCTTTCTTTCTTTCTTTCTTTCTTTCTTTCTTTCTTCTTTCTTTCTTTCCTCTCTCTCTTTCCTTCTCTTTCTTTCTATCTTTCTTTTCCTTCCTTCCTCTCTTTCTTTCTTTCTTCTTTCTCTCTCTCTCTCTCTTTCTTTCTATCTATCAAGAATAAGAGAGATTGGTTTTAATGAATTGGCTCACATGATTGTGGGGACTGGCAATTGCAGGGCAGGCCAGCTGGCTGGAAGTCCAGGGAAGCTGATGCTGCCATCTGAGTCCAAATTCCGCAGGGCGGCAGGCTGGGAACTCAGCACGGCTTCCACATTGCCATCTTGTGGAGGAGAATCCCGTTTTCTTCCAGAAACCTCGGTCTTTGCTCTCAAGGCCTCAGCTGCTGGGACGAGGCCCACCCCCATGGTGGAGCGTCACTTTCCTACCTCAAAACCTGCTGAGCTAAGTGTTCATCCTGCCAGAAAACACCTGCACAGCAGCACCGAGGCAGGTGTGTGGCCAACAGCTGGGCACCGTGGTGCAGCCGAGTGGACACATAAAGTGACCATCACCCTCGTGGCAATGGGTGCGGGGGTGGGGGGGGATGGTCTTTCAAGTTCCACAGCAAAGAGATTCCAAGGGCCTTATTATTCCCAATAATTAGGACAGATTTTCTGTCCAATTTGGCAAGGAAGCCCAAGACCCAGCATCGTGAGCTTCAGACACGGCAGGAACCCAAGGCTTCGGGAGACCCAGCACCTGCCCCGGCACGCACAGCTCAGGCGCAGCACCTGCCCCAGCGCGCACAGTTCAGCAGAGGTCAGCTCAACCCTGGACTGTCCACACGAGTGTTGGGGCACGATGGGGAACATCTCATGTTGTGCTTCTTGGCCATGAGGGACCCAAGGAAACTGGGGCTTGGAAAGCCGGAGACAGCTTTGAGTTTGAGGGGAGAAGTAACTTGCTGCTTACCTGGTTTGGTGGGTGGTCAGGGAGGACTTCCTGGAGGAAGGAACATGTAAAATGAGGCCCAAATGATGGAAAGGAGCTTTGAGCAGGGGAATTCCTTCCAGGCTGTCCCCAGAACTGCTGGCTGCCTGGGACTTGGGTGCCCTCTGGGGTACAGTGTGTTCTCCCGAACACCAGTGGCTCTTGTGTTCAGGGCAAGCGTGGAGCTGATCCTGGGGGGTGACCCTCGCTTTGCCCTGGGCTAACCCAACAGGGATGTGAACCGGAGCCCCACACTCAAAACCCAACTCACAAGGCAGACATTTAAATTTCACTCATTCAGAGACCCGGGTCAGTCCATTCTTACCAAGCCCCCACCGCGTGCTGGGTCCAGCGTGAGACAGCTCCCGGGGCGCATGGACAGAGAGGCCTTGCCCTCGAGGAGCTCCCCTTCTCATGAGAGGAAGTCACTGTCTCCAGATGACAGGGTGACAAATGCCTCCAACAAAGATGTGTGCTCAGGGAGGTCAGAGGGGAGTGGTCCCTGGGGATCAGGAATGGCCCTGGGAGAGGCGGCTCCTCAGCTGGACCTGGACAGTTGGAGGCGATTAAACCCCAAGATGGGAGGGGACAGAGGAGTGCCAGCTAGGGCCACGGGACCAGACCCACCTTCCCGGAGCACAGGGCTGCGTGAGGTGAGGCATGTCTGGGCCACGGAACAGGGATGACATCCTTCATGCACCCACACACACCCACACACATCCCTCATGTGACACACACACCCACACACATCCCTTATGTGACACACACACATCCCTCACATGACACACACACACATCCCTCATGTGACACACCCACACCCACACATGTCCCTCATGACACACACACACATCCCTCACGTGACACACACACATCCCTCACATAACACACACACACGTTATATGACACACACACCCCTCACGTGACACACACACGTTATATGACACACACACCCCTCACGTGACACACACATCCCTCACGTGACACATACACATCCCTCATGTGACACACACATCCCTCACATAACACACACACACCCCTCACATAACACACACACACGTTATATGACACACACACATCCCTCACATAACACACACACACATCCCTCACGTGACACACACTTTATATGACACACACACATCCCTCACGTGACACACACACCCACACACGTCCCTCACATGACACACACACACATCCCCCACGCGTGCACACACACACACACACTCTGCGGGTGGCTGCTCACCCGCCCTGACATGGGGACTGTCTCTCCGGTGAGAACCGGCTGCAGGAGGGTTTGGTGCAGTGTGGATGTGGCCACTGCTCCTCAGGAAGCTCAGCCGGACACGCGCGGGGGGACGGGGCTAGGCCTGGCTTCATTTCCAGCATGTGACCCTGGCAAGCTGCTGCTCCTCTCGGGACCTCATTTTTCTCCTCTATGGAATAGGGACGGCAGAGCCAGTGTGGTGCACTGAGCCCTGGAGCGCCGCTCTGCAAAGGCACGTTCCACTGACACCCGCCTGGTCAAGCTCAGACCCAGGCAGAGAGGTGGCCGAGCCTCGCAGGGCCCCGGGTCCGACCCACCCCCGGGTCTGGCAGCTTTGCAGAAGGGCCTCTTTCAGGAAAGCAATTCACACACAATTCACAGTTGCAGCCTGCATGTCCTGTGTTGCTGTGGGCTCTGGAACTACGAGTGAGGACACCTTGAATCCCCTGTGCTTCCAGGATGTCACGTCTGTGTTCCTGGGACGGAGTGTGGAAACTGACTTTGGTAACTTCACGCTGCTTAGATGCACGGTGGGATCAGCTGCTGAGAGCAAATCTGATCGCCTCGTAGGTGAGCTCAGAGCTGCTAGGAAGCTCTTCACACCAGGGGCCTCAGGGGCACAGGTTTCGGGCCACGAGCTCACAGGCATTAGCAAAAATAAGGGTTCCTGGCTGGGTGCAGTGGCTCACGCCTGTGATCCCAGCACTTTGAGAGGCCAACACAGGAGGATTGCTTGAGCCCAGGAGTTAGAGACCAGCCTGGGCAACATAGCGAGACACAGTATCTAATTTTTTTTGAGATGGGGTCTCACTGTGTTGCCCAAGCTGTAGTGCAGTGGTGTGATCTCGGCTCACTGCAACCTCCACCTCCTGGGCTCAAGTGATCCTCCCACCTCAGCCTCCCAAGTAGCTGGTACTACAGACACACCACCATGCCTGGCTAATTTTTGTATTTTTTGTAGAGAGTGGGTTTTGCCATGTCGCCTAGGCTGGTCTCAAACCCCTGGGCTCAGGAGATCTACCTGTCTCAGCCTCCCAAAGTGTTGGGATTACAGGCATGAGCCACCGTGTCTAGCCCCAGTATCTAATTATAAAAAAACAAAAAGAAAAAATAAGTAAATAAGGGTTTCTGGTAAATTCTTCCTGGAGACACCTGGTGCCAGTCACACAGCCTCCCGAGCTGGTCACTCAGGCTGTGCACACCTCAGCCCTCAGGACAGCCAGGGAGGCAGCACGTACCCCAGCCCTCAGGACAGCCAGGGAGGCAGCACGTACCCCAGCCCTCAGGACAGCCAGGGAGGCAGCACGTACCCCAGCCCTCAGGACAGCCAGGGAGGCAGCCTGCACGGCTCTGCCCAGACGGCTCTTGGAGCATCTGGTGGGGCCAAGTGTTCTGGGGACACGTGCTCTGGAAAGATCTGCTTCAGCCAGACTTTCACACAGGACAGCTGGGGTTGACCCTGGCCGGTGCAGCCAGCAACACCTGTGAGGCCAGAGGGCAGAGGCAGGGATTCTCCCAACAGAAAATCAGGTGTGACATCATCTCCAAAGCTGATCCCGAGTCTGGGCCCCAAGCCTGCTGTAAGTGGGGAACGCTGGTGTCTTCCTTCAAGGTCCCCAAAGAAGCAGACCCTGGGAGAGGGTTTGGGGCACAGGGTTTATGCGGGAGGTGATTCCAGCAAGCAGGGTGCGTGGTGGGGAGGTGAGACTGGGAGGCAGGGAAGGGGTAGCGTGAGTGAGGGGCAGGTGGCCACTTTGAACAACCGCAGCTTCATTTTCCTTGCATGAGCCATGCAAGAGGGTCATTTTCCTGAGGACCCTCTTGTAAAACAGATCCCTGGAGGCCCGGCTCTTCCCTCCTTTCTTGCTTGTAGTTCTCAAGAATAACTGGAATATGCTGGATGCACAAGCCCCTGAGATAAAGAGGAGCATGTGGAGCACCCGGGGCTCTGCTCCAGCCCCTCCTAGAGCGGAATGTCCTAGAACGCTGCAGCCCAGCGAGCCACGTTTCCTGAGTGTAAGATCAGAGTGGGCCGCTTTGGGGTTCATCAGCTGCGGGGCAGCATGGGCACAGGCAGACAAGGCCCGGGGGAGGGAAGGTGACAGAGAGCAAGTTAGGGAGCCGGTGACCACTTGGGGACCAGAGCTCAGATCCAGAGGGACCCCCTGGGTGTTGAGAACCCTGGGAATTAGTGTGCCAACTCCTGCCCCTCTTGGTGGGGGTCTCTCCAGGGCGAGTGAAGTCCTAACACTTAGCCAGCCCCACACACCACACACTCACACCCAGAGATGTCCTCGGGTGGGGGGCGCAGGCACTGAGGAGGCCTGTGGGGTGCCGGGGTGGGGACCCCGTCTCTGCCGCAGGTATCTGCAGCTCTGCCACCAGGCTCTTTCAGCACCAAGGAGAGCAGCTGAGGGGCTCCTGTGTTCCTGGGGGCCCGTGTGCTCTCTGGACCTGCAGCTGGTCCCATTCTGGGGTCCGTGCCTGTTCCCGGAAGCACGGATCCCAGGCAGGCAGTGGGCTGGCCTGGCCTGGTTCTGGGAATCACTTTGAAGGCAGTGTTTTATGCCACTTGCCTGCCAAGGCAGAGAGTGCTGCGGCCATGGAGGTGACAGCTTCCCGGGCGGCGACTGACGTGGGGAGGCTTTGCTGATTCATTCTGGGCATGAATAACCAATTTCCTCAAAGCTGCCGGGGTTTGTGAATCAGGGTTCCCAATAAGAATGAACAAATCAAATCCATCTTCTGGGGCCTTTCATGGGACACTCTCAGCTCCCCAGTGCGTCGTGGGGTTTATAGCATGGCAGTCACTGGAGTGAGCTTGCTTAGAGATCAGCGCCCGGCCCTCTGGAGCTGGGAAGTACAACCTGCTGCAGTGCCCACACCTGTGTGGCCACCAGGCTGTCTCCAGACCCCGGCTCAGGCAGCTCCAACACTCGCCAAACCCTTCAAACCCCAGCCCTCTGCTGGGGTATCTTGGTGGGTGCTGGACAAGCCCCGTGTTCAGATGGGGCTGAGTCCCTGTGACTTTGAGTCCCTCTGACCACTAATGGGGAGAGAAATGTGTGGACAGCCGATGCCAGCCATAAAATCCCCGTGAGAATTACTCAGCCTGTGGGAAAATGGCCAGTAGCCGGGGGCCATCTGAGGGCAGGAGAAGGCTCCAAATCAGGAAAATCTGCCACATAATTGAGTGCCTGGGGCGGCTGGTGAGGCGTGGACAGGGCTAGGAGCTGAGCCCCACCACAGCACCTGCCCACCCCTGGCCTGTGCAGCAGCTATGGCTGGTGATCCCGGACCTCTGTCTAGGCATCAGACACAGGACCCACCCTGGCCCTAAGTTCCTCCACTGCAGCCCCTGGAGCTGCCTCCCAGGAGAGGCCCAGTGCCGGGGAGGCCTAGAGGCTGCAGCGTCTCCTCTCCACCTGGCTTTCCTCTCAGCTGCTCTGTTTAAGGAAACCCTGACTCACAGGCCAGAGGAAGATCGCCCGGCAGAGCTCTCAGCTCCCCAGGGCTTCCAAATGAAGTTTCTTTTAATAAAACCTTGGTGATCAGACAGGAGGCCCAGAGGTATCTGTGTGAGGTGGAGAGGGTCAGAGGCTATGGTAGGGGTGAGGGCTCAGGCAGCTGGCCCTGAAGCTGCAGCTCTCCCTCTGGGAGTGCAGTGGTCCCGACCTCACAGGCTCAGCCTCAGCCTCAGCGGGGTGTTCCAAGTCGGCCTGGAGTCCCCTCCCCAGCACTTCCACCAGTGAGCTCCTGCCACCTGAGGCGCACTGGGGAGAGGCCAGCTCCTCCCATAAGCTTCCCAGCACCCACAGCGAATGTCTGCCCAGCAGGGCAAGGGCACGAGGGGGCAGGCACACTGTCTTCCCCGAGGCCTGGAGCTGGGAGCCCAGAGGTATGCCCTGGGTGGGCGGCCTTTCTCCTTTACTCGCTTTTTTTCCAAGCCAGCCTGAACTTAAGGGGGGCGGTGCACTGCCAGCTGAAGTTTGAGGGCCTGGCCTGGGGAGGTCCGGGGGGAGACATCTTATGCTTTACCAGCAGGAACTGGGTTAGGACAGGGCTGGCACAGACCTGGGGATGTACGGGCCCTTCTCTCGACAGGAACTGGCATCAAAGATTTAGGGGGGACCCTAATACAGGGGAGAGGGTCCCTGGCTGAACAAGCCAGGAAGCGGCAAGCGAAGACAAGCCAAAAACCATGTTTGGGAGCAACGAGGCGGACCCCGGCCTGCGGCACTGCGAGTCCTGATCTTCTGGGCCTGCACACGTGGGTATGTGGGAGTGTGGTCGTGCACAAGAGTCAGAAGGCAGTGGAAGCTGTGTTGGGTGTAAAGTACTGCACATGTGACACAGTTGTACACAGATGCACACACACGTGCACACAAGCGCATGCATACACAAACAGAAATGTGTTTGTACACATCTCACACCCATATGCATACGCCTGTGAACACATGCAGACAAGCATGCACGCTTCCAGGTCCAATGCAAACCCACTTGCACAAACACACACACGTACACACAAAGCCCAAAGCAAAGCTGGCCCCTGGGAAGCACTTTTTGGGAAAGCAAAGCAAAAGTGTCAGCAGCTGGAGCCTGGTGAGTCTTGGAGCACACCCCACCTCCCCCAGTTTCATGCCACTGACGACAGGGTTTGGGTATCAGCATGGTGACTGGTTGGGGTCTGTGTTTGCAAACACTGTGCCAAGCACTGCTGGACACAGCGCATGTGCCACGGAGCTCTGGCCCCAGAGCCAGCAGGCAGCGGGCATGAGGACTCCAGTCAGAGAGAGGGGCTGCGGGAGAGGGAGGGTCCCGGCTGGCTGTGGCAGCCACGGGAGAGGCAGCCACATGGTTCCATTAGCAGCCATCTCCAAGCTGGAGCCAGAGATGACTAAGGGAGTGCGGAGGGATGGGACGCGGTCCAGGAGAGCCTCACCCAGCCTCCTCCGGCAGGGCCTGCCCTAGTAATGCCCGGTGAATAATTCAGCAGAGGCCAACCCAGACAGGAAGTGAGCAGGGCGGGCTTCAGGCCAGGCAAAGGGCAGGCAGGACATAGGTAGGCGGAGTGGCCGCCTCTGCTTGATGGATTTGGGGAGAGCCGTGGAAACCAGGACCTGGGGGCCCAGGGACTTGCTGAGGGTCCCCCAATGAGAGGAGGGACCTGCTGACCCCCTGCTGACCGCATGCCCTCACTTTTCCCTGCACGCACTGGCCCTGCCTCCTGATCCTGCGGGTGCCCTGCCTGGCACTCCCAGGCCCTTGTGGGGCTGAGTGTGGTGGCTGCATGTGGAGGGGTGACGTCTCCCCACCCAGGAGCTCAGGGCAGGACCCTCATTCTGGTTCCCTGAGCAGCAGCCCGGGGTGTCAGCAAAGTGTGGGGCATGGACCCCGTCCCCTCTTCCCCTGCATGCTGGGGTTCCCATGTCCCCAAGTGCATTGCACACTGGCAGCCAGACCCACGTGGCTGTCTTTCCTGCACCGCGTGCATCAGAGCTCTGGGCTGTGACCACTCTGAAGGTGGCTGTCCTTAGATACTGAAGACCCCTGAAGAGGCCGCCCCACCCCCTTCTGACCTGCTGTCCCATCCTTTACCCTCCAAGGGCATTTCTCAAACTCAACTGCACACAGAACCCCGAGGCGCACGTGCTCGAGGCCCCCGCTGGGATCTAGGTTCTGCAGGACTGGTGGCATTCGGCATTTGAAGCAAGGTCCGGTGCAGGAGGGCAGCCCACAGCCCTGCCACTCAGAAAAGCTGGGGAAGCTCCCTGCGGATGTTGGGAAGCTGGGCAGAGAGGCCACACGGGGGCTGGGGGGAAGCGCTGGGAGAGGTGAGGGGGAGCTACAGGGAGAGCCCAACTCCACTTCAGCCCCCACCGTCACTGTCTTGATGGGGCTCAGGTGGACATGAGGAGGGCTCTGTGCTATGACCTTGGTGCATCCTGGGGCCCTCAGAGGAAGCCCACAGAGGCACCTGCACCAGCCCCAGGCCCCCACCAGAGCTGAGCCCCAGTGGAAGCGGCTCCATCACAGGGGCCATGCACATGGCAGAGAGGGACACACCCCAGGAGGAGCAGCACCCAGCATGGGCACAGTGCTTGTGCATGTGTCCACATATGTGCGTGTGTGCTTGTGTGTCTGCCCGCATGCATATGCACGTGTGTGTGCATTTGCATACGTGTGTGTATGTGTGCATGTCTGCATGTGCGTGTGTGTGTCATGTTGGAGGAGTGGTGTGCCTGTGTGTGTGTGTGTTCACGGTTGTGTGTGTGTATGTTGTGTTGGAAGAGTGGTGTGCATGTGTGTGTGTGTTCACGGTTGTGTGTGTGTGGGTGTGCACGCGTGTGTGGGTGCTGTGTTGGAGGAGTGGTGTTTGTTTCTAAACAGAGCTCTTCCATGGCAGTAAAGGCTGGGAATGCGTGTGGGGGTTACTTCATTCTTCCCTGGCCACAGTGTCTCTATCTGCCTCCCAGGCCTGGCCTCAGGCTTATTGAGGAGATGCCCTCAGGATCCCTCCAAGATCAGCAACACCCCCACCTCTGGAGCCAGGGACCACCACGTCCCCAGGTGCTCTTCAGATGCAGGCATCCCCGTCTGCCCGCTGTGGCCCTGCAGAGAGTGAGCTGGGAGGGCTGACTTCAGGGCTGGGTGGCAGAGAGGCACATTCTGGTGGAGTCCGCAGGCCAGTTGGCAGCTGGGCAGCCCAGCTGGTGCAGACAGCCCCCATGCCTGCCCAGGGCCAGGCATGGACCCCATGGCAGCAGACTCCACCCTGTGAGCAGTCCACAGGCAGCCTGGAGCACAGCCCCTCTGTCTGCTGAGGCTGGGTTCAGACACCCTCAACCCCTCTCAACTGTGTGCTTGGGACTCACCTTGGCCTCCTAGTGTCCCAGTTTCCTCACTAGGATATAGGCAGCCCTGGCCTCTAGGAGGGCTCAGAGAATAGACAGACGAGGCCACTGCCCCCAGGTGGCCCACATTCTAGTGGGAGGTGCCTGGGAGGAGCACGTGGAAATGGTGTCTGGGTTTCATCAGAGAGGATGGGAATGATGGAATAGGGGTGATGGGCACCTGCACAGGGAGGAGGAGCTTTGGACGCACAGGGCTCAAAGCAGATGGGATGGTGGTGCTCCCCAGGGGGAAGGGGAGTGATCCTCCCCAGGGGAATGGGGTTGTGATCCTCCCCAAGGAGAAAGGACACTGGTCCTCGCCATGAGGAAGGGGCATGGATCCTGCTCAGGGGGCAGGGGATGTGGTCACCCACTGGGGCTGGGGAGAGTGAGCCCTCATGGTGCACATGGCAGTGAGTGTGTGCATGCGTGTATGGGTGTGTGTGTGCGTGCATGTATGGGTGTGTGTGGGTGTGCATGCGTGTATGGGTGTGTGTGCGCATGTGTGTATGGGTGTGTGTATGGGTGTGTGTGTGTGCATGCATGTATGGGTGTGTGCATGCATGTATGGGTTGTGTGCATGCGTGTGTGTGCATGTGTGAGTGTGTGTATGCATGTGTGTGCATGCATGTATGGGTGTGTGTGCATGTGTGTGTGTGCATGCATGGGTGTGTGTGCGTGCATGTGTGTGTGTGTGCATGCATGTATGGGGGTGTGTGTGTGCATGCGTGTGTGAGTGTGTGCCCGCCTTTCAGCCGTGTTCTCAAAACTGTGGATCTGCTCAGCCCTGAGGGAAGGCTGGGCCATACCCTAAAAATCGATCTTCCCTCTCAAGGTGCCCCTGTGATCCGCTCAGCCTCCTGGGCTCAGGGAGACTTCTCCACCTTTAACCAGAACCAGAATCAGGCCTATCCAATGCGCTGCCTTTCAGGTCGCGGAGCCCACACAGCCTAGAATCCATCCTTCAGATGTCTGTGTTCCTTTGGACTAAGCGGCGGCCCTGCTCTCCAACCCCTTCCATGGTGGTGTTATCTGGGACAGCTTTGTTAGTCACCCTCGGGTCCCACAGGTCCTAGTAGGAGTTTCATGGGCAGGAAATGGCCCTGCTCCTGGTGGGATTGGCTGTCAGGGCCCCAGGGTACCCGAAACCCCCTGACACAGGGGTGGAGACAGGATGGGGGGATCCAGAGAGCAGCACGACCTCTGCTTCCTGAGTTCCCTCCCCTCCCCTCAGATGGTCCAGGCTGGACATCAGTGAGACAGGCAGTGGCTGCCATATTACTCTCACCCCATGGGTGGCATGTAGGGCACCTTTGGGGTTGGGGTAAGACATGACTTTACCTCCAAGATCAGGGGGTGTCCTGCCCTGTCCCCCAACCTGGGGCATCCTTTGGGTGGGAGCCGTCCACCTGGTCTCCTGCCCAGCCTCCCCTTGGCTGCACCAGCTGAGAGCCAGAGGTCCTGGGGGTCCCTACAGTTCAGTATCCAGGTACAAACTGGGAGGGGGCTTTGGGGTGGAGACATCCAGCGTAGGGGTCAAAAAGAGAAAGGTCACAGCTTGGACTTTTGATAAGTTGCCAAACTGCTCTGCAGGCGAGCTATGCTCGTCCCCCTCTCCCCAGCAACACGAGAGCACCCTTACGGTGTAAACACTAGTTTGCAGTCTAATGTTTTCAAACGCCATCATTGGCCGTCATTGAGTGCCTTGGCATTTCTCTAATCAGTGGTGCCCGTGAGCTGTTTCTCTTGTGCTCTGTGCCATTCTTTCCCGGAGCATCGCGGCCCATGTGCTCTCCACAGGACATTCATCTTCTCATTGATTTTCAAGAGTCCTTTATATACTGCAAGTATTAACTCTTTTTTAAAAGATCATTTTTTAACTTTTCATTTTGAAGTAATTACAGGGTTTTAACAAGTTGCAAAAACAGTAGAAAAGTTCCTGTGGACTCTTCATCCAACGTCCCCAAAAGTTAGCTTTGAGGCTGGGCGCGGTGGCTCACGGGCACTCATCACAGCACTTTGGGAGACCGAGGTGGGTGGATCAGCTGAGGTCGGGAGTTTGAGATCAGGCTGGTCGACATGGTGAAACCCCGTTTCTATTAAAAACACAAAAATTTCCCCAAGTGTGGTGGCAGGTGCCTGTAGTCCCAGCTACTTGGGAGGCTGAGACAGGAGAATCACTTGAACCTAAGAGGCGGAGGCTGCAGTGAGCTGAGATGGCGCCACTGCACTCCAGCCTGGGTGGCAGAGTGAAACTCCGTCTCAAAAAAAAAAAAAGTTAGCTTTGAGGATAGTGATCAATTGTACAATGATCAGAGAATGGCCACTGATACAACAGGATCACCCAGCAAACCCCTCATGCACGCCCTGCTGACCATCCCACTCACCCCTGCTGACCGTCCCGCTCACCCCTGCTGACCGTCCCACTCACCACCCTTTCCTAGTCCAGGGTCCCATGTTGTGTTTAGTCCTCGTGGCCCCTTAGTCTCTCAATCTGGGACGAATCCTCAGTCTTTGTTTTTTCATGACATTGACACTTCTAAAGAATATTGTCAGTTATTTTGTGGACTATCCCTTAATTTGGATTCACTGTAGATTTCCTCATAATTAAATTCCACTTATACAGCTGGGCACAGTGGCTCACATCTGTAATCCCAACACTTTGGGAGGCCAAGGTGGGAGGATCACTTGAGGCCAGAAGTCAAGACTGGGTAATATAGCTACACCCCATCTCTACAAAGTAAACAGTAAAACAAGAACAACAACAAAAAAACAAGCCAGATGTGGTGGTGTGTGCCTGTAGTCCCAGCCACGGAAGGCTGTAGTGAGCTGTGATCACACCACTGTACTCTAGCCTGGGCAACACAGTGAGACCCCATCTCTAAAAAAAAAAAGGAAAGAAAAAAGAAAAAAAATTAAACTGTACAATTTTGTCAAGAATACAGCAAAAGCAATGCTGATGGAGTTTCCTGGTGTCCGTGTGCCCGTTGCTGGCGATGCTGACTTTGATCTGGGGTTTGGTGGTGTCTGCTCCCGTTGACTTTGATGACGGTTCCCACCAGGATTCTGCGGCTGAGTTGGAATTCTATGGTAAGGAAAAGCTGTCTCTCCCCAATGCCTGTTTATTTATTTACGTCAGTACGGACTTGTAGATTCTTCTTCTATGGGTTATGTTTAACATCTCATCAATATCTTCCCCCACATTGTTCAGATTTGCCCAGTGGACTCCTCCCCGTGGGATCCGATGTCACGTGGGCGTGTCCTGCCTGTGTTGGCTGCGAGCGTTTCCTCCTGACTCACACCCAGTAGAGCTGCAGCCTCCACTGGGCGAGGCGGCCTTGGAAAAGGAGGCGGGTGCTGTCCTGCTGTGGAGGGGCTGGCGGGAGGTGGGTTCTGCAGGGTCAGTCCCGGGAGGTGCAGCTGTGGAGGGGCTGCTGACCCCCAGGATCCCCGAGGCCGCCTGCTCCCGAGAGGCCGCCCCACACGCCAGCCTCAGCGTCGGGAGAGGAAGCCCCACATGCCAGCCTCAAGGTCAGGAGAGGAAGCCCCACATGCCAGCCTCAAGGTCGGGAGAGGGCGCCCCACATGCCAGCCTCAGCGTCGGGAGAGGAAGCCCCACATGCCAGCCTCAAGGTTGGGAGAGGAAGCCCCACACGCCAGCCTCAGCGTCGGGAGAGGAAGCCCCACATGCCAGCCTCAAGGTCGGGAGAGACCGCCCCACATGCCAGCCTCAGCACCAGGAGAGGCCGCCCCACACACCAGCCTCAGCGTCGGGAGAGGAAGCCCCACACGCCAGCCTCAGCGTCGGGAGAGGAAGCCCCACACGCCAGCCTCAGCGTCGGGAGAAGCAGCCCCACACGCCAGCCTCAGTGTCGGGAGAGGAAGCCCCCACACGCCAGCCTCAGCACTGGGAGAGGCAGCCCCACACACCAGCCTCAGCGTCAGGCTCTGAGTCCCGTTTCTGCCTCTGGGCTCCTCGTATGTGTGTGTCAGCATCAGATGCAAAGAAAGGGGACGTATCCTGGTGGGGGGACCCGGAGTCTCCGTTGCCCCCACAGATCAGTCTCTGGGTGCCTCCCTTGGTGCTGAGAGCAGGGAGGGCCTGAGAGCCATCCCGAGCCCGTCTCGGTTCACGCTTCCCTGCCTGGCAGGACCCAGGGAGAGCTGGGCGGGTGGGGCAGCCACTCCCGGCAGTTCCGAGAGGATCTGGAGGAAACGTGCCTTACTGCAAGGAGATGGCTGGCTAGCGGTGGAGCCCTGGGCGCCCTCAGGGGAGAGCCTTCCGGGGACAGCTGCCACCCTTCTGTGGTGCCGGCCTCCTTCCCGCCATGCACCATGCCCACGGCACCCAGATGGTGGAGCCGCCGCCGGTTCACACTCTGGGGAGTTTTCCCAGCAACAGGTCCCTCCAGCCAGGGCATGCAGGAAAGTGCCCTTACGACGTGCTCAGGGATACAGCCACTGCTCCCAAACGTCTCTGCCCAGAAAGGCAGGTGGGATGTTGACCATAGACACAATAACCAACGCTTGCTGTCGTGGGGCCTGTTTGACAGAGGGACAATGGAGGCCAGAGAGGCAAAGGTGACTTGTCCAAAATCACCCAGCCAGGGCCATTAGCCACCTGCTCAGCACTGCAGCTTTTGTGCCAGGGACCTGCAGACACTCACTCACACTCATGGAGCCAGGAGGACCAATCCATGAGCACAGGGCACCTCGGAGTCCCGGGCGGGCATTCTCCGGCGTCCTTCTTCTGAAGCTTCTGAAAAGTTGCTGAGAAAGACAGAGAGGGTGACAAGAAGAGGACAGGTGTGAGACCCTGCAGAACTGGGTTCCACGTGCCAGCAGGACCCAGAGACCACGGCACTCCCTTCTCCCTACTAACTGGAGACTCCGAGAGGAGTTCTAGACATGGCAAGACGAAACAAGTCCGTATCCCTTCTTTCCCAGAATCGAGAAAAATGACCGCATTTGTCAGCAGAGCATGCACTAGGCGAGCCCTGCCTTGCTGTTTAATTCATCCCAATGCTCCTTCCGAAGGGGCCCTCAGAGGATGCTTCCAAAGCCTGGCATAGGCGAAGCTCAGGACCCTGCACCAGGAGGTCCCACCCCGGAGCCCGGATCACTCCGGGAATCACAGCTTTCGGGAGGAGCACCTTGCTACCGAGCCTTTGGGGTCCTGCCCGGGCCAGCCCTTCTGCTTAGGGACCTGCAGTGACCCTGTGCTGGGTCATGTTCTTCTTGGCACAATGAGCACTCCCTGGGCAGGTGGTCCTGGCCCCTGGGAGCTCGGGGATAGAAACACAGAAGAGGTGTGGTCGGTGCATCTCTCAGATGACTCCACTTAGAGTAGTGTCCCCTGCCTCCAGCTTCCACCAGAGTGTGCCTTGGTGGAGACAGTTGCCAGCATGGAGGGGGCATGACCAGCCTGGGCCACTGCCAGCCTTGCTCAGCTGACAGCTGCTGCATGACCTTTGGCATGGCCTGTGGTCTCCCTAGGCCTCCCCATCTGTTGAACAAGAAGTGATCTGGACCAGAGACAAGCTGGCAGCCACGGCTGGGCAGCACCCACAGGCATGTGCGTCTTAGGGCTGTGCAGTGCTGTTGAAAGTTTGCCGTACACTGCTGGGGGGGATGGAAGATGGTTCGGCCACTCTGTAAAACTGTCCTGCAGGTTCTTAAGCTAGACACACCCCTACCAGAGACTCAGCCGTTCCACTCCTAGGAATTCTTCCCAGAGGGATGAAAACGCGTTCACACAAGGACTTATGCATGACTGTCCATAGCAGTTTTATTTGTGATAGCAAAAACCTGGGGGAAAAACCAAAATGTCTACCAACAAGTGATTGGATGAACAAATCATGGTGCATCCATACAACGCAGAAATAAAAAGGAGTGGAATTTTGAAACACATGACAAAATCAAACGTGAAAATAATTATGCTGCGTGAAAGAAGGCGTGTATACATGTGACTTCGTTCATATGGAATTCTGCAAAATGCAGTTGTCTGTAGTGACATCGGTGGTTCCTGGGGACAGGGGTGGGAGGACACAGGCAGGAGGACATGCTGTGGGTGACGAGGTTCACCGTGGACCATGGGAAGGGTTTCGTGGGTGTGCACATAGGTCGAAGCTTTCCAAATCATCACTTTTACATGTGCAGTTGATTGTGTCAAATAATCCTCAGTAGAGCTGGTCAAGATAGTTGAAACTATATTCAAAACTGGGAAACTGAACATAATGACCCCAATTGCACATTTCTGTTGGAAAATTAGAAGTTCTGGTAACACTAGGCCTGTATTCAGGTGTGGTGTGGGGAGTGGGGTGTGGCTTCCAAGGGCTGGGCGTGGCTGTGTTGGGTTGGGCGTGGCTGGGCTGGACACGGCTGAGCTGGGCTGGGCGTGGCTAGGCTGGGCTGGGTTGGGTGTGGTTGGTCATGGCTATGTTGGGCTGGGTGTGGCTGGGTGTGGTGTGGCGTGGCTGGACTGGGCATGGCTGCACTCAGCTGTGTTGGGCTGGATGTGACTGGGCGTGGTGTGGCGTGGCTGGGCTGTGCGTGGCTGCACTCAGCTGTGTTGGGCTTGGCTACTGCCCTCTGCACAGGCCTCACCGCTCCTCACTGTCCACGCGCTCTGTGGTCCAGCATCATTTCTGGTCTCGTTGGCTCTGCGGATTGTGTCCCTTATGCCTGGCCAGCTGCCTTCATCAAGGGTGACTGCCTGGTGCCTGCACAAGTTTGAGTTTGATGGACTTAAATGAATTTCACACTTTTAGTCACTGAAACTTTGGCCAACCTCCATCTTCCTACAGAAGCTCCAAGCATGAAAAACACAAATGTGGAGTTACGGTGTCTAAAGCGCTGTCAGCCCTTCCAGCCCTGCACACTCCCTCCTTCTCCTCCCGGGGTGGCCACGAGGCAGCTCTAGGGTTTGCACATCAGAGTAGTGCTGGGTGTCCTTCCCCTCCCTTGCCCTGGCAGTTCCAGGCCCTGTGCCAGGACCACACACCTCCCACACAGGTCCTCTCATGGGGCTGGTGCCCCCGAGCACACGATCCCCTCTCCCTGATCCCAGGCTCCTCTGTCATGGGAGGGGTGCGAGTTCTTGGAGGCCGAGAGTGTGGCCTGCCCAGGACCACTGGGAAAATGCAGGGTGAACTGTGGGTCTGGGTGACTCTCATGAGCCCCTCCTCCATCCCCCACAGCCCCTAAAGAGTGGGACGGTCTCAGGACCGCGTCCCGGGGTGAATCGTGCTCCTGAAATGGGGACTGTGGTGCACAGTCACATCATCCCTTCACACGGCGGCCACCAGGACACCTTCAGGGCACTTCCGGTGGCAGGAAACATCCCCAGGCCTGACTGCGCCTGAGGACGGTGATGCCATGGACCAGGAGCGCTTCCCGGAGCGGGAGCAGGCGCTCGCTGGCTGGAGCTCCCCCACTGTGTCTGACGCCTCATTCCCTGGATGTTCAGGGTTCCGGTGCTCAGCAAGAACCTGTCCGGACACGCTGGGGAGCAATGCCCCCACAGAACATCGGGGGCCAGCTGGACCATGGCACGTGCCAGACACTGCACCCCAGCAGCGGTGCATGCTTCTCCAGGGCACGCAGAGCAGTGACCAAGGCCGACCGCGCTGGGTCCCAGCACAAGTCTCAGTAGATCTTAAAAGACTCAAGTCGTGCAGAGAACAAAGTAAGAATAATCTCAAGATTTGTTGAGACTTGTGTTCCTTGACTATCCCAGAATTAGAATGAAAGGAGAACCCAATACAGAACATCCTGAAACATTAAGCAACTCAATTCTAAATAACTCGTGAGCGACCGGCGTCGTGGCTCACGCCTGTAATCCCAGCACTTTGGGAGGCTGAGGCAGGCAGATCACTTGAGGTTAGGAGTTTGAGACCAGCCTGACCAACATGGTGAAATCCCGTCTCTACTAAAAATACAAAAATTAGCTGGTCATGGTGGCCCACACCTGTAATCCCAGCTACTCGGGAGGCTGAGGCACAAGAATCATTTGAACCCAGGAGGCAGAGGTTGCAGTGAGCCGAGATTGTGCCACTGCACTCCAGCCAGGCTGACAGAGCAAGACTCCATCTCAAAAAAACCAAAAGAACTCATGAGTTGTTTAGAAGTTGTTAATTAAAACAACATATCAACAGAGGAGGTGACCTGGTATTTTTAAAATGTAACTTTCATTGTTATTCAGGTAGGGTGAGGCCCACAGGTCAGGAGACAACCACCATCAAAAAGATGATTTGTCACGGGTCCCAAGAGGACAGAGCTGGCCGCATCACCACGGTGAAGGGGCACAGGGCAAGCACCAGGTAGGCCAGGAGGCAGAGGGTGCGAGGAACGTGGTGTGGGAAGGACCAGGCCAGGGGGTGGACAGGTGGAGAACTGGCTGGTTGCATTAATGCCAGCTGGTCTGGGTGTAGCTCCTGGCCCTGGGGTGATTAGGGCAGGGGGACGTTGGCCCAGAGTGTGGCCCAGTTGGGGAGCGGTTGGGGTGTGGGCTCTGGAATCCTTGATTTGCTTATGAAGGGTGATCTTGCTGGGAAGCCCTTGGAGGGGGAGCCCCTCCTGGGTCACCCCAGATGTCAAAGCGCAGAAGCACAGGGTTAATGCAGAGGTAATTAGACACTATTTTGAATTCAATGGAAATTAAAACAACATATCAACATTTGTGGGATGCAGATTGACTGGTGTTTAGGATAGATTTTACAGCAGTAATTGCTGAAACGATAAAAAAGGAAGAGATCACAAATCACTCTAAGCCAAGAGCCAGCAAGCTACAGCCCACCGGCCATGTCTGGCCCCTTCTTGCTGTTGAAAATAAAGTTATGCTGGAGAACAACTTGGTATTTTATGTGTTTTCTGTTGCTGCTTTCACGCTACAACAGCAGTTGAGTGGTTGCAACAGACACCACGTGGCTCACAAAACCAAACATATTTACTCTCTAGCCCTTTACAGAAAACCCTTGCCAACTATGATAGGAGCTTTCACCTGGAGAAACTAGTAAGGGAAAAATAAATTACAAAACGCATGCGGAAAGTAGAAGGTAATAAAGATCAGGGTGGAAATCAGCTGAACAAAAAACAAAAACAGAAAATAGAGAAAATAAATGAAACCCAAGCTGATTCTTTGAAAAGATCAATACAATTGATAAGCTGCTGGCCAGACTGACCCCAAAACAAAGAGACCCTCATTACAAACATGGAGGCTAAAAAGGACATCACCGCAGACCCTACAGATGGGAAAAAAGAGTCGAGGGGGATGGTGTCCAATCTTCTGCCCATATATTCCACAACTTGGAAGAAATGAACAAACACCTTGCAAGGAGAAACCTTTCCTTTCATGCATTAAAGACATCGTTCTGCTGTCTCCTGGCTGCCGTGGTTTCTGGCAAGAATTCTGTAGTCACTGGAGTCACTGCTTTTGTGTACGAAATGTGTTGTTTTTCTCTAGCTGCTTTCCAGATGTTTTCTTCAGTTTTCAGCAATTTGATGATGCTATGTCTGGGTCTATTTTCCTTTCTGTTTATCTTCTTTGGGGTTCACTGAGCTTCTTGAATGCTTACATTTATGTATTTCACCAGACTTGGGATGTTTCAGCCAATATTCCTTCAAATAACTTTCTGCCCCAACCTCCTCCTTGCTTTCTGGAACCAGGTATGTGCTGGGCCTTTCGATACGACCCCAGCTGGCCCGTGATGCTTGTTCTTGTTTTTCCTCTTTATCTTCGTTCTTCGGAGTGGATATTTTCTATTTATCTGTCTTCACGTTCGCTGGCTTTCCTTTGTCTCCATTCTGCTATTGAGTCCATCAGTACAATTTTAATTGCAGATACTCTATTCTTTTAGTTCAAAAATACTCATTTGTTTATTTTTTTTCCTACCTCTCTGTGAGGTTTATTATTCATTTCATCTAATGCTCCTTTCTGAGGTGTGTGTGCGTGTGCTGTGTATGCGTGCAACTCGCAAAGCAGTTACCGCGGCTGCTGTAGGCATCTGTGTCAGTTGGGGCTGGCATCTGAGCATTGTCTGTTCTCTTGAGGATGATCACACCTTCCTAGTTTTGTGTCTATTGAGTAATTTTGTTTTACGTCTGAGCACACCGTGTGGACTCTGGGTGCTGTCCTAGCCCTCGGGGAACGTTGCTGTTTCCACTTTAGCAGCCAGGTTCATCCCAAACCCCACCTCTCTCAGTGTGGTTCTCAAGACCTTTGCTGGGTTGGCACTGCTGGGTGGCACTGTGAGACTTATGCGGATTCATGCACAGAATTAGGCAATTGCCGTGTCCAGCCCTCCCCCTTCCGGGGTTCCGCCCCCTCTCTTCCCTGGCTCTCCCCCTTCTAGGGTTCCGCCCCCTCTTTTCCCCTGCTCTCCTCCTTCCAGGGTTCTGCCCCCTCTCTTCCCCCACTCTCCCCCTTCTGGGGTTCTGCCCCCTCTCTTCCCCGGCTCTCCCCCTTCCAGGGTTCCACCCCTCTCTTCTTCCCCGGCTCTCCCCATTCTGGGGTTCCACCCCTTTCTTACCTGTAGGACTCCTTTTCCCAGGTTGGGGTTTCTATCTGCGTTTTAGCTGCTTGTGTTGCCATGTGGATCTGAGAGTGGGGCTTGCCCTCCAGACAAAGCCACAAGGAGGAAACCAGAAACTCCACGGCAGGTCACTCCTCCAAGTTCCGCCTCCGCCCTGCAGTCTCCTTACTTTGCAGGTCCTCAGTAGTTGTCTGTGTCTCATCCAGAGCTTGGTCACAGTTAGGGGAGGGCTAGGCTAAGCCATAGCAGGCTCGTGGATAAAACGTCACCTCCCTGGCTCTTTCCCAGGATTTCCTGGCAGAGGCCACATTTATAAGCCATGCAGTGTAGTCACCTGCTGTGTGCCAGGCAGCAAGCGCCATTAGCCCGGGAGGTGGTGAACAGCTCCTGGGGGCACCAGCCAGCACCGTCACCGTTTGGCAGCGGAGGCTGCGGCCAGCTCCTTGTCAGGTGAATGTGCTGCATGTTGATGCAACACCTTCCTCTTCTTGCCAACCCTGGGCCAATGTCCTCAGACACAGGCAGCAACGGAAGTGGCCACCTGCCCACCATGGCCTGGGGAGAAGGGGGAAGGGTCTGACTGGGGGAGCCTCAAGACTGTGCCACTTGCCCCAATCCCATGAGAGGCACCTGCTATGGCACCTCGAGCTGGGGCAGAAGGCCTGGAGCCCGTGCCTGGATGCTGCCCAGGACTCTCAAGCTAGTCCAGTGGCCTTGGCTGCAAAGTCCTGCTCAGGCCCACGTTTCCCCAGTGCCTTGCCCAGCTCCAGAGGGAAGTGATTGACCGCAGAGCCGATGAGCTCAGAGCCGGTGGTGGGCAGTCTGGCCGGATGGCGGTGACTCAGGGAAGCGGAGGGGCTCCCCCCACCCCGCTGCTGCTGCCCCCCGCGTCCCCCCCGCCTGCAGTAACTGACAGGAAGGGGCGGGAGGCGGATGGGCCGTGACAGCTTAATGGCTTCGGTTAAAGCATCCTCTGATCGTGCTGGCGCTGGGAGAGGCTCTGAGCTCGGGTGGCACTGCGGGCACTCTGGACACTGTCTCCGGCTGCCGCTGAGCTGGGAGGCTCCTTTCCAGCAGGCCACGCGGTCAGGGGCACCTCCTGCCGCAGCACCTGCCCAGCCCTCTGGGGACCAGAGTGAGCAAAGTGCTGGTGCTGGACCTGGCCACCGCCAGAGGCAAACACAGTTGGCCAGACCCAGGCCCCACCTGTTCACGAGATGCCCCATCCCTTGGAGCCTCCAGGAGCCAGGGCAAGTGTGGAGGCAGGTGAGACCCAGCGCCAGCGTTTGCTTCAACCAAAGAACCACAGCAGAGCCGCTGGGGACAGCTTGTTCAGCCAGTGCATAATCAGTACTCAGGATTGTGGCTGGTGCCCCTGGCAGACTCAGCCCTACGGGGATCGGCCCCCAGACGTGCCACAGCTTGGCCACTCTGCTCTGAGGAGCTGTCTGTGCCCAGCACGCGTTCCAGCTTCTGGGATGCACAATAGGCGCCCAGGCCTAGGCTGCGGGACGACCATGCTTGCTGCTCACAGCGCCTGTGAGTCAGAGACTCCGACAGGCCACTTGGGATGGCCCAGGCCTCCTCCCCAAGGTCTGCAGCCTCCTCGGGGAAGCCTTGGGGCCAGAGCCTGGAGACTCCAGAGGGAGTCTCCTACAGACGATGCCGCCATCAGTGGGACCTGCAGCCGGGATCTCGGGCTGGGCCTCTCCGGCAGCCCCACATGTGACATGGGTGGGCTTCCCGAGGCCAGCACTTGAGAGAGAGGTGGAAGCCGAGACGCGGAGCCACCTGGCATCCTTTCCGACAGTCACGAGGCCCTCAGATTCCAGAAGAGGGGACAGAGACCCCTCCATGGGAGCAGCCTTGGTCATGCTAGAGAAGAGCCTGGGGCTGGGAGACCCATGGGGCATCTTTTGAAAATGCCTCCAGTCACTCGTGTGGCCACCCAGCAAGGCCCCGAGTCATGCACAGCCCACCCGTGCATGCCACCTGCCGGGACCTGCCCCATCACCTGCCGGGACCTGCCCCATCACCTGCCGGGACCTGCCCCATCACCTGCCAGGACCTGCCCCATAGCTTTGGAGCCCTGTCTGCTGCAGGGGAGGGAGGCAAGCCCCAGAACAGCCCCGAGTTCTGCTGCAGTCCGGTCAGCCGGGGGCTTCCTGCCCCATTCAGTGTCCCAGGTCTGCATTCAGCAAGGGTTGGATGCTCCACCAACCCTGACCCCCCGGGAGCATACACCTGTGGGAGCAGGTGCACCCCACCTCCATGCACACACAGACACCTCCAAGGTTTTCCTGAGAGACAAGATTTGGCTCAGGACTCGCTGCTCAGAACCTGAAGGTGTAGAAAGTGCACACACTCCTAGCAGAGCCGACCTACTGCTATACCCTCCCAGCCGGTGCCCCAGGTCAGAGCCTGCCCCTTCCCCCAACCCTCCTGCCTCACCCACACCCCTGTAGCCTTGGGGACCCACAGAAACCACCGCAATGACCTCTTCTAGCAGGCAGGCCTGTGGTGCGCCTGCTGAGCTCAACCCTCCGTGAACTTGGCTGGCCCTTGCCAGGCGCAGCTCAGCCCTGCATCCGCTGGCACTGCCCACCAGACTTGCCCACCTGACCGGGACCGGGAATCTTCCTGTAGCCTCTCTAGGGAAGGTGCACTTTTCTCTAGCATCCTTTCTCTGGCTGATGGAGAGGGAGCTGGGTGAAAGGCAGGGCCTTGGCCAGAGCAGGCCTGATGGGTGGCATGGGGCTGGGGGTGGAGGAAGTTGGGGGAGGAAGTGTCTCTGGAGGTCCAAGGCCTCAGCTGGCCCTGCCCCCTGTAAACAGCCCTATTTTTTAAAAGGCCTCCTTACCCAGCTTCAGGGGTTTAAAGGACACCCCCTTCCCTTGGCCATTCCTGGGGACCCCCCCGACCATCCACAATATTGTACTAGTATCTAAAGCAGCCAGCAAGTCCTGTCTGTCTGGAGAAGGTGAGAGTTTTCAGGGGCTCAGGACGTGCTGAGCTGGGGGGAGCAGGGGGCATGGCTTGACACCTCACAGCGGCTTCCTGAAGCTCAGTGGTGCACAAAGCAGAGCCCACAGGGGAGCCCTCGTAACTCAAGGCCTCCAGGCCATGCTAAATACCCAGAAGCCACTGGTGGGGACCACTGAGGCCATGTGAGCAACACATTTATCATGAACAGCTGTTCCCCGTGTTACTCCAAGACAACACGAACAACTGGGCCGGGCAACCCAGAGAAATGCAAACTCTTCCTCATTCAGAAATAGCAAAGAAAGTTCTCCTTCCAGAAGGGCCCTCCCCACACCTTGTAAAAGCAATTTTAAAAATACAAATAGAGGCTCCTTCCTCATGCCAAGGTTCATTATTAAGGAAGAGAGCAGTTCCAGGCAACGCCTTTATTTAAATATGATGATTAAACTGTTTGGTTTTAATGCAAATGGAAGACACCATCTGAAATTCTGAAAGGAGAAAAAGACGCTGCTGGAGGTGGGAGGAAGGGAGAGGAAGGCAGGAAGGGAGGAGAGGAAGGGGCCAAAGCTGGTGAAATTCCTGGCATCAAGAAACCCCCTGGATGGAGAAAGAGCATGAAAACAGCAAACGGCCGCGAGGCAAACAGCAAACGGCCGCGAGGCAAACAGCAAACGGCCGCGAGGCCGAATGGACCACATTCCAGGCGAGGCGGGGGCAGTGTTCAGCTGTAGCTGCTCCCTGGGGACCCACACCCTGACCCCGTGCTAGGGAGCACTGGGCTGGGGGCCAGCGAAGCACTCTGGCGTGGACGGCAGGCCCATTTTTAACGGTGCTATTTCATTAGCAGTTTTACTCAGCTGCTGGCAGGGCCCCAGCACGGCTGCCTCTGTGGCTAGAGGGGTGCAGGGGGTGCTGGGCTCCAGGCCAGGCAGTGCCCATTTCCACAGAGCCAGTGCCCCCACACAGCCACATGCAGCAGCTTCCTTGCTACACCACGGGGCCTCCCTGGGGACTCTGCACCTGCAGCGCACACACTGTCCCCACCTGGCCCTGCCCACGGGGCTGCTGCAGAGGCGGGCTGCCAGCTCTCGCTCCCTGGGGAATCTGGAATCCCAAACTGGGAGACGGGGCGGGGGCGGGGCGATAATATCTGCACCAGCTGCGAAGATCAAAGCACCTGTGCACGAATGGCTGACCCAGAGTCTGGCCCCCTCATATGTGACCCACGCCCCGTGAAGGCTGCACCTGGAAACCTCTTTGCCACGTCGCCATCGTGGGCTAGTCTCGAGCTGCGCCCCAGCCAGAATCCTATGTATTTGCAAACTGAGGACAGAGAGGGTCAGCTGTGTGTCCACCACTGTCCACACCGATTTTAGATAATTTGGTTTCCTCTTTAAATAGCGTTTAAGGGAACGAGCAAACTGTCACCTCCTGAAACAAGTTTCCAATAGATTAAAGTGGGTCTTGTCTATATAGCACGCTCTGAAATGATCCTTGCCCATGTTGCCGATTAAATGCTTATGTGCTCACTGTCTCTTGGCCCCCAAATATAGGGCCTGCCTTAAACCTTCAAACCAAGGCGGCAGTGCCTTCGTGTTAGAGTCCACTTCTTTTTATTGCCTCTTGCCTAGAAAATTATCGCAGGGGTGCACATGCTGCATCTCCCACGAACAGTTGTCTGAGGCTGGGCTAATAGAATGTCTCATAAACCTCGAAAAGATGTTTCAAGAACACCTCCTCCTCTTGGGGCCATTCCCAGCCGAGTTCCAGAATCCTCAGGCCAGCAGGGAGATGGTGTCTGTTGGGACACTGCGGAGGGACCCCTTGTTGAGGTGGTGGCCCCAGTCCTGCCTTGGGGACCCAGCCCTGCCCTGTTCCATCCCTCTGTGTTCCGGATGAGGCTGCCCAGCTGCAGTGAATGGTCGGGGGTCGGGCCCGTGACCCGGTGAGGCGGGCGAGTCCATGCCTGGAAGTGAGGAGTAGGCTCGGTTCTTTCCAGTCCTGCTGCTTGCTGTCCTGCTGCTGCTGTCCTGGCACTGGGAGAGGCCAGCCTGCAAGGACAAGGCAAACTAGATGGGACCCTTCGGAGAAATCAGGCCATGGCAACACCTTTCTAATCTTAAGTCCTTGGCCAGCTACCATGCCCTGGAGACCTGCCGGTGTTCGGGTTCCATGGGGGGCAGCATGGCCATGCAGGGGACCCTCAGGAGGCTCCCACCAGGCAGCTGAAAAGGCACAACACTGGGAAGACCCAGGGCCATTCCACCAGGGTCCTGACCAGTCCTCAAAACCGCCAAGGTCATGAAAAACAAGGCGAGTCTGAGAAACCCACAGCCTAGAGGAGCCCACGGAGTGAGGAGCAAATGTTTCCTGGGGTCCTGGACGGGGCCCTGGGACAGGAGGGCGTCAGGGAAGTGCAGCATCCGGCTCCTTGCCGTGGACAATGCTGGCACTCTGGCCGTGACCAATGTCGCCTGTGACGTGAGACCTTAGCACCCCGGGGGGCTGGGCGTGGGTGTGTGGCGCTCTCTGAACTATCTTTGCAACTGTCTCGTAAATTTAAAACAATTTATTTATTTATTTATTTATTTTGAGATGGAGTTTCACTCTTGTAGCCCAGGCTGGAGTGCAATGGCACGATCTCAGCTCACTGCAACCTCCGCCTCCCGGGTTCAAGTGATTCTCCTGCCTCAGCCTCCCGAGTAGCTGGGATTACAGGCGCTCACCACCACGCCCAGCTAATTTTTGTATTTTTAGTAGAGATGGGGTTTCACCATGTTGGCCAGTGTGGTCTCAAACTCCTGACCTCAGGTGATCCACCCGCCTCAGACTCCCAAAGTGCTGAGATTACAGGCGTGAGCCACTGCACCTGGCTTTTTTTTCTCTTTTTCTTTTCTTTTTTTTTTTTTTTTGAGACAGAGTCTCGCTCTGTCACCCAGGCTGGAGTGCAGTGGTGTGATCTCGGCTCACTGCAACCTCTGCCTCCCGGGTTCAAGCGATTCTCTTGCCTCAGCCTCCTGAGTAGTACCCGGCTAATTTTTGTATTTTTAGTAGAGACGGGGTTTCACCATGTTGGTCAGGTGGTCTCAAACTCCTGACCTCAAGTGATCCGCCCACCTCAGCCTCCCAAAGTGCTAGGATTACAGGCATGAGCCACCATGCCCGGCCTAAAACAATTCTTTAAAAAAAGTATTTTAAAAAGAGGAAAATAAAACACAATTTGAACATTCATTGAGGAAAATAATGTTTTTTCAGAAACGAACTGCACTTTAATTTAATTTACTTGTTCACATTTTGGTCAGAACCCTGGAAGGAGATGAGGAAGCAGGTTTGACAGGCACGTGGCCACCGTGCCTGGGTTCCATGGTTTTATTAGAGAGCCAAGAGCAGTTGATGGCAATGATGAAGTCCCAGAGTGGAAAATGCCCCGCCCAGCCCTGGGTTTAACTGGCCTGCTGGCTGAGTGGACGCTGGTGTTTTTGCGCGGGCAGCAAGGGCTCAGAATCCCCATGTAAGACCCCGCAGCCATGATGAAGATGAGCTTTTTAAAAGTCAGAGGCTCCTGGCAGCTGCTGTGTGGGAGTGACATGGGGGAGGATGTGTGTGACATCAGGGACACCCCCAGCCCTGGCTTTGAGCAATAATGCTGGCAAGCCTGGGTGCAGATACGGGATTGGGAGAAACCAAGGCCTTGAACCGCTGACGGACTTGGTGGGGGAGACGCTGAGCAACAAGGAGCTGCCCACTGTGGAGGCAATGTTCCCATCCCGCAGGGGACAACTGTCCCTCTTCTGCCCCACCAGGTACAGAAGAGCCACAGGGGACAGGCAGAGAGGAAATGCAGAGGCTGGGGACTTGGGGGGTGGCATTCCCCACCCCGGGGCATTAAGAGGTCTCTCCAGGTAAACAGAAGCTGGAAGGAGCATGAACTCCCGGCAGGAACAGGCCTGCTGGCGTGAGGGGCCACAGGCCAGCGAGGGGCCCGGGATGCCGGTGCAGCCCCAGTGCCAGGAGGTCCTGTCGTAGGTCCCAGGCCAGCTCCTTCCTCTGTGTGAAGGGAGCCTGGAAATCCCAGAAAGATCTAACAGGATCAGCAGAAAACCAGGATGGAAATGCTGTGGAGGCCGCCTGCTGCCCGCCCTGCTGTGGGGGCCGCCTGCTGTCCGCCCTGCTGGAAGAATGTCCCGGGCTGTGGCTGGCCAGCAACACTGCCCACGGGCCCTGGCAGAGGAGGGAGGCGTGGAGCACCCTGCACCCTCCAAGGCTAAATTCAGAGGCGGCCGCTGAGATTTCTCGAGCTCATCTCCCAAGCACGGCCCTCAGAGTCAGATGACGGGGGCTCAGGGTCAGCATCCTACAGACCCCCAGAATCATCAGGACCCCAGCTGGGGCAGATGGAACAGATTGGGGCAGAGGGTGCGCCAGTCTGAGCTGCCCCCTGGCTTCCAGCAGCATCCCTCCATTGTGCTGAATGTGCCTCCGCCAGGCTTCTAGCAATTTCCAGGACCTCATGGGAGAGGCTACTGGCTGAGCTCCACCCAGGACTCTTTGCCACACCCCTTGAAAGCAGAGAGCCACAGGGCTGCCCTGCTGTCCCTCACTGGCCATCTGGACCGTCTGTCCATTTGTCAGCTCTCCATGGGGTGCCAGTGCTAGGCCAGGTCCTGTCTGGGTGTGGGGATATGAAGATGAGCAAGAAGGCAGGGTCCCCACTCATGGGCCACTGTCCAGTGGGTGAGGCCAGCTTGAATCAGATGATCACCCACTAACAGAACATGCAACATGATAAGTGCTTAGAATATGACAGAGAGTCTGGGCTTAACCAGAGGGCTTCCTGGAAGAGGTGACATTTTAGCTGAGACTGGAGGATGACTGGAGATTGTCTGGGAGGGAAGAGCATGGCGTGGATGTTGCTGTGGTTAAAACGTACATGGTACGGGGGTGGGAGGGGCAGGAGGCTGGAGACCTGGAGAGGGGTCTGGTCGGTTTCTAAGAGCAGGAGAGAGCTATCAAGGGGCTCCATGCTAGAAGGGACTGGATTGGAGGGGCTGGCTGGGAAGGAAGCAGGGATGCTCCAGGGTGCAGGGAGTATCAGGCTGTTACTGTTCTATAAGGTGATGGCTTGAACCTGGGAAGGGTGACAGAGATGGGGAATGAAGAACACCAAAGATATTTGGGAGATCAACCAATAAGATCAACACCAGACACTGTCACCTGAGTTCCTTATTGTATCAGTCAGCTACAGCTGTGTAACAAACAGCCACAATCAGCTGCAGACAGTAGACAACATTTCTTTCTGAGTCCCATGTCCACGGGCTGATCCAGCTGGTTCTGGCTGTGGGCAAGGGTCTGCTCTGCTTGCTGTTTCTTGTCCTCCTGGGACCAGCAGGCTGCCTGGGGCCAGTTCCTGCCATGGTGAGGACGGAAGTGCCAGAACATAGCCTGACTGCCCATGTGCAATTCAAACCTTCACTTGTGCCATGTTCACCAAGATCCCATTGGCCAATGGAAGTTATGTGGTGGAGCTCAAGTCCAGGAGGTGGAAGAAGACTCTTCTTGCCTTGAGGTCCCACGCGAGGGTGTGGGAACATGCTGCTGCCGTGGGGAGGGGAGAACCGTGGCTGAGAGTCCACCCGGGAGTGTGCTCTCGTTTCCCAGTGACTCTGTGGAGAGAAACATGCCAACAAAACTTATACTACAGGTAAAAGGAAGAAGACTTTGACAAAGGTGGAGCCCTTGACAGGGAATCATTTTGGGTGAAATGTCCATTAAGGAGAAAATATCTTTTTCAAAGGCCCCCTGTCCCTGGGCGTGTCAAATGCCAGTGCAAACCTAGGCCAAACACACGGAGAAATACTGGCGAGATCAACAGTTCAGGTGGGAAAATGGGCAGGTTGAGCGGCCGTCCAACTAAGAGGCCCTGGAAGGACCACCGCCTCCCTGAAGGAGCTCAGGAGGGAGAACGAACTCCCGAATTCCCAGCCCGAGTCGCAGAGCACAGGCGGAGGGGCCTGCAGATGCCCTCCTTCCAGCTCCCGCCCCACCAGGCTGGCAGCTGCCCGCAGACCAGCCAGACAGCGTCATTACAGTAATCCACCGCGGCAATGCTACACATAAAAAGATTGCTTTCCCGGAAAACTGCTGACACGCGGGTCTGGGAGGGAGCACGCCTGAGAGAGAGGAGAGATGGGCCTCCTGGATCCATACGATGCATGATGGCTCCAGCTTTAATCAATTTTCAACCCTTGAAACTAAAATAGTCGTGATTGATGAAATTCCACAAGTCAGATCTTCTCTCTATTGCCCGTGTGCTGTGAGCAGTGAAGAGGTACGCTCCCCTCAACAGCACCTCCAGGCACAGGGGGCCTTGGGCAGCCTCGTCGGAGATCCTCCCTGGGACACCCACCCTACCCCAGGCCCCTCGCGTGCTGACGTCCAAACGCAACATGAGCAGACACAAGCACGGGGTGTCTCCCAAAGGAATCATCACACCTGCACCCCCCATATCTAGGGGACACTCTCTCTGTGCTTTTTAAATTTTTTAATTAAAAATCTTTGATACATAATAGATGTACACATTTTCAGGGTACGTGTGATAATTTAATCCAGTCATGTAATTTGTAAAGGTTAAATCAGTGTAATTGGGATATCCATCAGCTTAAATATTTGTCCAATTTAGAATGATTCTCTCCTAGTTATTTTGAAATAGACAATAGCTGATTGTAATTATAGTCACCCTAGTGATCTGTCAAACATTGGGTCCTCTCTCTTCTATCGAACTGGGTGTTTGCCCTCGTGAATCAGCCTCTCTTCATCTCCCCTTCCCCTCCCCTTCCCAGCCTCTGGTAAGCATCAGTCTTCTCTCTGCCTCAGCAAGACCCGCTTTTTTTCACTCCCATGTGTGAGTAAGAGGGTGCGATATTTGTCCTTGTGTGCCTGGCTTATTTCACTTAACATAATGGCCTCCAGTTCCATCTGTGTTGCTGCAAATGACAGGATTTTATTCTTTTTTTGTGGCTGAGTAATATTCCCTGGGTATCACTTTTGCTTGTCCAGCAGATCCTCAGCAAGATCAGGAGTCTGTACTCCGGGGTCAGCAGTGGTTGAAACTGGCCCCAGGCCTCAGGAAGTCATGTCCCAGTGGACGGAGAGGTGACTGATAGAGGAAAAACAGTCCTCCCCACGGACAGGAGACTCACAAGTTTGTATGAGGGGAGTTCCTTGGAAATATACAGGAAATATCCACTTCTATCCATTTTCAAACCATATAATTATATTCCATCTGTGATCTCTACTCACTCGACCAATTATTGAAATGAGCTATTTGAAGTGGAGATGAGAAGTCTTATGTCACCACGTACCTAAATCTACTGACAGTTTAATAACTGGAATGAATATAGATCATTTTATGGCCCTGAAATGAGTGAGGCCTTTCCAAGCATCACAAAGGAAAAGATTGATATATTTGACTACATGAAAATTAAAAGCATCTGTATAGTTAGAGATACCATAAACCAAAATTAAAAGCAAATGGCAAACTAAGAGAACATATTTTCAATAGACATTACAGACAAAGAGTTAATTGTGTTCTCATAAAGCAATATAGTTTTTAAAAGACAAGCCCACCCCTAGAAAAATGGGCAAAAGACGTGAACAGGCATATTTGCCAATTACACTCTAACCAATAAGCTTATGACAAATGCCTGACTTCTCTTGAATCAAAGAAATGCAATGAAAGCATCCGTGATATTCAATTTATCTTCTGTCAAACTAGCAAATACCATTTTAAATTGTAAAACCAATTCTGGCCTAAGAATTGGGAAAATACCTGCTAGCAGAAATAAATGGGCACATCTTCTTGGGGATGGGGGTGGGGGCAATGGTGCATTCTGGAACAATGTACCCAATCCCAATAAAACTCATTAAAATGTGTCCTAAGAGGATGAGTCTCTGCACAAAAATTTGCATGGAAGAACAGTCATTACATATAATACGAAAAGCTGGAAACGGTCTCAAAAGTTAAATAAATCATGGTAGAAAGGCACGCAGCCACTGAAAGTGTTGTAGAATATTCATTGACATGTTATTCACTGACATGGAATGGTGTCCAGGCTAGGCTGACACGTAGAATAAAAGAGAGTTGCACAAATGGTGAACATCACGTGTGTACTATTCTGTAAGAAAGAAGGTGAAGAATTAAAGAAGTAGGTGATGAAGGGCATGCGAGTCCTGGTTCTCCCCAAAAACACTCTCTGGGGAACTGAGGGACCATGTGAACTTTCTTGCTGTCAATCAGAAGAGATTACTAGAGAAGCGGGTCAGTTTCTTATCTAACATGCTGACTCACCACCTTCCATCCCCACTGATTTTGTCCCGTGGATCGCTCTCCACAGTAATTTCGAAGCATCCTGTGGGAGGGGTATCCTGGGACTCACAAGCAAGTGCAGAGCCCGGGGAAGGCTGCACGCTCTGCCAGTGGCCACCAGACCCAGTGAGCCCTGGGTGCAGCGGAGGAGGCAGAAGCAGCAGGGTGGCAGGGGCAGCTGCCATCACCATTTTTTTTTTCAGCTAAAACTGATTTGTTAAAAAGGTCGTGCGAGTGACGGAGAGGTGCAGGAGCGTGGCCGGCCTCGCTCAGCCACCTTTCAGACGTGGAGGAAGACTGTGTGCAGCAGTTGCTGGCGTCTGCCTGCGTTTGAGTGCGAGCTCTACGCTCACTGGCGATGGGACCCGGGCAGCCACGGCTCCTCATTGTTTTATCCTAATCTCGAATGTGGGACATGGTAGTGTCTGGTGTGAGGTTCATACGAGTTATCATAGGGTCACCGCTCACGAAGGAAGCGTCCGATAAATGCGCGTGGCCATTGTTAACCTTGTTATTGTTACTGCATACAACCAAGCAGACACGGCCTCTTTCCAAGAGCATTTGGCTTGGATGGAGATTATGAACATCCAGCTGAGGCACGTGCACGCCCTGCACCACCGAGTCCATCAGAAGCACATACGTCGTTCCCAAAATGTGTGTGCTAGAGAGTTGACAGCGCCCGGTCATAATTATCTCAAGCTGAAAGCAGCCCAGACGCCTGCCAACCATTTCGTGTGAGTAAATACACTGTGGGATCTGCCATGCACTATGGCCCCGTGAAGGAGCAGCCTCAGCTGTGCTCAACAACCTGGATGCATCTCGCAACCTAACGTCTCGTGAGACAGCCTGGCACGCACGACGCGAACTGAGTGACTCTGCCCAGCGGAAGCACAGAACAGGCCAAACTGGCAAACGGCGTGGCACGTCCTCAAAAATCAAAAGTAGAATCACCTTGGGATTCAGCAGTGCCGCTTCTGGAAACCGGGTATGTGGCCGAAGACCTGAAAGCTGGCTCTGCACTTGTACACCTGTGTTCCCAGTAGCCTTAGTCACAGTAGCCCAAAGGTAGAAGCCACCAAGCGCCCCTCGGTGGATGAACAAAATGTGGTCTATTCACACAACGGAATATTACTCAGCCTTAAAAAAGAAGGGACTGCTAACACCGGCTACGAACTGCACGGCCCCGGAGGACACTGTGCTGAGTGAAATAAGCAGACACAGAAAGACAGGTCCTGCGTGCCTCCACTCGTACGAGGTTCCTAGAGTGGCCACACGCGTAGAGACAGAAAGTAGAGTGGGGGTAGGAGTGGCAGGGAGTTGCTGTTTCATGGGGACAGAGCCTCCGTTTGGGATGATGAAAGTTCAGATGGTGGGTGGTGGTAGCGGTTGCATGTACGTGTTTCTGTGTGTTGTTGTCCATGTACATGTTTTGGTGTGTCGTTGTCTGTGTACATGTTGTTTCTGTGTGTTGTTGTCTGTGTACATGTTTCTGCATGTTGTTGTCTGTGTACATGTTGTTTCTGTGTGTTGTTGTCTGTGTACATGTTCCTGCATGTTGTTGTCTGTGTAGGCCATGAATCTGCATCACGCCAGTGTGTTTATAATGTTCATGCTGCACATGTCTGTCAAATGAGCCAACGTGGTGCGTGTTTTATGATCTTTCACTCGATCACATGTTGAGCACTGTGCGGGCTCAGGTCGCTGTCACATCATGGGGGCTGCAGAGTAGAGACCGACCAGCCGACCCGGCACGTTGCCTGGGGCTGGGCTTGGATCTCTTGGGGATCGTGGTGGGTAAGAGTGAGGAGGGGTCCCCATTCTGAAAGGCATGAACAATGCTTTCATTTGCCCCTTACCCCCAAGATTCCAGTTGGTCAGGGAGTCCCCCTTCTCCTGCCCTCCTGGGTTAGGGGTCCTGGCCTTTGGTGGGTAGGGGGCAAAGTGATGAGTAGAATCTAAACATGCTGTCATGGTTTCAAATGGTGGTAAGGCTGTTCATTCACCTGGGTAACCAGTGCCCCCATCTTTCAGGGTCTGTGGGATTAGAAGCAACTTTTATTCCAGCCTCTTGACTTATTCTTATTTTCTAAACTTCTATAATGAACTTGTGTTGGTTTTTTAAAAGGAAAGAAAATGTATTTCCGGCCAGGCGCGGTGGTGGCTGAAGCCTGTAATCCCAGCACTTTGGGAGGCTGAGGCAGGCAGATCACCCGAGGTCAGGAGTTTGAGACCAGCTTGGCCAACATGGCAAAACTCTGTCTCTACTAAAAATACAAAAATTAGCAGGGCGTGGTGGCACACGTCTGTAATCCCCATGCATTTGGTGGCGATGTGAGGCCCAGTTGGACTTCCTGCATGCAGAACTGATTAGAGGCACCTGGGCCTCCCCTACCCGTGTGCTGGGGGCCTCCTCTGACCTCTGCACCTGGAGCTTGCAGGTAGATGCTGAAGTTGAGCTTCCCTGCACCTTAGTGTTCTGGGATCCCAAATCTATCCACCCCGCTGCTCCACCCTGCTCAGGGTGCCCATCAAGGGCCGTGGGGACTATAGCTCATCAGAGACCTTCCTGTTCCTCCTCAGAGATGCTGGTTTCCGAGGAGTCCCAGGAGGGCTCCCAGCAGGGGCCGACGGACATCCACACAGCAGCAGATTCCAGCTGGGGTCGCTGGGTGCCTGGGCTCAGCAGGGGCGAGGCTGCCCTCTCATGGCCAGGAGAGGCACTGCCTGGGAGGCCAGTGGGAAGGCCCCGGGGACTTCACAGGTCCACACCCGCAGGGAGAGGAGTGGACCCCACGCAGGGATTGGGCTGTTGGGGCCTCTGTGCCTCCCGGAACCCCACGCATTTGGTGGTGACGTGAGGCCCAATTGGACTTCCTGCATGCAGAACTGATTAGAGTTACGAGAAAGACTTTTTAAAAAAAGACCCTGAGATGTCAGCTTTGGCAGCTGTACCTACCGGTGGAAGAACAGGCTCCTTCCCTCAAGCATGACTGAAAACCGTTTAAAAAGAAGTGCTCTGATTCAATGGTTCCCAGTTACACCGAGTTATGGAGACATCGTCCCTGGAGCGGGGCCCGCAAGAGTCTTTCCCTCCCATGGGGCAACGCAGTGGCTGCGGATCCCAGCCAGCCCCGAGGGACACAAGTGTGGCCGTGGTCAGCTGCGGCTTTGCTAGAGGCCCTCCCTGCTCTCATGAGACCCCGAGGGTGTTGGCTTTCTGCCCCCAAGACTGACAAATGGCCAGGTGGGCCTGCAGGTGACCTCCTTCCCTCATGGGCAGCAGGAACCAGGTGGGCCCCCACAGTGCCTGGGGCAGCTTATGCAGCAGTTACAGAGATCTGGATCTGGGTGAGTGTTTCCTTTTATTCCTTCTTATATTTTCAAAAATATAATATGTCTATGCATAGAAAAATGCCCGCAGCATATGCAGAAGTCACCAGCACATACTGGGATGATCCCAGGAGGCAGTGGTCAGTGAGGTCAGTGGGGTCCCCTGCCCCAAGGCCACCTAGGGGCCCAGCCTTGCCTGGGGCCAAGACATCACTGAGCAATGAAGATGTGAGCCTGGGGCACCTGTGACTCTGCGTGTCACTCCAGAGCCCAGCTGAGGCGCTGGAAGGGGCTCCAGGAAAAGCCAATTTGGGCACCCGGAGGGGTGACACCCACAGTGGCCCAGGTCTTCTGCTTTCTTGAAATCCACGAGATTTTGATGAAATAAAAGCCATTGGCGCCTCCTTGGGGTCTCACAGTCTCACGTGACAACCGGGAGAGAAGCCGGAGGTGGGTGGGTCAGGCCATTCCGGGCACACAGCGGGACAGCAGACCCTGAGGACACTTGTCCCCGCCTGGGAGTTCTCCACCCTCCTGTTCTCGGATGTGACTCAGCAATGCCAGGGCTCTGCAGCTCCGGGAAGGCCCCGAATCGGCCTGCCAGGCCCACTGTGAGACACGAGGAGGAAGGGGTGGCGGCTCCTCAGCCGACACTACCCCAGGCAGGCTTCCTGTTTGTGCCCCACTAGGACCTGTCTCCTGCACGGCCAGCCCTGAGAGCCCCACAGGGTTCGTCTGTTTCTCCCCCAGAGACCAGGAGGCTGGAGGGATCCGTGGGCCCATTTTACAGATGGCATAGGGCAGAGACTCGAGGCCAGGCCTAGGTCTGGCCTCACACCTGACCCCCACCTGCCCCCAGCCAAAGGTCACAACCCCAACCCCCTCCACATCCGTAGGTCATGCCTTGGAAAACTGCCCCACCCATGCAGAAGATGGGAGATTTTGTCTAAGAAAAGAATGATGGCTTTGCAAATATTTCCACTCTGGTTCCCCATGACAGTTCACTGTGAAACCCCGGTGACCCCACATGACCTGCCGTTTCCTGTACAAGGGGGTCCCAGGTCTGAGTAATTTTGAGATCACGAGGTCCCAGGATGTGGCATTTGACACGGGCAGCTAAGGCCAGGAGCAGCCAGCAACCCCAGAGCCCAGCCCCTCCCCGGGGCTCTGAGGGGAGGAATTCTCTCCCCCGGGTAAATGCACCCAGGTGGAGGTGTCAGGTCAGCCACACAGACCGACCTTCCCGCCCAACGCTCCTGACTCACCAGGGCTGGAGGACCACCAGGGACCTCCCTGAAGGCTCCATCCTGTGTGGGCTGACTGTGGGGCCAGAGAAAGAGGAAGCTTCCAGGCTGGGCCCCACTACCCAAGAACCTAAAGCAGCCCCCGGTTCTGCACGGGGAGCAGCGTCTCCTCTTGCCCCCTGGCTGGTGAGCAGAGCTTCCTTCCACAAAGCGGGGGGTCAGTGGAGACAGCCCACTCTATCCCCAAAATGCTGGGCCAGTCGGGGGATGGGCCACTCTGTCTCTGAAATGCCAGACCAGATTGTTCATCTGCAGGGTTTCTTCGGCGCGAGATGAGAGGCCTCTGGTCCCATCCTAGGAACCACGGCCCAGACTGTCCCTGCCTCAGAAGAGTGACATGGACACCCACACACAGTCCCCCCAAACAGAGACACACACGCCGACAAACCTGTGCACGCTCATGCCCACTCACACGCCACACCCCCTCCCCTGCTGGGCACCAGATAATGGAGCTGCGGAGCTGTGTGGCTGCAAGCCGCCCTTTCCGAGCTTCTGCTAGGTGGTGTGTTCAAACCTGCAGGCTTCGAAGAGTTCTGAGCATCTAGAAGAGCAGAGTCCAGTAAAAATGTAGCAAAGCCACGCATGTAAGTTTACCTGTGCTGGCAGCCATACTGACAAAAGGGAAAATAAACAAATGAGATTAATTTTAATACTTTTTTATTTATTTATTTATTTTTTGATACGGAGTTTCGCTCTTGTTGCCCCAGCTGCAGTGTAATGGCACAATCTCGGTTCACTGCAAACTTTAGCTCCCAGGTTCAAGCTATTCTCCTGCCTCAGCCTCCCAAGTAGCTGGGATTACAGGTATGCGCCACCACGCCCAGCTAATTTTGTATTTTTAGTAGAGACAGGGTTTCTCCATGCTGGTCAGGCTGGTCTCGAATTCCCAACCTCAGGTGATCCGCCCGCCTCGGCCTCCCAAAGTGCTGGGATTACAGGCATGAGCCACGGCACCCAGCCAATACTATTTTTATTTAAATCCAATAGAGCCATAATATTATCACTTGGATAATCAATACAAAGAATTATTATTTTGAGGGATGGAGTCTCGCTCTGTCACCCACGCTGGGGCACAGTGGCGCAATCTCGGCTCACTGCAACCTCTGCCTCCCGGGTTCAAGTGATTCTCCTGCCTCAGCCTCCCGAGTAGCTGGGATTGCAGGCGTGTGCCACCCCATGCCCAGCTAATTTTTGTATTTTTAGTAGAGATGGGGTTTCGCCATGTTGGCCAGGCTGGTTTCGAACTCCTGACCTCAGGTGATCCACCTGCCTTGGCCTCCCAGAGTGCTGGAATCACAGGCATGACCCACCATGCCTGGCCTAAAGAATTATTAAAGAGTGATTTTACTCTCCCTTTTTTCTACTAAGTCTTTAAAATCTAGTGTTTGTTTTACACTTATAGACCATCTCAATCAGACACTAAATTTTTATCAGAAATCCTTGATTGTATTTAGATTTAATAAAATGTAGAGTAAAAAAGTATATTGTCACCCAAATTGTTTCAAACAAACTTGAAAGTTTTTAATAATGGAAATGGGTATTGGTTTTAAATTTTTAAGACAATACAATAAAACCCTCTGTGCCAAATCCCCCACAGAGTCATGGCATTGGGGTTTCGAAGGCCTCATTGCTGGCCCCCACCTGCAGGCATCCCTTCTGGGTTGACAGCCACGAGATGAGTGTTATCAGTGTCTGTGGGAGAAGCAGGGGCTCTGAGGTTGGGCGAGCGAAGGATCAGGTGGGCACTGCACACCGAGGGCACAAGAGCCTGGGAAGCCCCACCATGAGGGGCGGACTTGACTGAGCCCAGGCGTCCAGGCCCTTGTGGGCACAGAGTCTCCTCCCCAGGAGGCTGTTAGCACTCGGGGGGCGGGGGGCTCTGCTCGCCCTAGACCCCTCTTCTGGACAGATGGCAGCACCATGCCCCTCCCAAGCCCCATACCCCTGTGCAAGCCCTGCCTGCTGCCCGGAGGACCCATGCAAAAGCCGTCACCGCCCACGTCCAGGCCTGGGGGTGGGGGGAAGAGCACTCAAGTGCAAGAGGCAGACCCTGTGCCCCCACCCCTCCGGTGCCTCCCTCACCCCTCCTGTGCCTCCCCTACCCTCCCGTGCCTCCCCCACCCCTCCCGTGCCTCCCCCTCCACTCCTCCCATGCCTCCCCCCACCCCTCCCGTGCCTCCCCCTCCACCCCTCCCGTGCCTCCCCCACCCCTCCCGTGCCTCCCCCTCCACCCCTCCCGTGCCTCCCCCTCCACCCCTCCCGTGCCTCCCCCTCCACCCCTCCCGTGCCTCCGCTGCCCTGGGGTCGCAGCCTGGCAGGTCCTGCGCACCCCGATCCCCGCCGGCCAGCCTGGCATCACCCACACGGTCCGCCTCCCCACCCCGATGCCCTCCTACTACCCCCTGGCATTTTTCTGTGTGTGTCCAGCTCCTTCCTGCCACGGGGCCCTTGCTCGGCCGCTCACCATGCCCCGCCCTCCCTCGACTGGGCAGGACCTGCTAATCCTCAGATCCCGGCTCAGAGTCATGTTCCCAGGAAGCCCCTGGCCCTGCCGAGGTCAGAGCCTGTGACAGCCAAATGCTCCCAAACACACACCATGCTGGCTTGCGACCACGCCTGTGTGGCTGTGCCTCCGTGGCTGTCTCACCCGTGGTATCTGTGGCGTCGGGAAGGACCCTGTCTGGCTGCACCGCGTCCCAGTGCTAGGATGAAGTCAAAGCCCAAGAAACCAGATGAAAGAATGAATCCACAGACAGAAAACTGTGACAAAAGCTTTGAGTGCCCTGCTCCCGAGCACGGCTGAGACGCGGAGCTCACCCCAGCCTGGAGAACTCAGGGCAGCCGTGACCCAGGGGCAGGAAGAGGAGCCGGTCTGGCTCTGGGCAGGTCTGGGCTCCTTGGCACACGTGCCCCAACCCTGGCACTCCTCGGGGATGAGGGGGGCTGTCCTGCCTGGGTGCCACTTCAGTCTATGGGGAAAGGGTGGATTGCAGGCCAACAGACACTGCATTGACAAGGAGCTCATGGGAGCAGTCCCGGCAGCCAGGCTGGCCTCTGGGGAAAGGACCTGGGGCCAGGACCCTGAGAGTGGGGAGGACAGCTGGGGCTGAGGCGGAGGGAAAGCTTTGGGAAGCAGAGACCATGGGGGCAAAAGCCAGCATCAGGGGAGACCACGCACGGGAGGAGGTCCTCCGAGCAGGAATGCCCTCCAGGCAGGTTGGATGGCAGCCCCCGTGACAACCATGTCCTAATCCCCCAAGTCTGTGACTGTCACCTTACTTGGCAAAGGAGTTCAGAACCTTAGAATGGGAGAGGAGCCTGAATTATCCGGGTGAGCCCAGTATAATCACCAGGGCCATCTAGGAAGGAGGCAGGAGGGTCGGAGGCAGAGGAGGGGAGTAGAGGTCCGAGGCAGAGGAGGGGAGTAGAGGTCCGAGGCAGAGGAGGGGCGTAGAGGTCCGAGGCAGAGGAGGGGCGTAGAGGTCCGAGGCAGAGGAGGGGCGTAGAGGTCTGAGGGCTGCAAGCAAGGGCTTGAGCCAAGGAAATGCAGGTGGGAAAGACAGGGACATGGATTTTGCCTTAAAGCCTCCGGAAGGAGCTCATTCCTGCTGGCTCCTGGTGCCCCAGTTCAGTCCTCTGCCTCCAGAACTGTAAGGTGACCTGTGAGCTGTGTCGGCCCTTCGCTGGGGCTGTTACTGCAGCCCCCGAAACTCACCCGGCCTTCGAGAAAAGGAGTGCAGGTCTCACTCTGAGGCCCCAGGAGCCTCGGGAGGTTCCCAGCAGGAAACGACGTGGTCTCCTGCATGTTTCTAACTTAGAAGCCACCGTGGGAGTCCGGCCCGGAGGCAGCCCTGGCCCACGGCTCACGCTGCTCTGGGCTCTCTATAGAGTCGTCCCCCTGCTCCTCACAGTCCTGGTGTCCCCCGCTTTACAGGTGAACAAGCCGAGGCCCAGTGCTGCCTGGGTGCTGGCCCTTGCGACGGCCCAACTGGTTGGGTTGGGGCCATGTAAGTGCCAGGCAGGCTGGTGCTGCCTCCTGGGCGGTCACCTCCCGGGGACGCCACTCGGTCACCAGGGGAGGCGGCCTCAACAGTGCCTGCCGTGTGACGCTCCCCAGCCTCGGAGGTGGCCTTGGCTCCAGGGCCTATGGCAGGCCCATCAGTCCCAACAGGCGGGAAGAGCAGCCTGACCTGGTTGAGCTGGGACCTCCGAGGCCACGGACGTACACACCGTCCTCCCTCCACAGCCTCCGAGGCCGCGGACGTTCACACCGTCCTCCACAGCCAAAGGGCTGCCCGGGTGGTTTTGGTTCCATCAGTGAAGTTTTCTGTGGTTCACTCAGAGCGGAGCTGGGCATGGCTTCCTAATTGTGTCTCCTCTGGAGCACTTCAGAGCCTTCCCAGGGCCCGTGGAGCCTGAGGTGTGTGCTGGCACGTGTGGCACAGGCCTGGGAGTCCCAGCAGCGGCAGAGAGACCCGGAGGGGGTCAGGTGCCCTCCACCCACAGAGAGGGGGTGTGCGTGAAGAGGAGGGGTGGGACGAAGGAGGAGATGTGTTTTCTGCTTTAATGATTTAATGGGTATTTAACCCTCCCTTGGTATTTGCCTGGCTTCCGGGTGCTCTGAAAAGTTTCCCTAAAGGGGCTGGGGGAGGGGAGCTGGCGCCATGAAGGCGTGAGTCAGGTGGGTGAGGCTACGCTTGCTGGAAGGAGTCTACGTGCCTTCTGAACACACAGCTAACAGCCTGCACCTGTCCCAAAGGCCATGCTTCCCTGTGACAATGACTGGTTCCTGCCCACGTCGGGAAAGCCTTGGACAGCTTTCCTGGCCTCCAGAGAACCAGGGGAGTTGGGCTTGTCAAAGTTCCTGGGAGCCAGTGCTTCCCCTGCAGGCTGAGACCAGCCCAGGAAACTTCACTCTCAAACCACCGCCCCAGGGCAGAAACTTCCCTGGCCGCCTGCCCTGGTAATTTTCCAGGGTTGAAATTTTCCTCTCCAGGGCAGGAAGGACCTTCAGCCACTGATAGCTCAACCAGAAATGTTTCTACCGGACCAGAAGTCACAACCGCCCAGAGCATGACTTCACTCAGCCTCAGGGGCGGGGCTGTGGGGAGCAGTGGTCGGGGCCCCTCCCACCTGCAGATCAGGGGTGTGTCTGGCCACGCCCCACCAGCATCTGCAAGGGACAGAACGTTCCAGGGCAGGCAGCACAACAGGCCAAGGACTCAGGATCCCCGCCAGAGGGGCAGGGGCTGCAGGAGGCCACCCGCTCCCCGCTGACCTTGGCAGGAGCACCTGGGAAGCTGTGATGATCCCGCCCGGGTCTCCTCTCGGCCCTGAGGTCGCAGGACTCCAGCCACTGTGGAGATGAGAGGGAGTGTGGCTTCCCCTGAAATGAAACCAGACCCAAACCAAGACAAAAGCCTCCCACATTGATCCTATATTCCTGCCCTTCCTTGAGAGCAAGGGGCAGGATTTGACTTCCCCCAGGGGTAGGGGGGCACGCATGGCTGCTTGGGCCCATGGAAAGTGGCTGGAAGGGCCGCGTGTCACCTCTAGTGGAGACCCCTGGGACCCAGTGTGCAGTGCACCCTGGCCCTGGCAGCGACACCTGCAGCCTCCAGGTGGTGCCCGCGGGGGCCCGTGCAGGGACGCGGGACCAGGGCCCTGGCTGCTGTGGGGCCTGATCTGTCTGTGTTGATGGACACACCTCAGAGCCAGGATGAGGCCCAGAAGGACCAGGAGCCCAGCCTGTCTCCTAAGCAGCTTCCAGGTACTTCTGTATTTGGATATTTTTAGGAGAAGCTCTTTATTATCCAAAGATGTCATCATCAAAAAAGGGAAACGACCATCCAACCACACTTCTGCCAGTTTTACCGAAAGAGCAGACTGTGCCGGAACTCGGTGCTTAAAAGGACAGAGCAAACCCCTAGTCTACTCAGAGAGGAAGGGCACGTCCGCCCCACTCGAGGGAGGAACAAGGCTGTCCACTCAGTAAGTCTTTGTAAGGAGTGCCAGGGTCCTGGGAACAACAGCAGCCTGTGCTCCCGAGAGTCACCTGAGTCGGCCTGGACGGAGCCTGCAGTGACCGGACCAGGCAGGTGAGCGTGTGCCCAGGCACGGGCTCCGGGTTCAGGCACACAGAGACCTCAGCCTTTGCTTTCCCTCCCCACAAATGACGGCAAAAAAACACGTGAATCCAAGGCCCAGGGATGAGCTCGGTTTTTCCGTTCACAGTGATGCTCTGGGATGTGGAGGAAGAACTGGCACGAGGCTGCAGCGACGCGGCCCGGGCCTCCGAATGCTGAGTCAAGCAGGGCCATTGCACGAGGATGGGCGGGTGGGCGCAGGCCAGAGGTGGCTCTCCCGTGTCCTCCGTGTGGCCAAGGAGCATGTTCCTTCATCATCACAGTCACATCACACCACCAAGCCCCGCGAAATTCCAACCCTTTCATTCCTTAGCTTGTAAGATAATGCTGCGTGAACCAAGACAAGACACAGCCAAGGGGGCCATGGAGGGTGGCGGGCACCGTGCTGTAGGCTGAGCTGCTGTGCCAGGGCACCATGCTGCAGGCTGAGTGAGCTGCCATGCCAGGCGACCACTGGGCCCGGCCCTGCCCAGGGTGTGGTCAGCCCGGGAGAGCCATGCCAAGCCGCGGAGAGAGGAGCGGCCCCCAGCCTCAGCAGGGCACGTGCGCACACTGCCGGGGGCATCTGGGCCTGGACACGGGTTGTGATGTGGGACGTCGGAAGAGACAAGAAAAACATGGCTCCATGAAATGGGAGCAGCCTCGGGATCCCCAGGAAGTCTCACCCTCTGGAGGCAGGTGGAGCATTGACTTGGCCGGACCCCATGTCCCGCAGGCGCGGCGGCCCCTCGTGGGCATCTCAGCTGGAACGAGGCATGAGCAAGGGCACAGTGGAGCCGCACTAGGGTCCCATAGGGGCTGCTTGGTTCAGAGCGACAAGCCGACGGACAATGGAGTGGGTGGCACTGTGAATTGCAAGGCAGCCCATTCTGTCCCCGGAGCCCCCTCTGGGTGCCTTTCCCTTCGCAGCACCTTCCCTCCAGCTCCAGACACCTCAGGACCCGCCAAGGCCTCACACTGGGTGTGCAGGTCCTTAGGGATTCCAGACTGGCCCTGCAGTGCCTGGGGCGGGTCTGTGGGCCTGGGGAAGGGGCCGGCAGGGTTGTGTACCACAGTGGTTCTGCTCATATGTGTCTTACTTACTGGGGTTCTGGGTCACAGTTCAGTCCCGCTGCCTTCAGAGCTAGGAAGCTGAGGCTCTGAGGGGGGAAACCAGAGGAAGGGCAGGGACGGGTGCCCTCGAGGTGTGACCCGGCAGGCGTCTTCCTGAACAGTCCTGCCCTGCGGTGCCACTGCTCCCGCCTGCTGTGCCTGCTCCCAGACCGAGCTGGCCTTCCCCACCGCAGTCCCAACCCAGGGCAGGAGGCGCCCCCACACTCTTGCCTCATCCACTGGACCACCCGGGGTGCAGCCTCCCAGGCTGCCTGTGGGGTTGGCAGGACCCAGGGGCTTCCTCCTGACGTTGAGCATGTGTTGGCCTCTGGACTGACCTCCCAGGCAGAGGGGCACCAGGGAGAGGTCATAGCCTCTCCTCAAGCTCCCTGGGCACTGCTGGCAGCCCCAGGGTACAAGCAATGTGCCAACACCCCCTCCCCCTCCTGCTCTTCCAGCCCACGGTCACTTTCACCAGCAGCCTCACCCAGAGGGCACCAGCCTTGGTCTAGGTAAATGCCACCTCACCTCCACAGATGACCCTGGATTTCTCACCTCTAAGCCTAATTGCCCCCAAAACCCAGAGTTCCATGTCCAGCTGCTGATCCACTATCACGTCTGGCACCCAGCAGGTGTCTCAGAGTTTTCCTGTCTAACTCAGAAATTTTTCGGCTTTTCCCCAGTTGGCTCTCCCTGCCCCACCTGTCCTCCTCACCTCGAGAATGGCCTCTTTCCCTCGTCTGCCACCTCTGGCCTAAGAGTGAGTCCTGAGCCCTAGCTCCAAAACTTTTCTCAAGTCTGTGGCCTCCTTGCCACCCCTCCTGCCCATCACCTCTTACCTGGTCTCCTGTCTCCATCAGTCCCTCTCCATGCCACAAGATCTCCTAAGAACACACATCAAATTATGTCATACGCAGTTAAAATTTCTGCGGTTCTCTGTTGCTCTTTAGATAAAGTTCGAGCTCTTTACCATGTGTTGGGAGGAGGGCTGGCATGAGGAAGACCTTCATACATCATTGTCATTGTCATCATCACCATAACTCTTATCACCATCACTACCACCATCATCATTACCACCACCAACCTCATCATTTCAACTATTACCATCACCATGATCATCACCACCACCACCATCCTCATGACAACCATCACCACCACCACAACCATCATCATCTCAACCATCACCACCATCACCAACCCCATCATCATCACCCTCATCACAACCATCATCACCACCACCATCATCTCAACCATCACCATCATCACCAATCCCATCATCATCCTCAACACAACCATCATCACCACCACCATCATCTCAACCATCACCATCATCACCAATCCCATCATCATCCTCAACACAACCATCATCACCACCACCATCATCTCAACCATCACCACCACCATCAATACCACCACCACCACCCTCATTACAACCATCACCACCATCATTACCACCATCATCCTCAACACAATCATCACCATCACCACCACTACCACCATTCTCATGGTAGCCATCATCATCACAACCATCACCACCACCAATACCATCACCATCATTGCCAGCATCATCACTATCATCATCGTAGTTTGCCTACAAAGCAAGAGAGGGTCTTGGCTCAGTGTAAACAGGCTTTGATACTCCAAGCTCACCCCCTAGAAGTGGCAAGCCAAGACCCAGGAGGCAGGAACACCCCCAGACAGTGCCTCTATCACTGGGAATGAGGCCTGTTCAAAGGGAATTGTCCACATTTGTTTTGTGCTGCTATAACAGAATACCACAGACTGGATAATTTATAAAGAACAGAAGTGCATTGACTCACACTTCTGGAGGCTGGAAAATCTAAGATTGAGGGTTGGCGTCTGGCAAGGGCCCTCTTGCTGCATCCCCCCATGGGGGAAGTCAGAAGAGAAGGCAGGAGAGAGAAAGCAGGAGGAGGCTGAACTCGTCCTTTTATAAGGAACCCACTCCCAAGGTAATGGCATTAATCCATTCGCTCTGCCCTCATGGCCTAAGTTTCCAGCACAAGCGTATGGGGGGACATATCCAAACCACTGCACGAGTTAACACCTCTCAGACCATTTAGAGATATAAATAATGAGGGTTATGATGACAGTGTTTATTAGCACTCTTGGGGTTTTTCCATTTCCCTGATCTGATGCAGCTGTGAATAATTTGCCACTAGGAGCTGCGTCAGCCAGGCCCAGGAAGTGGCCCCTGCCTCACTCAGCCAAGCGTAAAACCTGCCATCCGGCCAGGGCCAAGATCCAGGCACAGACAACCTCTTGGCCACTTGACCCCCCAGCGAAATCCGCAGTAGCCCCTGAGATCAGGAACTCCCCTCAGCCCTTCCTTGCTCTGTTCTGGCCACTCCAGTGGCCTCTGTGCCTGCCTTCAGGGCCTCTGCTCTTGCTGCCCCCTCCTAGGGCATACTTTGGCCAGTCATCCACTGATGACTGGGGTCTTTGCCTAAATGCCATCCCCTAGGAGAGGCCTGTGCTACCCACCCCCCACCCCGGCCAGGTAGGTCTGTGAGATTTCCCTGTATGTCTCATCACTACTTAAAGTCAGCTTGTTTATTTGCATGTTTATCTTTCTGATCCATCTTCCCCGAGTGCCCTGGGAGAGCCACATTCCTGGAGCCCAGACCCAGCCCCCTGCAGGGCTTGATGCACTTTGCGGAGTGAATGGATCACTACGGTTACCTGGCCCCAAGCCTGCCAGGCAGAACCCTTTCTATGTGTCGTGGCATCGGTGCTCCCAACAGCCCTATGAGCTTGATGTTCTTATTAACTTCATTTTAAAGATGAAAATCCTGAGGCTCAGAGAAATTAATACACTTGCCCAAGGTCACACAGCAGGTATCTCTCAAAGTCAATAATCCCATCCAAGTCTGCTAATCCCAAGCCTGTGATCTCAGCAGCTGCACACACTGCTCCAGCCTGTGCCACACAAAGCAAGTGCCCATTGCAGGCAGTTTTTAAAAATCATTTTTAAAGTAAGGTATATACACACACACACACAAATATACTTATATGTGTGTGTATATATATATAAATAGGATATTATTTATATATATAAAAACAGGGTATTATATAAAGTAAGCTATATATATATACAGGGTATTTAAATTAAGGTGTAAGGCCAGGTACGGTGGCTCACGCCTGTAATCCCAGCACTTTGGGAGGCTGAGGCAGGTGTGTTACCTGAGGTCAGGAGTTTGAGACCAGCCTGACCAATATGGTGAAACCCCGTCTCTACTAAAAATACAAAAATTAGCCAGGCATGGTGGTGCATGCCTGTAGTCCCAGCTACTTGGGAGCCTGAGGCAGGAGAATCACTTGAACCCGAGAGGCAGAGGTTGCAGAGAGCCGAGATCACATCACTGCAGTCCAGCCTGGGTGACACAGTGAGACTCCATCTCTAAATAAACAAATAAATGTGTAAGCAAAGTGAGTGACAGAGCAACAGGGTCTTGCTGTGTTGTGTGGATGCTCCTGTTTCTCCATCCGTGCCCGGGGAAAGGGCGTGTGGTTGTTTCCAGTTTGGGGCAGTTCCGAATAACCCCTCTGTACACATTTCTGTTCAGGCTTTGTGTGGATGTGAGGTCTTACTTTTCTTTGAGCCGGTTTGCTGGATCCTACAGCAGGTGCCTGTTCCACTTGGGAGGAAGCTGCCACACTTCCGCACACAGCACCTTCTGCATCCCACCAGCAGTGTGGAGGAGCCCTGTCTTCAGGCGTATTTTTTAAAACTATAAAATGTTTTTTAAAAACACATCACGTAAAAGTTCCTACTGTTACGGGATCCTGGGGTGTCGCTTTGCCAGCTAGAAGCCTCTGTGACTGCTGGTGACTTTGCCCGAGTTTTGCTGGGGCCTGCTAGGCTTGTTCCATCCACTCAGCCAGGCAGGCTGCACTCGGCTCATGCTACCAGCCTGGATCCCACACCTGCTGAGGGTGAGCCGGGCATGGAGTGGCAAGGGGTGTGTGAGTGAGCGTGGGATCCGGCCACTGTTCACAGCCAGCCATGCCAGCTGTGGCGGGGCGGGCAGCTCCAGACACCAGCATGGGCACCGGCTCCCTGTGAGGCTGCAGCTGGACCAGGCGGACCATAATCAGCTTCCATGGCTGACACCAGGGAACGCAGTGGTGCCTGGAAGCTTGGAGCTACCAGGAACTGCAGAGCCCTAAAGAGGGTGTCACAGCCCTGGCTCCGGGAGCGCCTAGGTCTGGGCTCCCCGGAAGGCCACAGCTCTTCTCTCCTTCTCTCTTCTCTCCTTCTTGTCACCCTCAACGTGCTGAGCAGGGGTGTTTTGTGTTACGGCTCTTTCAGCCCCGCCATTTGGTGGGTCTCAAGTTCCTGTCCTGCGACCAGGAAGAATGAGGTATGCAGACAAGTAGAGGGTGAGCAAGATGAGGAGGAGCCTTACTGAGTGTTAGCACAGCTCAGAGGAGACCCGCCGTGGGCAGGTCCTCTCTGCAGCTGGTTGTCCCATCATCTTTTCTGGTCTGGCTGAGTCTGGGACTTTTTATGGGCCTCAAAGAGGAGGAAGTGCATGCTGATTGGTCCATGGGTGGCCATGGACGGGCCTGGAAAAAGCACCACAAGTTCCCAGTCTGGTCCATGGAACCAGCAGCCCAGCCCCCAGGTTTCAGGCCCTCCCTTGCTTAAAGGTGGGTCTTCACCAGGGACTCACCCCTTTCCACCAGGGAGCTTGTCTGCTGCTGTTCACTGCACCCAGGCTGTTTGTGCCAAGGGGCACCTGCAGCTCAGCACCAAGCTGCCCTCAGCATCTCCCTCGACCACCCTCACATGCTCATTGGCGCCCAAAATCTGGAGGGGGCTGAGGTGGCAGGGGGCTGGCATGTGAGCGCTGCCCCAAATGCACGCACAACTGGCCAGGCTGCAACAGTGCCCAGGCTCAGCCTCAGCTTTCCTCCATGATCAGGGCTGGTGCCGACAGTGGGAAGTCAGACAGTGGGAAGCACTTCTGGGCCTGTGGGGACAGGGGGGCCTTCCCGGGCTCCCAAGAGTGCAGGGATGCCTGGGTCCACAGCCATGGCTTGGGAGGCCGTAGCTATGCCCGGGAGGGTGGAGCTCTTGCCTGCTCCCAGCTCCCAGAGCACGGGGTGACCAGGTTGCAGCTGCGGTTTGGGTGGCCGCAGTTGTGCCTGGGGAGCTCTGGCCAACTCTGTGGAGTGTGGCACCACCCTGGGGGCCAGCTGTGCCTCAGGACCCCTCTCTGCCCATCCCTCCATGTCCAACCATGCTGCTTTCCTGCCAGTGGGTGACTTGGCCCAGCCCCACTGCGGTGGCTCCCAGGGGCAGCCGGCTCGGTGGGGTGGGGGGTCCCAGGAGTGGGGACTGCCTGCCTCCTCTCCGTGTCTTCCCTGCAGTGGCAGTGGGCAAAGTGCAGGTGGCGAGGTGGTCTCAACCACCTTTGCACAAATGAACCCGACACACTCGGGGCCGGCCCCGCAAGTCCCGCTGTGCCTTCCACCAAGTGCTCAGGGGTTCCCGAGACACAGTGGGGAGTGAGGTTGAGGCCGTGGTGGAGGCCCTGGGCCTGGGAGTGGGTCCTGCCCGGCTGTGTGAGGGTGGGGGTGGTGCAGTCGGCTGCCTCGGGGACGTGGGGCACGGGGATCTCATCACCGCCATTGCTGCTCCTGCAGCCACTCCTGCCACCACTGCCGGCACCTTCCTGCTGCAGCTGGTGTGATGGCAGCAGCCGCTCCAGACACTCCACATGCTGCAGCCATCACTGCCTTTGGCATGTTGAAGGGTACAGTTCAGTGGCACCGAGCCCATTCACAACGTGAATTCATCACCACCATCCATTTCCAGAACACTTTCCATCTTGCACACCTGAAACTCTATACTCAGTAAACAGTAACTCCCCCTTTTTCCTCTCCCCAGCCTCTGACAACCCCCATCCTACTGTCTGGCTCAGTGAACTTGACTAGGGACCTCCTGTAAGTAGAATCATGCAGTACTTGTCCCTTTGTGACTGGCTTACTTCACTGAGCAGTATGTCCCCAGGGTCTTTCCATGTTGTAGTAGGTGTCAGAGCTTCCTTTGGTTTTAAGATTGAGTGATATCCCCTTGTGTGGATGGACCATGCATCTGTCAGGAGACACCGTGTTGTGTCCACCTTTGGTGATTGTGAATATGGCTGCTACAAATAGGGATGGACGAATATCTCTTCGTGCCCTTGCTTTCAGTTTTGGGAGGTATATACCCAGAAGTGGAATTTAATTTTTAATTTTTTGAGAAACAGCCCTAATGCTTTCCACAGTGGCCGCACCGTCATGCGTTCCCATCAACGGTGAGTGCAGGTGCACTTTTAAGAAATCCCTGGAAATATGACATCAAAACAAAGGCAGCACAAACGCACACACGCGAGACAGCATCAGATTAAACAGCTTCAGCACAGCAAAGGAAACAAGCAGAGGAAAACAAATATTTCCTCCGGGCAGGAGAAAATGTTTCCAGTCATACATTGATAAGGAATGGACATCCAGATACATGTGGGACTCACCAGCAAGAAAATAAGGAACTCAATTTTAAGGCAGGTCAAAGACCTCCACAGAGATTTCTCCGAAGAAGACAGGATAATGGGAAACAGGCATATGACAAAAGTGTCCCATCAGCACTCATCAGGGAAATGGAAATCAAAACCAAATGGGCTATTGCCTCACACCTGTTAGGAGGGCAATTATGAAAACACAAAAGCCAGCCAGCGTTGGGGAGGATGTGGACAAGAGGAACCCTGGTGCAGTGTTGGTGGAAATGTAAATTAGTACAGCCATTATGGAAAACACTATGGCAGTTCGTCAAAAAATTAAAAATACAACTGTCCTAGGATCCAGCAATCCCTCTGCTGGGGAGGCACCCAAGGGAAGTGGACTCTGCACCTCGGGGAGACATCAGCACCCCCGTGTTCACTGCTGCACTGCCCACAACTGCCAAGATATGGAAGAGTCCGATGGCAGATGAGTGAATTTTACATATGTAGTGTAGATACACAGCGGAGTACTACTCAGCCATAGAAATGAATGAGATTCAGGCCAGGCGCGGTGGCTCATGCTTGTAACCCCGGCACTCTGGGAGGCCAAGGCGGGCAGATCACCTGAGGTCAGGAGTTCGAGACCAGCCAACATGGTGAGACCCCATCTCTACTAAAGGTACAAAAATCAGCCGGGCGTGGTGGCACATGCCTGTAATCCCAGCTACTCAGAGGCTAAGTCAGGAGAATCGCTTGAACCCGGGAGGCGGAGGTTGCAGTGAGCTGAGATGGTGCCTGGGTGACAGAGCAAGACTCCGTCTCAAAAAACAAAAAAGAATGAGATTCAGTCATTTGCAACAACCTGGATGAACGTGGAGGACATTATGCCAAGTGAAATAAGCCAGGCACAGACAGACAGATACTGCGTGCTCTCACTTACACGTGGACGCTAAAATTCAAGTTGAACTCATGAAATCCAGAGCGGTAGGGTGTTTACCAGGGGCTGGAGGGGGCAGCAGAGACGCCGGCCAGAGAGCACAAAGTTTCAGCTCTAAGATGAGTAAGTTCTGGAGCTCTGATGTACAACATGGTGATTACAGCTATTAATGCATACTTAAGAACTGGAAAGAGTGGGCTTTAAATGTTCTCACCACAAAAAAATGTAAGTATGTGAGGGATGGTCGTGCTAATCGCTTCTCGAGCCATTTCACAGAGCGCACGCGCGCCGGAAACCATGTGGAACATTTTATGGAGCATTTTTACCTGTGGATTTTTAAAAAATGAATTAATTAAAATTTGAAACCTGAAGTTCCCAGAAGGCAGGGAGTCGGGGGCTGTGAGGCGGGGGGCGGGGGCGGCCCTGTTGGCTGCCCTTACTGGCCGCAGTCTTCCCAAATTCAGGCTTGAGAGAGGCTGAAAGAGGGCCCTGGAACGTGCATTCTTCCCAGCACCGAGCCTCCCCTGCAGCTCTGGCGCAGGCAGCAGCCACTCAGGCGTCATTGGCTAAGATCAAGAGGATGTGCCGTCAGTACAGGAGGCGAGAATGAACCAAGACCCTTGCAGCTCCTCAGACACAGGAAGCGCTTCCAGGCTCGGGGAGTGGGGTCCTCAAGGGAGGGGGGGCAGAGGCAAGGCTGGGGCACCACCAAATGCCAAGTGCCCCAGTCTGACACTCAGAACCAGCCCAGGAGAAGGGGAAGTTGGCTGAGAACAACCAGGCCCAGCCAAGGCCCCCAGCCTCCGGCCCCGGGACGGTCTCCCTGAAGCTCCTAGCGTACCCCCTTATTTTCTCCCGGAAATTGTCCCATGTCACCTGGCCTAGCCTGCCCTGCCTGCCGGGAGCCTCCCTCTCCTGGGACCCCACCCCCATCCAGAGGCCCTACCCAGAGCCACGGGGTTGTGAGGGGTGGGTCAGCTTCTCTGGGGGCTCCAGGCCTGGGGTTCAGCGGCGTCCTCCTGCTGGTGGTAGTAGGGGTGCTGGGGGCATGAGCCTCCTGGACTGAGCGGGGGAACCCAGGGGCATGCTGGCCAAGGGCAGTCCTGGACAGGGGTCAGCGGGGTTTGGGGGGTGGCAGAGAGGGAGGGCCTGAGCTGTGTGTTGGATGGTGACACCTCTGGTCAGGTGGAGGAGGGGCGGGAGACAGAGACAGAGACGGATAGTGAGGGTGGGAGGCACCAGCGGGTTGGAGGCCCCGTCTTCCCAGCCCCTGACGGACCATCCTGGGAGATGCCTGGTGTGGTGGGGCCTGGCTCGGGACAGATGTGCCCTGGGCTGTGATTGTGGTGATTCCTGCTGGGTGTAAGGGGCCACCCGGGGAGCCGGCACCCACTCGGGAGGAATGCACCCTGCCTTAGGACAGGCCCATCCAAAGAAACAGCGCTTCTCTCTCGGTGGACTTTTTAAGACAAAGAAATAGGTGCTCAGTGGACCAAGTGAGGAGCGTTTAGAAGGTGGCACCTTGTCCCGCTGCCCTGTGTCCCTCCCTCCCCACTGGGCTGTCGGCTGGTGCCCCCCTCCCTGAAAGAGCACCACGGTTTCAGGGCCCCAAGCTGCGGTGCAGCCTGCTCTCTGGGATGGCAGCAAGGCTGAGCATTTCTCCCTCAATAATGCCCACCACTCCCAACCTGTCACTCACTCGACCGCTCCCCACAGGCAGACTCCAGGCTGTTTGCAGTTTGCTGAGCCAGGGTCGCGTGCATTCCATCTGATGACAGGCAATGTCAGGTTATTCTCCCAAAAGGCCCTGGCAGGTTACCCCACACCCAATCCTTGCTGATGTCACCTTTGCCAGCTCCCTCCGGGGACCTCTGAGACGTTTCTCCAGGACAAGGAACAGCACGAACATGTCAGCCTGCGTGGATGAAACCGGGAAGATGGCCGCGAGCCGTGTGCCCACACAGGAGTGTGGCCATGGCTGTCGGTGTGAGGCTGTAGCTCTGTGGAAAACGCAGACCACACAGTACAGAGGCGAGGCCGTCTCCAGAGCTGGCATCATCAATGTGGCTACCATCGGGCAAGGCCAGAAGAAAATACGGAAAATAGGAAAATCGCTGCTGGACTCATGTCCTTGGGCCTTCAGCAAATTTTCTCCTTTAAAAATTTCCTTTAATACTGTGTAATGTTGCTTTTGCGAAAATAAAATTCCCGGGACAAAAAGAGGAGGCAGAGAGAAAGACAGAGGCAGAGAGAGAGAGAGGGAGAGACAGAGCCCACAGTCCACCCGCAGCCCGCAGCCCGCAGCCCGAAGCCCGCAGCCCGTGGGGGAAGAGGAGGGCGCCTGCAGGCAGCAGGGGGAAGGCTGCAGATGGGGCTGGACCTGAGGAGGGGCTGGGGCATGGGATTCTCTGAGCCCAGAACGTGGAGAATGCCTCGCTGCAGACATGACCGGGGGCTGTGCAGGACACAGACGGCCACAGAAGCCAGGGTGTGGCCGGGGCTAGGCCTGCCCTGAAGGCTGCCGAGGCGGAGTAGGTGACGGTGGGGTGAGGACTTGAGAAGCAGGGGACACTTTTTCCAGAGGAAGCTGCTCTCCCAGGGGTGCCTCAGTGGAGCAGAGCGAATGGAGCGAACAGACTGAATTCACGGCATTTTAGGACGGGGGACCTGGTGTGGGGGCTTGGATGGAAAGACAGGGAACAGGATAAGCCCTGGGAAGGAAAGGGGGATGTGGCTGCCTCTTCAGGGGCCGGGGTGGGCGTCTGCCCAGGAGGGCAGCGGAGGAGGGGAGGGCAGTGCGGGTAGGGAGGGGAGGTGGCCCCACAGACGCTGGGAGTGCCCAGGTTTTCTGACAACCTCAGCCGCTTGGCTAGAGCGTCTGGAAGGATTTGCGGGGAGCATGTCTGGGGGAATCGAGGCTCTGTGACGGGTGACGGCACAAAGGGGCCCAGCAGGCCTGGCTCCAGCGCCAGCCAGAGGAGTGGCCGGGGGATGAGAGAGCCCAGGAAGGCACCCCAGGGAGGTGCAGCACGCGCCGCCGACTCAGCCCTGGGCCCCGTACGCAGGAGCCACCCCCTTCCTGCAGATGGAACAAACCATCTGGGGTCAGGAAATTGAGCTGGCTCTTCTAATCTCCTCTAGAGCTCCACGTTCCTGGGGTTTAAGTAGAACATCCAGGCCTCTCAGTGAGCCAGAAAAGCCCATTTCTACCTTGTGATGGGGAAGATGAAAATTCTGTGAGTCTCCTACGTGGGAAAGGGTCCGGCTTGCCTGCAGGATGCTGACTGCGTGGCACCTAAACACAGAAAGTTCTGGAAGATTCCTTGCCCCTGTGTAGGCTTAAATATCGTTCACTAGCTCTGACAGTCCACCCAGGCCCTGGGCAACATGTTCCAGGGCAGAGCAGGTTGGCACAAGATGGACATGGTCATGGTGCCTTCCACGGTCACGGGACCCTGGGGACAGCAGACACCGCCCAAGAAGGAATCTCAGGGACCTGTGGGCATCCCTGTTTTTGTGCCTCTGGGTTCTATCACCTGACTTCCCCCAACAATGAGCTCTGCACATGGCCAGGGATCTCTGCACACGTCCAGGGAGCTCTGCACATGGTCAGCCAGCTCTGCACACGGCCAGGAACTCTGCACACCATCAGGGATCTCTGCACACAGCCAGGAACTCTGCACACGGTCAGCGAGCTCTGCACACAGCCAGGGAGCTCTGCACATTGTCAGGGAACTTTGAAAGGGCTGGGCAGGTCACCTTCCTTTCACCCCCAAGTGAGTGAGGCTGCAATGGGGTGTCCATGTCCTTGGACAAAGCTCCAAAGCTTCTAGCTTCTCTGAAGCTCACAGAGGTGTCAGCTTGGTGGGGAAGGTGCCAAGGCAGGGCCCTGGAGATGGGGACAGGGACTGCCCACTTCCATTTGCCAAAGTCTCAGCAAATGAAACATGAGGGAATGAATGCTCAAAGAGGGCTGCAAACAATCGCCAACAAGGTAAATGATTACATTTAACGCTTTTACTGTAAACACTCTCAATGCAATATAATCTTGCTAGTCATGCTGGGTGGGCCGGGATGAGAGTTAGCAGAAGACCTGATGGGTCTGTGCCTCGGCGGGTCCGGACTGCATGCACAGTTGTATTGGAAGCTAAGATAATCACTCACCTAACACGAGGCCCTTCCAGAATGTGAGGTCTCAGCCAAGTGAACCCTGTGAACACCTCCACCCCCAGACCCGCGGGGAGGCTCAGGAGCCAGGCAGACCGAGGCAGTTCCAGAAGCCCTTGGGCTGGCAGACGTTTGCCTCTTTGTAAGTAAGAGTGTATGCAGAAGACCTCACAAGCAGATCACCAGTGAAATTCAGATGACCCTTCTAGAGAGGCTGTGGGCAGCCAAGGCCCCAGGTGTGGACAGGGCTGCTGCTCTCCAGGTGCTGGGGGCCCCAGCATGTCTCTTCCTACAGCTCCATGTGCCTTTGCCACGGAGCCACCGGCATTCAGTGGCCTCTTCCCCACTTGGCTGCTATGTGTCCCCTGGAACTCAGGGCACTCCAGGTGTCCTCAGGTCATGTCTCAGAGCTCAGGGCCATCTCGCCAGGCAGGGAAGTCCAGATTCCAATTTTTTCTACCCCACACCTAATCTCTAACAGCAGGCTCTGAACACACAGGAATCAGTTGGTGGCTTCTAAAGAGAACATGATACCGTCATGTAGCTGCCTGTCCAGACGCTGAAGCCTGTGCTTTCACCGGACCCTAGTGCTTGTGAATGACGACCTCTGTTCTCCTGGGTCAAAACTTCCTTCACCACCGTCAAGAAGGCCACCCTTTGTCGGCGGGTTAAATGCAGTGTTATTTACATATGGTTTATCTGGGCATCTATAATCCCAGGGCGAGAGCCCACCATCCACCAGCATTTTGGAAGAACGCCTGAGACCTGAGACCTGAGACCTGGTGCAATGGAATCAGATTCCCTGGTAGCTGCTTTTAATGGTGACAGATTCTCTGAAACAGAAAAAGATTGAATTGAGTCTGTCTCCCTGGAGTCGTCCTGCTCTGGGAGATGCAGAGGGAGGGCGGCAGGAGGGAGGACAGTGGGAGGCCTCTGTTGGTCAATTGCTAGGCTGCTGTCACCAGATGGTGGATGGCGTTTGTACAGCACTGGCCAAGGGCCCAGCTCAGCAGGGCCAGAGCCTCAGGTCATGTCGCAGGTGAGCAAAGCAGCGTGGATGGAAGACGAAGATCTTCGTCCCACGGAGGGCTTGCTGTGCGCCCCGCAGGACGCAGATCACCGGGAAGAGCAGGAAGCAGAAGCGCAGGAAAGCCAATGCTGTGACTGAGGCGTGGCCAGCAAGCCAGGCCCTCCAGCCACACCCTGCTCCAAAGGGGCTCCGACAGGATGGACTGATGATTTCCAAGAGAGAACATGCTTTTTATCTTCTATGGAATTTTGCTACCAAAGAGCCTCCCAGCTACCTGTGCCCTTCCCTAACCTGACAATCTTAATTCCCCCATGAAACTCCTCCATCGCGGACATTTGGACAACTCCAGGCTGAGTTTTTCCTAAGGCCACTCTGGCCTTGTGCGTCTCTTCTTTGCTAAGCTGTGTGCCAGCCGCCAGCCCACATCTGGGTTGTACCATGATCCTAACTCCTCACCTGAACACAGCATTTAACAGACTGAAACGTGCCACTCTGGAGCTGGGGACTTCAAGCCACATTTCGCCTGCAGCCCGATCGCCTTCAATCTTTAGCAAAATCCTCTTTCTCATGCAAAACAGTGCAGTCGTAACTTTTAAAATATTTTTTAGAAACTTTCTCTAGAGCCTCCACCACATGGCCACAGCCTGAGACTTTGAAATAATGAAACAATTAAATGATGTTTTCATCATTTCTGAGACTTGCCCATTATCACGAAGCTGAAATGGCCATTTTTTTATAAGTCAAGGAAGGACAGGCAGTTTCAAATGAGTTGGCTAAGACATACGCCAAATTCATAGAAAATAGAAATGAACTATGACTACAGAATGGAAGCAACCACAGAAATATTAGCAGGATTTTAAGTATTATCCCAATCAAGTACTAATAGCTAAGTGAGGTCATTTTTTGGATACCATTCCTGGTCAAAGCTAGGAATGATGTGTGTTCCAGGCTGGACCCTCCAGGCAGAGGCACCGGGATCCCACGCTGTTTCTGGGTTGGCCATTAACCTGCCCCTTGACCTGACAGCGTTTCTCTCTCTTCTCTCTCTACACTTCTCTTCTGATCTTTAGATCGATTTTCCTCCAAGTGACAATGTCCATAAAGAGAGAGGGAGGTGGAAATACAGGCTGTCACATTTCAGCTCTTTGAGGTGCCTCTAAAGATGATGTCAGAGAACAGTAAGTGGCCCACAAATGTGCAGCATCTGTTCCGAGCCTCCTGAAGCCGCCCGGACAGGCAGCAGTACGACCCTGCAAGGCCACAGGGGAGCCAGGGGGTTCTCGCTTTCTTTTTCTTTTAATTATTTCCTCTCAAAAAAGAAAAAAAAAAAAGAAAAGAAAGAAAAAAAGCCCTGCTGGGATAGAACTTATTGAGTTCAGAATGTTCCAGGGCACATAATCAGGCTGCCCTTGTTCCAAGACACTGCTGTGCTCTGTAGCTGACCCCCGAGTCCTCTAGGGCAAGAGTAAGGACACAGTCGGCTCCCGAAAGCTGGTGCAGATGGACCCCACCACGCAGGGCCTGGAGTTGGGCCAGACCTGCAGACCCCCTTGATGGCCTGCGGCAGGACCCTTCACCTGGGTCAAGGCCTCCTGGTGCTCCTAGGGGCCTCTTGAGGAGCCTGGGCACCAGCATTTGCCTTTGAGGACAGGACTGAGGGCCTGCATTTTGCACGAATGTACCTGAAATGTTTGCTCTGGATTTACCTTTCCAATGGTGCCTATGCAGGAATCCCAAAGAATGCCTGGTGGGGTCTGAGGCGGGTCTCAGGCCGGGAGCCCTCCACAGGCAGCAATATTTGGCTAGAATTTAATGCCATTTTGTTTCTTTTTATCTATTTTTATGGTGACCTCTTTGTGGTAATTGACACTGACTTTTTAAAAAATAAACTTACCCTTTTAATCAAATGTGTGAATTGTTTAAAGGAAAAACATTGTGTAAATAATGTTTTCAGGGGGTAGAATCCAGACGTGAGTTTTGGAAACAGAGTCCAGTCCTGCTTCTGACATTTGAATTGCTTCTCCAGCATCATCACCAGAAGATGGGCTACCTGTGCTCACAAGCCTCCTGTAACACGGAGCTCACCACCTCTCAAAGGCACCTTCTGTCAGGTCTGCCTGGAAATGCTGCTCCCGCAGACTCCGCACCTGAGGCCAGGTCTGCAGCGAAGCTCATCCACACCTGAGGCCAGGTCTGCAGCGAAGCTCAGCCCCCTTCCTTCACAGGAGAAATACTTCTGGGTGTGCACCTTCCACTCCTGGCAGGGCCGTGAGCCCCTGTGGCAGTGCCTCACCCTCTGGGAGGGACCCTCTCCATCTGGGAACAATGTGGGTACTTTTTTCTCTTAAAGGGCAGTGTCAGGAATGAAAGCAGATACCCAAAAGCAGTGGGTCTCGTGGCCTCGTGTCTGCTTCCAGAAGTGGAGGGCGGCCTGGGACGGCGGGAGCCCTGAGGACACCACCGGGGGGGTCCCGGGACCTGATACGAGTGGGCAGGAGCCCCAAGCCCTGGAGGAAGGAAAACCATTTCATAAATAACTGCATGGGGTTGTGGGCCTTTTCTCACAAGCCGCAGCACCTCCTTCGTCTCTCCACGGTGAACCCGCCCGCCACGCTATGCCACCAGGCCAGGTCCTGCAGCACCGCCTCCGTGGCTAGGACTTCCTCACCAGCCTGGGGCCGTGAGGTGGTCATTTCCCCCCTTACCTGACTTATCTCAGGATTCACACACACACACTTGACTTTCGGAAACTTCTTTTAAATTAATTTCACTGACACTAAAAGGGAAGCTTTGTGGAGTGTGATTGTGGTTACCTGTTAATACTTGGCAACAATTATGAGCCCTGATATGAGCCAACTTCTTCCGTCTTATCCCCTTTGAGGACGCTCTGTTATCGCCCCCATTTTGCAAACGAGGAAACTGAGGCTCGGAGGCCTGGAGCAATGTGTTCCAGGACAGACGGCAGGAAGCCGGGGTAGGAATTCCAACAGGGAGTTCCCTCTGTGGAAGGGAACGTGGCTGGCACCTCCCTGCCTTCCACCCTCAGAGCTAGTGTGAAAAAGAAGACGGGGTTATGGAAAAGGCAACGGGCTGGAGATTCCCCGGATTCCCAGGCTAGGGCGCCGGTCTCACTGTGCGCGCAGGTGGGGCGCGTGCCAGAACAGGGCCTGGGGGTCAGGCCGAGACCGGCGGGCACCTTCACCAGGGCCGCCCGTGGCGTTCCCCCAGCCCCTCTGCCGCGGGCCCCACGTGGCCCCGACCCTGCGGCAGCCTTTCGGAAGGGCGGAGCTGAAAAACGGCCGCTTGGCTCCACTCGGCCCCACAGCGCCCAGGAGCGAATCCCGAGTCCGTTCGGAACCGCCTCGCCGCGTGGCCTGGGGCGGCGTCGCCACCGCGCGTTCTCGGCCTCCCGGCTGCGGCAGCGATGCCGGTCCTTGGAGCTGGAGCGGGGAGTCCAGGAGGCGGCAGCGCTCCGGAGAGAGACGCCCTGGTCCCCCGCCGCGCGTTCCCGCCTCTGTGCCCTGGGGGGGAGGAGGGGGCGGTCGCCGCTGCCATTGGCCGTGGGGGGTGAGGCGGGCCCCGCGCAGGAAACCCCGCCCCTCCCTCTGCGGCGGGGGCGGCCCCAGCGGATGAATGAAGCGGCGCGTGGCTGCCGGGGAGGCCAGAGCGTGGAGCGCTGCGCGGCGCGGCGGCCGGGCCCTCGAGACGGGGACGGTGAGTGCGCGGGGAGCGGGGAGCTGGCGCGGGTGCACAGGGCCCGACCTGCTGGCGTAGGAGCGCGGCAGGTGCCGCCATCGTGGGCAGGGGCTGGAGCGCCGGGGGGATGCGCGCGGGGGCGGGAGGCCTGGGCACCGGCCGAGCGCCCCGAGCCTCTCCGCGGGGGAGGGCAGGACCGAGCGGAATCGGAGGCCAAATTCGCCGCTTCCCGCCGCCGGCTGCGCAGGTAGGAGCTCCCGAGTCGCCCGCAGGAGGACCGAGGCGAAGGGGCCCCACGCTGCAGCGGGTGCCGGGGGGAAGCGGGTGAGCAGGGGCTGCGGCCCTGGCAGGGACTGTCGGAGTGGCCGGGGCAGGTGACCTGGGCAGGTGGCCCGGAGCGCGCGCAGGCGCAGGCCCCACAGATCCAGCTGGGGACGAACGCGCCTCCGCGGAGCTCCAGAGTTGCGGAGTCACCCACCTGCGGCGGCCGCTGCTGCCGAGTCAAGGAGGAAACCTTCATGCACGGAAGTTTCTCGGGGGCGGCCGGGCTTTGTTCGCGCCAGAGGCGCTCGAGACATCTCCGGGAGGGGAGCGCGGGCGGAGCGCACAGGGCTAGTTTCCAGCAGCGGCGGCGCCCCTTTCCCTGCCCCACCACGCGACGTCCTGGCCGTGGCTTGGGGGGACCCGGGCGCCCTCCAGGTGCAGGCAGAGGGTCGGGTGCCCTCGCGTTGCTGTTGGGCTCCCCTGACCAGGGAGGATGGAAAGGAAGGAGCAGGCAGGCTTAGCTGCCCTAGACCGGCCCTAGACCGGGAACCTGGAAGCAGATCTGACTTCCACTTCCAAGGGAGAAACCGCCTCCCGCACTGGCGCCCCGAGGGGAGAGAGAAGCCCAGCTAGGTTTCCGCGTGGTCCGCGTGGTTGGTGAACCCTCAGGCTGGGGGGTGCCCCGCTTGGCGTGCAAGGCCCTCTTTGGAGCTGCCGTGGGACCTGGCTATGCGTCCTGTTTCTGTCTGGAGGCGGCTGGAACGCGGTAGTTTTCCACATCCATGCAACCAGCTTGTCAGCTGCTGCTCCTCAGCTGTGGTTTTTGGAACTTGGGTTACCTCCATCTAATCAGAAACTGGCTCTGCAGAGCCCGGTGTCAGCGACGTTTTCATTCCCAGCAGCGGGAGCAAATGGATCTCAGAGGACAGCTCCTTGGCCTTAGCCGGCTCCGCTTGTGAATCTGGTAATAATGACAAGGACAGTGACAGCAGGGGTTAGGTGTTGAGTGCTGGAATGTGCCGGGCATGGTACCCCTGCTTTGAGCATCGTCTCATTCAGTCCCTAGCAACCCCACGAGGTGGCCATTATCACTCCCACTTTATAGATGAGTAAACTGAGGCACCAAGAGGTTAAGTGATTGACTCTAGGCCACACAGCTTGTAAGTGCTGAAGAGGTCTGACTCCAGGTTTGTCTGATCCAGGCTTGGGCTCCTGTTTTACGACTCTGTTCTTAAAGAGGCAAAAGGCGACTGCAGGGTCAGGCCGGAGACCCAGAACAGCGTCCCAAGAGCTGGGCCTGCGGTTACTGGGCCAGAGTGTCTGTTCTGGGTTGTCAGTGATCGCAGGACACCAGTAGGATGTTGCTCGGGCCGAGACCACACAGCCCGACTTCCCTCTGTGCTGCTGGAGGGAGCCAGGGCAGAGGCCGGCCACTCGGTGAGACCTGGACGCTGACCACAGCCAGGCTGCCCTGACCGCCCTCAGCAGGCTGTGTCCTGCCTTCCTGCTGGGCAAGGTCAGCAGGTGGTGCCTGGAAAATTCTTCATGAGGGAGCTTCCCTCCCGAGTGGCCGTGACCTAATCTGTAGCTCACTGGGTGTGGCCCCTAAAGCAGGTGCTGGGCAAGTCCCTCCCATGGTGGAGAGCTGGCTGGGCACGTGGCAGGCAGGGCAGGCTGGGCCAGGTGAAGGGTGGCCAGGTGGATGGACATGCTCTCCTTGCTAGACTAAGCCCAGAGAGGCCGGCTCTCCTCGGGGCTCTGATGGGCCCCTTGGCTTGACCAAGCCCCATTGCAGTTTTGGCTCCAGGTCGGTCTGACTTCCAAATGGCAAAATTTTTCTCAGCCCATTGTAGAATGAAAAGTTAACTCATCGAGCTTAGTATTGTGCCTACAAGGTCTTCGATCCGGATGTCTCCATGAGTGTTAATCCATTTCTGGGGTGGGTACTGCTGAGCCAATATACATTCCTGGCTTCCTGGACTCGTCCACTGGAACGTGTTGGGTCCTGGTGCTCTCCCCAGCAGATGGTTGTAGGTGGTCAGAGATGAGCCACAGAAAAGCCAACGTGCAGCCTGGTGCTGGGGGCAGGAGGGAGCAGGGCCCTTGGAGCTCTGGGAGAGAGCCACGCCAGGCCAGCCCTCCTGCTTCCTCAAGCGGGCTGTGGACAGAGGCCACAAAACGTTCCCTCACGAGCCACATGACTGCCTCATTTGCAAGTGGCAAGGTGCACACTGTTGGCTTTTGGACAAGGACATGGGACAGTCCTCAGACCTTGCTGTTGCCTTCGTTCTGGGACATGGACCACTGTCTGGCCCCCCAGTGAGCTTGCTGAGTGTCAGCTGACTTCAGGCAGGATCTGGGTCTTGCCCACTTGTTGGAATGGGCACGTGGGGATTGCACCCCTTGAACAGGGAGGGAGGTGCCAGTAACTCACATGCTAGGTTAACAGGTTCTGGGTGACTCTGAGCCTTGGCCCTGCCAGGGGTGTGAGGAGGAAACTGGCCCTGCTGCTGGGACAACAGACTCTGGGCGTGTCCTCCTGTGGGCCTCTGCAGAGGAAGCAGACTGGGACTACAAAGAACAACCTGGTCCTGGGGACCCTGCTGCCTTCTCTGGCCCCTGCTGGCCCTTCAGGCTACGGTGAGGGTGAGGGTGCGGGTGAGGATGAGGGTGCGGGTGAGGACCCACCCACACCCGCACCCTCACCCTCATCCTCACCCGCAGCCTCACCCTCAGTCCTCAGACACTGGGGTCTCCGGCTGTCTCCAACCCTTCAGTTCTTTTCAGTAGCCTCCTTCCCACCAGCATCACACAGAATTAGACCCTGGGACTACATTTCTGGCGGAAGGTGACTGCTTTTTCAAACCACGTGCCTTCTGCAGAAGCCGCTCCCCACGTAGCCCAAGCGTAGGGTGAGACTTGGCACCAGTGGCTGGGGTCGCTTTTGGGTGCCAGAGAGCCCAGATTCCTCTCCCTCCCACGCGCAGCCAGGCCCTTCCTGCCCACGGACCTTGCCTTTTCTTGGTGGTTTTTCTAATCTGGCAAGCCTTGGGGGGCACCTGAGGCATTGCCCCTCTGGCCCAAGCCGCAGGGAGAGCTTGCGATGCTTTGGGTGGCGTGTGTCGTCCAGTCTGCCCCAGGCTCACTTGGGGCCCTTGCATTTGCCACTGGACTCTGCCTTTCGGGAGGCGCTGTGGACCTGAGATTTGGACCCATGGGCCTAGGAGGCCACCTGGGAGGAGAGTGGCCCAGCTGTGCCAGGCAGGTTCCTCATCTGGACAGAACCTGCTCCCTGCAGCCTCTCAAGCTCCCCGAGGGCCCTTCTGGGTCTTGTCTCTCCCACACATTGGGGGTCAGGTTTGAGCCCCTTTGCTGGCGGACCTCTGAGCTGCCCGCCCTTCCCTCCCACCACCCGCCCTGCCTCCTGTGGTGCACAGGGCTCTCCTGGAGGAGGGAGGTCCTGGGCATCCCCTGCCTCCTCACCTTCACCCTCAGGAGTCCCAGAGCCCTGGCTGCTCTGCACAGCAGGCTGGGAAGCAGGCCCTGTGCCCAAGGACTAGCCTGAGAACTGGGGAGGTCCTTTCCTCTTCCCCAGAGGACAAAGAGAGCTGTGAACACCACGGGTCTGTAAAGGGGTCCCCCCACATGCAGGAAAACATGAGTTGTGGCATCACTTACGCCTTCACTCACCAGTAGCCGAGGCACAGCGGGGGTCCTGAGCATGGGCAGGGCAAGCCACTTCCACCCCAGCCATGGAAGGAGGCTGAGGAGGCCAGGGCAGCAGTGGGGACCTGCGGCAGGCAGGGCCTGCAGGGCTCCGGGGCCGGACAGGGTGGATTTCCATTCTGAGTCTGTTTCCCATGAACTCCAGTGCTGACTGGGCCCACTTTGAGTAGGACGCTCAGTGGCTCATTCTCATTCTCATGATGTCTCTGTTATGGGTGGAAACTGAGGCAGAGAGAGGCCCGTGACCTGCGTGGCTTGGAGCCAGCCTCCGTCTTCTTCTCAAACATGCCCTTGAATGGCAGGAGAGTTTTCAGTTCCATGGATGGGATGATGAGTCGGAAGGAAGAGTAAACCTGCACACACCCGTGGCTTCACCCGTCCTCCCCACGCTCCCAGGTTCAGTGGGTGGAGACTGGGTGCAAGCAGGTTGAGGGACAGGTCCTTCTGGGCTGGCCCTGCTGCCGCACCCTGGCTCCCTCTTGCTCAGACAATCCTTCATTGTCGGCCCCATACAAAGCAATGGCTTCCTGCCTGCTCGCCTGTGCGAGGTCACCAGGTATGCAAATTGGGGTGTACCAGGCACAGCTGAGGCCCCCATATGCTGATCCCAGAGTCTGTGCCTCAAGCTAAAGAAGTGAAAGCTCCTTTCATTCATTCATCCAGCTTGAGGAAGAGACCCTGGAGTGAATTTGGAGATAGAGGAGAGAGTCCCAGGTGTCTTGGGGGGCTGGTGTGGCAGGGGAGGCAGCTGAAGATGGTGTGGGGAGCAGGCAGGTGCTCAGGGCGGGGCTGGGTGCAGGGCAGGCATGTGGCTGTGGCTGGCAGCCTCAGAGCCGTCAGGTGCCAGGAGGAGGGACTCGGCTTTGCCAGGCAGTGCCTGGGCTGGAATCTGAAGAGAAAGGAGAACTGAGACCCTATGGTCCTGCCTGGCCTCCAAATTCTGAGTGGGGCCTGGAAGCCGGGACTGGGACATCCCCTAATGTGGAGGGGTGCTACCCACCCAGCCCAGCTCCAGGCCTCCCTGGGGACATTTGCTGGGCCACAGTAGGTCAGCCAGGCCAGGCCCAGGGGCTGGCAAGCTTAAAATAGTTTTCTCAGAGATCCTGCGTCCTTTCCACGCACTGCGCTGAGAGCGCTTTGCAGGGAGCCAGGCTGGGAAGTAAGTGCATGGGGCCTAGGGAAGTAGGTGGGCTTCTAGAAGTGGCACAGGCCGGGCTGTGTCAGCTGCCCACACACGGGGATACAGGCTGGCACCCCAGTTCCCACAGTCTGGGCTGTGCCAGCCACCCGCACGTGGCCACTAGCTCCTCCCAGGTCACTGTCCTGGCTTGAGAGGAGGGGGAGGAAGAGGTCAGCCGGATTCGCCTCTAAAAGACCCTAGCAGAGGAGTCAGGGCCTCCTATCCCGGAGATGCAGCTGACTGACCAGGCCAGCATGAGGAAATCGGAAGAGAACTCTGGCCCCCATGGCCTCCTCCTAAAATAGCGGGCACTGACCCATACACAGGCGCACACGCACGCATACACCCTCCCCAGGCCTGCCCCCAGCCGGAGGCTCCAGGGACACATTATCCCCCGGCTGATCGCCTTGGCCTAATTCACACCCTGGCTGCCAAGGCCTCTGGCAGCAACATCCCCCCTTCCTCCCCTGCGGGGTTGTTGTGGGTTAGAGCAGGGACAGGGCCTGAGGGGGCTAAGCTCCCAGGGAAAGGGCAGCTGGCTCTCTAGATGCACCGGAGGGGCGGGGTGGTTTGCGTTTCTCTCGGGCTGAGAGCCACCTAAGGCTCCGCCTCAGATGTTCTCCCATGGACAGAGGCATCAGGGCAGTGGGGAAAGGATGGGCCGAGAGGTGAGTGGGTGCCCTGGGGCGGGGCAGCCACAGGGGGCCTGAAGTGGCTCACGGGCGGGGCCACCAGTCAGGGCTCCGGGCCTGGGCACATGGGCAGGCTCTGCTTCCAGGGGCTCCTTCCCACCTGCCGGCTGCATGGGAGCCGTGTGGCCGGAGCCCCAGGGGAGACCTTGTCCCTCATTCTGGAGCAGCCGTCAGGAGTACAAGGCCATGGGAGAGGACCCTACTCCATGGAGGTGATGGACCCTCCTCCCGTGATGGGGCAGATTTCAGTAACTGTGTGTGCACAGGAGAGCTCAGCTGGTTCAGGCCTCCAGAAGGTTCCTGGGCAGCGATGGTGGTGGTGTGCTGTCAGAGCCTCCTCCCTAAGCCTGGCTCCCAGGGCCTTGGCTGATGACTGGAATTCACTCCAGGCTCCGGGCCTCTTGTCCCCACCGGCCAGGCGGTTCTGATTCGCAGCCATGGGCAGCTTTTGCACCCAGCTCTCGAGTGACCGCCCCTGGGCTCCTCGTGGGTGCGACAGTGTCCTGGGAGTCCCTGAAGCCCAGGTTTCCCACATAGCAGGCGTTAGGAAGTCGGTACCAAAGTATGGAAGGACTGGCTTGTATTAGTCTGAGTTATCCAGAGAAACACAACCAACAGGATAGGTGGAAAGAGATTTATCCTGAAGACCTGGCTCAAGCACTTATGGAAGGGGCAAGTCCCGAGACCTGTCGTTGGCAAGCTGGAGGCCCAGGAGAGCTGATGGTTTCGGTCCAGTCTGAGTCTGAAGGCCCAAGAACCAGAGAAATGCTGCTGCAGGTTCCAGCCTGAAGGCTGAAGACCCAAGAAGAGCTGGCATTTCAGTCCAAGCCCAAAGGCAGGAAAAGACCGAGGTCCCAGCTGCAGCTGTCACAGGAGGAGGCCCTCTCACTCAGCCTTTGGATCTATGTAGGCCCCCAACTGATTGGACGAGGCCCACCACCCTGGGGAGGGCCACCCTTCACATGCTAATCTCACCTGGAAACACCCACAGCACACCCAGAACGATGCTTGGCTAAATGTCTAGGCACCCAAGGCCCACTCAGGTTGACACATGAAATTCGCTATCACAGTGCTCTTGGCCCTGACCCTGAGACCATCGCACATAGCGTCAGAGGCTGTAGAGTGGGCCCTGCAGAGGCCAGGAAGCAGATGCCCTGGTGTTAGATGCAGTCAGGGTGTTCAGATGAGGATGACAGTGGACTCGACCTGGGATGCTGACAGGAGCCAGGGTGGCCTGGGGGCTGGCCGCTGGCCTGTCCTTCACAGGGGGTGCAGTCTCCTGCACCCCATGGCTGTCCCATCCCTGCCCCGGGTCTCCCACCCCCTCCTCTGCCACGTGGCTGCCACTGCCCGGCCTTCCACAACTGCCTTTCAGCCTCACCCCATCTGCAGACTCCTCATTTGCAGCACCGGGGTTCACCTGCATCTGGCCTCATCAGCAGGTGCAGTCTTATCTGCGTATAAACCAGCCCACCCCATGCAGCCAGCTTGGGATGAGAGGACGGTCATGGGGTCCCCGTGGCCCTTGGAGGGAGGCCTTTGGAAGAGGCAGGTCCTTTGAATTTGGTCTGGGGTCAAGGCTGCCTGCAGCTCCCTCCCCAGCTCCGTAGTGGGGGCTGTATCCATGCATCAGAAGAAGCTGCTGCCTTTTCCGGGGGAAGCTGAGGGTGTGGATCGGAAGAAGCCGCTGCCTTTTCCAGGGGAAGCTGAGGGTGTGGCTCTGGGATGAGGATGAGGCTCCATCCTTCACTGTTACAGGGACCAGCTTGGGAAGCTGACGCACCTTTTTGTCAAAACCAATTCCAAGTGGAAAGAAACTATAGGCAGGTGTGCATGTGTACACACACCTACACAGACGTGCACACACAGGATGCCAGAAAGAAGAATCAAAAGGACAGGCCTCCCTTCTTCCCCAAGCCCAGCTGCAATGTCCTGTTCCCCTTGGTGGGGCCAGTCCAGGGGCTAGGCAGCCTCTACGTGGGGCTGCCATGAGGCCCTTCCAGCCCCTGAAACTCCCCTGCCCCACCCCACACCAGCTTATCCATAATGGGCCTGAGACCAGAAAACCAAAGGTGTGGGCTGCCGAGCTGCCCGCCTTAACGCGGACCAGACATCATTACTCCAGTCTCCATTAGCAGTGAACGCAGAGGTGACGTTCACCTTCTCACTGAGCCATGAGTGCATCTGCCTTGGCCATCTCGGAAGCTAGCAGATCGCAGAAGGAAAGCAACATGTGAGTGGCGCGGGTGGTCCTCATGGGCCCCAGCAGCATTTGTCATTGATGGAACTGATGACCGAGACCAGGATGGGGGCGCTGGCTGCCTCCACCAAGCATGCGTCTGGCTGTCCACATTGCTGGACTCGGCTGCTGCGGCTAAGATGCTTTCATGTCCCACGTTGGGCTGGTTTTCGTGGCAAACGTTAGCCCTGAAATGTAAGTCCTGCACCGCACGTTCAGCAAGGACTCCCTCAGGTCCGGGCCAAGCCTTGACATACATGCTGGGCACCCACTTCTCCAGGCAGAGTTCTCATCCCTCTGGCTCACCAGCTCAGAACGGCACGCTCAGTAAATGCCAGTGCTTAGGACGTATCCATGTGAGGTCTTGGTACAATCCTGGAAACTTCCTTTGGGAAATGCATGAATGTGGGACCCTCCTCATCGCCCTGAGAGTCCAGAGTGTTGCCTGCCCAGCGTCACTCCACAACCCATCTGTCCCCTGGATGGCAGGAGCCAGGCCAGACGCCCCATCATAGCCAGCTTTTATGTTTGCTCCTGTTGTCCTTTAGCCCTGAGTCATGGAAGGCCCACCCTCCCCTTTCCAATCTAGACACCGCTGTTTTAATGGGGAAACGGCCTCCCAGAGAAGATTTCCAGCTTCAGAAGAGAACCCGGAGCTGAAACTCTTGGGCATGATGAAGATGGAATGGGTACTGTCACACACATGCTGCTTGCGTGAGATTCAGATAAGGGAGGCTGGCCCGAAGCCAGGTCGCTGCTGGATCTCAGAAAGACGTCAGAACGAGGCCCCAACGGAAGCCCCTGGAGGTGCACAGCTGGTGAGCTGAGTGGTGCCATGTAATTCTCATCGTCTGCGGCCGTCTGATGGGCATCTGTCGGAAGCCACATGGCTGATATTTAAAAGAGGATTTTAAATTTGCTGATTTAAATGTGCATAATAGGTAACTTTCGGCTGAGCTTTACATATTTATGTCAGAGCTTTTAATTCAGGTAAAACAGCCTTCAGCTTGGAGCTGTTTGGACACCTACAACTACCTGTTCTTTCTCAGTTGTGGCTTTCATTTTCAAGAAGGAAGTCCTTCTGTTTCTCTGTGGCCATTGCTGGTCACGAAACTTAGCAATCTGGCTTCCTCTCAAAGCTATGCAGACGGGATCCTCCCCCTTCCCCCTTACCTGCTTTGGCCCCAGCGTCTGGTCCTGAGGCCAGGGCTGAACAAACTGCCTGTATGAGGCAAGCCCAGTGCCCGGGCGTTGAGCGGGTGTTTCACGGCAGCCAGCGTCTTGGTTCGCAATGGTTTACGTGGGCTTGCCCACCATTGAGCATCCCAGGGACCCCATCAGATCCTTTGCAGAAGTGCTGCCGAATCCGACCCACTCCCCCTGCCCCCGCCTCCCCCACCCTGCCCCGCCCCACACCCCCCACCCCCGCTCGGCCCCCCTCCCCGTGCCAGCACGTGCAGCTAGGCGGAACCTCTGAGCACTCTCCCGCCTGCGTCAGGCTGTTCCTTGGCCCTGTTGAGGCTCCTTCCCTTCATGTTCTGGCCCAGCCCGGAAATGAGGTCAAGTTTCTGCTATTTATGTGTGTGCGTGTGCACGTGTTTGTGTGTGTGGGTGGACCTTGACCTCCAGGCAGTCCTCAGGGTAGTTCTTGGCTCTGTGTTCCTGCACTAAGAAAAACAATGCGAGGGAAACACACCCACAGGCTGCCTGGGGAGTCTGCGTGGCTCTGAGCCTGGCCTGTCCTCCTCCGGGCCTCTGAGGTTGCTTTCTGTTTCGGCGGCCGGCGGCCGGTGGAGCCCTTGCGCCTCCTCGTCAGTCCCGCCCCGGGGCTCTTGCTCCTCCGGCTTTTCCGCTGACTCCTGGCATTCGAGTTCTTGTGTTACACATGCTCCTGGGACGTCATCCTTGTGACAGCTCGCTTCAGTAGAAAGCCTGTGGCTCGTGGGTGGCCGTGGGTGGCTCTCTGCCCCTTGGGGAGGCGTGGAGCATTGCTCTTACAATATGAATGTCTCTCCTTCCACGCACACTCCCTTTCTGACGCAGCAGGTCCCAAACCAGCCTGGCCTGCCAGCTCGTGGATAGGTGTTGGCATTGTAAATAAACCCCCGGGTGTGGCCGCGGGCACCCAGGGAGCAGGCCCCAGGCATGAATGCTGTGGAATCTCTGCTGTCCGAGGCCTCCAAATACGGCCTCAAACAGCCTCCCGGCAGTGTCCAAGGTCAACAGCGGCTGCACGTGAGTGCCACACGAGCGTGCACGGCTCTTTCAGTAGGTGTCAGAAGGCAGCTGTGACGCAGACGCTTGGCTCTGGGGCCAGACTGCGGGGGCTGCATCCTCATTGCCACCGGCGGGCTGTGTGGCCTCGAGCAAATGACTGACCCCCCTGGGCCTTCTTCCCCTACTGTGAGGCCTGGGACGGTGCCTGGTACACAGCTGGTGCTCAGTGTGCACAGCGGGTGTTAGCACCCTGCCACCCAGCGGGATTCTTCACAGCAGCTGCCCGCCTTCGTCCCAAGGAGCCTGGGGCTGAGGCATCCATTCGCTGAGAGGGCGAGACCTCCGATTCCACAGAGGAGCCCTGTGGGGACCGCGCCTCGGCAGAGGACGTGGCGGGAGGACCCAGAGCCCAGCTTTGGGGGCTCAATCCTGAGATCCCTGTGGCCTTGGGGAAGGGGTGCTGGTACCGCCAGATCTCTCCAGACGTAAAACAAGCCTTGCCTGGACCTGGGGGAGATCCCATGGCCTGCTCCCGGCCTGACCATGCTGGGCCCGGTTTATCTGCCTTCACAGATGAAGTTGCCCCTTTATTAAAAAACAAAACAAAACAAAAAAAGCCAGCAATTTGTCATCCCCAAATGCTGTAGTGTCTGTCAGCATAGGCCTGTCCCGGGGCTGGTTCTCACTGAGGCCCCTGTGTCCCCTCGCAGCCCCATGGCGGATCACCGGCTGCGCCTCCGCTCCCACCCGCCACGCTGACCTTAGAGTTAGTGTGTCTGTTAAGCTCTAACTCTGCCTCAACCCCAAGGTCATCTCTCTGGGCCCTCCTCAGGCCTCTGTCATCTCCCAAATTCGGGGGCATATGTGACACCTGTTTGCCTCCGTGGGGGCTGCTGTAAGAAATGACCACACACCAAAGGGCTTAAAAAATAGTTTATTCCCAGCCAAACACTGCATGTTCTCACTCATAGGTGGAAATTGAACAATGAGAACGCTTGGACACAGGGCAGGGAACATCACACCCCGGGGCCTGCCATGGGGTGGGGGGAGGGGGGAGGGATAGCATTAGGAGATAAACCTAATGTAAATGATGAGTTAATGGGTGCAGCACACCAACATGGCACATGTATACATATGTAACAAACCTGCATGTTGTGCACATGTACCCTAGAACTTAAAGTATAATAATAAAAAAAAATAGTTTATTCCCACCAGCTCCGGAGGCCAGGAACCCAAAGTCCACACAGGCTGTGCTCCCCCTGGGGCTCTGAGGAGGGTCCTTCCTGCCCCCAGTGGCTCCCGGGGCTCCAGGTGGTCCTGAGAGCGCCACGCCCGTCTCTGTCTCTGTCTGCAGGTGGCCTTCTCTGTGTCATCTTCTCCTCTAAAAATGCACCTGTCACCGGGTTTAGGGCCCACCCTAATCCAGGATGATCTCTTCTCAGATCACTTGTCACATCTGCAAAGACGCTTTTTCCAAATAAGGTCATGCGCTCAGGTCCCAGGTGAACGTGACTGCCCGGGGAACACGGGGGGCACCGGTCCGCCCACCCCAGCCCCAGCGCAGGCCCAGTGAGCAGACTCTGTGAGGAGCTGCCAGGAGGATCCTGGGGTATCACCCAGCCCAGGTCCCCACGGGACTGCCTGCTGTCCCTGCATCTCCGTGCATCTCTGCGCGTCGCCGGCTGTGGCTGGAAGGAGACCCCAAGGCCGGATACTTAGGGCTTCGGACTCTGCAGAGCCCTGAGCATGGCTGATGTGGCCCCGGCCTCAGCCTGATGTCAGTGGGCAGCATTTCTCACGCTTTGTGTTTTGGAGCCTCCCAGGTTGTGATGTTTCGTGGGCTGAATAAGCTTCCAGAAGCGCCGGGGTCCCTGTTGAATGTGATACAATGTGGCCCAATATGGACACGCCACCGCCCACCCCACCTTAGCTCCACAGTGAAGACAAAAGACCCCAGACTGTGGACTTAGACAACAGAAACGGGCCCTCTCTTACTGCTGAGGACCAGAAATCAGGGATCATGGTGTCTGCAAGGCCGGCCCCCCTCGGAGGCTGTGAGGGAAGGAGCTACTTCCGGCCTCCCTCCCGGGCAGGGGAATGGTCTGCACATCCACATTCCCTTTTTATAATATGGACACCGGTCAGATTGGATCAGGGCCCACCCAATGTCCCTGTTTAACCTTAGTCACCTCTTTAAAGGCCTGAGTTTCAAAAACTGTCATATTCGGAGGTATTGGGGTCAAGGCTCCAAGACAGCTTCTTTTAGGGGTCACAATTCAGCCATAACAGGAGGTGCCCCAGATGGCAAGCACCTTGAGGTCTGCGAGAAAGACCCTCCCAGGGTGGGGGCGGCACAGGTGTTCTGTATCACAGCAGCCCCGGGAAGGACCCTCCCAGGGTGGGGGCGGCACAGGTGTTCTGTATCACAGCAGCCCCGGGAAGGACCCTCCCAGGGTGGGGGCGGCACAGGTGTTCTGTATCACAGCAGCCCCGGGAAGGACCCTCCCAGGGCGGGGGCGGCACAGGTGTTCCGCATCATAGCAGCCCTGTTTATTCGCCGGTTTATTTCTGACGGGGAAAGCCCTTAAGATGCAGAGAGGCTACAGCCACCTGGGTTCCCCAGAAGGCCTTGGGCAGTAGGGGGGAGCTGTTGCTCCAGGAATTGGTGTGGGGAGTGAGGCGGTGCCCTGTGGAGCCTCGGGATGGTGGGGAACAGGGCTGGTGAGGGCAGTGGGGCAGGGGCAGCGCAGGGTTCAGAAGGAAGGTGGCACGTGGGCACGTTCTCCTGGTAACTGGTCTACATGGCTGCCGACTGCAACTCCTGTTAGCCACAGGCTGACCCAGCAGCGGCCGGAGCTTGGCGGCCGGGGGTGTTTCCGGTGCTGGGGGCTCACGTGGCCCAGGAGGCTGCTTCCAGCTCATTCCTGCACCTCCCAAACTCTGCACGGAGAGGAGCTCCTTCCTCACGCCAAAGGGTGCAGAGAGCTGCCGGGTGTGAACTTAAGGAAGAACAAGGTCAGGCTCCAGGACCAAGGTGGAGTCCATCAGGGCCACTTGGCTGCAAATGGCAGGGGACGTGGCTGACACAGCGAGCGGGGCCAGGGCGGGGTGACCTGGGACCCCAGTGTCTGACTCGGCCTCTGCGTCTCAGCTCCACTCTCCACCGCGTGGCCCCATCTCAGTAGGCCTTGCCCCCGTCACAGCCCTGACGCCACACCGCTGAAGCGGCAGCTTCTCCTTCCAACAGTTCTAAAAAGGGCAGGAATTGAGTCCCTGTGAGCAAGCTGGGCACAGCCCCCCACCTTTCCGCAGCGGAGCTGTGGCTGGGAGACACAGTGCCTGGGTGTGGGCCTGGCCAGACGCCACCCTGGATTTGGGAGGCTCTTGAGACAAGGCAGGCAGAGCTTTGAGCCACCCCCGTGATGGGTGTGCTGGAATGTTCCCTCCTGGATGTGCTGTACCCGTGGAGAGACGTGAGCTTGCTAACCAGACATTCTTCTCACAGGACACACCAGCCCCTCGGATACCACTTGGCCACTCCCGCTGAGGCCACTCCCACTGCGTGGCTGAAGCCTCGAGGTCACCAGGCGGAGGCGCGGAGATGCCCCTGCATCAGCTGGGGGACAAGCCGCTCACCTTCCCCAGCCCCAACTCAGCCATGGAAAACGGGCTTGACCACACCCCACCCAGCAGGAGGGCATCCCCGGGCACACCCCTGAGCCCCGGCTCCCTCCGCTCCGCTGCCCATAGCCCCCTGGACACCAGCAAGCAGCCCCTCTGCCAGCTCTGGGCCGAGAAGCATGGCGCCCGGGGGACCCATGAGGTGCGGTACGTCTCGGCCGGGCAGAGCGTGGCGTGCGGCTGGTGGGCCTTCGCACCGCCGTGCCTGCAGGTCCTCAACACGCCCAAGGGCATCCTGTTCTTCCTGTGTGCGGCCGCATTCCTGCAGGGGATGACTGTGAATGGCTTCATCAACACAGTCATCACCTCCCTGGAGCGCCGCTATGACCTGCACAGCTACCAGAGCGGGCTCATCGCCAGCTCCTACGACATTGCCGCCTGCCTCTGCCTCACCTTCGTCAGCTACTTCGGGGGCTCAGGGCACAAGCCGCGCTGGCTGGGCTGGGGCGTGCTGCTTATGGGCACGGGGTCGCTGGTGTTCGCGCTGCCCCACTTCACGGCTGGCCGCTATGAGGTGGAGTTGGACGCGGGTGTCAGGACGTGCCCTGCCAACCCCGGCGCGGTGTGTGCGGACAGCACCTCGGGCCTGTCCCGCTACCAGCTGGTCTTCATGCTGGGCCAGTTCCTGCATGGCGTGGGTGCCACACCCCTCTACACGCTGGGCGTCACCTACCTGGATGAGAACGTCAAGTCCAGCTGCTCGCCCGTCTACATTGGTGAGTGGGGCTGGCGGGGTAAGTGCTGGCAGGGGTGGCTGAGGGCAGTGTTGCAGGAGTGAGGGTAACTGGCCGGAGCCAGCCCCGCCCCCTGCCTTCGTGTACCCCTTGTCTGCATGGCCCTGGGGCTGCTGCAAGAGTTGGCAGGGGAGGAGGGTCCGCCCTGAGGCCCAAAGCTGATGTAAGGGACTCCGGCTTTCTCATGTGGACCCTGCTCAGGGCTCCAGGCCGCTGTGCCCGGGAGCCTCAGTGCAACCCCTGCGTGGTGTCCAGCCCACCTTGCCAGGACCAAGGGGCACAGTCACTAGGCGCTGGGTGGCACCAGGTCCAATGGCGGCAGACCTCATGCTCCGGCTGGGAACCTGGCACTTGCCTGGGAAGGAGTTTGATGTGGGATAAGTGACGAGGGACAGAGCCCCAAGGCCACACCCATGTTTCCCTGAAAGCACCATGTTGGCTCCATCAGCCACATAGAGGTGGAGGGACAGAGCCCTGAGACCACACCCACGTCTGCCCGTAAGCACCGTGTCTGCTCCGGCAGCCACATAGGGGTGTGGAAAAGACCGAGCAAATCTGGAGAGTCAGAACTTTAAGGGGAAAAATAACATGAAGCAGCTCATGGCTGCTTCACAGCTATCTAAGAGTAAAGATCTATGTTATAACTCTATGCTAGGCAGCTGAGCTCACTGCCCTGGGGCAGCCCTGGGCCCCTCACTGGCTTCCTGCTCCTGTTTGTTGAGATGTAGGGAAGCCCCATGGCCCGTCCGACATGGCCGAGTTGACCCAGTGCACGGCCCGCCTGACCCCACTTCTCGGCGTCCCCCTGCCTGGCTTGGCTCTCCCGGGAAGGGCATCGTAGGATGGTCACGGGGAGCAGCTGGCCCCAGCCGGACTCTGCAGTGACCTCAGCCTCCTCATGTCCTCCTTGAGCTCTGCTCATCCCAGTCACCTGGCAGTGCTCGTCCCAAGAACCCAGGCGGGTGTTGAGATCACCTCACTCCAGCGAGGGGACGTCCCACCACACCGAGCCTTCCAAATCCCGGCCTGTGGGAGAGTGAGCGTGGCTGGGCGGAGGGGCTCAGGCCTCTCTGGTCCCTTTCCCCACCCTGGGCCCCTAATTCCTGCCAGTGTCCATCTGTGCGGCTACTTAGACGCCCTGCAAACGGGGCTTCGAGGGCCTTTGCCCTTTCGTAAGGGAAAGACAGTGCACTTGGCTTTGAGGGGGATTTTTAAAGATTGATGCTGACCCATATCAGGCCCAGTGGCAACTGCACAGACTCATCTAACTTAAAGAGGCCCATGAGGGGAGTGGGCCGGAGATGCAGAATGGCGGGTGCGGGGCTTCTCCCAGGCACGGGGCCCCACACGGCCCTCCGCAGCCCCTGGGTGGTGCACAGCGGCCCTGACGCCTCTGCCTCTCTCGCAGCCATCTTCTACACAGCGGCCATCCTGGGCCCAGCTGCCGGCTACCTGATTGGAGGTGCCCTGCTGAATATCTACACGGAAATGGGCCGACGGTGAGTGGCCGCGCACCCAGCTGCCTGCGCTGGAGAGGCCCACGTGTCTCTGGAAGGGGGTTCAGAGTCAGCAGGGCCCACTCTGAGTCAGGCCGGGCGCGGCGCAGGTGCTGGGCACCCCCCGGGCTGGAGGGAGTCAAGGCTGGCCTTGGCTCTGGAGGACTCGGAGGATCTGTAGGGGCCTTGGGAGTCGGCCCCAGGGCAGGAGGCAGGGCAGGCAGGCAGTGCCCGAGGCCTAAGCGCTTGCAAAGCCCAGCGAGCCCTGGCCACTAGTTCCCTAATGAAACTGAGATTTTTCTGTTTCTTTTCCTTTCTTTGTATCTTGTGTGTGTGACCCTAGTTTCTGTAAATGTAAGCAGGAGAAAGCAAGGAGGGGTGGAGGGAGAGGCAGAGAGAGACAGAGGGAAAGACACGTAGAGACAGACCAATTCACAGAGACAGATGGAGATAGAGATACAGAGGGACAGAAAGAAGACAGCGACAGGCAGAGAGAGACAGAGACAGATGGAGATGGGGAGGCAGAGGAGACATGTCCTTGCTGACCGCCAGTGCTCTGTGGGTTTGGGCCCCCCATTCATCCCTTGCCCATCCTGCACTTGTGAAGTTTCCAAGGTCCTCTGTTACTCGGCCTGGGCACCGCTGCACCTTGGGACTCTTTCTGCAGATGGCGCCTCTCCTGGAGGTCTCTAGCACTCTGACCTCTTACAAAAGCCCCTCTGGCCTCGGATTGATAATGTGGGGTCAAGTGTGTGCGTTCTGGGCAGAGCCTGGAGGTAGGCTGGAGCTCGTGTCCCGGGTCTGGATGCTTCTCTCAGTCTCTGTGCCCCTTCTGGCTCCGGGATCTGGGCCCACTTTGCACAAAGTGGGGAGGCAGAGCGGGGTCTGGCCCCCGGAGGCGGCCGCAGCATTTCTGCGCTGGAGCAAGCAGGTGCCGCCTGGCTGCAGCCTTGCAGGGTGTTGGCGCTCCCTGTGTCCTCTGTCTGTCTCTGCGGCTCTGCTCCCGGCCTTTGCTGGCCTTTTGCCCTCCCGCCGCTGCCTCACTGTGAAGACACATCCCCGAAAGCCCAGAGCTTGTCCTCACTGTGAAGACGCGTCCCTGGATGCCCAGAGCTTGGATGGGCTTCTACCACTCCACGGCCGCCTCAGCCCATGGTTATTTTCCACTCGCCTTTTCGTTTGAAAGCACTTATGTGCAAATTGCCACGTGCACAACAGTCCCTTCGTGGGGAGCTCTCAGTGAGCTCCAGCTGAGCCCTCTGGCGTCCCTGGGAACCCCATCTGTCATCCTCTGCACTGTGGGGAGGGATGCCTCCTCCCGCTGTTGCCTGGAGAGGCTGCTCCTCTTAGTGCCCAACCCCACCGTGGTCTCAGGACCAGGCCACAGGTGGCATCTCCAGCCCTGGAGCGTGGGCCAAGGCATGGAGCCATCTGTCTTGGGGGACAGCTAAGCCAAGGTGGTGTTTGCTTTAGTCTGCAAGGAAGGGACAGGACCTGTGGCCAGCAGCACCAGGGGCCTGTGTTGACCAGCGTGCAGACAGACCCTGGAGGTCTGCCCGGAGGAGGGGCCAGCAGCCCCCAGTGTGTGTGCCATGGAGGGCACAGGTGGGCTGCACGCTGACCCAGGTGCCACTGCCTCTTCCACAGGACGGAGCTGACCACCGAGAGCCCACTGTGGGTCGGCGCCTGGTGGGTCGGCTTCCTGGGCTCTGGGGCCGCTGCTTTCTTCACCGCCGTTCCCATCCTTGGTTACCCTCGGCAGCTGCCAGGTGGGTTTCCCTTCCCCAGCCCAGCCTTCACATTGGGAGACTGTCCCTTAGTCTTCGCGAAGGGGGCACCCCGTTTCCTCTGCTGTCTTTTTCCCCGCCATGATCAAGTCTGCGGCACACCCTCATTCTCAGTGTTCTTCCCATCTGGGTGGAGAGACGCCTCCTGGCTGTGGCACAAGGCAGGTTGTGTGTCCATCCTGTCCTGTGGCCTCCCCTCTGCCCCAGCGGCTTCTCCCCCTCAGGCCACGGAACAGGCTTGTCCCAATCAGGGCAGGGCCTCCATCCCCTCCTTCCCCCAGCCCCACTTTGGGCCCCAGCTCTCCCACACCTCCAAACCCGGCTTGTGCTGCATTCTCACGTGGTTTCTGTTCCAGTGCCGCCTCCCCGGGGCTGCGAGGGCTGCAGGGATGTCAGACAGTGACGTTCCCAGACCGGGGAGGGGCAGAGGAGTGGGGGCAGAGCCTCTCTCGGAGAAGTCCACCTCCGGGAGCCCCCAGCCCCCAGCCCCAGCTCACTCTGTGCCCTTCCAGGCTCCCAGCGCTACGCGGTCATGAGAGCGGCGGAAATGCACCAGTTGAAGGACAGCAGCCGTGGGGAGGCGAGCAACCCGGACTTTGGGAAAACCATCAGAGACCTGCCTCTGTAAGGACCGGAGTCGGGAGGGTTCCTAGTGTCCTCAGACCCTTTAATGGTCCCCATCTTGGGGGAGTCGTTGAGACCCCTCCGGGATCATGATGGGGACGCAGCCCCTAACCTCTGTCGTGACCCTGGGCCAAGAGATTAAGGAGCAACAGATAGAGCCTCTGGGCCAGGGGCCGCAGACCCCGCCTCAGGGCTGCAGAGCCGTGGGAGAGTCCCAGAGTGGGGCCGGGGCCTCGGCCCGCACCCAGGGAGCCATCACTTCACTCATACAGTGTGGAGACTCCTGTGGGCTGCGCCTGGCTCCCAGTGGCCACGGAGCAAATCCCTTCCACACCAGCAAGTCTCCCCGTGGCCTGTGTGTCCCGGGGTCCCCAGGGAAGCTGCATTTGACTTGAGACCCTTCCCTCACCATGACCCCCCACACTCTAATTCCCTTTCATCAGGTGTCACCTGTGCCGTACCCCCCGGGCCCTGGGATGCTGCCCCCCCATCTCCCTCCCTCCCTCAGAGTCTCTGAGGACCTCCCCCCTCTACCCGGCGTGTCCCGCTCACCCTCTGGGGAGGTTGCTTGCTTTGCCGTCTGCCTTGGCTGCCTTCCCTTTCTGCTGAGTGTGGTCCGGCCTTGCTTTGCTGTCTTGCTGCACTGCTAGGGTGAACCCGGGGCCCTGAGCCGGTGGGGTCCTAGAGGGACAACAGAGGGGCCCGGGCCCTCCCGGCCTCTCCTGGGGATCATGCCTTCCCTGGGGGGCTCTCCCCAGGGCTGGGCACAGGTGGCCCTCAGGGTGGCCACCACCCAAGTCCTCAGCGTCTGAGGCCCCAGCACGGGGAGACTCTTGTGCCCTTGTAGCAGCAGGTCCCTGAGCTCACAAATGGCTGTGTCTCACTGGCCATAGTGGGTGGAGGGTGTGGGCAATGGGTGAGTCCCTGCTGCCTGCCCTCAACCAGGATAGGAGGGAAGGCATCAGGGCCAAAGGTGGCCCCTCAGAAAGCCCCAAGCTGTCCACGGCAGAGAGGAGCAGGGCTGGATGAAGATGGGAAAGAGAGGCCTCATTAGGACCCTGATAGACCCCCCAAAGGAGCTGGGAGCTGCCTGCTAAGGAGGGTGACCCCATGGGCCAAGCTGACCCGGGGCCACGTTCCCAGGACTTGGGAACATCGTGTAGGCACTGGCTCACCCTCTCTCCTCCACCCAGCAGCAGAGCGGCTTAGAGCTGAGGGTCAGGCGCCCTGTTCCCAGCGTGGCTGTGAGCCCCCAGTGTGGACCTAGGAACCCTGGGGCTCTTTCAGTTCATCAGGTGATAAGGAGGTTTATGTCCAGGGTTAGTTCCCTAAACCAGTTGCTGGGAAGAAATAAATCATGGGACATGTTCCCTTTATTAAAGTCATGACTAATTCTCTGGGCAAATTCAACACGAGAATTTCAGCCGAGCAATCAGTGATTAAGAAATGAAGTTTGCATAGCATTTCAGAGAGTCAGGGCCTCCTAACGCAGCCACACACCCCGGAGCCTGGGCAGGTCTGGGAAAAGCCCCAGGGAGGGACTCCCCCAGGGTGCCCACCCCAGCCCCATCCCCCCATATGCCAGGACCCCCCCAGGGTGCCCACTCCAGCCCCGTCACACCACACGCCAGAACCCCCCCAGGGTGCCCACCCCAGCCCCATCCCCCCACACGCCGGGACCCCCCCCAGGGTGCCCACCCCAGGTCTGTCACCCCACATGCCAGAACTGGCTGGGGAAGGGAGGGCATGGGCTGGGGTCTCCTTTGTCCTCCATCGTCTTGCCTTTTTCAAGACGTGGGACCCAAGTAGTTAACCAGAAAGAAGAGGCTTTTCAATCCTCAAGTCAGGAAATAAATTTTGAAAGAACTGGGCTCTCCCATTTTAATCAGGGAAGGGGACAGAAAGAACCCATGTTCATGGCTGCTGAGGTCAGTCTGAGCGAGCCAGCGAACACCTCCAAGCAGGCAGAGTGCCTGTGAGGCTGGAGCGGAGTTTCTGACGCCAACATCAGCTCTGCAAGGCACCTGTGGGCCTGTTGGGGCTCAGAGGCTAACTAGGGCTGCACCGTCTGTTCCTGATTCTTCAGAATCCATTTACATTTGGCCACCTCCTCAAACAAGAGCATTTGAATGTTCCAGGCATTCAGAGTTGCGTTCATCGGAACCAGGCTCTAGGTGTGGCCGAGAGGAAAGAGCCGCCCTCCTGCAGGTGGGGGTGATGTGAGGCCGACAGTCTGCTCTGGTGAGAGGCTGGAAAGTGTAGGTTTACAGGATGTCACTAAGCTGCAGACGCAGGGGTTCAAGTCAGCGACACTGCGGTGTGAGCAGAGGCGACATGGACATGTCATTTATTGTGAAAATTTGCATTACTGTGGGCTGATGTGAGAGGCTATTGTGCCATGACCTGGGGCTTCAGGAACAGTCTCTGCCCCTGGTCTATGTTATGAGTTCCAGGGACAGGACAATAGCTGTGTCTGCAAACACCCCCACCTGAGGCCGAGAGCCCCCCACTCAGTGGGGGAGAAGGGTCACGCACAGGAGCGTGCTGTGAACAGGATGCAGGCAGCTGTGAGCTGGGATGAATGTGAGCTTTGCCCAGTCTGGGTGATCTGTGTACCCCAGAGAGAGCCGAGCCTCTCTTTGCAGAGGCGGTTTCCCTTCTGTCTGCCTCGATCACTGCACTGGCTGGGAGGGCTTTGCGTGGTTTACACCATGCAACACGTTTTCCATCTCAGCATCTTATGCGCTTAAGCAGCGGTTGGGCGTTAGCCCTGCTCAGGCCTCCAATGCTAACAAAAACAGGGAGAGCCTCCATTCACCCCCCAGGGCCTCGTGTGCAGGGACAGGCAGCCCCGACGCACTGCTGTCGGCCACCTCCTGGGTTAGAAACTGCAAGGCCTGATGTGGGGCCTTCCCAGCTTCCAGGGGGCTATGTCCTTATCCTGAGACCCCACAGCCAGGACCGCAACAGGCAGATGTGGAGGCTGAGGCTGAGCCCTCAGGGCCAGACGGCTCAGAGTTCCCACAGTTCCCCCCAGGGCTCCAGGCCCATGCACCAAGGACTCGCCCCAGTTGAGGCCTCACCACCCCCAGGGCCACTGGCCCCCAAGTGCAAACCAAGCTAGCCAGGTCCGTCTACCCAGGGGCTTCTTGCATGGAGGGTTCGAATCCCAGTGGCTTCCTGCCCCACTTCTCCCAGGGGCTGGCGGTTGGGGACTGGCCACAGTCCCCATTCCCGTGATTCCATTCCCCTATCCCAGGGCCTGTCCGGTCCTGGACTTGGTGGCCTCTGCCTGCCCCAGCCAGTTCCCTTTTTCAGGCCCTGCTGCTGGCCAGTGACGGAACAGGGTCCTGGGTCACTTGGGGTCTCTCCCCACCTGAGCTGAAGCTCTGGCCAAGGCACTGATAAGGTTTTTCCCTAATCAGGGACTGCAGCTTTCAGGACAAGTGGGCCACAGGCATAGGCTCAGCCTGGCGCCCCCTGGGTTTCTCTGGAATAAGTGTGGGTGTCCCCCACCTGCCTGCACCCCACTCTACTCCCTGTCGGAACAGGGGCCCTTTGTAATCAGACCGGGGAGCTGACAGCCTCAGGAACAGCAGGTTCCTCCCACCCTGGGTCTGGCCCACTCTGACCCTCAGTCTCTTCTCCACACCCCGACCTCTGCCCACCACTCTGACCCTCAGTCTCTTCTCCACACCCCGACCTCTGCCCACCACTCTGACCCTCAGTCTCTTCTCCACACCCCCACCTCTGCCCAGCTCCATCTGGCTCCTGCTGAAGAACCCCACGTTCATCCTGCTCTGCCTGGCCGGGGCCACCGAGGCCACTCTCATCACCGGCATGTCCACGTTCAGCCCCAAGTTCTTGGAGTCCCAGTTCAGCCTGAGTGCCTCAGAAGCTGCCACCTTGTTTGGTGAGAAAACTGAATCTTGGGGGTCCTCTGCTTTTATGTCAGTTCTCAGAAACAGAGTCTTCAAGGGCATCTTCTAGAAAGACCCAGACAGGGCACATGGCAGTGAGTGCCCTCCCACCCCCGCTGCCAGAGCAGGTGTGGAGAGCGCCACGGGGGCTGAGCGACTCTGTCCACAGGCCGGGAGAGTGGTGGTCCTGCCCTCTTTGTGGGACATGCTCCGTAGGTGGAAGGGTCCACGGTGGGCTCCACCCCCTAGCCACCTAGTCTTGGCTTCTGTGACTTGGTGCAGGAAGGGTTTGGACCTGGCTGTTCCATGAGCCAGGCACTGGTGCCTCAGGACCTCCTGGAACAGTGCAGCTGGGGGTTTCTCGGTGCCAGAGGCAGGCTGGCCTTCCCAGGCTGGGCAGGTCTGCAGAAAGTGGGGACCCCTCCTCAGAGCTGCTCCTCCTGCCAGCGTTCACAGAGTACCCTGGGCCATGGCAGAGGTGCCAGGCATGTGGGCCACCACCGCCAATCTACCGCGCTCTACCCTTCCAGGGTCCACTATCTGGACAGGAAGAGGGCATCAGATGAGGGCTCCCCTCCCTCCCCCACAGGCCCATCCTGGCCTGGCCCCTCTGGGCTGACCTCACAAGCCCACATTCCCACACTCAACAGCCCCCCAGAGGTCAGCTCTACTGCCCCTTGGAGAGCCTCCCCACCTGTCCCCCCAAATCTGTCCCCTCCCCACCTGTCCCCCCAAACCTGTCCCCTCTCCACCTGTCCCCTCACCTGTGCCCTCCTCACTTGTCAGCCCAGAAGCTAGATGCCAGCTAATCGCAATTTTTTACTGTTGGTGGCCACTCAGGCTTCGACAAATGTCCTTGTCACAGCCTGCAGGGACTCGGCAGAGGCCCCTGGGGGAGGAGGGGGTGTGGCTGCCCTGGAGGGGGGTCAGTGGAGGAGTCATTGGCTTCCCACTGGGGCAGGGGCCGCTGACCTTGGAGCACTCTGGGCTCTCCTCCTCCCCCCGCCCCGCCCCGCCCCCCCGCTCCCCCTTCCCCTTCCCCTTCCCCTTCCCCTTCCCCTCTGAGGCATCCCCGCTGTGGGCTCTGGACAGAGGTCCCTCCTAGGGCTCTATCAGCGCAACAGCTAAGCACTCAGGTGTGGTGTTGAGTGCTGCCATGCAGGCAGGAATTGATCCCTCTATGCCTCAGTTTCCCCACCTGTAAAGTGGACCCGGCTGATCCACCACCCTCTCCCACCACGGCCCCCTGCCTGAGTCCCTGGCTGAATCCCTCCCTCTCCCCAGGGTACCTGGTGGTGCCAGCGGGTGGTGGCGGCACCTTCCTGGGCGGCTTCTTTGTGAACAAGCTCAGGCTCCGGGGCTCCGCGGTCATCAAGTTCTGCCTGTTCTGCACCGTTGTCAGCCTGCTGGGCATCCTCGTCTTCTCACTGCACTGCCCCAGTGTGCCCATGGCGGGCGTCACAGCCAGCTACGGCGGGAGGTGAGGGCCAGATGGCACCTGGGTACGCGTCGGGGCCCCAAGCACCCGCGGTCCCTGGGCATGGAGGAGGAGTGGTGCAGCACTTGGGAGAGGTGGTTTTGAAAAGGGCTACGTCACAGGACAGCGGCAAGGGCAACACCCGCTCAGCAGGGCACCCGGCAGCATCCACGTGAAAAGGCACCATGCCAGCCCCCAGCAGTGCCTGCGCTTGGGTCCCGGCTGTGCCCCCGGGCAGTCATATGCCTCTCTGGGCCTCAGCACTCTGCTCTGTAGCTGTGTCAAATGGAACAACAGCCCTAGTGTTCGGGGTCCTTGAGGCTGGTCTCTCGGTGACATAAAAAGTGTCCCAGGATGTGCTCCTGGAGTTGCCATGTGCTGGGAGTGGGAGGGACACCTGCTGGTCAGGTGGCAATTAGGGAATATCCAAAATACACGTAGGTAGCCTGCACCTCGGCCCTGCCCTGCGGGCCCCGGGAGTGCACCTGCAGGTGCCGTGCAAGGCCGAGAAGCACAAAGCAGCCGTTGTGGCATTATCGGAACCTAAGAGTCATCAGGGTGGACGGGGTCACTACGCTGTCCTCACAACAGAGGCCCTGCCCACAAAGGAGTGGAGGAAGCTCATCCTGGGCCACTGCCAAGACATACTGTGAAGTGGGAAAAAGGAAGGAGTTGGACAATGGGCGCAGTGTGCTCTGATTCAAGTGAGAAGTGCAGATGTTTGTGACTGCCGAGGGGCGTGTACGTGCAGACGACCCCTGCAAATGCACAGCCGGCCTGTGGCTGGAGAACCGAGGACTGGGGTGGGGCTGGGGCCACGAGGCTGCCTTTGTGTACTTGGCGCTTTTTCTTTCCTAATGTTTGTATTTGATCCATATGAATGTGTTGCCTGTCCAAAAACAAATGAACTAGGGAAAGGGGCTGTGCATCAGGCGGACGGTGCTGGGGGGCATGGGTGTGCCTTCCTTGCGTGAGGAGGAAAAACCATTCTATCACCAGAAGGCAGTGCCCAGTGTGAGTGCCCAGCGTGCTGGGGGCGGTGCAAGCTTGGCAAGTTTGTAGACCCGAAATGCAGGCTGCATGGGGACGAGCCCCATGGCTGACCCTGTGCCTGCTGGGCGCCAGCATGGCTCTGGCCTGGACCCTACCACTCGCTTGTCCCCCCTCTGCAGCCTCCTGCCCGAAGGCCACCTGAACCTAACGGCTCCCTGCAACGCTGCCTGCAGCTGCCAGCCAGAACACTACAGCCCTGTGTGCGGCTCGGACGGCCTCATGTACTTCTCACTGTGCCACGCAGGGTGCCCTGCAGCCACGGAGACGAATGTGGACGGCCAGAAGGTGAGTGGAGCCGCTGCCTACCGCCCCTGTCCTCCCCTGGACCCTGGGAAGGGGCCCCCGTGCCTTCCCCTTGTAATCGGAGCTATTGTTGGGCTTCCCAGGTGTACCGAGACTGTAGCTGTATCCCTCAGAATCTTTCCTCTGGTTTTGGCCATGCCACTGCAGGGAAATGCACTTCAACTTGTCAGAGAAAGCCCCTCCTTCTGGTTTTCATATTCGTTGTAATTTTCTTTACATTCCTCAGCAGCATTCCTGCACTAACGGCAACTCTACGGTAAGCTGGGGTCGGGTGTGCGCTTGTCCAGAGCTTTCCTTGCAGCACCCTGAGGCGGAGCTCTGCAGATCCTGAGACAGGAGCACTCCAGGAAACACCCAGGTCTAAGCGGGCCTGTCTGTCACTGGTGGCAGGAGAGACCTCACTGTCTCTGATCTCTGACGAGGGGCTTCCCACTTGGGGGGGGGTGATGATGTGGCTGGGGACTGGTCCAGGAGGCCACTGGCCTAGGGGGTGACTTGGCATGCAACCCCACTTCTGTGGGTGCTGACGCTGTGGTTTTCTATTGCAGATGTGTCCGTGACCCTCAGAGATCCTTTGCCCTGGGAATCCAGTGGATTGTAGTTAGAATACTAGGTACTGTGCAGTGTGAGGAAGCCATGGTCAGTTGCACAGTGTGCTCACTGCACAAGGGCATGGGCAAGTGTCTAACCACCAAGGGGATGTGCTTCCCAGCAGGAGGCTGTTCCCGCCTGGGAAGGGGTCCATTCCCTAACTGTCCACTAGAGGGGCCCATCGTCATTTATTTGCCCAAAGGCTTTCCCTGGGAGATCATGGGAAACTCGCAGCCCCAATGCCGAATGCCCAAAGAAAGGAACGTTTAAGCCCTCTTTGCACCCCCTGAGAACTCCAACGGCCAGTATCACCTTCCCAGAGCCCATCATTCCAGGCCTCTTGGCTGCCTGCCCCCTGCCTAGCCCCTACCCACCAGGAGTGTGGGTGCTGAGTGGGCTTCTCTCCGCAGGGGGCATCCCGGGGCCCATCGCCTTCGGCTGGGTGATCGACAAGGCCTGTCTGCTGTGGCAGGACCAGTGTGGCCAGCAGGGCTCCTGCTTGGTGTACCAGAATTCGGCCATGAGCCGCTACATACTCATCATGGGGCTCCTGTACAAGGTAAGCAGGCCCAGGGAGGGGACAGAGGGTCTGCTCTGAGGGTGGCTGGGGGCTCCGAACATGCCGCGATCTTCCAGCAGCTTGGACCACAGCCTAGTACATCACAGATGTTCCTGCAGCCAGTTTGTAGAAGGCCCTTCCCACATTCCTCATGAGTTGGTTGTGGGGAGAGGCAGGTGGGCTGCAGGGCCTCCTCCTGGGGTTCACTGTCCAGGCCCCCAGCAGCTCCAGCAAAGCCCAGGCCCAGGCCCTGCTCCCTCTCCCACCTCCTGGGACTGCCCCTCCACAGTGTGGTCTTGCACGTACCCGGGATGCCCGTTAACTAAAAGCTTTGCAGAAATAAGAAGTGGCTGCTCCTGTTAGAGCGGCTTGACTAGCTGGTCCACTCCGGGCCTCAGTCTGGGGGGCTGGCGGGCAGGTTGCAGCCTCTCCGTGATCAGTGCGCCTTGGATTCCATTGGATCTCTTAGTCTGGCCCTCATTTTTCAAGCTAACAGAAACTTTCTGTTGTGACTTTTGGCGTATGCTACCTGGGAGGAAACGCAGTATTTGTGTTTGGAATTTGCCCCCATTAGACGATAAAGCACAAAGCCTTCTAAATAAAATGCGGTCCCACGGCCAGCTGTTCAGAGGATCTTGACGCTCTTCCTTGGGTGACGGACCCAGGAGAGTTCATCCTGCAGGAACCCGTGGCCTCAGGCTTTCCAGGAGGGAGGTTAGAGAAAGGGAAGGAGCCCAGCTGGTTCACCTCCCCTCGGATTAGCAGAAAAGAGGCGAGTCTGAGCAGGGCCTTGTGTGGCTCTGGAGAGAAGCAGTGGGTTAAGGAGACATACACCTCGGTTTCCCCCTCATCTGAGGTTTCACTTTCCACAGTTTCAGTTACCAGAGGTCCACCACAGTCTGAATGTATTAAATAGGAAATTCCAGAAGCAAACAGTTCATAACCTTTAAAGCACGCGCCGTTCTGCACAGTCTGGTGAGATCTTGATCTGTCCTGCCCAGGACTCGGATTCTCCCTTTGTCCAACTTTGGAAGAAGGCAAGGTCAGAACTTATTCTGCAGGGAGCTTTGGGGATATTGGATACTAAGGCCCAAGCCCTCTGTGATACGCCTTTCGCTTTGGCATAAAATAACGGTTGACTCTCTGTTAGGCGCGTCTCTGCTCAGGGAGTGGTGGTGTTTGGGGAAGCCCAAAGGCACATGAGCATCAGGAAATTGACCATTTGACTTCATAAGACATAACCTTTGTCCAGCGTGTCCAGGCTATTCATGCCACCACCTGTTGATCACTTAGCAGCCGGTGTGGTTCCCACATCCCCCATCACCATATCACAGTGCCATGTTCAAGCCACTCTTATTTACCTAATCATGGCCCCAAAGCACCGGAGCACTCACGCCGCCGTTCAGCTCTGCCAATGGGAAGCCGGAGGCGCCTCCTTCAGCGAGAAGGTGTAGTTCCTTGGCTGGGCTTAGTACTACCCTTAGACTCACGCGTCCACAGGGGTCTCAGTGTCTGCGGATGAGGGGGCTGCTGTACTTTCCCAGGGAGCCGTCCCCAGACTCTCTCTTTGCTGTGTTGGATGCATCCCTTAGCTGGGAGCAGCAGGCTGAGAGCCCTCCACACGCAGCCATCCCCTGGGCTCAGCACAGCCAGCGGGAGCCGTATCCAGAGGGTCAGAGTTGGCCTCAGCAGCGCATGCGTCCATGTTAATTGTAGCGGGGGAGCACACGGTGTCTCCTTATAAACACCCTCGCATTCCACTTTGTCCTGCACCGAGTCAAAACAGCCTCACTCCCTGAATGCAGGCTCAGGGCCATCAGCCAGGCTGACACTCCAGGAGGCACAGTGGGTGTTTCTGGTCCACGCCCAGCGTGGAAATCATAGTGGTGCACATGTACTCTGCGTGGGCATTGCGGCAGCATCCGTGCTTGGACCTCACCGCCTTTGGGGCCCACGTGGGATTCCTGCCACATCGTCCTCTTGCCCTGCAAAGTCGGTGCAGCCCCTCATTGTTGACAAAGAAACCAAGACCCTGAAGGTTCAGAACTGCCCATGATGGTGGCACCGGGGCTTGAACCCCGGCTGTGGTGGTGACCGGCGACTGGCTCTGTGTGAGGTTCCTGTGGCCGCCACGACAAAGGACCGCAAGCGGGGTGGCCTGATGTAGCAGAACCAGATTCGCTTGCAGGTGGGGGCAGGGCGGGCTCCTTCCGCCGCTCTGGCTCTCTGCAGCTGCATGTGGCCTTTCCCTCTGTCCCTGCCTCAAGTCTTCCTCTCCTTTCTCTCATGAGGACACCAGTCATTGGATTTGGGGCCCACCTTAGATCCAGGATGGTCTCATCTCAAATCCTTAATTACATCTGCAAAGACCCTATTTCCAAAAAAGGTCCCATTCACTGGTGTCTGGCACTGTTCAACCCATGACAAGCCCCTCAGTCCTGTGCCTCTGTTTTTAGTCAAAGGGTGTGTTTCATTCCCTCTTTAACAATATTGGCGTCTGCTCTACAAACCGGTTATATGGGAAAGATACCCTCTCAGAGCAGGATGGGTTTCCGTGGACCTGGTGAGGGTGCTGCAGGCTGGGGCAGGGACAGGACTGGGACAGGCCCACCAGTATCCAAAGGCTCTGGCCGAGCTCCCCACGAGGTCCAGCGGGCTCCTCTCTCCCCAGGTGCTGGGCGTCCTCTTCTTTGCCATAGCCTGCTTCTTATACAAGCCCCTGTCGGAGTCTTCAGATGGCCTGGAAACTTGTCTGCCCAGCCAGTCCTCAGCCCCTGACAGTGCCACAGATAGCCAGCTCCAGAGCAGCGTCTGACCACCGCCCGCGCCCACCCGGCCACGGCGGGCACTCAGCATTTCCTGATGACAGAACAGTGCCGTTGGGTGATGCAATCACACGGGAACTTCTATTTGACCTGCAACCTTCTACTTAACCTGTGGTTTAAAGTCGGCTGTGACCTCCTGTCCCCAGAGCTGTACGGCCCTGCAGTGGGTGGGAGGAACTTGCATAAATATATATTTATGGACACACAGTTTGCATCAGAACGTGTTTATAGAATGTGTTTTATACCCGATCGTGTGTGGTGTGCGTGAGGACAAACTCCGCAGGGGCTGTGAATCCCACTGGGAGGGCGGTGGGCCTGCAGCCTGAGGAAGGCTTGTGTGTCCTCAGTTAAAACTGTGCATATCGAAATATATTTTGTTATTTAAGCCTGCGTCCCCGTACCGCGTGCTTTATTTCTATGAGTTTGCAGAGTTTGGTGGTCTCGCCATCCTTGGCCCACGTCCTGTAGTCAGCCCTGTGGAATCCGTGGATATGAAAAGTTGGCCTTCCTTATCCACAGGCTCCCCCGTAAGTCGGCCTTCCTTATCCACAGGCTCCCCTGCTGAGGATTCATCCCACCTTGGATGGAAAATGCAGTTTTTGTGGGAGATGGAACTGGAGGGTACGGAGGGCTGACTGCACATACAAATATACATACATGAGTGTACATATGTTCTTATATAAACGTGTCACAGTAAAATTGTTCCTCATCTTGCGTTACATTTCCCTCGTTATTCATGGGGTGAACAGCTGGTATCAACTGCCTTGCGTCCCCCAGAGCCATATGTTGAAGCCCCGGCCCCAGGATGGCTGTGTTTGGAGGCAGGGCCTTTAGGAGATGATTATGTGCGGGGTCATAAGGGTGGGTGCAGGTCCCACAGGACTGGTGTCCTTAAGAGACCTCTGCCATCCGGAGCTCCTTATGGCCAAACCCTTCCCACTCGCTGAGCCCTGCAGCCCCAGGGCCTCTCTGAGGACTTAGTTTCAGGTGGGTCAGATCAGAACCCCCGGGTGGTCCCCAGCACTGAGGATGGACGCCACCCTCGCCCTCCGGTGCTCACAGTCTGCAGCGCCTGCCAGGAGTTCTCAAAACCCAATGCGTCGGTCAAGATCCCCCCCAAATTAGGGTACAATCCGGTGCTGGTGACATTTTGATTTGCTAAGTAAGGAGATAAAACACAGCCATAAGGAGAGGGGACCTGGGCTCACCAGGACGCTTGTGTGGAGCTCACTGCTGTGACTGCTGGGCCAGGGAGGGGCATGGGGGGGGCACAGAGGGCCAAGTTGGGAAATGATGGGGAGCAGGGGGTGCAGGGAGAAACTTCCCGAGGGAGGTGACAGAAGGGAGTGCAGGAACAGACCCTAGAGGGAGTACAGGGGCTCTGGGGAGCCAGGGAAGTGGATCGCCACTCAGAAGGGAGTGGGGAGGACGAGGAACCTCACCAGGTCCCACCTTTGCCATGTTCATCAGGAGTCCGGTTCATCAGGAGTCATCAGAGGTGGGTGGAGCTAGGGTCAGGATGAGGCTCGGGCATGCTGGGCAGTGCCGGCTTCCAGTGACCTGCCTCCTCCGGGTGTCACTGGGACACACTTCCAACAAGCAGGACTTAGCACAGGGCAGATGCCACATCCCTGACCGGGTTATTAGAGACCACGACACTGCCCAGCCCACCTTCTGACCAGGTTATAAGAGACCACGACACTGCCCAGCCCACCTTCTCGCCACTCTTCTCAAGGGCTGCCCTGGCGGGAACCCCGCATGGCCAGGAACTGGCCTCTGCCTACGGTCGGCAAGAAACCGGATGCTCAGCCCTGGCCTTCAAGGACTGGAATCCTGCCAAGGGCCACGTGAGCCAACCAAGAGGGGACGACACCCTGTAGCACCTGGACTGCAGACACATCAGAGACCCAGCTCCGTGGTGCCTGAATTCTGGACCCACAAAGGCTTTGACATAGTCAACGTGTGCTGCGAAAAGTCACTAAATTCTGGGGCAGTTTGTTCTGCAGCCATAGCTAACCAACACACTGGGCAACAGCACAAAACAAGGGCCAGTCCTTTGCCGCTCACCTGTTCTCCATGGGCATGGACCTCACCCCCCAGGCTCGTCTATGGCAGTGGCTGGCACTTGGCCACTGGGCTGGGGCAGGAGGGAATCAGGGTGGAAGGTGCCAGCCATCTCCTCCTAGAGTCCCACGAGACCATTTCGGCGGATGCCTGCCCTCAAGCCCTCTGCTCAGAGCTACGTCCCGTGGTCCCAGTGAGTGGTGGGCGAGGCAGGAACCAGCCGTGCTCCCAGCTGAAGGAGGTGTTCTGGTACCGGAGTGTGGGTGTTGGGGCACAGCTGGCCGCACCTGTCAGAGGCGTGTGGCACTGAGCATCCGTGTGGAGGTGTCCATGGGGCCCTCGGGGAGACTCATGGGAGCTGTCAGCCTGCGGGCTGAGCTGAGATTGGTCAGGGGAGCTCATCCGGGAAGGCTGGGCAGATCCAAATGGAACCCGGGGACCTCAGGACTGAGCAGGTGGAAGAGGCTGCGTCCTCACATCAGGGAAAGGGGGGAAGAGCCCAGGGACACTGGGTGGAGAAGGGATGAGAGGGAGGCGGCACACGCGGTCTGGCCACCAAGGGTGGTGCACCCTCTCTGCTGCCAGTGGTCAAGATGGTCTCTGACTCACAGATGACGATTCCAAGGGTCTGAGCGGCCCTGTGTGTTCCCCGATGTCTCACAGTGACAAATGGGCAGAGGCAGGGGCTGTGGACTGACAGCATCCCCCAGTTCGTAGGTCGAAGCCCCAGCACCCAGTGTGATGGTGTTAAGAGCTGGGACCTCAGGGAGGTGACTAGGGTGAGATGAGGGGGTGAGGGTGGCCCCCCGATGGGATTCGTAGCCCTGTAACAGAGGAAGAGACCAAGCTCCTCTCTCCTCTATGTGCTGACACGACTAGAAGACAGCCGTCTGCAGACCAAGGAAAGGACCCTCCCTGGGAGCCCAGCCTTGCTCGTGGGCTTCGGGACTCCAGAATGTGGGTAAGGCACGTCCGTTGTTTGAGCCGCCAAGCTATGGTTCTGTGATGGCCGCCGAGCTGACGGAGGCTGTAGAGTTTCGACTCCGGTCTGGGGGCTCCAAGGACTGTCCCGCTCCATGCCCTGCCCCCACCCTGGATGCCAGGAAGGAAGAGAAACGCCCCGAGCTGCAGAGAGGACAGAGAGAGGGAAGGAAGAGGACCAGCATGTTCGCACAGGGCACACAGTGGAGGCTCCCGCCCAGGATGGAGGGCAGGTATTCCAGGGAGCGGCCCCCAAAGCGACTGGGTGTATGCTGGGCTGCTCATCGGCATTGCAAGGCATCCATCTCCCTGCCGGCAGTGAGACTTCGTGGTGCGTGATGGATGAGGCCACCAAGCCCAGATTCCCTTCCCAGGTCCAGGAGGGCCCCTCCAGTGGGCAGCCCGGGCTGCCGGCCACCCACGCGGGCTCTGCCACCCCTCAGGCAGCTCCCAAGAGCTGCGGGGTCTCTGCAGCTCTTGAGCTCTGCTGCCCTCGCCTCGATCTAAGCTCCCCTTGCCTTCCCCATTGACAATCCGCCTGGCTCTGACTCAGGCCCAGGGAGGAGACAGGAGCAGATGGCTGACAGGGACAGTTGGGACACAGGGGCAGAGAGGAAGCAGTCTGGTTGCAGCCTGGTCCCGGCCCCAGCCCCCCAGGCCTGATGACCCAGCCTCTGTGTGACTCAGTGCAGGGAGCGTGTGGCTCCTGGCCCTGCCACAGAGGCCAGAAGGCATCTGCAGATGCCCACACAGGCCCCCCGCTTCTCCGGGATCACGGGCGCACCCAGCCTGGTGGGCACATGGGCCCTGGATACGCCCTCGGCTGCATGCTGGCCTGGGTCCTGGATGCCTCCCACAGCCAGCCCCTGTCCTCCCACGTCCTGGGAGGAGCCCCTGGGATTAGCCAGGAAGGTGCCGGCCACAGGGCCCGGCTGCCTGTGGGGAGGAGAAAGACATGCATCCTGGGAGAGGGAGAGGCAGGCAGGAGTCCTCCAAGCCCACTTGGTTTTCCCTCGAGAGATTTTCCACGGCTGCTGGGATGAGGGCTGCGGGGGCCTCCTGTGTGCTGTGCACTAAATGTTCTTCAAGAGTCAGACGCCAGGAGCAGCTGGAAACGTCAAATTTTCTGGTTGTTGGACCAGTTCCTCTTATTCTTCTGTGCATTTAAAAATTATCACTGAATTCGGCCGGCTCGCCAGCGCACGCCTATAATCCCAGCACTTTGGGAGGCTGAGGCAAGCAGATCGCTTGAGCCCAGGAGCTTGAGACCAAACTGGGCAACGTAGCGAAACCCTGTCTCTGTAAAAAAAAAATACAAAACATTAGCCGGGCATGGTGGCGTGCGCCTGTAGTCCCAGCTACTTGGGAGGCTGAGGTGGGAGGATCGCCTAAGCCTGGGAGGTCAAGGCTGTCGTGAGCCATGAATGTGCCACTGCACTCTGGCCTGGGTGGCAGAGTGAGACTCTTTCTCAAAATAATAATAAGAAGAATTCCTACAACCCAACAATGAAAGGATGATCCAATTTAAAAATGGGCAAAGGATTTGACTTTTATTTCATCACAAAAGACATAGAAAAGGCCAACGAGCCCAGGAGAAGATGCTCAAGATTTTCCCACTCAGGGAAGTGCAAACCAAAGCCACAGCGCTGACCGTATCAAAAACAAAAGCAACAAACAAACAAAACCAGAAAACGACACGTCGTGGAGAACTTGGAATCCTCACACACTATGGGTGGGAATGTAAAACGGTAAAATGGCACAGCCGCTTTGGAAAACAGTTTTGCGGTTCATCAAAAAGTTAACCATGGAATTAGCAGATGACCCAGCAATTCCACACCTAGTATCTACCCAAGAGAAATGAAGACATATGTCCACATAAAGACATGCATACAAATGTTCACGGCAATGTTGCTCATAACAGTCAAAAAGTGCACCAGCCCGAATGTCAACTGGCTGATGAGTAGGTAAATCAGCGTGGGCTGTCCACACAGTGGGTCTTGCTTGGCCGTCAATCAGAAAGAATGAAGCCCTGCGCTATGGTGTGCAGGTGCGCATGGACCTTGAAACATGCTCAGTGAAAGAAGCCAGACACAAAAGGCCACGTGTTTTGTGATTCTTTTGTAAGAAATGTCCAGAATGGACAAATCTGTAGAGACAGAAAATGGACTAGTGGTGCCAGGGGCTGGGGGAAGGTGAGGCGGGAGCGACTGTCATGGGTGCAGGGCGTTTTGGTGCAGTGATGAAATGTTCTGGAGTTAGATAACGGTGATGGTTGCACAACTCTGTGAACATGCTTAAAAAACCGAATTGTACACTTTAAAGGGTGAATATTTGGGGATGTGACTTATATCTCAGTAAAGCTATTATTAAATACATCCATCCATGCATTCATCGCTGACTGCCTGCCCTGTGCTTTCACTCCTGTAGACCATGGAGATCTGTTGGGGGATCTGTGTCTGTTCCATAACTTTCTGGTGTCTGTTCCATAACTGCAACTCTGCCAGGAGAGCATGTGTGGGCCCCATGTTCAGATGTACCACAATCTCCCTCCCTGCTCACTTCCTTAGGGTGGCAGGAGGCAGAAAGGGGGCTTGAGACCTACACTCCAACCCCACTGAGCAGAGGATGGCAGGAGGCAGGAAGGGGGCGTAGAGACCTGCACTCCAACCCCACTGAGGCAGATATTTTCCAACAACGGCCACAATATGTCCCATTTCCTCTGCTGGAGGTGGGGTCTGTGCACCCTCTTTTTGAGCCTGGCAGGCGATTGGGAGTGCCTCGTGGCAGAGGTGACACAGCTTCTACTGGCAGTGCCTTCTGGGAACGCTCAACTTGGGAACCCAGCGCCACGCTGTGAGCAAGCCCAGGTCATGGGAGCCCCCGCTCTGGCACCAGCTGTCAGCCAGGCCGAGTCCGCCGTGATGGGGGTGCCGTCTTGGGTGCTCCAGTCCCCAGCTGGGCTCTCTGTCCCCACTTCCCCTTAGGGGAGGGAATCAGCCCTTCCCACCTAGCCACACCTGCAGATTTGGGAAGGAAAGAAGTAAGGATGCTGTTTTCAGCCTGAGGGCCTCTGCTGTCAGTAAAGGCTTGAAAGAAAGTGAGGCAAAGGTTGATGGAAGCTGGAGGAAGGGAAAACCTCAGAAGACAGGAACAGTAGGTTATGCAGCGCTGTGGCCTGCAGGGACACAGAGGCAGAAAACGTGCAGATGCCCTGGGCGAGCGGCGACTCCAGGCAGAAACGCCAGCAGGCTTTATTGCAGCTGTGCATAAGAAGGAGAAGAGAGGGTTTTGTTTAACTTCAGTTTTCAAGCAAAATTTAGATAAAATTAAAGAAGTCAGGACTTAACAGAATTTAAAAGAAAGCTGTTGACAATGCCAAGTGCTGATGAGGACTCTGGTGGCTGGAACACTCACCCGTCGCCGGTAGACGTGGAGAGCAATACGGCCGCTCGGGAACCCAGCTCGACAGTTTACTATAAAGTTAGACCTGAACCTTCTTATAACACAGAAATTCCACTCCTAGAGAAAGGCAAAATTATGTTCACACAAAATCTTGTACACAAATGTTTCTTACAGCGCTATTCTTTTTTTTTTTTTTTTTGAGACCGGGTGTTGCTCTGTCACCCAGGCTAGAGTGCAGTGGTGCAATCTCAGCTCACTGCAGCCTCTTACTCCCGGGTTCAAGCGAATTTTCACAATCATCAACAAAATTGGAAACCACCCAAATGTCCTCTAGGAAGTGAAAGGATAAATAGTCGTACAGCCACACGATAGACTCAGCCGTGAGAGGGGGGCACTGTTAATATGCAACAGGGACGAACCTGGGAGGCACCACGCTGAGCAAAAGAACCAGACCCCAGAGGTTAGTAGTGTGTGGTTTCACTTACACAACAGCTTCCAAAAGGCAAAGCTGCAGGGATGGAGAGGAGACAAGCCGTTGCCAGGGGCTGGGGTGGAGAGGAAACTGTGGCTTTTAAAAGTAGCATGGGGCTGGGCAAGGTGGCTCGCGCCTATAATGCCAGCACTTTGGGAGGCCGAGGCAGGCAGATCACTTGAGGTCAGGAGTTCGAGACCAGCCTGGCCAACATGATGAAACCCCATCTCTACTGAAAATACAAAAATTAGCATGCCTGTAATCCCAGCTACTGCAGAGGCTGAGGCAGGAGAATCGCTTGAAGCTGGGAGGCAAAGGCTGCAGCAAGCCGAAATCACACCACTGCACTCCAGCCTGGGCGACAGAGCAAGACTCTGTCTCAGACAAACAAACAACAAAAAAGTAGCATGGCAGAGCTGCTCTGGGTCACGAAGCTATCTGTGTCCTGATGGTGGACGTGGTTCTGGGTCATGAAGCTATCTGTGTCCTGACGGTGGACGTGGTTCCACAAATCCATACATGTGTCAAAACTCATCAAATTCCTTTTTTTTTTTTCTGATACACATTCTCCCTCAGCCACCCAGCTTGGAGTGCAGTGGTACAATCATGGCTGACTGCAGCCTTGACCTCCTGGTCTCAAGTGATCCTCCCACCTCAGCCTCCCAGGTAGCTGGAAGTACAGGCACATAACCACCACGCCCAGCTAATTTTTGTATTTTTTGTAGATAGGGTGTCTTGCTATGTTGCCCAGGCTCGTTTCGAACTCCTGAGTTCAAGCGATCCTCCTGCATTGGCCTCCCAAAGTGCTGGGATTACAGATGTGAGCCACCATGCCTGGTTTATGGAATCACTTTTTACAAGCCAGTTTTACTGCACAATAGCTTAAAAAATAAAATCAAAAACACTGTTTCTCATTCCAAGATTCTCCAGGTGGTAAAGGATTCTTAAATTAATGAAAGGACGTCAGGCCCAGGCCACAGCAGCAGCAGAGAGTCTAAGGAGGGAGTCAAGGATGTGGCTCAAAACTCCTCTGTTAAAACGTCAGAAAAGTTTCAGGTGATTATTCATAGACTCTCTCGAATAAAGGAAAGGTCTGCAGTGGATCTTGAGGGTATACCTTAAAGACCCTCTACACGAAACAGAGAGTTTCTAAGAATCTTTGGGGAGTTGTTCCAGGGCTACCCCCAGGAATCCCCCAGGAGAGGAGAGCTCGTCTTGACAAGATTTCTAGATCGAGATTTGGGCTGATGGGGTGAACCCAAGGAAGAGCCATAGGACCCACAGTGTTTTTATAATGATCGAGTTCAACGTTCGTAGAAACTGCTGCTGTATTTGAAATTTCATTTCCCAGTGCCCTCTGCTGGTGTATAGAGATGACGGTTGAGTCCCGTGTGCTGACCCTGTGTCATGAAACCTGCTAGGCCCACTTTTGTGCAGATGCCATGGGATTTCTACATAAACAGCCATGTCATCTGTGAAGAGGGAGAGTTTTAATTTCTTCTTCCTCTCCGACCTATATTCCTTTCATTTCTTTTTCTTGCCTTATTGCACTGGCTGGAACCTCCAGTACAATGTCAAATGGGAACGGTGAGAGAAGGCATCCTTTACCTGTTCCTCGCCTTAGGAGAAAACAGTCCACCTCTCAATGCCTCTCAATGTGAAGTGTGACGTTAGCTGCATGTATTTTTTTAATAGAAGCCCTTTATCTGTTAAAGAGGTTCCCCTTCTATTTCTAGTTTGCTGATGGTTTTTTTTTTTTTTTAACCATAAATGGGTGTTGAGCTTTGATGGCCGTTTCTGAGTCTGTTGACACAATCCCACAGTAGATCTTCAGTGTTGATGTGGTAGATTGCGCTGGTCGCTTTCAGAATGTTAAGCCTGCCCCCCACCCCCTGGGATACACTTGATCATGGGCTATGCTTTCAAATGTTGCTGGATTCAATTTGCTGGTGTTGAGTTAAGGGTTTTTGTGTCTACGTTCATGAAAGATATTGGTCTCTAGTTTTATTTTCTTGTACTGTCTTTATCTGGTTCTGGTATATGGGTAATGCTGGCTTCATAAAATAACTTGGGAAATGTCTCATCCTCTTTGTGTTTTTCCAGACAGGGTCTCACTCTGTCACCTGGGCTGGATCACGGTGGCATGAACACGCCTCACTGTAGGCTCAACCTCCCCAGGCTCAGGGCTCAGCTGATCCTCCCATTTCAGCATCCTGAGTAGCTGGGACTATAGGCACAAGTCACCACGCCCAGATAATTTGTGTAAATTTTGTTGCCCAGGCTGGTCTGTAACTCCTGGGCTCAACTGATCCCTTGGCCTCCCAAAGTGCTGGGATTACAGGCATGAGCCACCCTTCCTGGCCTTCTTTTCTTTAAGTTGAAATAATGTTAGACTTCTATGCACCTGTAAGAAATAAACAATACAAAGAGATCCCTTGCACACTTTGCCCAGTCTCCCCCAATGGTAACATTCTACAAAACTGTACTTTGATATCACAAACAGCCAGCCCATCAACCTTATTCTGATTCCGTGGTTCTGCTTATACTCACTCGTGTGCGTGTGTATTAAGCCGTGTCACTTGTGTGCGTGTTTATTAAGCCTTGTGTACACACTCGTGTGTGTGTATTAAGCCGTGTGTACACACTCGTGTGTGTGTTAAGCTGTGTGTACACACTCATGTGTGCGCGTGTTTATTAAGCCGTGTGTACACACTCGTGTGTGTATTAAACCGTGTGTACACACTCGTGTGTGTGTGTGTTAATCCGTGTGATGTTTTATCTTCTGTGCAGGTTCTTGTATTGACTGTGCTCGAATATCCATGTACGGGCTTTGTGTGAACAAGAGCTTATCTCTCTGGGTAAAATCACCAGGTTGTGTGGTAGTTGCAGTGCCCCCATCCCTTTGTATATTTGTTAGAAGAGATTGCATAAATTGATGTTACTTAGAATTCACCAGTGAAGACATCTAGGCCCGGAGATTTCTTTTTCAGAAGGTCTCACTGAAAAAAAAATCCGTTTCTTTAATAAATACAGGACTATTCACTTTATCTGTTGCTTCTTGGGTGAGTTTGGTAGTTTGCAAAAACTTTTCAGCTACAAGGATGAACTAATTTTATGGAAAAGGGAGGTTGACCCAGAGGATGGAACTGAGAGCTCAGACAGCAGGGCGGCCCTGGAGAGCCATCCCCTGAGCTAGGACTGAGCCCTCAGCCGGGCCCCGTAACTTCACTCACCCAGATTTCAGGACCGCATGCCCGGGAGACTGCTGCGTGCCTCTCCCTCCCTGCTCTTTGAAAGGGGAGCCGACGGTGTGGTCTGTCTGTCCCACTACTGGTGTTAGCTTGTCAGGGGCAGATAACTCTTCAGTTCACAGCTCTTCAGATGGAGAAGGGGGTGCACCTGGGAGCCGTACGCCTGCAGCACCTTGTCCACACCTGGACCTGGCTTGCGGGACAAGACTCTGGGCTTGAGTCAGAGTTTGATGTCACCATGGAAAGAGACCATAGGGGAGCCAGGGCAGAAGGTGAATTTATTTTGCATGAGGGAGAATTGTGAATTGCCGGGGCCACAGAGTCGACTATGGCAGATGGCACTTTCCCCAAATGCCCATGCATTTGGACACATGAGTGTGGAGACCACAGAGGGGACAGATGAGCGTGGTGACCGCTGAGGGGACAGATGAGCATGGAGACCACGGAGGGGACTGAGGCTCTCCACTCAGGGGGATAGTGGGACATTCCATGAGTCTGCAGAAATCTGGGGCACCTGCCAAAGTCCAGGCATCATCCCATCAGATAGCAGCATGTGTGTGCATGTGACCATGTGACCACACACACACACACACACACACACACAGTTGTCATGCAGTGTCCCGGTGAATGGGGGCTCCTAGCCCATCCTGAAGTGGGGGTCGAATCCTGGCTGTGCCACTTCCAAGTCGTCTGAACTTGTGTGGATCATGTCACCCCCGACTTAGTGTCCCCATCTGTGAATGGGGCCCATACAGGGACCCCCATCATAGGGCATGGCGAGGGTTAACCGCTGCACCTGTGCAGAGCTCTGGGGACACAGCTGGACACAGCATGAGGACGGCCAGCATCCTCGCCAGTCCAGGGCCACACAGTGGTCTCTTTCTGTGCTGAGCTGGAGGCTCGAGGCCGCGGATGGACCCTGAAGCTGCGCAGGCTGTGAGGGCGCCCTGGTGCTTCCTCTCAGTGTCAGCTCTTTGGGGAACACAAAAGATGAACCATAGGGAGCGATTACTCAGAACCATAATTTGCACTTAGATTGATTTTAATCGGCAGCACATTAGAAAGGCGCATGTGATCACCGTTTAATGACTGTGATGTGCGTAATCCATTTTATTCTCAGCTGGCTCCTGTGGTAATTACATTTCTCTTGTGTTTAATTCATAACTTGATCATTTATTCCAAGTCGTGTTGGGCTTGGACCTCGGGCTCTCGGGAGCGGCCGTGACGGAGCTCAGACCCAGCACTTCTCCTGCAGAGCCAGCCGCTCGCTGCTGGCCATGCCTGGAGGTGGCGAGGACGGGCTTTTCCATCACTCTCGGTGGGGGCACCTGCTCCAGGGGCAGCTCCATGGGCGCTTGGCGGGACGGAAGCTGCGGGAATAGTTGATGTTGAGGTTGACGGCGACAGTGAGGACTGCAAGAATACAGTCACGTACCCTGGAACAATGTTCAGGCCAGTGATGAACCTGTAATACCACAGGGTCCCGTACAATATGAGACCTATTGTTGGTGCACCTTTTCTAGGTTCAGGTGTGTTTAGAGACACAAATGCTCACTGTTGCGTTACAGTTGCCTCTTGTATTCAGCACGGCAACACACAGTGTGGGTTTGTAGCCTTGGAGCAACGGGCGACACCATGTGGCCTCGGAGTGTCGTGGGCGACACCGTCTGGGTTTGTGTGAGTGCACTCTGCGGTGTTCGCAACCAAACACCGACTTTCTCAAAACTCTCTCCATCAGTAAGTGATGCAACGCTGCACCGGATGCAAGATCACGTGACCACACGCTCCCCACACATGCAAAGATCTCACGTGACCACGCGCTTCCCACACACGCTCACGCAACGATCTCACGTGACCACGCGCTTCCCACACACGCTCACGCAACGATCTCACGTGACCACGCGCTTCCCACACACGCTCACGCAACGATCTCACGTGACCACGCGCTTCCCACACACGCTCACGCAACGATCTCACGTGACCACGCGCTTCCCACACACGCTCACGCAACGATCTCACGTGACCACGCGCTTCCCACACACGCTCACGCAAAGATCTCACGTGACCACGCGCTTCCCACACACACTCATCCCCCAACAGCAGTGGGAGGTCCAGGGGCATGTGGCAGCCCCAGGGGTCCTGGGTGTTCTACTTAACCTTTCTGTGCCTCAGTTTCTCCCCTCTGAAATGGGGCTGATACCACAGTCTCAGTTTCACTGGGGTGATGAGCTGGGGTGCCTGGATTATAGGAAGTGCAGTACATGTGTTTGTTAAATCACTAAAACCATCAGCACCTTTGCCTGACAGGTGAGGAAACCGAGGCACAAGGAGCTGATTGGCCCGTGATGGCCTCAGAGCTCATCAGCCAACCCCCACCAGGCTACGCTGCCTCTTCTGGGAGCCTCCGGTCTCCCCAGAACATCTATCCACTGGGGTTAGATTTGTCCAATGCCCCCACCACAATCACAGGGGAGACTGCTTGTCAGCACAGGGCCGGCCACCCTGGCACCAGTTCAGTCCCTAGGGAGGGTCTTTCCCTGGCATCCCAGGGACTGGGCTGTCATTTAAGTTTAGGCCACTGACACGAGCTCATTCATCCCCCCACTCCCTCCCTCAAGTTTCCTGAGTGTGCAAGCAAACCCCCCCACTGCCCTGGACACACTCATTCCCGCCAGGGCGATCAGGGGTCCCCATAACTCATCAGGGCAGCCCCCACCCCAGCAATCCCCACACCTGGAAGTCGCTCATTAAGACCTCATTAGCCCGTGCTCCACCTCCCACCCCATGGCCGTGGTGAGTTTAGTCTGCAGCAACGACCCGACCACACCAGCTGGGCAACGAGAGCTGCGAGAATGGCAGCACTGTCTACTCTCCACTTTCCCCAGAAAGGCCCGGCCAAAGCATGCACAGGCAGCCACGCCAGGGGCTCCTGCAGCACCTCAGAGAGACCAGTAATGGGGCGGATTAGCAGGGGCCAAGGGTCTGGGGTGAGGCCACAGTGCATGGAGTGCATGGAGGTTGGGGCACGTGTGACCAGCCAGGGTCATAAAACACACATGGTCAGAGCAGGGCACTCAGCTGCCGAGGAGGGGGGTGGTGGGGAGGCACGGGCAGGCCTTGGGTGCAGTGAAGCAGGCGGGCAGGGGAGGGTGGCAGCGGGGTGTGGGGGCAGGAGGAGGGGGGTGGTGGGGAGTGGGGGCTGGGTCGGGGCTGGGCCCTGGCTGCCCTGGCTGCCCCCCGACACCTTCCCCAGCTGGTCGGTGCCCAAGGGTGGGTTCGTGGGGCAACTGCACCCGCTCCCTTCCACTCTGCTGTGGCCTGACCAAGCGGGCTGTTTTCTTGCTTTGTTTGTTGTTTTTTTCTTAAGGAAGAAGAGAATGAATTTAGAAGGCTGTAAACCCCATCTGAGCCTTACACATAGATCTCCTTGAATTGGATTTTCACCAAGGCCGTGATGGATGTGGAGTCTCGGCTTTCTGACAACGTCTTCCAGAGCAGGCTTTCTCTAGAGGGTGGACTGCCTGTGTTCTCCTGGGAGAGAATGCATTTGCTTCCGATGCCCAGGGCACGAAAGAGGTGGACGAAACAACGGAAGTGGAGGGGGTGGATTCTCTACCTGGGAAACCCAGCATGGCACACTCATATAGAATTAAGATCTTATAATAAGTGTGCAGATGCGCCCGTTCTAAGGAAATAAAGGGTTCTGCCCTCCTAAGAATTCTGCCCTTGCAAGGGGTGTGAAACCTGCAGAGCTGCTTCCCGGCTTCTTCCTCCAGGAAGCCCTCCGTCCTCCTCCAAGCTGTAGACACAGGGCTGGTAAACAGGTAGCCAGGCGCCCCCACAGCCTCGGTGTGGATCCATGGCTGAGCAAGTCCTCCCTGGCCACTCCCATCTCTGATGACAGAACATACCATGATGAGAGCCGCTGAATTAGCAAGACAGTGTGGGGAAGGTACCCTCCGGGGACTGGGGGGCTTCTGGACTCCGAGAGCCCCTGCGTCCATTCCTGTTTATCGCGGCCACTTCCCATCTGGGCAGGGCAATCTCTGTACCTGGGGAGTGCAGCCGCCCATGGAGACGGCTCAGAATAATGAGCTGAGTGTCTCCGTGTAGCTCCCGCCCCAGTGCGGAGCTCCTGGTACAGGATGGCAGGTGGTGTCTAAATAGCTATTCATAAGGACATTATCTCCAAGCACCGGGTGGAAACGAGCCTTCCTCCCCCCAGCTGAGAAGTGACAGGCACTTCCCTGTTTACTGAGGACAACAGTCAACCGCAGAGCGGCGTGGAGCTCGCAGTTCTTCTCATGTCACAGTTGTGACTGAGTGTCATGTCCTAAAGCTTCAGGATGAATGCAACTCCGCTCCACCAAGGGCCGGGGACAGAGTGAGAAGACACTGGCGCCAGGAGCGGGGAAGAGGGGAGGGGCCGGCAGCTGCCTAAAGAGCAGGCCCTCCTGCTGTTTCTGAGCCCCCGAGGGCCCTCTGACCCCAGACACCTTCCCTGCCAGCTGAACACCATTCCAGAGTCAGATCTTGGTTTTGTTTTCTTTCTTTTAAAAATATTTTATTATAAGGTGAAAAGAAAAGGAGAGTACACTAAGTCTTAGCCATGGTTGGCCCTTTAGTCTGAATTAGTATATCAGCTATTTTACCAAGGGCAGGTTTGGACGGTGCAGAGACAGGAAGAGAGTATCAGAGTGCCCAGCACCACAGAGAAGGGGTGGCTGGCCAGGGCGCCCATTGCAGGCAGATGAAAAGGGTGCCCCCGAACAGGCACGATGGGTAGGGCACCCCCAAACAGGAGCAATGGGAAGGGCACCCCCAAACAGGAGCAATGGGAAAGGCACCCCCAAACAGGAGCAATGGGAAAGGGCACCCCCAAACAGGCACAATGGGAACGGCACCCCCAAACAGGCACGATGGGAAGGGCACCCCCAAACAGGCACAATGGGAAGGGCACCCCCAAACAGGAGCAATGGGAAAGGGCACCCCCAAACAGGCACGATGGGAAGGGCACCCCCAAACAGGAGCAATGGGAAAGGGCACCCCCAAACAGGCACGATGGGTGGGGCACCCCCAAACAGGAGCGATGGAAAGGGCGCCCCCAAACAGGAGCGATGGAAAGGGCACCCCCAAACAGGAGCGGGGGCCTCTGAAGGCAAGTGGCAGCAGCTTCCTAATCCTGGCCCCACGTTGTTCCAAAGGTCCATGAAGTTGACCAAACGCCACACAGCCACGGGAGACACAGTGGCCACCCTGGGGCGTCTACACTGAAGGCCAAGGGCATGTGGAGGAAGAGCCATCTGAGCCGAGGCCCGGGGAGGAGCCAGCAGGCCAAGGAGGCGGAAGAAACCACGCAGTGGCGTCCAGGGCAGGGCAGGTGCGTCATCCGGGCGGGATGCAGAGACACGTCCTTCCACCAACCATCTGAGGAGCACTTGGCACCCACACAATGAGCCCGGCAAGGGCCACGCCAGGAGGCAGCGCACGGGGCAGAGCCTCTGAGCCAGAGAGGGGGAGGTCCCTTGGGAGGCCCCTGCCATCCCCCGCTCTGGGTGGGCCTCTCCAGCCAGACTCTGCGCCCCAAGGGCAGGGCTGGGCCTAAGCCACACCTCGGGGTGCACGGGCTGTGGGGGGCCGCTCCTGGACACGGAAGGACGACACCGGCTTCCCTGTACCTCTGCTGGGGCCGCGGGTCCCATGTCGTCAGCGTGGCCACTAGGCTGCCAGCCTAGCACAGCCTCCAGGGCAGCCATGGCCCAACCTGCCTTCCGAGCCTCAGGGGTATCCCTGAGCACATGGGAGTGCAGGAAAAGGTACCCCAGGGGATCCCCACTCACCTCCCGGCCATGTCCTACCAGGCACTAGTGCCGCGCTGCAGCCACCCCCGGGCCTTACCCACCCCCACCAGCTTCATTGCCTTCCAGGTCCCAGCACCACCAGTTTCATTGCTTTCCAGGTCCCAGCACCACCAGCTTCATTGCTTTCCAGGTCCCAGCACCACCAACTTCATTGCCTTCCAGGCTCTCAGCAGCATAAGAGACCTACACACACACACACGTGCACACATACATAGAAGGGGCTGACTCACACGCCACCCCATATGCAAGCCGCAGAAGCTGGGCGTCCACTGAGCAGCAGAGATAGCCCATCCCAGAGGGCAAGGAGGATCCCTGGGGTCCCTACGAGAACACCTCGCCCAGGTCCTGCCCGCGGCCCCCCACGAGGCCTCTTTGGGAGGGAGGCTGCCCCCTACACCACTCAGTGCTAGGACTTACCCATGCACCCCCCAGCCCTGTGCAACCCTGCCCGTGCACCAATGACCCCACTCACCCCTGACCCTGCTCACCCCAACCCCGCTCACCTGTAGCCCCACCAGGTTCTTAAGCAAAAGCTCAGTCTGTGTGCACACAGCAAACACAATTCTGCCTATATTTTCTCGGGGTTTGGGGCTCACATTGGACACTGGAGGCTCTCTTGAGTGAGTAAGAGCAGCAGCTCAGGCTTTTGAAGGCAAAATGGAATGGACGCAGGGCCCAGGAGACACCAACTGGGTGAGAGCAGGGCTCCAGAGCCAGCAGATGGCTGGGGTGGGGGATGCATGCCCCCTGCCACCCACTCCAGCAAACCCGGTCCCCTGACTTGGGTTGTGTCCAGCAATGGCTTTCTGGGCTTGAAGGCAGAGCTGCCAGGAGGAAGGAGTCCCTCTGCAATGTCAGAAGCACCAAACACAGGGGAGACCTAACTTTCAGGGCCTGGGGGAAGCTGGGGTGGCCAGGCTGGTGGGAAGGAGACATTAACATTTTCCGAGAAGCCCTTTAATTCTTCCCAATAAACCGAACGAGTACAAGCCTCAGCATGGAAGCACAGCTTTCTAGAAGCTGGAAAATCAGGCTCATCACAAAAGCTCGAGCACAGTTAATTTCCTCTGACATTTCCTCCTGTGGTTAGTCTTGGAGCCAGCAGGTGGCCGGAGGCGCCCCATTCTTTCCCATAAATGGACGGTCTCTAAGGAATCAAGTCAGGCCCTCATCTCCAAACCCTCATCCCATTTTTCCCTGGCCTGCACGTGGCCAGCTGTGCCCCGCGCCTCGTAGGCCTGTCCCTGGCTGTGCCCCGCGCCTCATAGGCTTGTCCCTGGCTGTGCCCCGTGCCTCGCAGGCCTGTCCCTGGCCGGCTGTGTCCCGTTCCTCGCAGGCCTGTCCCCGGCTGTGCCCCGTGCCTCGCAGGCCTGTCCCCGGCTGTGCCCCGTGCCTCGCAGGCCTGTCTCTTGGGCAGAGTGGCTCCCTCTCTCCATCAGTCCTTCCTCCATCACACCGGTGCTCGTGCAGAAGCCAGGGCTCGCAGACATCACCCTAGGCACTGAGGATACCAGCTGCCCGAACGGACAGACGGACAGATGCTCAGCCTCCTCAGGTGCTGGCCCATGGCCTCCCAGGCTGGATGAGCAGCAGGTCCCTACGGGGGACGTGGCAGAGGGGACCCCAGCCCCAGCAGGGCCCAGCGAGCCGGGTGCCCAGCACAGCACTCACCTGAGCAGCTGTCTCCACCCCGCATTGAGCCCCTCCTGGGGACCGCCCCTTTCCAAAGACGCCCTGGTCATCTTAGACCCCCAGACCCTCCGGAAGGCGACCGCCATGCCTTAATAACTTGCGGGGGCTCAGGCAGAGCTGTAGGGATCCTGCCAAGCTGCCCGATTCCTTGTGTTCCTGGCAGGGGGATCCACATCATCCTCACCCCACTCCATGTGTGGGACGGGGCACCCAGGAATGTCTGGGGCCGAGGAAGGGGGTGGACCTGAGGGAACCCCTACCTGCAGAAATAATCATGAAAGGGGTGGAGCAGATGCGGGGGACCCGCGTCCCCACCCTCACCCCCAGGGGCTGAGTCGACGCCTGCAGCCAGCGCCTGCACTCCTGTTCACATGGGCTTCCCTGGCCTCTGTGCCTGCTTTGCGCCTGCGCGGCAGGTGAACGACCCCAGCCCCCTTGCCTGGTGAGTGGGCCTGTCTGCCGTGGATTCCCCAGCTGCATGGTGCCTCGGGTGCCCGCGATGGTCCTGGCCCCCTCCCTCGCATCGGCCACCTCTCTGCTCCAGCGGTGCTTCCTGTGTGTCCTCCCAGTAAACCTCCTGCCCCTGACCCCAGTCTCCCCTCTGTCTCAGGGGCCCACAGGGAGACAGACAACCTCTGGGTGTCCGACGTCTCATCAAGTCCTTTGATACTCCAGGGGAGTGGGGTTGACAGTTTTCCATGGGAGGACGGAGCTCAACAGAGGGTGTCACCTGCACAAGGTCACCATAGGCTCTGACCCTGCAGCCAAGGAAGGCTCTGCAGGAGCCCCGGGAATCCCAGCCACAGAACAGGAGGGAGCTGCATGCTCTCACTCCACGCCCGCCCTCCACCGAGCCGCAGGCCAGAGCCCTGGCTGTGCTATTACTCACTATTATCTCAGATTTACCATTCATTTTACCAGGAGAGAAACTGCAAAAGGAAATTAACATTTCCATACTCTGCAGCGAGATACTTTCATGGACGCATTCTGAGATTTATTCTTTAATAATGGAAAGGAAACACCCTACTGGCTTCCAATTCGGGGCCTGACAGTTCATCCTATTCCAGGCAGAGAACCGCAATTCAATAAACGCGCTTTCATTTGTTTTGTTTTATTGACTTTGTTGTGTTAACTTGGTTGTGGGAAATGTCGAACATGGTAAACGGAATGAGGTTGGATCATGAACCCGCCCTCCCGGGCCTGCCGTCACAGCTTCCACTGTCAGCCCCCACATCTCACCCACCTGCCCGCGCACAGTCTTCCCCAAATTATAGTTCTAATATTATGTGGCAAAGTCAAGAATTCCCCAGTGATCCGTTGGCCGATTGACAGTGGAGAGGAGTGGTCTCAGGGGGCTGCCCTCGGCGCTTCTGTTAAAGGAGAAGCTCCCCAGCTCTGGGATGGCCCCTGGGGGTCTCCAGTACACCCCGCCGGGAATGACAGAGTCCCCAGGACTTCAGCGCAGCCTCTGCAGACCCCAGGCCGGGGAAGGAACCGAATACAGGGCTGTTCAGGAGCATTCAGAGTAGAAACCAGCTGGACCACAGCCCCGGAATGTTTTAAAAGAAGTAATACTAAGGTCCTAGGATTACATTTCCTCAAACATGTTTTCTTTTTTTTTTTTTTTTTTTTTTTTGAGACAGAGTCTCACTCTGTTGCCCAGGCTGGAGTGCAGTGGCATAATCTGGGCTCACTGCAATCGCTGCCTCCCAGGTTCACGCCATTCTCCTACCTCAACCTCCCAAGCAGCTGGGACTACAGGCGCCCGCCACCACGCCCGGCTAATTTTTCGTATTTTTAGTAGAGACAGGGTTTCACCGTGTTAGTCAGGATGGTCTCGATCTCCTGACCTCATGATCCCACCAGCTCGGCCTCCTAAAGTGCTGGATTACAGGCGTGAGCCACCCGCCTCGGCCCAAACATGTTTTCTGAAGTGACTGGGCTGTGTAGACAAATCCGTCTGTGGCAGCGACATGCTGCTGTGATGAAGCTCATCATTAGCTGTCACAGGAAGCAGCAAATTATCTCCAGTCGGCTCTTCTCAGACTGAAGCATCTCAGGAACTAATGTCGTTATTATCAAGCCTTGCAATTTCCAGAGAAGACAAGAACCTATTCATGCACGACGCTGTTAGAATTTTCCAACTGGTTACAGAAAATGAAACCGTGGGCTGGACCCACCATTTCCTGCCTTCACTTGCGGAGTAAGAGGCTCAGGAGCCACTGGCGAGAGACCCCCGGGGGGCATCTGGAGGGCCCCGCTGGCCACCTGGGTTCCAGTGCCCACGCTCACGATGTCTAGCTGCAGGTGACAAAATCCAAGTCAAACCAGCTTGAGGAAAGGCAGGGCCCAGGGCAGGACTCAGGGGCTAGAGCAACACCCCCAGACCTCTGTGCCTCTTCCATCCCCAGCTCTGCCCACGGCCACCAGGAACCCACTTGGCAACCGGTGAGTGGGGCCGCCCTTCCCAGCAAGCCCAGCGAAAGGGCTCTGGGTTCCACACTGGCTGATGCCCCCATCCCAAGACCCACCCCTGGGGCCTCGGGAATGGGGCCTCTGGTTGCTGGGGGGGGGGCAGCCCATCCCCCAGACCATGAGGGATGGGCTCTCTGTGACCCCGCAGAAGGTGCGGGGCTGGGGCGGGGCCCCCGTGAGTCTGGGAAGCTAAACCACCACAAGGCCCCTCCTATGCCTGGGTGCCAGCTGCCCACTGCAGAGCAGGGCTGCCTGACCGGCTGTGACGGCCAACAAAGAGGCACCAGATTCCCCTCCAGAGGACATGCTTGTGAAACAGAAGTGGCATTTGGAAAGGATTACAGAGCCAGACTCTGGGATGTGAGGGCTGCTCAGGATGTGGACAGCAAGATTCTTCATTTGGCGATATCCGGCAGCCTCAGCCCTTTTCAAAAGAAAAATAAAATAACAGGCCAACAGGTCTTCTCTCTTAGCCATCAAACCCATTACATATGGGCATATATTTAATATATCATGTATGACTCGTGTGTGTGTGTGTGTGTGTGTGTGTGTGTGTGTGTGTGTGTGTAGAGGAAGAGGGAGGGAGGGAGGCCGGGCAGGCAGGAACAGGGTGGGTATCAACAGGGGCAATGCGTGTAACAGGATTCAGAGCAATGCAGGCATGTGGCATGCACCAGACTCCAGCCCCATGCCCATGTGTGCGTGCACAGGCCGAGCATGTGTCATTTATGAACATGAGAGAGAAGGTGTGATTTCGGCAGGTCCTGTGGGTTTGCAGGGCGGGTCTGTATTCTAACTGCTCATTTCTACCAGAACACGTTTTCCTTAATTTAATGCTCCTTTTTTCCCTCCAATGATATTTTTAAAAACCAGATTGCAGAGCCTTGCTGGTTGCTAAAAGAGATTCCAACCAGCCGGTGCCCTCCTGTGCCAACGTTTTTGGGTCCCTGCAGAAGCGCATGGCCGGAGGCACAGGAATCCCGCAGGCCCCGCCCCAGGCTTCCCAGGACTGTGACCAAAAGGGGGTCCACACTGTCCCTAGTCCTGGAGGAGTCACCCCCAAGGTACCCTCAGGGACACCCGTGAGCAGGGGCGAGAGCCACTCGGGCTGACACCTGCTGCATGTGGAGCCCCTGGAGAAGGTGGTGGCTTCCTCCATACCCTGTGGCTGGTGACAGTGAGAATAAGTTCCCGTTGTCTTAAACCACGCAGTCCACCAACAGCAGTCGCAGGGGAAGCCGCTGCTATGCCCACTCTGGCCGAATGCCAGCCTGTGCTGCCCGAGACACCCCTCCCATCGGCCTGAATATGTGGAACATGTCTGCGTCTGGCCCCCCCTTGGCCAAGAGTCCCTTAAAATCTGTGGGCTCTTCTATCTCCTCATCTCATTGTTCCCTGAAGGACTGGGGGTGTTTCTGCCAGTGAATGCCTCCTGGCAGGCTCCCCAGGAGCCACCGTCTCAGCTCCGGTTCCCCAGAAGCAGCCCCTCGGGTAAGTGTCCCCAAGGCCGAGATGAAGTCCCAGGGTTAAGTGCCGGATGCAGCCACGCCTCAGCCAGGCCCCCAGGGAGCAAGGTGCAGCTCAGAAGCTGTCCCACCTCCAGGGACCGGGTGGTCCTGCAGCACGCTCTGCCCCGGGGGTGCAGCACCTGGCTGATCTCCACTGTGCTCTGGGTTGAGCAAGGCAGCTCTCAGGACAGTCCCCGAAGGTCCTGGCTGGAGCTAGGCTCAAGATGTCCCTGCCCCAGTCCTTGATCCTGTAAAGTGCAAGTTTGATCAAGGTACAGACCTCAAGGTGGGAAGGTCTGAGAAGATATGGGAAAAAAACAAATTGTTCTTCCTACCCTCACAGCACTGAACACAGCACTCCCAACCCGGAGAGTGGTGATTTTTTCCCAACACCAAGCAGTTCTCCAGCAGATGCCAGCTGGTGTCCTTCAATTCAATTCTGACACTGTCCACCTAGAGATGGCGTCAGACCCCATAGAGTGAGGGCTGAGTCCCACAGGGCTGCCCCCACTTCCAAAGTCAACTGCAAGCCTCAGGGGCTTCTGTCCACACAGCTATAAACCAGGTCCCGTGAGCCCCTCCCCAGGCTGGAGTGATTTGCTGCAGCAGCACCCAGGACGTAGGGACACAGGCTCACCGGTTTATTATGAAGGACATTGCAGGAGACACAGATGACCAGCAGGTGGATACCTGGGGGAGGTCCGGGAGGCCCCGGGTGCAGGAGCCTCTGTCCCTCTGCAGTGGGGGCCGCCCTCCTGGCAGGCAGACGTGTCCTGCAACCCCAAAGCTCATCTGCACTGAGTCCTTCTTGGGACTCATGGAGGCTTCAACACACAGGCATGATCGACTACGTCATTGACCATCGGTGATCAACTCAACCTTCAACCCCTTTTTTTTTCCCGAAGATCAGAGGTTGGGGCAGAACCTTCTAATCATGTGGTTGGTTCCTGTGGCCACCAGCCCCCATCCTGAAGCTGTGCAGGAGCCCCCCAGAGCCACCACATCAGCTCGAAAAATGCTCCTATCACCCCAGAAATTCCAAGGGATTGAGAAGCCCTGGGTGGACGCAGCTATTCCTCGGGAAATCGCAAAGGCTATAGGAGTTCATTGTTAGGAACTGGGGCCAAAGACCAAGTATCAGAACAAAAGATTCTCCTAGCACCCCTATTGGTCAAGAAACTACAAGGGCTATCGTCGCTCTATGTCAGAGACCATTTAAATGCGTATTTATTCTTATATCACAACATGGCAGAAGCTGATCCTGGATGATCTGGGTGGGCCAATTCGATCACAAGTCCTCCACAGCAGAGAAGCGCCTCTGCCTGGCATCAGATGCAGTGGCGAAGTGTGGTGCTGGCACCAAGCCTCAGGGCCGGGAGGGACGGGGCATTCCCACAGAAATCAACAGTAGGATCCAGCCCTGAGCTTCTCAAGCGGGGCGTTATTCACACCACGCCCCTGATGCGTCCGTCTGCCGTCTGCACCTGCACCTGCACCTGCACCTGCTCTGCGTCCTGGGTGAGCTCCAGGCTGAGGCACCTTGGGTGGGCTTTCTGGCTGTCCTGCAGGCTCACTCTGGATTTGAGCAGGAACCTGTGGGCAACGTGGACCGTGCTCTCTTCCTGCTGTGAAGCTGCGGGCATTCCAGGGCCTCCTTGAGCAACGGCAAAATCAGAGAAATAAGGACATGGCCTCTCAAGGCGTTTCCTTTGATAGAAAATGTCCGTTTTCCATGCTGAATTTCTGGAAGCTTTTGGTTAAGCTGCAGATTCACTTTCCCAGAGGCACACATGTGCCTATCACCTTGTAAGTCCATCCCACACACGTTTACCAGACCACCCTATTGCCTCGTTAATCTTCCCTCGTCCACCTGGCAAGGCAGCCAGCATGGTCTTCACCATACCATATTCCAGGCACTGAGACTTGGAGGGGCCACGTTCCCTACCCAAGGCCCTGGTCAGAAGGGCCTTGAATCCCTGGGTCAAACCCCCACCTCTCTGCACCAGCTGTGAGGCGGGGACAGCGTCCTCCAGGGCCCCCAGGAGGCTCCGGATGGGCAGCATTTACTCCCATCAAGGCTTGTCCAGAGCGGGAGGGCCGCAGTCTATCCTGCGGCTGGGCGAGGAGAGGGTGGCTTGGGAGGTCCGCATTCGGAAAGCAATTCTAAGGGAGATGGCCACTCTCAGTTGTCATTGCATTCTCTAGACACACACACGCAGCAACACACACACACACAAACGGGGCCACGTGCAGATGCAGCAACGTCTACGTGGGGCAACACAAAGAGGACAACAGGAACACTTGGGAACACACAAGTACACAAATGAGGCAATGTGCAAATGGAGCAACACGCACACTTATAAATACGGTAATTCCCAACATTTGGCAACATGTCGTTGCAGCAACGCACACTGGCCTGTGCTTACGGCAGGCCTCCACCCGCCTGTCTGTCAAAAGACTACACATTGGAACATGTCATCTAACAATGCTGCAGCATCTCACCCGGCAATCGTTTGAGGGGAAGCGCTGGCTTCCAGCGCCTCTTACATGGATGGTGCAGGTGAGGCTGTAGAGTGCGCCTGTGTAGTGGGGCTGTGCAGTGGGGCTGAGGAGTGCACCCGTGCAGTGTGCCTGTGGAGTGAGGCTGTGGAGTGCACTCATGCAATGGGGCTGTGGAGTGCGCCCAGGCAGTGGGGCTGTGCAGCGAGGCTGTGGAGTGCACCCGTGCAGTGGGGCTGTGCAGTGGGGCTGTGGAGTGACATGGTTAGGTTTTGTGTCCCCACCCAAATCTTATCTTGAATTACAATCCCCACAATCCCCATGTGCCAAGTGAGAGACCAGGTGGAGGTGACTGGATCCTGGGGGCGGTCACCCCCATGCTGTTCTCATGATTTTCTCACAAGATCTGGTGGTTTGATAAGGAACTCTTCCCCCTTCATTCAGCACGTCTCCTTGCTGCGGCCTTGTGAGGCACGTCCTCGCGTCCATTCGCCTTCCGCCACGATTGTAAATTACCTGAGGCCCCCCAGTCATGCGGAACCGTGTCTATTAAACCACTTTTCCTTACCCATTATCCAGCCTCAGGCAGGTGTTTGTGGCAGTGTGAAAACAGACGAATACATGCGGTGAGGCTGTGCGGTACAGCTGTAGAGTGAGGATGTGGAGTGAGTGCGGAGTGGGTGTGGGGTGTGGGGTGGGGTGTGGGGTGGGGTGTGGGGTGGGGTGTGGAGTGGGTGTGGGGTGGGGGGTGGGGTGGGGGGTGGGGTGGGGTGTGGGTGGGGTGTGGGGTGGGGTGTGGGGTGGGGTGTGGAGTGGGGCCGTGGACTGCAGCTGTGCTATGCACAGCTATGCAGTGAGGCTTCTGGAATTGGTTGTGGTGCTCAAGTTTTTAACTGGCCTGCGTGTACTTTAATGTCCAAACATGACCTGCCCTTTCTGGGGTTTGCCTTAAGTGTCACTGAGGGGAAGAGAAACTGACCGATGGTGCAGCGAACGGTTCTCCTTTCCCTGAGAAAGTCCTGGCCACTTCTCTCCTCACGGGAGGCGGCCTCTGAGCCCTGGCCTGTCCTGCCTGATAAGACAGTCCTGGTTACCTGTGGACCTTGGGCCAGGCTGGATGGTCTGTGCTATTGATGGGATTTGTGGTGGGCATTTTGGGCCACATGGTGTCAGCTGCACCTCTGGAGGGATCAGAGACCAAGCTGCCACACGTGGTCGCTTGGCAGAGCCCGTGGGACTGAGCCCCAGCAAAGCCCTGAACCCCAAGGCAGGCCATCGGCTCGGGGAGAAGCAAGTGCTGTCAGGCCGCCCAGTGGGGAGAGCAGCAGCCCATGCCTGGACCCTCCTGGACTCTGCCAGTTCCCTTCACCGATTCTAGCCGGTGCCCCTTCGCTCTAATGAACGTCAACTGTGAGCACAGCAGGTCTGTGGCACTGCGTGAGCCTTCTGGAGAATCGCGGAGTCTAAGGGTGGTTTGGGGACACCAGAGCTGCAGGGGGTAAGGCAGTGATTGAAGGAAAAATAGAACTCGTCTGATTTGTTCCCCTAGGGATTCAGGCTATTTAATGAGCCAAATAGTCATAAACCATGTTTGGGGACTGTACAGATAATAGTCTTCTAGTGACTGGCAAAGCCTGCTGCCTGCAGTGCCGGGTGTGGAGGCTTTTGGTCCCTGGTCCTACCACAATGGGCTCTTTATTCCAATAGCTTCTTTCCTCACCCGGCAAAGGGGCTGGGCTGCTGCGGGATGAATGCCTGGCCAGTGGTGGGGACATGTCTTACAGGCAGCACAGAACACACCTGAGAGGATAAAAGCTCATGTGGTCTCAGCACCTGCCGATGGAGTCGGGGGGTGAGAGAGAATAAGAACACCCGAAAAAATCAGGGAGCTGGGGACAGGGACTGGTGTCTAGAACAAGGAGGAGCAATCTCTCATTCCCTATCTAGAAAGCACAGTGGGAGGAGGTGCTCGGGGCCCAGCACCTGTGTATGCTATTTTTAGAAAAGTTTTACATTCAATTATCCACGTCAAGCTCAACATAATTCATTATCTGAAAAGAAAATGAGCAACAGTTAAGCATCCCGGCCCGTGGTCTGGGCTTCTTCTCCCAGAGAAGTCCTCTGAGACCAGGCTAAGCTGGTGGGGGTTGAAAGAGCAGGTTCTGAAGACTTAGAAGTGCGGGGGTTGGGGGGTGATTGAGTGGAGAGGGAGAGCTGGGCCCAGCCTTCGGGGAGCACGGGGTCCAACCGGCAAGGCGCTGGGTACAACACTGGGTACAGCGAAGGGCTCCTTCCTGGTCCCGCAGCCTGAGGAGAGGCGCCTGGTGACTTTATATGGGGAGGGGGAGCAGCCACGGAGGGGCCCCGAGGGGAGACCCCACACTCTGTCCTTCAGAGGCCTGCCCGAGAGGCTGACCTCTCTCCTGGGCTTGGCTGCTCTGCTCTGTCGGGCCCTGGATCGGATGCCCGTGCCCTGGTCTTCTGCCCACTGGACTCAGTTTCCCCTGACAGGAGAGCAGGGTATCAGGGCCTGCCCTCCAGGTATCCTCATCCCCTAGGAGGTGAATAAATGATGGAGGTGTCCCCTAAATTCACAGATGACTATCCCAGGACATCGGGGCACATGGCAAAAACCCAAGTCAAACAGCTCAAGAGAATAAAGGTTCCATGGGACTGAAAGTCCAGGGGGCAGCAGGGGCTGGCCAGGGCCTCAAATGGTGTCCTCAGGAAGTCCAGGGGACAGCAGGGCTGGCCAGGGCCTCAAATGGTGTCCTCAGGAAGCCCAGGGGGCAGCAGGGCTGGCCAGGGCCTCAAATGGTGTCCTCAGGAAGTCCAGGGGACAGCAGGTGCTGTCCAGGGCCTCACATGGTGTCCTCAGGAAGTCCAGGGGGCAGCAGGGGCTGGCCAGGGCCTCAAATGGTGTCCTCAGGAACCTGCAGGCTCCATTTGACTCCAGGAATGGGCCCAGGAGGGTGGGGGTCCCAGGAGGGCAGGAGTCCCGGGAAGGCTTGGGGTCCAGATCCAGAGAGGGCTCTGTAATCAAATGCAGCCTGTGGCTCCTCCAAGGTCCTGCACTGGAATCGCAGCCCCCCCAGGCAAAGATGTGAGAGGTGGGGCCTTTGGGAGGGGATTTGGTGGTGAAGGTGGGGCCCTCATGAATGGGATTAGTGCCCTTACACAAGAGTCCCCAAGGAGCTCCCTCACCCCTCCCACCGCAGGAGGACGCGGCAAGAAAGCGCCCTCCGTGAGCCAGGAAGCAGGCCCTCCACAGACCCTGAACCTTCCCTTGATCTTGGCCTTGCAACTCCCAGGCTGTGAGAAGGGATTTCTGTTGTTCAGGAGCTCCGCCCAGCCTCTGGTGTTGTGTGTCAGCACCCCGAGTGGACCGGGACAGGCTCCCAAGTGGACTGAGACAGGCTCCCGAGTGGACCGGGACAGGCTCCCGAGTGGACTGGAGACAGGCTCCCAAGTGGACCGGGAAAGGCTCCCGAGTGGACCGGGACAGGCTCCCGAGTGGACCGGGACAGGCTCCCTCTCTCTTGCTGCTGGGATGTCTCCCCGGGAGCTTGCGTCTCTCGCCACCCTCACCTCCCAGCCAGAGGGAAGCCAGGAAGCCAGGGAGATGCGGCCTGACCGGCAAGGGTGCCCTCTCTCCACACCCCCGGCCAGAACTTACTCTGTGGCATGTCTAGCTGCAGGGGAAGTGGGAGATGGAGCCCTTAGCTGAGACTTGGGGTGAAAGGGAGGGAGGATCCACAGGCGGCTGTGGACCGGCCCTGGCTGTGTCCGTGGCTCACGGGAGCCCAGACTTGCTGTGTGGACTGGGCTTGGGGTCCCCAGGCTGGCCAGGCCCATGCTGGCACCTCTGTGGACCCTCTGCTCTCTCTGAGGATCATGGAGGGAGTGGGCCACCCTCGGTGAGCCGGGCACCTGCCCTCAGCCCCTCTTGCCCCCGGAGTTCCTTGCCCCTTGGCATGGCCTCACGTTGTTAAAGAAAGCGTCTCAAACGGGCCTTTGCAGCTCCAAGGCAAGAATGACAAAGGAGGAACGGTTTCAAGGTTTTGCTTCTGGAACTCCCAGGAAGCAACTACAAAATGGAAGACATTTTTCCTATTTCAATATTTCTAAGCAGGGAGGACTCCTGACTGCAGATAAAGGCATACGCTTTGGATCTCTGGAGACGCAGAAATCATGTTTATGCAAACTCCATCCTTAGCCCAAGGAGGAAAGAAGCCTAGAAGACAGGGAAGAGATGCCCGCGCCACGGCGCCCAGTCCTACCTTTCCCAGAGGGCAGCCTGGTGGAGCCACGTGGAAGGAAGGGCGGGCATGACAAGACCCTCAGCTTCCTGCTCCAACTCCAACCCTGCCTCACGCGTCTCCTCATCCCCTCCAGGCTCGGGGGCCGGGCTGCTGAGCCTTCAAGAGAATGCAAGAGCCACCCGTCCCTTCTCTCGTGACAATAAATGGGAGACTAATATTAGCCAAATGCAACCCTTTTAGCTTTACATCGCCTGGTATGCTCACAAGCACGCCTGGAAAGTTCATCACAAATTGGTGCATTCATAAGAGCCATAAGCCCGCAGCTTCTGGGTGAGAGCAGACAAAATGCTACTTCTTTTTTGCAGATGGAACAGATGGGCTGGCTTGGCCCTCTGCATTGCGTGTGTTGCCTGTATGTTGTCTTTTCCCAAAAGCAAATTGCAAAAAGAAAATGGCTTTCTGCTGGGGGCCCAGCAATTAGGAACCCTCCTTCCAGCAGAAGGAGGCAGAGAGGAGGGTATAGGTGGGGCCAGGGAGGGCAATGAGAAGAAAAGGGAATGGGCTTAGGGGGCTGGGGGCTGCTATTCATCAGTTTCAAACCTTCTGGTCCAGAGAAATCGGTGGGAACATCACAGGAAATTCTAAGGGACACGCTCTGTGTCCATCGGCCTGAGGTGCGTGTCATAGCAAGCCCTTCCCAGGAATAATTTCTAGGAAACTGGGCTGCATTGAAACATGTCTTGGAAATGGATCTTCTTTCCTCAGAAGATGATCTACCTCATTCCCTGTTTCCTCCAAAACATCAGCTTTCTTTGTGTGTCTCTTGGCTGATTTCTTTAAAGTTGCTGATGGGTTTCACGATCCAAGGTGACTCCAGGCCTTCTCTGCTTCACCCTTCCACACAGTTCTCCTCAGCAGGCCTGGAAAGGCGCACGGCGAGATTGCTGGGTGGACAGGAGTCAGGCCTGTGCTTCTGCGAGGAGTCAAGTCAGAGCTGTGGCAACGAGTGCCCCTCCTTCCTCTCCCCCCACCACCCCATGCCTGCTGTCTCAGGCAGGGTCCCAGAGCCACCAGCCCTGACCCGGGACGCAGGTTGAATGAGCAGCATCTTCCACCAGCTCCAGGAATAAAACTCCATGTCACAGGCACAGAGGTCCAGGAGGGAGCCGCGTCCCTAACCCCGCTGTCTTCTGGCCTCTGGCCACACACTGGCCCAACCCCCTCCTGCCTGCCACCCTTCCTGCTCACACACCACATTCCAGGACTCAGTGAACATGTCCTCCTTGGACAAGTCTTCCCAAACTGCCCCACCTCTGCCAGTTCCCCCAGACATCCAGTGCCCTCCTCGTGAACGTGCTTGCTGTAGCAGCCCTGCCTGTCACCTGGCACGGAGGCACCCAGTGGGCTGGGCAGGTAGGAGTCCCAAGAGCCAGCAAGGCGCCAGCAGGGACGTCAGGGTGCAGGGCAGGGACGTCGGGGTGCAGGGCAGGGACGTCAGGGTGCAGGGCACTACAGTGCAGGATGCCAGGGTGCAGGGAGCCGGGATGCAGGGCGCCAGTCCTTGCCCCTGTTCACAGTCCAGCAAGCTGGGGAGGGACGTGGAGCTTCGTGGGCAAGGTTTCTCCCTAACTGTGCCTCCCGCTGCTCCACATGGAGAGCCGCTCTCCGGGCCCGGTCTCCTGGACACCCACCTCCAGGTGCAGAGCAGCTGCAGCCACCTGGACTGTGGCCTCTGCATGCTCTGTCCTCATCCCGGGCTGGCCTGTCCTAAGAGGCCCCGTCTGTCCTTACTCCCCGAAGCACAGCTTGAGACACCAGAGCTGGACAGGAGGGGAGTGGTCTCCGAGCCGTGTGGAGCCGGGCTCTAGTCCTGAGCGCCTTCTGCTTGGAGATGAAGGCCAGGACGGGTGCAGCCAGGGTGGGCAGAGGGAGCCTGGGGGACCCTGGGCCCTTCATGCTGTCTTGGAGGGGAGAGGTCTGGTGCCAGGGTGGGCAGAGGGAGCCTGGGGGACCCTGGGCCCTTCGTGCTGTCTTGGAGGGGAGAGGTCTGGTGCACGGCAGGGACTGGGCCCCAGCAGCCTCTTCCCACCTCCCCAGCCCACTTCAGCCATCCTTCATTCACTCACCATTCAGCCAGGCTCTCTGGACACGGCCAGTGTGGGATGCTCACAGCTGGCCTGCTGTGAGGACAGCACTGCGGCTCCCTGTGTGTCCAATGTGCCAGACCCTCTCAGGCTGCCATCACTCTGGTTCTCCTTCTGCCTCTCTCTTCCACATTTAAGGAACTTTGTGACTCCTCTGGGCCCAGGACAGCCCAGCACAGCCTCCCCATTTCATGGCTGATGAGCTGCCTTAATTGCCTGCCCCCTAATCCCCTTTGGCAGGCACCCCAACAAATTCACAGGTTCTGGGGAGTCTGGCATGAACATCCTTGGGGTCCTTACTCTGCCCACCATGTGGGCTGCCCCATCTCATCCACACCCATGAATGTGAGGCACAATTAACATCCCCGTACTTCAGATGAGGAAACTGAAGCTCAGGGTCACCTAAGGTCGCTCACTTTGGAGGTGGCAGAGCCAAGATTTGAAGCCCCTGGGTCGGACTGCAGATCCCGAGCCCTCTGCCTGGTCGGGTGGAGCAGAGTCTCATTCACATTGAGAAACCAACTGCAAGCAGGAGGAGACGTTCCCCGGAGCTGCAGCCAGGAGACCGCTCTGTGCGTCTAAGCAGAGAGAACACAAAGCATGGCGGGGCAGGCAGAGGACGCCCTCCTCCCTCCCCGCTGGGCACAGCCTTCTTTGCCAGGTGCATGCCAGCCCTGGGGAGAGGAGACAGAGCCTCTTGCGGGGTCTCAGAGCAAGGACAGGAGATGAGCCTGGGAAGGCCTGCTTCTGCCAACGAGGACCCTCTGAGACCCTGGGTCTGGGAGCCCAACACGCATGCAGGTATACACACATGTGCACACACACATGCATGCACACACACCATGTGGACAGCAGGCGGTTCACAGGAAGACTTGGGGGTGCTGCACCCAGACGAGGGGGAAGGCTGAGTAGGTGAATTGCCAGCTGTTCCCTCCAGGTGCTCACAATTCGCTCAACACACATCTCCCTGTCCACTGGGTACCAAGCCTGCGCCAGATTCCCGCAGAGCCAGGTGGAAGGCAGATGGCTTTGGGGGGCACAAAAATTAAGGGAACTTGGCTGCTTTTGCCCACTAGGTGTGAGCCCTTGAGTCAAGGGCTCACCAGGAGGCTCTGGCCTCCAGGCAGATGGCAGAGATACACTTGTTGATATATGTTTGACGACTGCGTGAGTCAGACCATCCGGCTGAATCAGAGCCCGGAGGAAATACATGATTGAAAACCAGGCCCATTACAGAGCAGCCAGCTCTCCACGGAGCCATGTCAGGTTTGAATTAGAAGATTCTTGGCTTCTTAGCCGTGGAAGGAGAAGGAACCCTGGATAATTTGGGATTTGGAGGGAGTGGTGAGACCTGGTCCCAGTGGGGGAGACCTGGGCTGGGAGGGTCAACGGAGCAGGAGAGAGCCTGGGAAGGGAGGGAAGCTGCAAGAGCAAACTCCCACAGCACACAACCAGGGTGACCCTCAGCCCCAACTGCTTGAGACTGAGAGGGCTCCAGCTCCCAGGTCTCCGGACTTGCTGTTTTAAAACCTCGAAAGTCCCAGGAAAACCAGAGTGAGTTGTTTGTCCTACCCTGAGCCTCCCAGCCTGCCAGTGCCATCTTACTTAGGCAACCTGCAGACACCATGTGGAACAGCCATCCCAGCTCACTTGAGGCCCAAAACTGGATTGCCGAGTGTCTATAACGCTGACAGGGACCTCACATAACTCTGGTGGCCAATCACTCTCCATCCTCAGCCTAGCGCACAAGACAGCCACGGCAACGCCCCGAGTGTGTCCCACTCAGGCAAAGGCAGAGTGTGTGACCCCCCTCCAGGCCATCCTTCTCCCACCCAGCCTCTCCAGCTGCCCTGCAGCCACCAGGGTGAGCCCTGGCCTCTGTGTGGAATGAAGTGTGTGCACATCACAGGAGGCTCACAGCAGCCTGGTGACCTAGGGGCCACGTCATGCTTTTCACACACAGGAAACTGGGGGTCCAGGCCTGGTGAAGCTGGAATTCGAAATCACCTCCTCTCCAGCCTGCCACCCCGACCTGCCCTCGGCATCCCTGGCCTTCCCGGGGCTTATCCCATGCAGCAGCCGCTGCACTTGTGGGCAGCCACGCCTGCTTCCTCTTCTGGTTCTTCCCTGAGAACACAGCTCATGTTTCCAGAAAGCTGGCCAAGGTCCAAGGGGCGGCCTGGGAATGTGAAGGACAAGGATGCCGATGACTGAGGCTTGATCAGCCTGTAGCACAGCCCCCAGAATCTGCCAACAGCCCCAGAGATGCCTGGAGCGCAGCCAGCGTGAGGCTGGAAAGCGGCTCCGCCCTCCTTGCCCGCCTGCGAACACTCACTGTGCGTACACATGTGCAGGTGCCGCTCTGTTTTTAAAGATCCTCCTTCGAACACCGTCCGTCCTGGAACACGTGCAATTTCCATGCTGTGGGTGGGAAAATCTATAGCCAGGCTCTACCGATTATGTTTATTACGTATCTTCTGTGCCTCTAACACATCCACGTTTCTGCCCCACCCGCCTTCGTCCTCATAGGAAACCAACTACTCTGCCACTGACATAATAAATGCCTGTTGTTTTAAGCCACTGAGTGTGGGGGCATTTCGTTATGCAGCAATAGATAACTGATTCAGGTGTTATTGTCAACTTAATTTTTTCAATTTTAATAAGAAGCCTTCCTGCTAGCAAGAGTCACCCAACAGCGGTTGGGGGCCTGAGGGAAGAGAAGGTTGGAGGCTGGAGAGATGGTGGCTCTCCTACATTTGGAAGCCTGAAGCCTGCTGCAAACCAGTGACGGGTTTCGCACATCCTGCTGGCATGGCCTCATCCTGTTCACCATTGCATCTGCTCCACTAGTGCAACACAAACCCAGTGAGCGCCAACTGAGCGTTGGAGGGACTCAGGGTAAGCTAGCCAATGAAACAAGCAGGGACCCCCACCCGTGCCGGGCAGTGTTGGAGGGACTCAGGGTAAGCTAGCCAATGAAACAAGCAGGGACCCCCACCCTTGGGAGCGTGCTTCCAAGGACCTCTTGTGTGGTGACTCTTTGGACGTGATTGTCACCCCAGGCACAGATGACTACCTTGCTTGGTAATAAGGACATGCCTCGCTCACACCACTCAGGAAATCACAGAAAGCCAGGCTGTCCCCAGCACACTGGCTGCCCCAGCTCAGCACGCCTGCTGCACCCTAGAATCACAGCCGTGCCCGTGGACCTCGGTCCTCGCTGCCCATGGGACCGGCCGGCTCCTCAACAGGCAGCATTGGGAGTGTTGGGATCGGGGCAGCAGGTCCCCAAGGCTCTCCAACTTGCAGGAGACACTCGCCCCCGGAGCCCTGCCCCCCACAAGGCGTGCCCGACTTCACGTGTCAGTGAAGGCATCCGGCTGGCCAAGGGTGTGGCTGCATCCCCAATGGGCATGACCGGACCTGGCCTGTCCCTTCCCAAGCACCTCACCGGCACTTTCTTTAAAGAGTCTCAGCTGTTTAGGAAGGGCTTCTGTCTGCAGAAATCAGAAGAGAAAGGGGCAAACAACGTGGAGTTAAGAGCTTCCAGCCGCTGAGCCATCCGGTTTGTGAGTGCACAGAAGAGCTCAGAACGGCCGAGCGGCGTGGCTGCCAGGGGTCCCCACCGGAGGCCTGCCATCTGCCTTGTGTAGAACAAGGCCTTCCAAGTGACATTTTCCTATGTGGTTTTAAGCAAATGCTCCAACACAATATTTGCACTATGTTGCCTTTTATGATTTTGTAAGCTCCCAGGCCAACTCACAGATAAATCTTTGAAAATAAGGGCAGCTTAGCCAAAAGGTCAGGGGTTTAAAAACCAAACAATGAGCTTAGGCAGAGGGAGAGCACAATCGCTGCATCCTCCTGCTTTGGCTGGCAGAGGGACAGACTCCAGTGGCCATTGCTGTGGACTTCCTCTTTGTGGGGGTCTCGACAGAGGCGCCTGATGGCCCAGCCCGTGGTCAGGCCCCAGTGTTACCAAGACAGTGGTGAGCGCCTGGACCTCACACTGTCCAGCACCTGTACTCCCTGGCATGGTGTGGATGCTAAGGTCCCCGCCCAAACCTCTGTACTTGGCCGGGCGCAGTGGCTCACGCCAGCAATCCCAGCACTTTGGGAGGCCAAGGCGGGTGGATCACGAAGTCAGGAGATGGAGACCATCCTGGCTAACATGGTGAAATCCTGTCTCTACTAAAAATACAAAAAAATTAGCGCCTGTAGTCCCAGCTATTCGGGAGGCTGAGGCAGGAAAATGGCGAGAACCTGGGAGGCGGAGCTTGCAGTGAGCCAAGATCGCGCCACTGCCCTCGAGCCTGGGTGACAGAGCGAGACTCCATCTCAACAAATAAAAAAAATAAAAAAATAAAAAAACCTGTGTACTTAACTGGTGAATCGTGTCTTCCAGAGGACAAATCTGGCCTACTCCAGCCTATTCTAGTTGGATGGAACACCTCACCTCACACCCGACAGCCCATTCGACCTCGTTCATTCCCCGTGGAGACCCATCAGTAACAGCCCTGCCCTTCATTCAGCCGCTATTCCCATTTTACAGACGACTCAATCGAGGCACAGAGACGCTAAGCACACTCGCCCAAATGTGAAGTAGCAGGGCCAACATTCAATCCTATCTACTGGCTTCCAGCAAAGGGATCACTGGCGTTTCCTTTGATGCCAAGATTTCTAAGCTCTGATGTTTGTGAGCTGCAGCCCCCTGACAAGAGTATCAGGCTCCGGTTGAACAGAGAAGTCCAAAGCAGGGCGAGAACGGACGAATAATCACAGAGTCCCGCTGCCAGCCACCGGCTCAGAAGCCTTGAATTCTCCTAGCTGGGCGGGCCCGGGAGGGGGTTCCTCAGCCTCCCGCTTCCCTCAACACCCTGCGACCCCCGCCCCAGCCTGCCCAGGTTTCCTGCTCCCAGCACAGCAGGTGCAGCCAGCCATGTGCACAAAGGCCAGGCTGGTTCCCTGGGCTGCACTCGAGCAGCTCCTCCCAGCCCTGCACACATGGGGCAGCAGCTCTACCCAACCTCTCCCAGGGGTTCTGGGGAGGAGGGAGCAGGGGAGGGGGCGGGGAGGGCCCAGAGAAGGGACAGTAGTGCCCTGGGGGCCCCTGGGCAACCCAGACATGGAGGGGGGGGCAAGCTTGTGCCTGGCCACCTATGCCAGTGCCACCAGGTGCTGGGGGGGACACGGAAAGGACAGGAATCTTGCCCTCACCTGGCTCCCGAGCCAGGGGCCGGGGCACCCTGTGAGGACACTCAGAGGGAGGGAGTGTGCAAAGCCTGCAGGGCCTGGGAGGATGCGTGCTGGGGCTGCCTCTCCCAAATCCTGCTGGGGCGCAGGCTCTCAGGGTGGCTTCTGATGACAAATCCAGGCAGTAATAAGGGGCCCAGGGCATCACATCCCATAGCGTCATGAGACCAGCCCAGGGTGCCAGATGCAGGGCCCTGAGTGGGGAGGGTGCTGCTCTGGGCACCTGCTTTCTGCCCTCCCTCATTCACCCCTCCCCAGACTTTGATGAAACCATCTGTGGCTCCCGGCCTCTGCAGGACCCAGCCCCTCAGCTCCTCAGCCCCTGCAGGTGTCCCTCGGTACTGCCTCACGCCATCCTGCCCCAGGTGATAACTATGCCCTGAGCCCCCACCATTTCCACTGGGCACATCCCAGAAATACGCATTCACAGACCAGGCACGCCCATGACTGCGGCCAGATTTTAAAAGGAATCACCAGAAATGTAATCTCCAGTGGTCCTAGAGCCCCCTGGGCACCCAGCTTCTGGCACCCTGTGGACACCCAGGAGTGGGGGTCGGCCCAACCAGCTGCGCAGCCGCCCAGCCCTGCCAGCGGGGAGCTTCCTCCCTCCCTGCCCTCCGGATACACCCTCACCCCAACTGAGCGAGCCCAGGGTTGGGGGAGGTGCATAGTTCCCTTCCTAGCCGGTGCGAGAAATTGCGGAGAACAGGGAAGAGGGTGGCAGGAAGGGTCTGGTGCACGATACCCGCCGCGCCCGCTCGGAATCCTGGTTCCCTGGAGCGCTCACCCCAGCCCGCCCTGCCCCGGGGAGCGCGAGGGGGCGACCCGCCAGGCTGCACCCGGGCGGGGCGGGGATGGCGGCGGGGGCTGCCTCCCTCCTCCGCCGCCACCCCCCACTGCTGGGCGCGCCGCGCGGCCGCCGGCTCCGTGGAGACGCGCAGAGCCGGGAGGGCGCGGGCGCGGCGGGAGGTGTGCGGGGCTGGGGTGCGCGGAGAGCGCGAGGGAGGAGATTCTGAGCGAGGGAGGGGAGCGCGCCCGGGCAGCAGTGCGTGCGCTCCTCCCGGCGCCACAAGCTCGCCCCGCGCAGCCCGAGCCGGGCTGGGCGCTGTCCTCGGGGGCCTGGGGAACCGCGCGGTTTGGAGATCGGAGGCACCTGGAACCCGTGGCAAGCGCCGAGCCGGGAGACAGCCCGAGGAACCACGGGTTCTGGAGCTAGGAGCCGGAAGCTGGGAGTCCGGAGGAGAGCGGAGCCCGGAGCCCGGAGCCCGGGGCGGCGCGTCTGGGTCTGGCGCTTCCCGACTGGACGGCGCGCCCGCTGGTCTTCGCCACGCGCCCTCCCCTGGGCTCCCGTTCATCGGTCCCCGCCTGAGACGCGCCCACTCCTGCCCGGACTTCCAGCCCCGGAGGCGCCGGACAGAGCCGCGGACTCCAGCGCCCACCATGCGCCTCAACAGCTCCGCGCCGGGAACCCCGGGCACGCCGGCCGCCGACCCCTTCCAGCGGGCGCAGGCCGGACTGGAGGAGGCGCTGCTGGCCCCGGGCTTCGGCAACGCTTCGGGCAACGCGTCGGAGCGCGTCCTGGCGGCACCCAGCAGCGAGCTGGACGTGAACACCGACATCTACTCCAAGGTGCTGGTGACCGCCGTGTACCTGGCGCTCTTCGTGGTGGGCACGGTGGGCAACACGGTGACGGCGTTCACGCTGGCGCGGAAGAAGTCGCTGCAGAGCCTGCAGAGCACGGTGCATTACCACCTGGGCAGCCTGGCGCTGTCCGACCTGCTCACCCTGCTGCTGGCCATGCCCGTGGAGCTGTACAACTTCATCTGGGTGCACCACCCCTGGGCCTTCGGCGACGCCGGCTGCCGCGGCTACTACTTCCTGCGCGACGCCTGCACCTACGCCACGGCCCTCAACGTGGCCAGCCTGAGTGTGGAGCGCTACCTGGCCATCTGCCACCCCTTCAAGGCCAAGACCCTCATGTCCCGAAGCCGCACCAAGAAGTTCATCAGCGCCATCTGGCTCGCCTCGGCCCTGCTGGCGGTGCCTATGCTGTTCACCATGGGCGAGCAGAACCGCAGCGCCGACGGCCAGCACGCCGGCGGCCTGGTGTGCACCCCCACCATCCACACTGCCACCGTCAAGGTCGTCATACAGGTGAGCCTCAGTAACCAGCCCCGGGGCTCCCCTCTCCTTCACCCCAAAAGCAGTGCCAGTGGTGTGCCTTCTGGGTAGGGAGTGGGAGAGATGTCACAGAGACAGTCTACTCCTGCGAGGCTGGGAAGGCGGTTGGGGCAGCTTGGGGGCAGCTCCAGAGTTGCCAGGCTCAGCCCCTATCTTCTTCCCTCCTGTTGAGGGGATGGAGCCCCTGCCTGTGACCTCTCTGGTGTTGGTGGCTGGGCCTCGGACATCTCTGAATTCCTTAAGCCTAATGGAAACATGTGCGCTGGCACCTGCGTCTCCAAAGGAAGAGTAACACTTTCATCAGCTTCTCAAAAGACTGTGCCACCAACAGGTGATGTTCCTTCCTCTGCAGAGAAGCCCCCAGACTGGCTCTGCCGGTGCCTCCCAGCTGCCTGCCCTGACCCAAACTTGGGAGTCAGAACAGAACCTGATGCCGTGTTGGGCCAGTTCCTAGTTTAGCCTCAGCTTTCCCATCTGTGTGATGGGGTAGTGATAGCATTGACCTCAGAAGGTAGAGCATTGGAGAGAGGACGCGTGGGAAGTGTTTGCATGGCCCCTGACACATAGAAGGGCTCACAGGCACTATTATTGCGGGATGGTGGGGACGATGTTTCTGCGGGGAAGGTTGTGAGGATCTGCGTGTGGCGGCGGTGTTGTGGTGAGGTGTGTAAAACTGGAGCCGAGTGACTAAGGGCCCTCCAAGGGTCTGAGCAAAGCGCCGTGGGAATGCGGGTGGGAAGCCCCCTTGGGAATCAGTTTGGCTGAGGTTCGTGGCACGGGGGGTTCCAGTGCTGGAGGGGAGGGCTGATCAAACCAAAGCCCCGAGCAGGAGGCTGGTGTCCAGGGAGGAAGTCAGGGCCGGTCGGGAACTTTGAAAGGCATCTTGGAAATGAGCAGCCTTAGAAGTGTGGGGTTTCCTCCATTTCTGGTGGGCTAAGGAAGCCAGAGGGTGAAGGATCCGGGCAGAGTCGCCTACCTCTGCCCAGCTAGAGGGGCCAGGGTGGCTGGCTGTCCCCCCAACTCCCCACACACCAGCATCGCCAGCCTCCCAGCTAAGCTTCTGTAGTTGCCTGGGCACCCCGCGTATGCCAGTATGCCCGGTGGGGGTGAGGGCAGCAGTGCCGGGCAGGGGGTCACCTGTCTGTCACTCCCTGGGCCCTAACTGACCCTCCACTGGCCACCACCCAGGTGGGCTGGGGGGTGGAGGAGGGTAGAACTGAGCTCCCAGTCTCCCTGGCTGCACATAGAACTGGTGGCTACAGGTGTCCCATCTCGGGGAGGCCCCTCCCACAGACACTGGTGGCAGGCAGTGAGTCAGGGCTGCTTTGCTTCTGCGGCGAGAGTCCCTCCCCTCACCAGAGGCAGAAGTAGGCACGGCCTGTGGGGTAAACACAGTGAGAAATGACCTCTCCCTCCCTTTGAGGCTTTATCTGCTCTCCCCAAGCTCCTGTCTTTGATTGGCATTGGCCAGGGGGAACCTCTCCCCAGTCCGCGTGGAGGGGCCCCAGGGGCGACAGCCACTCAGTCCTTCAGAAGGTGGGCAGTGGAGGGGTCAGCGCTGTCACTGCCCACCCAGGAGATGCCCCCACTCAGACCCCGGATCCCCCCACTCAGACCCCCGATCCCCCCGCTCAGATCCCCGATCCCCCCGCTCAGAACCCCGATCCCCCTGCTCCCCTGGCAAAAGGCCAGGAGCTCACCAGCCTCCTGCAGTCCTCAAAAACAAACAGCCGAAAAGCACAGGGGCGTGAGGACAGCTCGGCTCCGCCCCCCGGAAAGTGTCCTCCCCGCGTGCGTGGGCTCTCTGCCAGGTACTTGGGATTGGGCACCTGGGGGACATCACTTTGCCTCCCAAAGCACCACCTGCCCAGCCTTGTTGCTCAGAGGCTGCGAGGCAGATTTGGCCAAGTCACGCTACGGCCGGCCACAGGCACTCGTCCAATCGCAGAGGCCTGTGACGTATCAACCGTAGGACAGCGGCCCCACGCCCTGCAGACGCCATGCTGGCCGAGCGTTGCTGAAGGCACCCTTGGAGAACGTAGTTTCCATTTTTCTTTAAAGGGCTCAGCTGCGTGCCTGGGAGCAGCTGATTACAAGGGTGCTCCTCCATCCGATGCTGATGACCTGGGGCTTTCCAGGGCCCCGATGCCAGCTGCTCTGTGTGCTTGAAAAGAACATTCCTCGTAGGAGAGGCCTTGGCTTCCCCTGACCCCTGCCCCGCCATTTGCCATTTTATGAAAGGTTTCCCCGGAATTAGGGGGTTTACGGTCCCCACGTGGGCTTCTGGGCCATTGGCAGATCTGGGCAAACATCCACGGTTTTCAGATGGTGATGTCTGGCTGAAGAGGGGCTGGATACCCTGAGCTAAGTGTCTCCCTCTCAGTGACCATGTTTGGAAGTGTTGGGGCAGTGGCCAATCAAATGGCCCCTCTTTCCAAAACAGGGGTCCTTTCCTGCCCCAGCGTCTCCTACGAAATTTTGGCCTGGGCACTTGCAAACAGAAATTGTGTTTAGAAATGAGGTGGTTCAGTGATAACACTTTGGAGCAACTTACAATAATCCTCCCTGAAGCCAGCTGGGCATTTTCCTAGTGTGTAGCTGGGACTGGGAGTTGATGGTGGAGTGGGCAGGGCTCTCAGGTCAGCAGACAGGACCTGGTGCCCAGGACCCTCCCAAAGGCCCCAGACCTGGCCCTGGTGCCAGCAGGGTGACTGGGAGGAGGAGCTGGGGGCTCAGGGACCTACGGGTGCCCCTGGGTTCCCCTGGACTGTCCTACCCATCCTCTAACCCACCCGCACACGTGGCCCCACACGGGCAGATGGCCCTTGCTTCTTGGATGGTCCCCCATGGCCCAGGCCCAACCTCCAGCTCAGCTTTGACCTCGGCTGTGACAGGGTCCCAGTGGCACACGATCTGTGTGGCAGGGCTCAGGGCTGATGGCCCAGATGGTGGGTCATCAGAGTCCCATGCTTATCTGTCATCTGTCCATGGCGTGTATACTGAACGTGTGCACACATGTGTGTGTCCAGGGGCCCACAGTGGCAGGGGCCTGGGACTTCAGGTGTCCGATTCAAATCAGATGAGGTGGCTGCAGCCTTTGAAACAGTTTTAGAGACCCGCCCCTGACTATGGCCACACACGAAAGCAAACCCTCCCAGCCTCACAGGCACGAGTCCATTAGACCCTCCTGAGCAGCCGTGAGGACTCCTTTCATCATTGCCATTTTCTGCACCAAGGGAGTCCTGCTCCTGCAGGCTCAGCCTCCCTGCCTCCTCCTTGTTTTTTCTGAAAGCCTTCTTCATATTGAGTACAAACAGCAGTGCTCTTCGCTGGGTTAGACCCCAACTCAGAGGGCACCTGCTCCCTCCCAGGGGCAGACAGGGGCCTCAATTTGTGCAGGAGGCGCTGGTGTCCTACAACCCCTGCTCCAGAGGCGTCCAGGAGCAGACAGATCACAGGGCGACTTGGCAAACACCCCAGCCGTTCAGGGCTGGCAGAATTCCGGGAAAGGAGAGGCGGCTGAGACAGGGAAGGAGACAGGTTCCAGTGAAATCTGGCCATGGATTATTTCAGGGCTCCTGTCCCGTGCCCCAGGCTGTGCCCAGCAACCTCCACAGGCAGCATCCTTGTTCTTAGGAAGGATACAGAGGTGTTTAGAGTGTGGAGTCTGCAACTTATTCTCAAATCATTCAGAAAGAAAGGTGTGGCCAAATGGAAGGAGAGCAAGCAGACAGTGAATCAAGGGAGGAGACTGCTTGCGGGTCATGCGGCATTGGGCTGCAGCCCTGCCACAGGCAGCTGAGTGTCCTGGGCATTCTTCCTGCAACTGTTCTGCAGTAGGAACTTTTTCAAGTTAGAAAGTTGCAGAAGGCCGGGCGTGGTGGCTCACACCTGTAATCCCAGCACTTTGGGAGGCTGAGGCAGGCGGATCACCTGAGGTCAGGAGTTCAAGCCCAGCCTGGCCAACATGGCGAAAACCCATCTCTACTAAAAATACAAAAATTAGCTGGGCGTCGTGAAGGATGCCTGTAATCCCAGCTACTTGGGAGGCTGAGGCAGGAGAATCGCTTGAGCTTGGGAGGCGGAGGTTGCAGTGAGCCAAGATCACACCACTGCACTCCAGCCTGGGTGACAACTGTCTCAAAGAAAAAAAAAGTTGCAGAAGAAGTTCTTCAAGGGGTCCTTAGGAACAGCCTGCTCCACTCTGACCTCCCGTGAGGACGGGAAGGGGACCCACGCCACGCAGCTGTGGGCAGCTCTGGCTCTGGCCGTAGCGGCCACAGTGTCCTCACCTGCAGCGCAGGGCATAGAGGGCTGTTGGTGTGGGGCCAAGAGTCACACACTTCCTCCAGTCTGAGCCCATGACCCTTTAGAGGAAAGGAATGGAGTATTTTTCCTGCCTTTTCTATTCAAACGGTACTTTAGAATAACCCAAGAGTAGATAAAAGGCAGTGTCTCAGCCCAGAAATGTTCATCAATAAGTGAAGAAGGAGCAGGATGGTCAGAATACCACCCATCAGGTGCAATCCTCATAAATCAATGGATGTAGGCATGGATTCTTGACAGCTGCTGGGGTCACGAAGGGGAGAGAGTTAGGTGTGAGGTGAGCCCTGGTGTGCACACAGCCTCGTGGCATCCTTGGAGCAAAGCCATTGAATCTGAATCTCATGGAGCCCCTGATCCAACACACAGGACACACCAGGGACAGAGGAACAGGGACAAATGTACCATTAGGATGCAGCCAGCAAAACCCAGACCACAAGAAACAGCTCCAAATAAACAACTCGTTCTGTTCTACAAACAGTGAGGGAATCGGAGACGGTGGCCTGGTTTCTTAGCAAAGACTCGGACAAGTCAACCTGTCGCAGAAAGCCGGCACCAAAGCTGATCATTCTTCCTGCCAAGAAACAGCAAAAAAGCCTAGGTAGTGAATAGCTACAAATTCTTGTTGTCCAGAGCTGTTGTGGGTATGGTTTTCAAAATGGTCCTGCTCTCTTAGAGGTACATGCGGAAATGTTTACAGACAAAATGATGCAATGTCTCAGATTTACTGAAGCGTGATCTGGGGGAAGGGGCTGTGGGAGGGCTACAGAGGAGACAAGATTGGTCTTAAGTCTGTAATCATGGAAAGTGAGTGTTGATGACATTTTTGGCATGTTTGAAAAATTTAGTAATTAAAAGTTTTCAAAAGGTTAAGGTGCTATATGTTGGAAATAAAGAATTTGGCGTATGAAATCACCGTTCAGATGGTGACTCTGAGGCTGTGGGGGGTGAGAGGGCAGGACAGGGAGGTGACCTTGGCCTTGTTCCAGGCACCAGACCTGCCTGTTGGAGCCAGGTGGGAGACGGCAGGGTGAGGACGTGCAGACATGCGGGTCCACCTCTGTACCCCGTAACCCCGTTTCCCAGATGAAGCAGAGGGCAGAGCCACCTGTGCACATCACGTGGCTGGAGAGAGACAGGGCCTGGAGGTGCTCTCAGAAGGGAAGGCCTAGCCTGACCCTGTGGTGCTCCCCGTGGGGACAACGGTCAGGCTTTTGAGTGAGATGGGCAAGGGTGGGAACGTGAGGGGCCCAGAGCTGGCCATGGCTGGCTCTGACTGGGCTTGGAGTCCTCGAGAGTGACTTGGCCCAGAGTGGTTCAGGCTCACCTGTTCACAGCTCTGCATTGTGACCCGGGGTCAGCTCTCCCGGGCTGTCCTGCACTTGGACTGACAGCATTCTGAGGATGTTCAACTCCAAGGACAAATGGGGTCCTGGGGCTGTGCCTGCAGTTCTGTGGGTACTGAGGGCAGCAAGGGGGTACAGCCACCCTGTGCTTGCCAAGAACCACCACAAGCCACCCCACAGGTGAGGCAGGCCTCAGGCAGCAGCCCAGGGATCTCCAGGTCTGTTCTCAGGGGCACTGGGGCTCCCAGCTGGTAACATCTGATGATGGGCAGAGAGGGCCCTGGGCTGAGCAGGGCCCGAGAGGACGTCCGACCTGTGCACGAACCAGAGGCTGCCTTCGTTTTTCTCAATCAAATCTCACGTGGTGATCTAGTAGTTTGTATTAAGAGAAGAAAGAAGCTTTTCTTTATTTTTGATTCATGGTGAAACACACATCACTTAAAATGTGCTGTTTTACCATCTGGAAGGGCACAGTTGAGCGGCGTGAAGCACGTTCACATTGCTGTGCAACCGTCGCCACCATCCACCTCCAGAACCTTCTCTCTCCCCAGACTGAAACTCTGTCCCCATTAAACCCTGACCCCCAGCGCCTGGTAACCTCTTTTCTGCTTTCTGGCTCGGTGAGGTGGATGACTCAGACTGGCAGAATCTCAGGCCTCCCCTGGGTCTTCTCTAAGATGCAGGTTCTTGAAGGCAGGCTTGCTGCTGAAAGACGCCAGACTCCAAGGCCCTGGGTGATTCCAAGCACTTGAGGTTCTGGACAACGCTGAGCCGTTGGGACAGGAGGAAGGTCGGAGGAGGGGTGGGGTGGCCATAGGGGCGCTGGGAACTCTGGGGTGACGGAAATGTTCTGTATCTTCGTTGTGGATCATAGCTCGTGGTTTCAGCGCGTTAGTCCCGCCTCCGTGAGTCTGTGTTGGTTGTGGTTCAAAGCTCGTGGGGCTGTAGACTGAGGGGTGGATTTCAGCGCGTGTTAGTCCTGCCTCCGTGAGTCTGTGAAAAACAACAGCAGCAGAGAGTGACCGAGCTGCCGTCCGCTCAAGGCTGTTTCGGGTGGCCAGGTCCTCCCTCCTGTGGGCCTGTGTGCACTCAAGATCGTCCTCCCCTGGACGGCCATGAAGGGCTGTGAAGAGCATGAGCCCCCATCCCGGCAGCCCCTCGCTCCCTGACCAGGCTGCTGCCTGCACGAGGCTAGCTCTGCAAGGGGGGCACGGAGGGGAATAGAGATCCTGGTTCTTGGCGCTTGGTGGGGATGGTGTTACTGAGGTCACAGCCATGGGGTCTGCCTGTCTCAGAGACCCCCACTGTTCCCCCGCCATGCCCTGGAGTTTGACCTTGCCATCGCCAGTGAAGGCGCAGTGGCCAAGGGGCTGTCCCCGTCCATGTGTCACCCCAAGGGGAATGCACAGCTCCGGAGGGGGACCACCGGGCTCTGCAGCGTCAATGAAGAAACTGAGGCCCAGAGCGGGGCAAGGCGCCTGCCCCACCCTGGTGCCCACTGCTCTTCCCAAAAGCATTGCCAGTGGGGCACCACCCACCCCAGGAGGGCAAGGTGAGAGCCCTGGGTCTGGAGTGCCACGTGGACCTGGCACAGGTTGGAGAGGGGAGGTGCCCAGCATGCTGACCCACCCGAAGCCACCCGTGCCTACTTTGGGATTTTACATCCCTGTGCACCTGTGGGGGCTGTGTCCTACATACCCAGGGCTGGCTCCTGAAGGCAGTCAGGGAAGCAAGAAGGAGATCAGGAGAATGCTTCCCGAGAATAGGTGGTTTTGGGTTGTCCCCAGTGGCTTGGAATGGCTGGCTTGCCAGAACCCAGGTTCAAATCCCAGCTTCACCACTGGCCAGCAGCACGACTCTGGGCAAATGGTGTGACCATCTGTGCCTCTGTTTCCCCATAAGCCAACTGGAGGTAGCGATTGCCCTGCAGTCTCATGAGTTAATGACATAAAACGCTGGAGACTGTGCCTGGGGTGGAAGAAGGACTCAATCGCCCATGAGCATGATTTGTGTTCTCCCCTGGACAACGGCAGAAATGCAGCAGCGCTTGGGAGGGCTGGGAGCCTCCCCAGGCAGGAGGAATTCTCTTCTGAGCATCTGGGCTAACATCTTTCCTTCCTTCCTTCATTCACTCATCATTCATTCACTGAACACCTACCACATGCCAGGATGGGGGTATAGCAGCCCAAAAAAACTGGCAAAAAGTTCTGGCCCTTTGAACTCACGTCCCATCAGAGAAGACAGAAAATAAGCGAAATAAATAGGCACCATACATGGCCGGCAAGGAGTAACGAGAGCCGCAGAGAAAACCACACGGGGGGAGCGTGGGGGTGCAGGCAGGTCAGGAAGGCCTCGTGCAGACCCTGCAGGAGCACTCCGGTGGGCGTCGGGGAAGATGCCAGGTAGGGGAACAGCAGGTGCAAAGACCCCAGGGCAGGCACGTGCTGGGGGTGCTGGAGGAACAGCGCTGGCCTGGCGGGGTGGCCGGAGCGGAGGGAGCAGAGGGCCGTGTGAGAAGCCACGGGCAGATCATGCCTCGTAGACCTCGCCACAGCTTTTATTCTGGAAGAAGTGAGTGGGCGTGGGAGATTCTGAGCAGAGCCGCCACGTGACTTACACGTTAAAGGGACAGTTCTGACTGCTTTGTGGAGAATGCATTTAGGGGTCAGAATGGTTGGGAAGCTGCTGCTGGATGCCTGGGGAGTGACCAAGGAGTCCTAGGCCAGGGTGGGGGTGGAGAAGGTGGCGGAGAGGGGTTGGATACCAGAGACGTGCTTTTCGTTGTTCCTACTTCATTTTTCGACTGACAGGCAATAAGATTCCCTTCTGTGCTTGTTCGCACCTATGAGCTTCGATAAATGCAGCCATGTATCCCCACTTCAGAAGACACACCGGCCCCCGCCCTCCAGCCCTGTGGCCCACCCGCCCCGATGCCCGCCCCTCCACCCACTGGTCCGCTCTCCTCCCCCACAGCTTTGCCTTTTCTGGGACGTCGAGTGAATGGAGCCAGCTGGGCTGTGGCCTCTCGAGCCGGCCTTCTTCCTTCACTGCATCCTCTGAGCTGTTGCCTGCATTGACCAGGCGTTCCTTTTTATTGTGCAGTCAGATCCATTCTGTGGATGGACCACGTTTTGTTGAGGCATTTGCCCACCAAAAGACTTCTGGGTTGTTTCTGGGTTTGGGCGATTATGAATAAAGTAGCTACAAATATTCACATATGATGAATTTTGTGTGAATATACATTTTCATTTCTCATGAGTAAATACGTAGGTTTCAGATTGCTGGGTCATACAGAAAGTGTATGTTTGCCAGTGTTTCCTAAGCGATGCGCTGTTTTGAACGTCCCTCACCCTAGCCTTAACCCACATGAAGCAGTGGTCACTCTGCATCCTGGCCAGCTCCTGGTCTTGCCTCACTGCTCTGGCTATGACGTCCAGTATGATGGTGAATAGGAGTGATGAGAGTAGACATCCTTGCCTTGCTTCCAGTCCCTTTTTTTTTCTTTCAAAAAAAAAAAAAAGTTTTTCGTTTATTTAAGTTTTTGTTAGAGCTCTTTATAAAGTTAGGAAAGTTTCCTTATATTCCTAGTGTGCTGAGAGATTTTTTTCTTCATCGTGAATGAATGTTAAATTTTGTGCAGTGATTTTTCTGTCTCATCATGTGGCAAGATCATGTGGATTTTCTCCATTAGTCAGTTAATGTGGTGAATTATATTGATTACTTTCCAGTTGTGATAAAATGTACATCACGTAAAATTTACCACTTTAATCAATATAAGTGCACAGTTCTGTGGCACTAAGTACACTGTCACATGACCATCTCCACCCTCCCTCTCGGTACATCGTCATACGATCATCCCCACCCTCCCTCTCGGTACATCGTCATGCGACCATCTCCACCCTCCCTCTCCAGAGCTCTTTTCATCTTTCCAAACTGAAGCTCTGCGCCTGTTAAACACTAACTCCCCATCTCCTCCTCCCCCAGCCCCTGGCAACCGCCATTCTACTTTTTGTCTCTGTGAATTTGACCACTCCGGGGGCCAAATATAAGTGGAAAACCTTGGTTAATTCTTGAATGATGAACCAGCCTCACATTCCTGGGATAGACCTCATTTCGTCGTGTATTAGCTGGTTTTGACTTGCTAGTGTTTTGCTGAGAATTTTTGTGTCTATGCTCATGAGAAATATTGGTCTGTAAGTTTATTTTCCTGGGTTATCTTCATCTGGTTTTCTGGCCTCATAACATGAGCTGGGAGGTTCTTGTTCCTTTTGTGTTTTCTGTCAGAGGTTGTGTAGAATTGGCATGATTTCCTCTTTAAAGCTTTGGTAGATTGTCCAGCAAAACCATCCGGGCCTGGAGTTTTGTAGGAAGGTTTTTATAAATTCAATTCTTTTCAAAGAAACCAGGTGTAGTGGTTCAGGCCTGTAATCCCAGCACCGTGGGAGGCCAAGGAGGGTGGATCACCTGAGGTCAGGAGTTTGAGACCAGCCTGGCCAACAGGATGAAACCCTGTCTCTACTAAAAATACAAAACTTAGCCAGGTGTGGTGGTGGGCACCTGTAGTCCTGGCAACTCGGGAGGCTAAGGCAGGAGAATCGCTTTAACTCGGGAGGTGGAGGTTGCAATGAACCGAGATCACGCCACTGCACACCAGCCTAGGTGACAGAGCGAGACTCCATCTCACAAGACAAATTATTTTAAAAGATAAAGGAATATTCAGGTTATATATTTCTCCTTGAGTAAGTGTTAGTAATTTGTATCTTTTGAGGAATTGGTCCATATAATCTATTTTGTCAAATTTTAGAGCATAGATTTATTTGTGGTATTCTGTCATCATCCTTTTAATGTCTGTGGGGTCAGTAATAGTGTCTCCTTGTTCATTTCTAATATTGGTAATCTGTGACTTCTCTCTTTTCTCCTTGGGCAATATGGCTAGGATTTTATTAACATTATTGTTCTTTTTCAAGAATGAGCTTTTGATTTCATTGATTTTTTTTCTATTGTCTTTTAGCTTTCAATTTTATTTATTTATATTTCTTTCTTCATTTCCTTTTTCTGCTTGCTTTGGGTTTAATTTGCTCTTCTTTTCCTAGATTTCCTAAGGTGGGAGCTTGGATTATTGATTTAAGATCTTTATTCTTTTCTAACATAAACATGAAATGCTATAAACATCCTCCTAATTAATGCTTTAGTGGCATCTCAAAATTTTTGAACATTGTATTCTAATTTAGATCAAAATTTTTTTATATCTTGAGATTCCCTCTTTAACCTTTGTGTTATTTACAAATGTGTTGTTTAGTTTCCAAATGTTTGGGATTTTCCAGATATTACTTTTTTATCCATTTCTAATTTAACCCTATTATGTTTAGAGAACAAATGTGCATGATTTAAATTCCTAATTTTGTGAATGCTTGTTTCATGGTTTAGGATAATGGTCTATTCTGGTGAATGTCACATGCACACTTGAGCAGAATGTGCTGTGCTATCATTGCTGGGTATATTATTCTATGAAGGTCAATTTGTTGGATAGTGTTATAGTATTTAATTCTAGAATTTTTATTGGTTCTTTTAATATAGTTTCTTTTTGTCTTTTAAGAACTTTCATTTTTCCATTTATTTCAAGAGAGTTACCTTTACCTCAAGGAGCATGGTTGTAATGCCTGCTTTAAAGTCTTTGTCTGGTAAATCCATCCTCTGGGTCATCTTGAGGGTGGCATATATTGATTCTCTTTTCCTTGAGAGTTAGTCCCATTTCCATGGTTCTTTTTCTGTTAAGTAATTTTGAATTAATTCCTGAACATTTTGAATTTTGTTGTGGTTCTTTGGGTTATGTTAGAATCCTCTGGAGAGGCAGCCCGCTTGGTCAGAGCTGCCGCTTTTGTCTCACTGTCTGTCCGTGGTGGTTCCAATGCAGGCCTGTTTTTGGGTCTTTTGCTGTTCAGCCATTCCACATGAAAGTGCCATTCAGGGGCAGGCTTAGATCTTGGAGATCGTTTATATCACAGCGGTTTTCAAGCCCTTAACTATAATTGTTTAGGTGTGTTCCTCATATGTGGTAACTCCAGGACTTGTGTTGACTCATACACAGAACTGGGGGATCCCCTTGTTCAGCTCTCACCTCTCTGAGATTTCCTGTCACACTCTCTAGTTTCCAGGGATCCTTTCCTTAGGCCTCCAGCCAGGAAGCCCGAGTATTCCATGTTATGTCCTCTGCTGACTTCTTTAGATCCACTTCTCTGTATTTGCTCTTGGAATGGTTGCCCTGGAATATCAGTATGCCTCTGAGTGGACTCTGAGTGCTCAGAGTCTGATCAGATTCATATCATGCTGATTTACACCTGACACCTCCTGCTTCTCACTTCCACCTTGATGTCTGTTTCAATGGACTCATTTTTTTCTTGTCAATGGGTCACATTTTACTTTCTTTGCATATCTAGTAATTTTTAACCTATACTAGACCTTGTAGATGACACATTAAAGAGACTGGATTGTGTTGTGTTCCTTTGGAGAGGGTTGATTCTTATTTTAGCAGGCAGTTCAGTGGCAGACTCGTCATCTTGAACTTGGGTCGGCTTGGTTTCATGCTTAGTTGAGTAAACAACTACGGAAAGCCCAAGGCATTTTCCAATATCCCTTCTCACTTGGAAGAACTCAGTGGGCACCTTCAGCCTCCTCTGTGGATTCTGTCTTAGCTGGGGTGGGTTTGGAGGCCTTGCTCTAGGGCTTCTCCATCCTCCTGTGTCATGGGCTTCCTGGCATCTCTGTTGGCTGCTTCATGTGTTAATGAGACTTCTTCCCCCTAGCTCTGCCAGGATGCCAGCCACCCTCTGATAAGCCTTTCGTGGCCTTGTTCTGTACACGCTGGGCCAGCACAGATCCCACAGGAAAGCCGGTGTAGGCTTCTGAGGACCGTCACCATGCAGTCCCCCTCTCTAGCACCTGGCTCTGCAGATGTAGCCACAGCCACAGCCCGCATCTCTGATCTCTGCCTCCTTGGCTCAGATAGTAACGTTCTGCCCGGACCTCAGCTCTTACGTCTCCATCAGGAAACTGTCCCCAAACAGAGGCATGGTGATGATGGGCTCACCTTGTGAGTATCCATGCCCTTAGGGACCACAGTCCTGAGGTTTGTCCAGGGTCTGAAAACAACTGCCTGATACATCGTGTACAATTTTATAGTTGTTTATGGCAGGAGAGCTAGTCCAGTACCCCTGGCGAAAGTCATCCGTAGATTTTAAACACTGCCTACTTTCAAAAAGATCTGAGGCAGCTTATGATAAAAGGCTTGGGCTCAAAGGAATTATTAAAACAATGTTACAAAAGAACACAGAACAAAGAAATAGAGTTATCCAAGAAACATGAGTCTGAGGACAGCCACTGTGTTTGAGTAAATCTTACACTGAAGCTTATGAAAAAGAGCAACATTATTTGGACTTAAACATTTTTAGCCTGTTGTCTGTGAAAAGGTGAACTTACTGTAAATTTCAGTAACTCTCCTTTGACATATTTAAAGGTTAAGAGAATTATTTCAAGAGCCTTGTTTTCTTATAATTCAAACACGGTTCCTCTCCTTAAAAACTCACACTTCCAGGCTCTCAGCATTCAGAGAGTACGGGAGCTGTTTGGGAATCATTCCTGCTTGGGCATCACTCAATTGTAACTGCTCACAACAGCCGTGGGATGCTGCTGTCTGGGGTGTCACTTCCCAGTTGATTGGCAGAATCACGAAGCCCCCGGCTCCTGCGAGTCAGGGAGGGACCGCAAGTGTGTCTGGGCCGTGTCACTCCGGAGCTGCGAATAGAGCCGTCCGGAATGTGCTGGTCAGGAGCCAGGGCAAGGAACGCTCATTTGTCCACCTGTCGACTTCAGGCTGCGTGCCCAGCAGGATGTGCACAGTAGGAAGCGGCTGTCGGGGGTCACTATTTATTGCCTGGAGCTGAGGGATAAGCCATTCCATCTGGGCTGACCCCATGGTGGAGGACCAGATCCAGGATCCCTGGTCCAGGGCTCACCAGCATTTCCCATCACCACTGCCCTGCCCTGCACCCTTAAGACACAGAAGCTGCCAGTGGGGACAGAGGTCTTTCCAGCCCAGGGACCTCCTCAGACACAGCAGCCTGAAGCTCCTCTCTCTGGCCTGTCCTTAGTACAGGGAGCCCCCAAGCACGGGGCTTTATTTCCTCTGCACCTGTGATGGGCTGAGGGAGTCAGGGCCGAGCCAGCGAAACACTGGGGTTGCTTTGAAGCTGGCTTCAGGTGAACACGCTGACCCCCTGGGTGGTCTCCAGGTGGTCTTCCTGTGGCAGCAGGTCAGGCGGAGGCAGCAGCCTCTGGGGCAGGAGGCAGAGATGGGAGGGGCCATGGGCAAGAGGTCTGGCAGCTCTGTGTCTGCCCAGTGGCTTCAACCAGCTTGTAGGAGGCAGTGGGGAGTGGCTGCCCAAACGGCCCCACTGTCCCCACAGGCCTGGCACAGGGTTGAGGGTCCAAGATTCTGCCCCGCTCAGAAGTTTGCTTTGCCAAAGTGGCCCAAACTCTCAGGGGACCCGAGCCATGACCTCCCAAGTCCTGGGAGGAGCCAAACTGCACCCAGACCCCAGCTCAGAGGGCAGCAGCTCTCAGCAGAGCCCTGGGACAGTGGGGCCCCTGCAACCCCAGAGGCCCAGACGGTTAGGGACAAACACTCAGATGCTAGTGCAGTGACCTGGAAGCATGCTTCTAACCAAAGGAAGCATGCCTGGAACAGGGAGGGTCCCCAAGGCCCCTACCCTGGCGAACCTGCCACAGACTAGAAGCGGGTAATTGCAGGGCACTCAGACAAGGTGCAGGGCACCCATCAAACTTCCTGCAGTGGATTTTCCTGACAGCTTCTTCAAAAGGAGCCCATCTAATGTATTAAAAATAACTGCATTTGTGTCCGATCAGCACAGAGATGCTCAGAAAGCCTCCAGTTAAAACCAGCGGGGTGGAGATCTGTGTTTTGACAGCTCCAACCCCAAATACCTTTCATGCTTCTGCCTGTCAGGAAGAACCACAGAAACCCCGAGGGTCTCCTGGGCAGGCACTGGTCTCTTGGGGCTGCAGAGGCTCAAAACACAGAAATGTGTCCTCCGTGGCTCTGGAGGCCTGAAATCAGGGTCCCAGGCCCACACTCCGCGGAGGCTCTAGGGAAGGACCCTTCCTGCCTCCTGCAGCTCCTGGAGGCTCTTGGCATTCCTTGGCTTGTGGCCGAATCGCTCCTTTCTCTGCTTCTGTCTCCACGTGGCTTCCCCCTGTGCGTCTCTGTGTCATCTAAGGATACTGGTCATTAGATTTAGGGCCCACTCCGATCCAGGATGATCTCATCGCACAGTCCTCAGTTACATCTGCACACTCTTTTCCCAAATAAGGTCACACAGGTTCCAATGGACGTATCTTTTCGGGGCTACCAATTACTCCACAACACCACAATTCAAGGGGAGAGGCAGCAGGCACCAGGCCTCCTCTCCCGGCAGACAAGTGCTCCCCAAGGCACAGGATGGGGCTCCCTGGCTCCTGGTGGAAAGCAAGCACCAGAGCCCCAGATAAGTGCAAGGGGAGGAACAGGAAGGGGCTGGAAGGGCTACCCCAGCCCCCAGCCCCAGCTCAATTGCCTAGAACAGTCCCAAGACCAGCATCATTCTGGCCTCCCTGCAAGGGGGAAGGAAGAGGAGCAGGGGTAGGAGTGACCTTTCACAGCCACCCTGGCCTCATCCTGTGGGGCCTCCAGCCAGGTGAGGCCATGCGAGACACAGTGGGAAGCGGGAGGCGGGAGGCGAGTGGGCTCGGGGCATTTGCCACCCTCTGCCGCTGCACTGTCGGCCCCGTCTCCCCCCCGCTGCCTTCCGGTCCCATCACTGCCCACTCCTCTTGCTCCCTGGGGGATAAGGTGGAAAGAGGTCCCCTGGATTCAAGCCTTAGAATCCTGCAGCCACCCAACCGGCCACCCCATCTGTCCACGCCTCATCTGCTGTCCCTGAGCTCAATGTCTTCCAGCTGCTGGTTGGAGGTGCCAGCTGGTTCCTGCTGGGTCCGTCTGACAGTGGCACAGGGAGGTTCAGGTGGGCACAGACGCCGCCGCCTCAGCTCTGAGTGTTATTGGTATCACCCCCCACCTTGAATCCCAGCAAACCAAGAGGAGGGAGGAGGACGGAGGGAGAGGGAGAAGAAGGGAGGTGGAAGAAGGGGGAGGTTGGAGGAGTGAGGGGGAGGGAGGAGGAGGGAGGCTAGCAGTGCCCAGGATCACCCAGCCCAGGAAGAGCGTGGAAAGGTGGCCGGCCCTGGCTTGAGGGTGGGGGGACTCTGGGTGGCTCTGCCCTGTACCCTGAAATCTCTGTACACCAACCTCATGGGCCAAGAGATCTGCTGCCCTGTCCCTGCCCTGGGGCTTGACCAGAATGTCGGGGGCAGCATTTGGGGTAGAATAAAATGGACATGCTCACCTGCCCTTGGGGTTCGCAGCCTCCACCGGGTCACCGGCAGCTCCATTCCAGCCCGAGGGGTGAGCAGCCCTTCCGAACCGGTCTCAACCCTTTCTGTGGGGCTGCCATTGTCCTGATTCTCTCCCCAAAATTGTCAGCTGGGATCACCTTGCAGAAACCCAGTTAAAACCCAAGCACAGGACTCGGAGGAGACAGATCTCCCAAGAGGCTCCAGCCTCCAAGAGCCGGCAGATCGGCCTGCGTCTGTCAATGGAACTGCTGCGACTATTTGTCCATAAATAAAACCTGTTTTCATTTCTCCTGCCCTCAAGAAACTGCTGCTCTCCGAGACCAGGCCCAGGAGTGTGGGCTGCTTAGAAAGGAAACCCAAGAGGCACCAGCAGGACCTCGCTTAGCACGGCATCCCCACTGCCTGCCCACCGGTCCCCAGGAGAATCAGCCATCCCAGGCATAGCAGGCTTTAGGATGCTGAGATTGCCTGGGCATGCTGGCTGGTGCCTGTGGCCCCTGCCTGGGAGGCTGAGGCAGGAGAATCGCTTGAGCCTGGGAGGTCAAGGCCGCAATGAGTCGTGATGGCACTACTGCACTCCAGCCTGGACGGCAGAGCAGGAACCTGTCTCAAAAAAAAAAAAAAATGGTGGGAATGGCTTCACAACTGTGGAGTGCTTTTCTCATTTTACTAGGTGAGGAGGAACAGGTCCATGCTCCCCGAGGCACAGGCACCTAAGACAAGCCTGGCCCCGGCCGCGTTAGTGGAGAAGGCTACAGATGGCCAAGATGCTCACAGGACGGGCACTTCCTGCCCAGGATTCCAATGTGGCCCCATCCACACTGGGATGGTTTTGAGAACCAGGTGACGGCAGGTGCACCTGTCCTCTGAGCCCCATCTGGAAACTGCTTTGTGGACAACCGTGGCCTTGGATGAAAGGGGTCCTTGCCAGAGCTTGTGGGGTGCACAGCTGGAGGAGAAGGGTTTCTGCATCACCTGTTTTCATTGGTTCCAAGGCTCAAGGCCCTCCTGGAGTCCCCGAGAGACCGCCTCATCCGCCTGGGAAGCGGGTTGCCTGCATAAGCCAGGGCAGGACACACCAGCCCCACACAGGAGCCCGTGAGGGCTCCGCACTGCCCCCACCCTGAGCCGGGCTCCTGCAGGCTCCCCGGCCCCACAGACCTGTCACCACGTAGATGCGCTCTCTCCGGCTCACAGGGCCTGAGGACAGGGTTTCCTCTCCACCCTCAGGGAGCAGCAAGGGCTGGGTGGAAGTGGGGGGTCCCAGCAAGTCCCAGCCCAGAGTGCCAGGAACAGGTGAGCTGGAGTGAGGAGTGAACACTGAAAACACACAGGCTGTCACCGCCTGGGGCCACGGGTTCTGCCCCAGAGATAGCGCCAGCTGGACTGCCGGCGGGTCTGGAGCCACCTCTGCACCTTGCCCGGCCGCCGGGCTCAGCACCGGTCTAAGGAGAGTCCGCTGTGGTACGGCCGCTGGGCAGTGGCTCTGAGCCCTCCGCCTCCAGCATCGAGGTGACTGAGGGGATAGCACAGAGAGGGTGGCTGGACGTGGATTTCCTGGAGGGGAGGCGGGAGTGCCTGAGCCACAAACAGGTTTCATCACAAAACCTGTGTCTGGCGTGGTGGCAGGGGGACCTGTGGGCTGAAAGCAGCAGCCCCTGGATCAGCAAATGGCCCCGGCCTCAGAACTGCACAGCAGCGGCCACCAGGGCCACAGCCGAGGGCCAGAGTGGGAGAAGAGCAAGGGCAGGCGGGTATGGGTGCCATGGCAAGGGTGGGGCCAAGTGGGCAAAGGGACAGACCTGTGTTCCCGGCGCTCCCGGCGTGGGCCGACCCAGCACCTGGGGCCTGCACTCACTCACCTCCTGTCACAGCAGATGGTGCTGGGGACCCAGCGAGGCCTCAGGGCTGCCCCAGGCCCACGGTGCCTGCAGGGCCAAGGAAGGGCCAGTCTAGGCCCGGCCCCATCATCTGGCTCTTTACTCCCCCTCCTGGGGCTCCTTATGACCACAAGGACGAGCCTTGTGGATGAGGGGTGTGGACTGGACAGCAGGGAGGGCTTCCTGGAGGAGGGGCTGAGTCGGCTTTGAAGTCAGGGGAAGGGAGTGGTGCACAGGTCCCCCCGAGTCTCCCAGCATCCGAGCCTTGATCAACAGGAGGGAGATGGGTACCTTGGGGTCGGTGCTCTCTCTTTCCCTCCCCGGCTACTCAGCTGGACCCCAGGGTCACCTCCTCCATGAAGCCCTGTTTCCCCATCCCTGCGGTCAGTGTGTGCGGCAGCCCCACCCTGAGGAGGGGGTGGAGCTGGGTGGGTGCAGACACTACTGGTGATGAACAGACAGACGTCCCCGCAGGAGGGGACGGAGCTTCCGTTTCCAGCACCAGCTTCATTCCCGGGGATTTTTACTGTTCAGTTTCTAAAAATGGCAGAAGTTCATTTCTTAACATCCCCTTGGCAAGGCTGCTTCCATTTCGGTGAAAGTGGAGGCCGTTTGTGGTTTTCTCTGCCTGCCGGAGGCTGGGCCACGGTGTCTGCGGAAGACGCTGTGTGCACAGCTGGGCTTTCTTTGTGTGTGCCAGCATTGCTCAGGAAGGGGAAGGAAAAGGAAACTGAGTCGCGAAGGGCAGGCCAACACCCGGAGGCCAAGCAGGTTTCACGGCAGCCACTTCTGCCAAACGCCAGAGGCACGTCCACCAGGTCACCTGGACAGCCCAGCCAGGTGCCCACCCAGTTTCTGTCACCTGCACCCAGAACCGGCCCTCAGTGGAGTCCTCGCTCCAGACAGAGGGGCTTCAGGACACTGAGAAGGGTCTTGGGGTAGATTCTTTTCTGAAGGAAGCCGGAGATGCTGAGTTGGAAAGGGACCCTAAGACTGTCCCCTGACCCCACCCAGCCCTTCCGGCGACACTCAGAAGAAGCTGCTGGCAAGAGCCAAGAGATGGATGTCCAGTCCTCGGTCTGTGCACACCTGAGGGGCTCGTGCCCTGCAGGGAGCTAAACCTGAGACTGAAGCTGTATCCAGACACACTTACTCACGGCATGTCCCAAATGCCTGACACCCACAGATCCACCCAAGTCTGCTTCTCTGCTGTGCCTGCAGCCCCCAGGAGTGGCTATCTGCATGGTCAAAGCCACTCCTCCCAACTTGGGGGCTCCGGGAGGAGGGCAGGGTGGGGAGAGAGTAGCTCCCTGGGAGCCCCAGGGTGGCCTGCTCAACACAGGCTCTGTGGCTTCCAGCCCACTGGGGAGAGATGAGACAAAGGGAGAATGGAAAGATCTGGAATTTCTTTCGTGCATGGAGCGGGGGCAGTCCTCAGAAGCACAGCCTGAGACAGGGATTGTGGTGCAGGTGATGGATGGAGGGTGGGCCCTCAGGGGAGGAGAGGGAAACACAGGTGACACAGGTGTAGCTCAGAGCCTTATAGCCTCAGGAATCTCCCCCAGGGGTGCTTCCAGAATGCAGACCCCAAGGCTCACCCCAGACCAACTGGATCAGAATCTCCAGGGCAGAGACCTAGAACTTGGGGCTAGGGGTTTCTAATTTTTTTTTTTTTTTTTTTTTTGAGATGGAGTCTCGCTCTGTCACCCAGGCTGGAGTGCAGTGGCACGATCTCAGCTCTCCACCTCCCAGATTCAAGTGATTCTCCTGCCTCAGCCTTCTGAGTAGCTGGGATTACAGGAGCCCGCCACCTCCCTCAGCTAATGTTTTATATTTTTGGTAGAGACAGGGTTTCACCATGTTGTCCAGGCTGGTCTCAAACTCCTGACCTCAAGTGATCTGCCTGCCTCGGCCTCCCAAAGTGCTGGGATGACAGGCCTGAGCCACCATGCCTGGCCATCTAAATTGTTATTAATAGACTTTATTTTTTAGAACAGTTGTAGAGAAGCGTTGAGCCCACAGGACAGCGGCTCCATGGTGTCTCCTGGCCCTCACCTGTTAATAACAGGTGTCTCCCTGTTATTAACATTTTGCATTAGTGTGGTACATTGTTACAATTAATGAGCCAATATTGATACATTATTAAGGAAAGTCTGCAGTTTATATTAGGGTTCATCAGTCTTGTACCTTCTGTGGGTTTGGACAAATGTGTAATGTCCTATATCTACCATCCCAGGATCCTGCAGAAGAGTTTCATTGCCCGAAAAAATCCTTGGAGCTCCACCTGTTTATTCCTCCCTCCCCACAACCCCTGGCACCCACTGATCCTCTTACTGTCTTTCCAGTTTGTCTTACCCAGAACGTCACACAGCTGGGATTATACCGTATGCAGCCTTTTCAGACCAGCTTCTTTCCCTTCGCAGTATGTAGTTGAGGTTTCTCCCTGTCTTTTCATGGCTTGATAGCTTGTTCTTTTTACGGCTGAATAATATTCCATTATCTGGATGTCCCCCAGCTTGTTTATTCACTCAGCTATTGATGGACATCTTGGTTTTTGGCATTTATGAAGAAGGCTGCTATAAACATACATGTGCAGGTTTCTGTGTGGCTTTCACCCCTTTGGGAGTAGAAATGCCAAGGAGGGCGATCGTTGGAACACGTGGTAAGGATACGTTGAGCTTTGTAGGAAGTTGCCAAAGTGCCTTCCAGCACGGCTGCGCCATTTTGAATTCCCAGCAGCCACGGGTGAGGGCGGTTCTGTTGCTCCGCAGCCTTGCCAGCGTTTGGTGTCGTCAGGATCTTGGTTTTGGTTTTTGTAGCCATTCTCATTTGATCTCATTGTTTTAATCGACATTTCTCTAATGACATATGATGTGGAGCATTTTTCTTGTGCTTATTTTTCCATTGCTACGTCTTCTTTGATGAGGTGTCTATTCAGATGTTTTGCCCATTTCTTCATGTTTGTTTCCTTATTGTTGAGTTGTAAAAGTTCTTTATATATTTTGGATAACACTCCTTTATCAAGTATTTTGCAAATATTTTTTCCTAGGCTGTATCTTGTCTTCTCATTCGTTTAACAGTGTCATTTTTAGAGCGTTTTTGTTTTGTTTTGTTTTTGTTTTTTCTTTTTTGTTTTTGAGACGGAGTTTCGCTCTTGTTGCCCAGGCTGGAGTGTAATGGCACAATCTCGGCTCACCACAACCTCCGCCTCCCGGGTTCAAGTGATTCTCCTGCCTCAGCCTCCCGAGTAGCTGGGATTACAGGCGTGCACCACCATGCCCAGCTAATTTTGTATTTTTAGTAGAGATGGGGTTTCTCCATGTTGGTCAGGCTGGTCTTGAACTCCTGACCTCAGGTGATCCACCCGCCTTGGCCTCCAAAAGTGCTGGGATTACAAGTGTGAGCCACCACGCCCAGCCGTGTAATTTCTTAATTTTAATGAAGTCCAGCTTATTCATTTTTTTTGTGGATTATGCTTTTGATGTTGCATCTAAAAACTCATTGCCAAACCCAAGATACCTAGATTTTATACCCAAGATACCTAGATTTTATTACCTAGAAATTTTATTATCTTGTATTTTATATTAAATAAAATGTGTTATTATCTATAAATTGTATTATCTTGCATTTTATATTAAGGTCTGTGAGGCCTTTTGAGTTAATTATCCTGAAAGGTATAAGACCCATTTTTTTCTACATGTGGATGTCAGTTGTTCCAGCACCATCTGTTGAAAGACAGTCTTTTCAACATCAATAACTTTTGCTTCTTTCTCAAAGATCATTTGCCCATGCATGTGTCCGTCCACTTCTGGGCTCTCTTTTCTGTTCCATTGGAATATTTGTCTGTTCTTTAGCCACGATTACACTTTACTGGCTGGGTGTGGTGGCTCACGCCTGTAATCCCAGCACTTTGGGAGGCCGAGGCGGGTGGATCACTTGAGGTCAGGAGTTCGAGGCCAGTCTGGCCAATATAGTGAAACCCCCATCTCTACTAAAAATACAAAAATTAGCCAGGTATGGTGGCAGGTGCCTGAAATCCCAAGTACTCAAGAGGCTGAGGCAGGAGAATCACTTGAACCCAGGAGGCAGAGGCTGCAGTGAGCCAAGATTGTGTCACCATACTCCAGCCTGGGCGACAGAGTGAGACTCCATTTCAAAAAAAAAAAAAAAATTACACTGTACCGATAACTGGGGCTTTATAGCAAGTGTTGAAATCGGTAGTGTCCATCCTGTGAACTCACAGTATGACGTTAAATAGGAGTGAGGATAGGGGGCCTCCCTGCCTCCTTCCCTATCTTAGGAAGAAAAGCTTCAGGTTTGTCACCATTGAGTATGACATGGGCTGTAGGTTTTTAGTAGATGTTCTCTACCAAGCTGAGGGAGTTCCCTTGTATTCCTGGCTTGTGAAAGGTTTTTCTCACAGATGGGTGTTGGGTTTTGGAAAATAGTTCCTGTTGCCATGATGGATTTCGATAATCTGTTTCCGAACCCTGGAGCAGCCTCGCATGCCTGGAATAAATCCTGTGCTGTCTAATTCTTACCATGTAGCGCTGCATGAGATTCGCTGCTATTTGTGTAATTCTTAGTATGTGGTGCTGGTTGGGAAATCCTGTGGTGTATAATTCTTAGTATGTGATGCTGGATTTGCTGCTGTTTTGTTGAGGGTTTTTGCATCTGTGTTCATGAGACATCCTGGTCTGCGTTTTCCTTTCTTGTAACATCCTCGGTTTTGTTATTGGGGTAATGCCGGCCTCGTAGAGTGAGTTATAAAGTGTTCCTCTGCTTCTATTTCCTGGAAGAGACTGTAGAGAGTATCTATCATCTGTTCCTTAAATGCAAGGTAGAATTCTAAGTCCGTGTCCCTGCGTGGCTCCAGGCACGCTGGTTCCCCATCTGACCCTCCGCTTGCTTTTCCTCGGGCTCTCCCTGCCTGGGCCTGGAGGACCACAGCGGGCACAGGGGGCGGCTCAGGCTGAGAACCAACGGCGCTGACGTCGCCTAAAGGGGGTTCCCAGCTGGCAGCCTCCAGGTGCTGGAATGTTTCTCGGTGAGAAGCCGCCACGGGAGTCTGTGGACTTGTCACATCACCCGCAGGCGTGGCCCTGAGGCCACGTATCCAAGCAGCAGTGCCGTGCATATTCATGTCGGCATTGGACTTGCAAATTCTGAGTGAAGTAAATGTCATCGGCAGTGTGTAGACGTTCTTTCGGAAGAAGATCTGTCAGAGAAAATGCAAGCTGATTACCAGCCTAACAGAGAAATGTGCATCCCGGTCCCCGCAGGGCCACCCTGGAGGCACCTCTGCACCTCCCAGGCACAGCTCTGGGAAGGCTGAAAATTAGCACCAATTAGGGAAGAATGAAGCTCTTGGTTCCCTCCTGAAGCACTTGGTTGAAGCTTGCTGCGCTCCTTTCCGGGAGCAAATGAGCATCTCTCGGGACAGTTGTGTTTCCCTTGGGCAGGGAGCCACTGGCAGCTCCCCAGTGGGAATCGTGCCTTCTAGTCCAGATTTCCACTTTGGAAAGGGAAGGTTCTAGAAAGTTCTGGAAAGCTCGGCTGTGGCTGACTCCTGGCTTAGGGCTCAGGCCTGTCTCACCTAGCAATGCAGGGTGAGCCATGTGGGCTGGCTTCTGGGGATGGGGAGGAGAGATACACACATGGAGAAAAAGAGGGAGATAGAGAAGAGAGAGGGAGAGAGAAAAGGAAAGAGAGGAGAGAGGGAAAGGCAGAGAGAGAAACAGAGGGAGAAACACAAAGAGAGGGAGAGAAGGAGAGAGAGACACAGAGAGAAAGGGAGGAACAGAGGAGAGAGAGGGGAGGAGGGGGAGGGAGACAGCACCCTCTTCTCCCTACCCTTGCCTGGGGTCTCAGCTGAGAGAGGGAAGGCTCTGTGCTGGGGAAGAGGCCTCCAGCAGGGAGTAGTGACTGATGAATGTATGATTGCTACTTTATCTCAATAGAGGATTCGAACAGCCCCCAGGCAGGGTCGCATTTTAAATGATGGTTTTGGGTGCTGAGCCAGCCCAGCTTGGAGGGGGTTTCGTTTCACAGATGAGGAGCCTGAGGCTGGGGGAAGCCACTTGCTCAGATGCACACGGCTGGGGCCGGCGGCAGGTTTGCCCGACCTCGAGTCTGCGCTTCTCATCCTGGAAGCGACCGCCTTGTCCCCTGCGCAGCCTCCTTCTCTGGCTCAGCCACGTGGGTTACTACTGAGTTCACTCTTCAGCCCTGGTGGGGGACGGGCAAGAGATGGGGCGTGAGGGGCGGGCGGAGGCAGCGAGGTCTGGGATGAGAGCTTTTCTGGAGCCTTCTCTGGAGTGTGACCCCCTTCCCCGCAAAAAAAAAAAAAAATCTTGGCTCAGCTCTTGGGCTTCGGTGCAGTAGGGGCTTTGTGGCCGATGCAGAGGAAGCCGAGCTCTGCTCCTGGAAGGACGTGGCCCCTTGTCTTACCCAGGCTTCATTTTGGGGCCATCTTTTTAGGTGGTTGAAAATGAGTAACTCATTCTTGACCTTGTGCAATGCCCACGCCCTGTGTCCGGGGCTGACCTGGAGGCTCTGGGTTCTCTGCTGAGCAGAGCTGGGGCCAAGACCACCCCTGGGGAGCGAGGAGCAGGCGCTGGTGTGCCTGGCCCAGGTGGCTTCCCATAAAAGCTGCAGGCAGCCCTGTCTAATGTGGCAGCCCTGGGCCACACGTGGCCACTGGGCATTGAGACATGGCTGGTCTGAGTGAAGATGAGCTTCAGCCTGAAATCCGCACCGGGTTTTAGAGTTAATGCGGAAAGGCGGTATACAATAGCTCACTAATACCGTTGCAAGTTGATATGATATTTTGAATACATTAAGTTAAATAAGATATCGTATTAAAATTATCATAGCTGTTTCCTTCCACTTTTGTAACATAGCTACTGGTACATTTAAGCCTCACGTGGCCTGCATCCTATTTCCACGGGACTGTGCTGCCCGAGCCCCTCCCTGCTGATGAGAAGCAGCCCTCGGGTGGCTTTGGGGTGTGTCCAGAGCCTGTACAGCCTCCCCTTGGGGTGGGGTGCCGCGTGCGGGGTGCCAGGCACCAGCCGGTGCTGAGGCCCCATGTGGAGGCAGCCCTGCATGATGGGCAGCAACCAGTGGGGTGCCATCGTGTGCGGTGACGTGCACACTAAAGAAAGACGCTCAGCTCCCTCCTCTGCCCCGCCTGGCCGCCAGCTCAGTGCCAAAACCATGGTTAGGGGGTGGGAGGCCACGGGTGCCCTTGGGGACCTACCAGGCCTGCAGGGTCCTTGGCAGAGGGGCAGTGCCTGGCACCAGGAGGACACTGTGCTGGAAGGTCAGCCTGTTCCCACAGCCAGGGATGTGGGGCTCCCAGGTAGCCCCATTCATAGTTATTTGAATTGCTGTGATGGAGGCAGGCGGAAGAGGTGGGACTGCGAGGGAAGGCAGGGGCCCCCCGGGGAGAGAGTGGGTGCCTCCTTCCCTTTCCTCAAAGCCCAACGGCCTTGCAGTGAGACTGCCACTATACAACAAAGAGCCAGCACCGCTGTGCACGCTGGAGTCTCACAGATGAGCCGATTATGTCTTTGTGACAAACACATTATTAGGAGTGAGATGAATTCCTTCTGTGGGCGGGGATGATTCAGAGAGAGGCGTCCCAGCCCCAGGAACAGCCTCCCCGCAAGGTGGCCTCAGCCTCCCCCATGCTCCCCTGGAGGCCGCTCCCTGGCTTGGGGGGTGGGTAACACGGGAGTCCCCCCGACACGGCGAGGTGAGCTCACCTCCTGAGGCTGGCGTGCAGGGAAGTAGGAAAGGGCACACACTGCGACCGGGGACCAGGGACAGGGTCTTCCCCGCTGTGACCTGTGGGGCTGTGCAGGGGGCGGGAGCAGCCCCCATCCCAAAAGGAAATGGGACAGGAGTTGCCAAGAACAGTTCCCCTTACCCTCCAATTCCTCACGGGTTCAGCACTTTCTCTGAGGGGGTCTGGTCTGAATCCCAAATTCAGATTCTGTATTCAACTGTTCCCTTCATTACAAAGAACAAATTTCCGAGCCCAGTAATTCCCGTTTAAATTTGTCAATTTTCATCCCTCGATAGAAATCAGTATGTGGTGATCACAAAAGCCGGGGTATTAGCCCAGTGGACAGTTTGTTCTGAAACTTGTCCCTTCGGGGCAGGGCCTGGGTTAGGAGGCCTGAGATCTGCCTGGAGCCTGGGGTGCCTCGGGCAGGGGCATCGTGGCTGGGGATTCTCTGCACTTGCCCCATGGAGCAGGGCGGGAAGGGAAGCCAGGCTCCTTTCCCTGTCTGGGTCTGGGGCTGCTGCCCTTGGCAGCTGGGGAGACCCTGGGACCCCAGAGGCAGAGCCCCACTCTCTGTACCCTCAGGCGCAATGCCCTGAAAGACAGGCGCCACTTTGTCTTCAGAAAGGCAGGAACCAAACCCCTCTCACAGTTCCAGAAGCTTCCCTGAGTCCCAGTTTAGACGCAGAATCTCCTCTGTGGATCACTCCAACTGGGGAACCAGGAGAGGGGGTTTGGGAGAGGAGGGAAGTGGCTTCCACCTGTGGGTGGGGCAAAGAGAGGGCTCCCAGCTATGCAGGGCGGGCCCAAACCTCCAGCAGAGCCCCTTTCCCAGCGAGGACTCCGAGGACTCCGAGGCCCTGGCCTGTGGCTCCCAGGGAACAACCTGGACCCTCAGCATAGGACCCGCAAGCTGAGACCCTCCTCTGTTTTACTGCTTCATTTTCCATCTGTGACCAGGGCCCAGGCCACATGCACACACCTGGCGTAGGAGTTACTTCGTGATGTGTTTGGCTGTGTCCCCACCCAAAATCTCATGGGAATTGTAATCCCCATAATGCCCCGTGTCAAGGGCAGGACCAGGGGGAGGTGACTGGATCGTGGGGGCGGTTCCCCCAGGCAGTTCTTGTGAGAGTGAATCTCATGAGATCTGATGGTTTTAGAAGCGTCTGGCGTTTGCCCTGCTGTCACTCACACCGTCCTGCTGCCCAGTGAAGAAAGTGCCTGCTTCTCCCTCCACCATGATTGTAGGTCTCCTGAGGCTCCCCCAGCCCTGCAGAACTGTGAGTCAATTCAACCTCTTTCCTTTATAAACTACACAGTCTCGGCAGTTCTTTAGAGCAGTGCGAAAATGGACTCACACACTTGGCCTGGGCCCAGTCTTTCCCGGATGGATGGTGCGATGATCAGCCCCGTGTTCGTGAGGACGGGGCCAACCCAGACCCACCTGGAGTTGTAAAGTTTCATCAGCACTCAGCCCCACCTGCTCATGTACGTACTGCTATGGCTGTGTTGGCCACAGCGGCCACAGTGAGTGGTTCTGCTCAAAAGTTGAGATCCTCCGGCCCACGAAGCCACAGTGACTCACTCTCTGGACCTTCACAGAAAGCATTCACCCACCCCACCCTAGGATGCGTGTCCAGAGGTGAAATGGCTCCCTCCGTGCAGTCGGAGAGCCCCTTGACTCACGGCTGCACCCCTGCTCATCAGGCACAGCGGCAGGCACGTGACCTCTGTGGGGCCACTTGTCCTACTTGCAGGGAGGGGCCGAGCATGGGATGCAGCATCCACGCCTGCACTTAAACGAGCCCTCTGTGGCCTTGCCCCACTCGGCCTGAGGAGAGCCTGGAGAGAGATGCCGTCCCTGCCTGGGCGCTGCGATCCTCCTTCCTTCCCACCTGCTCTCGTCCCCACATCTGCCCATCGCCAGGTCCAGCCCCGGATGCAGGCCACACCTGGGTCCCTCCCTGGCCCCACCCCTGAGAGCAAACCCAGAATGCAGTTGTGGCTGCAGCGGCCTCCTGCTTTACCTCCTGCTGCTGCTTCCCACTTCTGAGCTGCTCCAAGTCCAGGATTGATGACCTGACCCCTGCCCCCGGTCCTCCCCACCCCCCACACCCCTGCACCACCTCACACACTCTTACCTCCTTCCTCCTGGCCCACAGATGCCCTTCAGCCCTGCAGCCTCTGCGTAAAGCTCCCTCCTCTGGAAAATGGCCCCTTATCTCCCCCAGACCACGCTGCATGCCCCCTGGTCCTCCGCAACAGCCGCATCCCTTTCCCTGCAGTGCCCATCTGCCCACGTCTGCCCCCCTCCCCCTCCTCTGCCTATGCCAGGTGCCTTGGATGCATCAGGTGCACCGTCAGGGCTTTTGAAGGCTCCACGAGGCGGGCCTGGGCACGCAGTGCACGCAGAGGGTGATGGAGGGTGCTAGATGGCCGGCCTGGATGAACCCAGGTGCACGCAGAGGGTGACGGAGGGTGCTAGATGGCCGGCCTGGATGAACCCAGGGACAGGGACAGACAAGGCAGGTGCAGCCACTGAGTTCTGGAACATTCCAAGAAGAGTCAGGCAAACTACTCCCTGCTCAGGTCTGCAGCCCGGCTTGGGGAGAAGCCTGCAGCTGTGGGGTCAGCCTCCCAGCTGCCAGCAGTAATAGCCCGAGCCATGGGGAGGCCTCGTTTCCTAAAAAGGCCTCAGCTGCCGCTGCGTTCCTGCAGGGTGGAAGGACAGGCTGATGACCACCAGCGAAGTATCATGAAAATCTCCCGGCGAGCCTATGAGCCGTACATTTGTCTCTCTCTAGAGACAGGCTTCTCCTGGAGCCAATCAGCCCTCTGGCTTTCATGGGCTCCTACCTTGCAAGGTGGCCACAGGCCTCAGCCGTGCCTGTGTTGGCAGGGAGCCCTGTGCACTGCCTCTCTTCTGCCCGCGGGGTTAGCATGGCAGGAACCCGGGCTGGAGGCTGGGAACACGTCCAGGCTCACGCTGGTCCTCGAGGTGGCTCCAGCCTTGCTGCTCTTGGCAGCAGAGATGGCGGAGGGTCTAGGTCTCAGGCCAGAGATCTCCAAAATGGACCAGCCCATCCCCTTCCATCATGAGGAGGAGACAGGGCCAGCACGAGAAGGGAAATATGCTCAGGGTCACTCAGCGAGGCCAAAATCCTGGGCTGCCTTGTTCTTGACTCTAGGATCTAGAAATGGGAAAGCTGGGACTTGTCGCCTCCCCAGTGATCTATCTTTTACACACGCGTGTTTTCATGCACTGAGCCATTCATAAAACAGAAAAGCCAAGCCTCCTCACTGTTGTAAAGGAAAGCCCTGCGTGGCTGTGAGGGAGACGCGTGTGGAACCTCATGTCGTGTGGCGCCGTTGGGGACCCGTTGGGCTCTTGAGACTGAACCGGGACAGGCTGAGAGGCTCTCCAGGACACTTCCGGGCAGCAGGCCCCCTCTGGCTGTGCTTGACCCTGGCCCCTGGGCCCTCTTGGTTCACCAAGTCTCCCACGTCCTATGCTCTTGAGATCCCAGACTCGGCACTGGATGGGGTGGCCCTGGGTCCCACTGCTGTTCCAGAGCACTGGCCCTTCCTTTCGGCCACTCAGGGTAGAGGCTGGAGCCCCTGGAATCACACAGAAGGGGCCTGGCTGAAGCACAAAGGGTGGAGATCTGGGGTTAAGCCAGAGCCTGGGGCCCCCTGAGCCCAGGGGCTGGGCAGCTGGGGAAGCAAGGAGAGCCAGGTGTCACTGAGTCAGTCCCTCCCATGCAGGTACTTGGGGGTGTGAGGGGCCGCCCCCGGCCTTCCTCTCTCACCCCTACGGCCTCTTCCGGTGGGTGAGGACACTTGGCTCTGTGTGTTCACCATAATCAGATTCACCACAACAGGGCAGAACACTAATTCCACTGACACCGCTGAGATGCTGTGTAGAGCCAGATGTCTGTGGGACACGGCGGCCAGCTTTGCCAGGGCGTGGCCACTAGGCGCTGGGAGGGGCAGGATGTGCCTGATGCCCATATGTCTGCATGGCAGAAAAGCACACAGAGAACCGTGGGGCTGGAGGTGCAGCGGCCGGCGACGGCCAGAACTGGAGAACAGGCCGGCGGGGTGCGGGACGCATATGCTGTCCCGCAGGCAACTGGGAACACTTGCTCTTTTCCAAATCTGTGCTCTGACATGGAAAGTTAAGTCGTGCTGGGACTGCTGGCCCCTGGCCGCACCGCCTCGTCCCCAGCTGCAGGGCCTCCCCCTTGATCACAGCAGCTCCTCCTTGGTCACAGCTGGGGCTTTGCACAAACTCCCCGGAAACCCAGGGCTTGCGTTTGCAGGTCTCTGGGCTTTTCCTGCATGGAGCAGAGAACTTTTCCGGATGGTGTGGCTTTTTTCAAGGAACCGGGCTCCAAAGCGCTCTGTGCTAAGTGTGTTAGCTCCACTTCTGATCTGTCACGTTAGTGCCCTGCGTTTTAGAAAAGTATGAACGAAAGCCTCAGCAAACCGGATCGAACGGGCTCATTCGCAGCCATAGGGTGAGCGGCAGGCAGATCTTACAAGCCGTGCAGGCCGGAAGGAAAAGGGTTGTGGGGCTCATTCTTAGTCATAGGGTGAGCGGCAGGCAGATCTTATAAGCCGCACAGGCCGGAAGGAAAAGGGTTGTGGGGCTCATTCTTAGTCATAGGGTGAGCGGCAGGCAGATCTTACAAGCCGTGCAGGCCGGAGGGAAAAGGGTTGTGGGGCTCATTCTTAGTCATAGGGTGAGCGGGAGACAGATCTTACAAGCCGTGCAGGCGGGAGGGAAAAGGGTTGTGCCGACAGTCTGAGGGTGGAGACCAGAGCTGTGGACTCGAGCCCAGGGGAGCCCCCACCTGGCCACGGTTTCCTCATCTGAGAAACAGGAGTGCGAGGCCCTACCAGGGATCCTTCCCGCTCAGATCCCCAGAGAGGTGGGGGCCGTGACCGGGGCCAGAATTCCACCCCTCACTCACTGCTCTGCGCAGCCTCCTGGGCTTGTCAAGAGTTTTTAAAGCCCTGTCGTGCTTCCCAGCAGATGCCTTGTGGGTGTGAGCATTCTCATGGGCTTGAAGCTGGCAGATATTTGAAAACATGGCAGAGACCTGCAGCCCGCAGCCTCAACCGCTGGCTGTCACCTGCCGCTGCCTGTGATTTACTCTTGAGAAGTGCTGGAGCAGCTGAAAAGCAACTCGCCACCCCAGCACTGCCCTCAGAGTGACTAATGGGGCACACTGGGGTTCTGGGCCCCGGCCAGGCTCAGCGAGGGGAGGGCCGTTCCCGGGGCTGAGGGCCAGGGGCCTCCCCTCCTCCTGTCCTGGAGGGCACCTGCCCAGCACAGGTAGAGGAGGCAAGGGTGTCAGGAAGGCTCTTTCCCTAATCTGACTAAGGCCCTCTGGGCTAAGTCAGGGGTCTCCCGGCAGCCAGGCTGCTAAGTCAGGGGTCTCCCGGCAGCCAGGCTGCTGCCAGTCCCGCAGCTCAGCCGGGCACAGACAGGATGTGGCTTCCAGGGGCTTCTGTTCTGCCAAGTCCCCACTCAGACAATGGCCTCTATAGCTCCAGCAATCAGGAGGGAAAAGATTCCAACTCCCACACTCAGGGCTCCCTGCTGCCTGGAAGAGGAGAGGAGGGCAAACCTCTTGCAGAGGTGACGGGTGACTCACCAGCCCCGCTCAGAGGACGGGTCTGCAGGTGGCCAGAGTTCTCCTGATGGGGTCCTTGCCCCCAGCTGGCTTGGGGGTCCCTACACCGGCCCCCTGCCCCACACCATGTTCCTCCCACCCCATGTCTGTGCGCCCCTTCGAGCATGCCTGGGCATTGTCCATGGTACTGAACCCCTGAGGCTCCCTGGGGCTCTGGCATTCTCTTGAGCCTTTCCCAGAAATTCCAAACCAGAAGAAAAGTGCAGGGAACAGAGTGGAGGAGCCATGGACAGAGGCTGTGGGGCAGGCTCAGTCCCTGAGAGGTCGCCAAGGAGCCACAGCCTTGGACTAGATGCTCTCAAAACCTGGCAATGGCCCACAGAAGGCATCTGCTCAGGTGAGGTACATGCCACAAAGCTTCACCAGTGGGGATGAGGATCTGCTCATAGGATGGCCCCTGATGGAGGAAGTGGGAGCTCAGGCTGTGGGATCAGGCCCCTGGGTTCACAACTGTGCCTGGGTTTCTTTATCTACAAAAGGAGCCTGACAGGAGCCTCTGCCTCACAGATGAGACCTGTGTGCCTGAGGTGGTGCACACAGAGTATGTGTAGACCCCAGGACAGTCGATGTCAGCTAGAAAGTGAAGGTTAGAGGAATTCAAACCGTTATTTTTAATACTGAGCCAAAACCTGCACATCAGAGCTCTCTGATGGAGGCGTGGACGGGGTCGTGAGGGGCCAAGTACTAGCCAGAAGCTGCGCCGTCCATTTCATCCCCTCCCCACAGTGGTCCCACAGACACCGAGGTGGCTGACATGGCCCCTCCAGGTCACACGCCTGTTCTCTCTCCAGTCCTGCCCTCAGGGACTCAGAAATGCTGGCGTTCCAGGAGGTGGTGTGTGGGCTCCTCCTCAGGCCAGGTCTGTGGTCACTGCTGACCACGCGGCAATGTACGGCTTTCCAGGCCCCCATCCACCATGAGTCAGGCGTGTCCCCACTGGGCAGCAAGTCCCACAGCTTTGCATTCCAGATCCCAGCAGCATCTCGAGCCGGGCCTGGTACTGCTTAGATGCCTGGGAGGGAGGACCGAGGAAAGAGACTGGGGACTGAGGGACAGCACAGTATCCCAAGCTGGCCACTACCAGAACCTTCTAGAACAAGGTCACACTGGCAGTTCTTTATGCCTTCCGTCCTCTGCTCCCCAGACACCTGTTTACACAGGGCCCTAGGTCTCAGGTGTCCTGTGGGTGGCCGCTGCTTTTCCCTGGGTCCCTCCATGGTGTCTCCTCTGAGGACAGCCACTGGTCAGAGCCTCCTGGATGACCTCACTCCTGGAAAGCGCTGGGCTGTGTCACCTTAAAGACCCCTTTGCTCTCTTGGCCCTGGCACCCCACCTCTGGCATGGGGAGCAGAGACCCACCAGGGTTCCCATCCCTCTCCCCGCAGTGTTTCCCCAGTTCCAGGGCTGTGAGGTGGTCACAGTGGCTCTGGTGTGGCCGTGGGGTTCCTGTTCATCCCAGGGCACCTGTCACGGGACATACCCACAGCACAGGCAAGTGGAACGTTCTCTGAGTTTAGCTTTGTTTGTGTAGGTAGTTCACTGTGGGAGTCTAGCTTTTGGGGGACACACCTGAGACCCTCCCAGCTACCCTGCCCTCTCCCCAGATCAGCTCGGTAGGCTCCAATCCAGAGAGTCAGGCTGGGAGGGGAGCACGGAGCCGCCCCTGCTGGACACGTATCCCGGCCATCTCAGGCCCACCCATTGCCTCATTGCTCCCTGCCCCCGGTCCAGTCAGCTGAGTGCCCCGTGGTGTGGGTGCGTCATGCCATGGCGACCAGCCCCAAAGGGTGAGCCTTTGAGTTGTTCACCAATCATTGGGGTTTCGAACAAGCCTGTGCTGACGGCCCTGGCACACAGGGTTTCTGAATTAACTCTGCCATCGTTCCTGGCCTCAGCTGTGGTGGGGAAGGCAGTTCGGGGTCATGAGAACCCTGAGGGTTGCTCCCAAGTCAGTGTTTGCTGGGTCTAGTGGGGGCCTCTCCACCTGGAGTCTGTCTGGGAGGTTAGAAAAGACCGTCCGTGAGCCTGGGCCCTGCTGGGGCTGGTCATCTGCTCAGGGAGAGGGCGATCCCCTGCCAGCCCAGCAAGGCCACCCCAGCGGTCACCCCCTTGGGAGGGTGTGGACAGGAGCCTCCCCTCCCACCCGCCCCGCAGCCTCTGCAGCCATCTTACAAAGCCTCTGGGTTCTGCAAAGCAAAAGGGTTTTGCACCTTCCCACTCAGCACAGGCTGGCTGCGGAGCCGGGAAGCAGTGTGCCAGTCTGGGGCTGTCTCTTGATCTAAACACAATGGGATGAATTAGAGAGAAAGGCAGAATACAAAACAAGCAATTGCTCTCGAAGAGCGAGGTGAGAACGCCCTGCCTGAGGTCGAGGGGCTGAGGCCGGCTGTCTGGAGCCTGTGTCGGGGGCACCCTCCTGCTGTCTGGCTGTGCCCTCACCTGTGGGCAGGCATACCGTGTGCACCCCTCCCGCTCCCCACCTGGTCTCCACGGCCAAGCTCAGACCAACCACCCAGAGGCTGCGCCCCGGTCCAGATCCCCCTAACACACCTGCTGTTTCATTATCTAACCTTTCACTCCACCTCCGTCCTCCCCATCAAAATTACACATGCGAGGGGGCAGAGGCCAGGCTGTCCCTCCCATAGGTCCAGCCCCACCAGCCGTCGCCCCAGCGTGTCCCATCCCAGCCTCCCAAGCCGCAGTCCTGTGCCCCCCAATTTGCTTCCTTTCCCACACCCAAGGGAGCACAGTCAGTGCTCCAGGAACTGAGGCAGCACCTCTAGGCTCGCTCTTTTAGAAATGAGGCTGAGGGGCTGGACGCAGTGGCTCGTGTTTGTAATCCCAGCACTTTGGGAGGCCGAGGTGGGCGGGTCATGAGGTCAGGAGATCGAGACCATCCTGGCTAACATGGTGAAACCCTGTCTCTACTAAAAATACAAAAAAATTAGCCAGGCATGGCGGCGTGCACCTGTAGTCCCAGCTACTGGGGAGACTGAGGCAGGAGAATGGCGTGAACCCGGGAGGTGGAGCTTGCAATGAGCTGAGATCACACCACTGCACTCCAGCCTGGGTGACAGAACAAGACTCCGTCTCAAAAAAAAAAAAAAATACAAAATTAGCCAGGCATGGTGGCACATGCCTGTAATCCCAGCTACTCAGGAAGGCTGAGGCAGGAGAATCACTTGAACCTGGGAGACGGAGGTTGTGATAAGCAGAAATCGCGCCACTGCACTCCAGCCTGGGCAACAAGAGCAAAGCTCAGTCTCACAAAAAAAAAAGAGAGAAATGAGCCTGAGGCCCAGGAGGACCTGCCGAGCTCACAGCTGGCCAGGGAACAAGCCAGGCCCCCACTTCTGGCACCAAACCCCAGGCATTCGGCTGCTTCTGAGAGGCTTGAGGCCCTACCAACCACTCAAACGCCATTCCCAGACCCAGACAGGGCTAGGAGGCAAGGGGTAGCAGCTGAGGGGTGCACACAGCAGAGGATACTGCCAGAAGCACGAATGAGATTCCCATGGAGGCAGCCCCACCTCCAGACCACCACGGCTGTCACAGCAGACACCCCTGTCTCCCACCATGACCTTCTGCTCTGGAACATCCACCCCTAAAACCTCAGACCCAGCCACTGAGGCCCATGGCCCAGAGCCCAGCTACCCAGCCGGCTCCAGGGAGGGTGGCCCAGCCAGTTCCTGCCACCTGAGGATGTTGGTACACACACCAGACTCAGAGGGAGACCCAGACAGACAGCAACACAAAGACAGAGAGAGAGACACAGAGAGGAAAGCAGAGACACAGAGAGACATGGAGAGAGACACAGAGACAGAGAAACAGACACATAGAGGAAAACAGACACAGGGAGACACAGAGACAGAGATACAGAGACACAAGAAAACAGAGACAGAGATAGAGACAGAGACACAGAGATATAGAGATAGAGACACAGACTCAGGAAAACAGACAGAGAGAGACACAGGAGAACAGAGACACAGAGATACAGAGATAGAGACACAGGAACAACAGAGACACACAGACAGAGACAGACACAGGAAAACAGTGAAAGACAGAGACACAGAGGAAAACACACAGATATACAGAGAGAGACACAACAGAGACAGACACAGGAAGGAAAACATACAAGGAGACAGAGACACAGAAAAACACAGAGAAAAACACAGAGACATCACAGGAGAAAGATACAAAGACAGACAGAGACACATATTCTGCCTCGCCTCCAAATCCAGCTTGGCGTGGACCTCGCTGGGACTGGATGGCCTTCTCTACAGCTGCTGAACAGCCTCGCCGTCCCCAGGGCTTCCCTGCTGTTGGCCATGACCCTCCCCTGCTGCTTGGAATTGCAAAGCCAGGCGGTCTGGGAGTCCCAGCCACCACGCGTCCCCCAGAATATTCATGGGGCTGGGCCAGGTGACTCCCTGCTCTCTTTAGAGACAAATCGAAAGGCGCCAGGGTGCTGTGGCATCAGTGGCGCTGAGGCATCCTCTGGCCGGCCCTGCATGGCCTTCAAGCTGCTTGAGTCCATTGGACAAAGTCCCTCAAGGCCACCCTATGTGGCCAGGGCTGAGACGCCTAGAGAGGTAGACGCTCAGCCTGGGCAGGGACGGGGGCCACACTAGCAGAGGTCAGAGAAGGGGTCAGCCAGGGGGAAGGTCAAGGCTGCCGCCCGGCGGGTCACCACCAGGCCCCCACACTACCCCAGCCTGGCCGTCTGCTTCCTGTTCAGTTCTCACCCCCTGAGTTCTCAGGTCTGTGAGTTTGCTGGACCGTCTGCCAGGAGAGCTTAGGGTCCCTGTAGGCTTGTGGGTGCCATCAGGTCAGAGATGAGAAGTCACCTCCAAGCAGAGGCCTTCCCGGAACCCCCAGCACTACTGCAGCCAGGCTGCCGCCAGCATCGCTGTGTCTGTAGCTCTTATTGGCCCTGAAGTCACTGCAGGTGGTTCTTTCAGTGGTCTCTCCTCCCCAGGATCCAAGACCTCTGACGGCAGGGGCTCCTATGGCTTCTCCAAGGCAGTGATGTTTGTGGGAGGGAGGAAGGGAGAAAGGTGGAGGGAAGCTAGACTAACCAAGAAAAAAGAGAGAAGACATAGCTAAAATCAGATATGAAAGAGGAGACTTTACAAGATGCCACAGAAATCAAAAGGATCATAATAAACTGTGAACAATTTTATACAAACCAGCTGGACAGCCTGGAAAAAATGGATACATTCCTAGAAACTCACAAGCTTCCTAGAGTCAATCGCGAGAAATGGAAAATCTGAAAGGACCAATAACAAAGAAGGAGATTGAATCAGTTACCAAAAACCTCCCAAAAAAGAAAACCCCAGGGCAGGGCCAGGTTGCTTCGCCGATGGATGCTACAAACATTTAAAGAAGAATTAACACCAGTCCTTATACAATTCCGAAAATGTGAAGAGGAAGGAACACTTTCTAACTCATCTTACAAGGTCAGCATTACCCTGATACCAAAGCCAGAGAAGGACGCTATGAGAAAAGAACCAAGAGGCAAAAATCTTCAACAAAATACTGGCAAACTTCATTCAACAGCATGTTGAAAGGCTCATCCACCATGAGCAGGTGGGATTTATCCCTGGGATGGAAACACAGTTCAGCACATATGAATCAGTAAATGTGATCCACCACATGAACAGAAGGAAGGACAAGAGCCATTTGATCATCTCATTTGATACAGAAAAAGCATTTGACAAAACTCAGCATCCTTTCATGATAAAAACACTCAACAAACTGGGTGTTGAATGCATGCTACACAATAAAGGCCACGTATGACAGACCCACAGCTAACACCACACTCAGTGTAAAGGCCACGTATGACAGACCCACAGCTAACACCACACTCAGTGTAAAGGCCACGTATGACAGACCCACAGCTAACACCACACTCAGTGTAAAGGCCACGTATGACAGACCCACAGCTAACACCACACTCAGTGTAAAGGCCACGTATGATGACAGACCCACAGCTAACACCACACTCAGTGTAAAGGCCACGTATGACAGTCCCACAGCTAACACCACACTCAGTGTAAAGGCCACGTATGACAGACCCACAGCTAACACCACACTCAGTGATAAGAAGTAGAAAGCTTTTTCTCTAAGGTCAGGCAAAGCAAGGATGCACTACTCAACATGGTCCTGGAAGGCCTAGCCAGAGCCATTAAGCAAGATAAAGCAGTAAAAGGCATTCACATCAGAAAGGAAGAAGTAAAATTGTCTCTGCAGATGACATGAACTTATGTATAGAAAACCCTAAAGACTCCACAAAAACAAAAACAAAAACAAAAAAAAACTGTTAGCACTAATAAACACATTCAATAAAGTTGCAGGACACAAAATTGGCATATGAAAATAAGTTGTGTTTCTATACACTAGCAATGAATTATCCCAAAAAGAAATCAAGAGGGCCAGGCGCAGTGGCTGACACCTGTAATCCCAGCAGTTTGGGAGCCCGAGGCGGGTGGATCACCTGAGGTCAGGGGTTTGAAACCAGCCTGGCCAACATGGCAAAGCCCAGTATCTACTAAAAATACAAAATTAGCTGGGCGTGGTGGTGTGTGCCTATAATCCCAGCTACTTGGGAGGCTGAGGCAGGAGAATTGCTTGAACCTGAGAGGCGGAGGTTGCAGTGAGCCAAAATTGTGCCATTGCACTCCAGCCTGGGCAACAAGAATGAGAATCTGTCTCAAAAAAAAAAAAAAAAAAAATCCCATTTACAATAGCATCAAAAAGAGTAAATTTAATCAAGGAAGTAAAAGACCTGTACACTGAATATAACATGATGAAAGAAATTGCACAAATAAATGGAAAGATACCTCATGTTCATGCATTGCAAGAATTCATATTGTTAAAATTTTCATACTACCCAAAGTGATCTACAGATTCAGTGCAATCCCTATCAAAATTTCAATGACATTTTACACAGAAATAGAAAAAAAAATCCTAGGATTCATAGTGAACCACAACAGACCTCAAATAGTCAAAGCAACATTAAGAAAGAGGAACAAAACTGGAGGCATCACACTTCCTAATTTCCTTTTATATTACAAAGCTATAGTAATCAAAACAGCATGGTACTAGTACCACATAGACCCACGGAACAGAACAGAGAGCCCAGCAATAAACCCACTTTCGTACAGTCAAATCATCTTTGACAAGGTGCTATGGTTTGAATGTCCCCTCCAAATCTTATTAAAACTTCATCCCCAGTGTGGCAGGATTGAGAGGTAGAGCCTTTCAGAGGTGATGGGATCTGTGAGGACTGGACCCTCATGAATGGATTAATCCATTCATAAATAAATGAGTTATAGGATTAAGGGGCAATCACACAAGGGGAGCTGGTGGCTTTATAAGAAGAGAAAGAGAGACCTGAGCTAGCATGCTCTGCCCCCTCTGCACGCGATGCCCCATGCCACGGCGGAACTTTTCCGAGAGTCCCCCCAGCAAGAAGGCTTTCACCAGTCGCATCCCCTGGGCCTTGGACTTCCCAGCCTCCATAACCATGATAAATACCTGACTTTTCTTTGTAAATTACCCAGTTTCAGGTCTTCTGTCATAAGCAACATAAAATGGACTTAGACACAAGGGCACCAATACACAATGGGGAAAAAGCAGTCTCCTCAAACAGTGATGGGAAAACTGGATATCCCCATGCAAGAGAATGAAATTGTAGGCCGGGCGCGGTGGCTCACGCCTATAATCCCAGCACTTTGGGAGGCCGAGGTGGGCGGATCACGAGGTCAGGAGATCGAGACCATCCTGGCTAACACGGTGAAACCCCGTCTCTACTAAAAATACAAAAAATTAGCCGGGTGTGGTGGCGGGCGCCTGTAGTCCCAGCTACTCGAGAGCCTGAAATTGTACCCTTATCTCACACCATGCAAAAAAAAATCAGCTTAAAGTGGATTAAAGATCTAAACATAAAACCTGAAACTATAACACTGCTAGGAGAAAACATAGAAGAAAAGCTTCTTGACATTGGTCTTGGCAGTGATTTTTTTATGACAGCAAAAACACAGGCAACAAAAGCAACATAAATGAGACTACATTAAAATGAAAAGTCTCTGCACAGCAAAAGAAACAGCAAAACGAAAAGGCAGTCTCTACAAAATGGGAGAAAAATAACCCATTTAAAAATGGAAAAGGGGCCTGAGTAGACATTTTTCCAAAGAAGAGCTACATATGGCCAATGGGTTTCTGAAAAGGTGCTCAACACCACTAGTCATCAGGAAACTGCAAATCAAAACCACAGTGAGCTATCACTGTACACCTGTTAGGATGGCGATCATCAAAAAGCCGGCAGATAACTCGTGGTGGGGACAATGTGGCGAAAAGGGGGCCCCGGTGCACTGTTGGTGGGAATGTATTAAATGGGTACGGCTGTTACGGAAAACAGGATGGGGGCTCCTCAAAAAAAGTAAAGGCAGAACCACCGTAGGATCCAGCAATCCCACTTCTGGGTATTTATGCAAAGGAAGCGGAATCCGGATCTTGAAAAGATCCCTGCAAGCCCCTGTCCGCTGCGGCACTGTTCACAATCGCCAAGACACGGAATCAACCCAGGTGTCCCTCAGCAGACCCGCGGATCGAGAGAGCGTGGTGCAGATACACAGCAGAGTGCTGCTCCGTCTTGAAAAATAAGCAGATCTGGTCATTTGCGGTAGCCGCAACAAACCTGGGGGCATTATGCTAAGTGAAATAAGCCAGGCGCAGAAAGACAAATGCTGTGTGATCTCGCTTATGTGTGGAATCTGAAAAAGCCAAACTCGTGAAGACAGAGAGCAGAGCACTGAGTGCTGGGGGAGGGGAACGAGGAATGGGGAGAGGACGATCAAGGGCTGCAAAGTTTCAGTTATAAGGCGAGTACATTCCGGAGCTTTGAGGTATGGTGTGAGGACCAGAGTTAACAATACTGCATTGCGGCCGGGCGTGGTGGCTCACGCCTGTAATCCCAGCACTTTGGGAGGCCGAGGCGGGTGGATCACGAGGTCAGGAGATCGAGACCATCCTGGCTAACATGGTGAAACCCCATCTCTACTAAAAATACAAAAAAATTAGCTGGGCATGGTGGCGGGCGCCTGTAGTCCCAGCTACTCCAGAGGCTGAGGCAGGAGAATGGCGTGAACCCGGGAGGCGGAGATTGCAGTGAGCCGAGATCATGCCACTGCACTCCAGCCTGGGCGACAGAGCGAGACTCCGTCTCAAAAAAAAAAAAAAAAAAAAAACAATACTGCATTGCACACTCAAAATGTCCTCAGAGAATAAATCTTGTGTTCCCACCATAATCAACGGGGGTAACTGTGAGGTGACGGATGTTTCATTAGCTCGATGGCGGTGATCATTTCACAATGTATACATAGATGACAACATCACATTGTACACAGTCAATAGATACAAATATTTTTGCGATGGGCGTCTCACTCTGTTGCCCAGGCTGGAGTGCAGTGGCGAAGTCATAGCTCACTGTAGCCTCAAACTCCTGGGCTCAAACAATCCTCCCATCTCAGCCTCCCAAGTAGCTGGCACTATAGGCGTATGCCAGCATGCCTGGATGATTTTTTTTAGTTTTTGTAGAGATGGGGTCTCACTGTGTTGCCCAGACTGGTCTCAAACTCCTGGCCTCAAGGGATCTTCCTGCCTCAGTCTCCCAAAATACTGTGATTACAGGAATGAGCCACGGTACCTGGCCAATAGATACAATTTTTATTTGTCAATTATCCCTCAATAAAGCTGGGGGAAAAGGTTAAAAATATATACATTTAAATTTAAAACTTCCATGATTTCTTATAGTAATGTTACGGTTTTTGGTTTTAGGTTTTAATCTTCTTACCATGTGGAATTTTTTTGGGGTAAGATCTCTATGAGTTAGGGTACTAACTCCAGGAACTAAGTCAAATTGTCTTATCCCTTAAGAAAAGGAATATTTATTTCACTCAAGACACACTGAAAGTCCAAGAATAATAGCTGCAGGCGCAGCTTGACCCAGGAGCACAAACAATGTCATGGGGTGCCCCGCTTCACCGGTGCTGGCTTTATTCTTAGGCAGGTCTTCTCTAAAAGGTAGGAAAACGGCACTGACGGCCACGGATGCATTTCCTGCTCAGTGAGCCCAGGCAAAGCTGGTGTCTAGCAAAGGTTTGGGGCTGGCCCTCATCAGACAAATGTGACTGATGCAAATGTTTGGCTGACCTGTCCAATGAGGGCCTACCCAGGCCTTTTGGGATGTGTTGATTGGCCAGGTCTGGGCCACATGCCAGTGGGATGGAGGGTGCACGGCTCCCCAGGGGAAGGAGGCGGGTGGGACAGGGGCCCTGAGGACCCAGCTTCCTGTGGTCCAGGCCGTCAGCTGTCCAGCGCCATGCCTGGGTGGCCAGTCTTCTCCCCGATGATCTGGATGCTGTCTCCATCACAGATGGAGCTTCTGTCTGATCTGGCACTGTCGATGCCAAATTCTCCTCATTAAGGTCACTCTCAGTGACACTCAGGTACATCCCAGTGGCTGGCAAGGCTGACGCTCCCTTGTCCTAGCGACCTGCCTTTCAAGAGCCTTTCTGGCCATTCTGAGACTATTTCCCACTTGAACTGTAGAGTCCATGTGTCTATGCACAACAGCTCTCGTGTTTTATAGGGACTGGATGCACAGACGTGATCTCAACGGGTCCTTCTGTCCAGGAAGGGGCCTGTCCTTCCCCTCGCTCAGTCCTCCCCTCACCTCCCCTCACCCCCAGCAGCATCGCAGGCTTTCCTCCGAGTCCCCGCGCTGCCGATGGACGTGCTCCCTTTGCTTGTTGTGGAGGTGGGGGGCAGCTCCTTACCCAGAGCGGGAGAGATTACAGGAAAGGACGGCGCAAGCCAAAGCCCCTGCTTCCAGCTGTGCGTCTGGGAAGAGAAGGCCGGCCCCAGGAGTCGGGGTGCATTCCCCTCACCCCCCAATCCTACTCGGCTTCAGTCTCCAGGGTGGGCAGGTGGGGGAGGCGGGGGAGGGCCAGACTTCCTCTGCAAGGCCCCGCCTCTGTCCCCACACGTGGCCCTGCGGCAGACTCTGTTCCCTCCCTCTGGAAACGGCAGGATCCTCCAACGGGGGCAGCCAGGGGGCCGGGGCCAGACCCTACAACCCACCAGCCCCCAGAGGTAGCTATTTTTGCAGCCAGCCGTGTTGGTGAGGTTGGTATTTTAAATGTTTTGACATTTAAAATCTGTGTTGGATACATTGGTGCTGTTTAAACTATCCCCGGGCTGCGGTGACTCACAGGGAATGGGTTTATCTCCTGAGGCTGGGCCTGGCCTCCCCTGTCCCCGCTCCCAGCAGCCGGAGTGGGAAGAGGGAGTTTTTACCTGCCCCCAGTCTCACCAGCACCTTGTTGTCCTGCAGAAGGTGGACTTCGGCCAGAGCAGGAGAACAGGAGGGACGCGGGACGGCCTCAGATCCGGACGCCCAAGCAGGGGAGGGCAGAACAGACCCGCCACCCAGCCAGGGTCAGCAGCGGTGGTGGTGGCTCTCAGGAGCCCACACAGGTGGCACGAGCAAGGGGCGCTGGGCTGGCAGGTGCAGGATGCTGCCTCCCGGGGGTTTGAGTGCCCCCTCTCCATGCATGTCCTCTGATCTGTTAGCAGAACTCTGCTCAAATGGAATGTGAGGGTAAACTCAGGCCGCCTCCTTCCTGAAGGCCTCTGAGTGCTTCTGAGTGGAGCCGGGAGCTTCGATGGGAGCAGGAAGGACCTCCAGAGGTGCCTCAGCCGGTGCCCAGAGGGGGCCAGGGAGAAAACCTGCCGACATTCCCACGACCCCAGCACCTCTCAGTGGCTGCCCTGTCCCATGGCCACCGCCGCCTTCATTAGCGAGACACGGCGAGGATTGTCCTCACCGGGACCATCCTGACTTGGACTGTTGAGGCCATGTGGCTCTGCCCTCCCTTGTGGCAGGAGGTTGGGAGGGAGGTGGCCCCTGCAGCCCAGCCCAGGGAATCCCACGGCAGATACCCCTGGACTTTCTACCGCAATCACAGCCACCAGCCACAGAGCTAGTACAGGCCGCTTCTCCAAGACACCCAAAAGCTTCTTGGAATCAGAAATTCAGCATGAGGATCCCGGGCAGCTTGGCAGAGAGGGGGCAGCCTCCGTCCCCGGCACAGGATCGAACCCGCAAGTGTGGCAGCCAAAGACGCCAAGATCTGGCTTGCAGAGAAGAGCATCTTACAAAGAACCGAAGGCCAAGGAAGATTTTAAAGCCATTGATGGCTGTTATTCCACTGCCCCAGGGAGGGGTGCCGGTTTCTCCATTGGAAGCCGGGCCATGGCCGTCCTGGCTGGTTCTGCTGCTGCCAGTCCGCAGACATGTCCCCTTCCTGTTCTGAGCAGCAGCTCTGGTTGAGGAGGAGGCTAGGCCACTGCCCATCTGGGGAAGTCACAGCCACCCTGCCAGTGCCTACAGAGTCACGTCTCAGCCAGGAGTCGCAGAAGGAGCGGGACTCAGCTCAGGCCAGGCTCAAATCCAGGCACAGCCCCCCTTGCGCTGGAGTCTTTGGGCAGGACCTCTACCCTGTCCAGGACTCGGATCAGGTGCAGGGTAGCTATGATGACCCAGCCTTGTGGGTTGATGTGGAAGCTAGAGGTGGGGAGTGGGGGCTCCAGGTGCTGATAACAGGGGCCCTATACCTTTCAATGCTCTGAGAGGTAGCTGGGGTGGGAGGGAGGAAGGGGCCTCTATTAGTGTGAGCTGTCAGGACCTAGGAGAACTGTCTGCACACAGCTACAAGGCCAGGGCTTGACTCTCCCACAGGACGGGCCTTGGGGTGGGGCAGCCACGTGCTTGTGGGCCTCAGCCATGCACACAACATGTCCAGACCTGGGAACCTAGAGCCTAGGGCCTTTGCCACAGCTGGGACACCCCAGTGGTTGTGTTCCTTGCTGTGTACAGGCGGGACCCTCGGGAGGGACTCATGAAAGTAGGGGAGTCTGCAAACTTCTTCCCAGTCAGAGGCAGGGTCGGGGGCAGGCTGAGGGCCAGCTTACAACAGCAGCCAGGGGTGGCCATGTCTTCCGGGCAGCCGGGATAGGGCCGGACCTCCTGAACTTGTGTTGACTGAGCACCTCACACTGAGCAGGCCTGACACCCCAATCAGCACGGCAGGCATCCCAGCTGAGGGTGCATGAGTCCCGCTGCTGGCTCTGACAGCCTCGCCCTTCCTCTCCTGCAGGTCAACACCTTCATGTCCTTCATATTCCCCATGGTGGTCATCTCGGTCCTGAACACCATCATCGCCAACAAGCTGACCGTCATGGTACGCCAGGCGGCCGAGCAGGGCCAAGTGTGCACGGTCGGGGGCGAGCACAGCACATTCAGCATGGCCATCGAGCCTGGCAGGGTCCAGGCCCTGCGGCACGGCGTGCGCGTCCTACGTACGTAACCTCTGGGCCCTCCAGGGGCGGGAGGCAGGCCAGGGCTAGCAAAGGCAGCGAGCGCTGAACCACCCCAAGCCTGGGCAAGGTTTAAAGACATAGGGATGGAGCTGTCAGGCCAAGACCCAAGGGTGCCAGCTCCCCCGAGGGGTGAGTGCCATTCTGCACTCCATCCCTCCCTCCATCCTTCCATCTATCCTTCCCTCCCTCCATCCATCCATCCTTCCCTCCCTCCCTCCATCCATCCTTCCTTCCCTCCATCCATCCATCCCTTCCTCCTTCTATCCCTCCACCCCTCCCTCCTCCCTTCATCCCTCCCTCCATCCATCCATCCTTCTCTCCCTCCTTCCCTCCATTCACTCCTCTACCTCTCCCTCCATCCATCCCTCTCTCCCTCCTTCCCTCCATTCATTCCTCTACCTCTCCCTCCCTTCCTTCCTCCCTCCCTCCATCCATCCATCCCTCTCTCCCTTCCTCCCTTCATCCCTCCATCCACCCTCCCTCCCTCCATCCATCATTCCATCCATCATCCCTCCATCCATCCCTCCATCCATCCATCCATCCTCCCTCCATCCCTCCCTCCCTCCATCCATCCTCCCTCCCTCCATCCCTCCCTCCATCCATCCTCCCTCCGTCCATCACTCCCTCCCTCCATGCATTCTCCCTCCCTCCGTCCATCCCTCCCTCCATCCATCCTCCCTCCCTCCATCATCCCTCCCTCCCTCCATCCCTCATTCCATCCCTCCCTCCCTCCCTCCATCCCTGCCTTCATCCATCCTCCCTCCCTCCATCCATCCTCCCTCCCTCCATCATCCCTCTCTCCCTCCATCCCTCATTCCATCCCTCCCTCCCTCCCTCCCTCCAGCCATCCTCCCTCCCTCCAGCCATCATCTCTCCCTCCCTCCCTCCATCCCTCCCTTCAGCCATCCTCCCTCCCTCCATCCATCCCTCCCTCCCTCCATCCATCCTCCCTCCCTCCACCCATCATCCCTCCCTCCCTCCATCCCTCATTCCATCCATCCATCCCTCCTTCCATCCCTCCTTCCCTCCCTTGTTCCATTCCTCCCTCCCTCCATCTATCCATCTCTCTGTCCATCTGTCCACTTGCTCACGTGCTCACTTATTCATTTGCTCAGCAGTTGGCTGAGTGCCCACCCTGGGTCTCGCCTATTCTTGCTCACAGGCATGGAGGCAGCAGAGGCAGGGGCATCCCTGCACTCTGGGGGAACAGGGGCTCCACCAAGGACACAAACACAGGCACCAGGCACCTTCAGCCAGTGATGAGCATGAAGAAAAAAATACCACCACCACCACCCCTGACTACATCTGGCAGCTGGGAGGGGCTCTCAGAGCAGGTGGCATCCTGCAAGTCCCAAGGACCAGGAGCCCATCTGGGCAACAGAGCTGCAGGCGAGGGGATGGCTGGAGCAAAGGCCCTGTGGTGGGAGGTGCTTGGCAAGAAGGCGGGGCAGGGGCAGGGCAGACGCTGCCAACAACACAGGGCTTGGAGAGTGTGATGGGAACTGGAGAGAATGAAGCCCTTTCATGCCTGAGACCCAGGTCTTCAGTTTGGTTTGCCTGAAGCATTTGGCTTGAGCTCCTCCCTGGTGCTGGCCCATTTTCAGGGCTTGTTTGAGGGTGTGGCCAGTCACAGGAGAGGCCCATAGCCAAGCACATTACCCTAAGAGAGCCTGGCTCTGGGCTCAGCCTTCCCTGCTCATGGGAACCAGCCAGGGCTTTGGACACGGAGCTCTCAGGGCTGGCGAAGCCCACAGCAGGGCAACGCCCATCCTATCGGAACCCTGAGGACCAGCCCCAGCTCAGGACGGCTGGCTTGCCAACATCCAAGGTGTGTCCTGGTCCCAGTGTGTGCCTGTTGTTTTAATAGTAGCCATCCTAATAGATTTGAGGTGGCATCTCGTTGTGGTTTTGATTTGCATTTCTCCAGTGATTTAAGATTAATGATTAATAACATCTTTCATGTGCTTGTTGACCATTTGTATCTTCTTTGGAGAAATGTCTGAGTCCTTTGCCCATTTGTGAATTGGATTGTTTGTTTTCATGTTGAGTTTTAGGAGTTATACTCTCAAGGTTAACTCATTATCAGATGTGATTTGCAAATATTTTCTCCTTTTTTGTGAGCTGACTTCCACTCTCCTGATGGCATCCTTTGATACACAGAAATTCAGTGTTTATGTTGTTCAATTTATCTACTTTTTTCTTTTGTGGCCTGTGCTTTTGGTGTCATACCCAAGAAATCATTGCCAAAATCAATGTTGTAAAGTAATTATGTTTTCTCCTAGGAGTTTTATGGTTTTAGTTCTTATGTTCAGGTCTTTAATCCACTTCAAGTCCATTTTTGTATATGGTGTGAGGGGAGGATCCACCTTCATACAAGTGGATGTCCCGTTTTCCTAACACCCTTTGTTGAATAGACTGTCCTTTCCCCACTGAATGGTCTTGGTGAAGATCACTTGACCATAAAGGTAAGGGTTCGTTTCTGAGATTTCTAGTCTATTCCCTTGGTCTACGTGTCTATCTTTATGCCAGCACCACACTGTAACTTTGTAGTAAGTTTTGAAATCAAGAAGTGTAAGACCTCCAACTTTATTTTCTTACAAGATTGTTTTGGCTGTCCGGGATCCTTTGAGATTTCATATGAATTTTAGCACAGATTTTTCTATTTCTGCCAAAAGCATTCTTGAAATTTGATACGGATTGCATTGAATCTGTAGAGTGCTTTGGGTAGTACTGACACCTTAACAATATTAAATCTTCCAATCCATGAACATGGGATGTCTCCCTGCATCTCCCTCAGACCACGTGTCTCCTTCTCTGAGGCCATATCTCTGTGTCTCTAAGCCCATGTCTCTGAGCCAGTGTCTACCTCCCTCAGCCCATGTCTCTCCCTCTCTGAGCCTGTGTCCTGTCTCTGAGCCTGTGTCCTGTCTCTGAGCTTATGCTCCCTCCCCAAGCCCACGTCTCTCCCTCTCTGAGCTTGTGTCTGGTCTCTGAGCCCATGTCTCCCCCACTGAGCCCACGCCTCTGTGCCTCAGGTGCAGTGGGTCTCTGAGCCCACGCCTCTGTGCCTCAGGTGCAGTGGGTCTCTGAGCCCACGTCTCTGTGCCTCAGGTGCAGTGGGTCTCTGAGCCCATGTCCTGTCTCTGAGCCCACGTCTCTGTGCCTCAGGTGCAGTGGGTCTCTGAGCCCATGTCTCTGTGCCTCAGGTGCAGTGGGTCTCTGAGCCCACGTCTCTGTGCCTCAGGTGCAGTGGGTCTCTGAGCCCACATCTGTGTGCCTCAGGTGCAGTGGGTCTCTGAGCCCACGCCTCTGTGCCTCAGGTGCAGTGGGTCTCTGAGCCCACGTCTCTGTGCCTCAGGTGCAGTGGTCATCGCCTTTGTGGTCTGCTGGCTGCCCTACCACGTGCGGCGCCTCATGTTCTGCTACATCTCGGATGAGCAGTGGACTCCGTGAGTACCGGGAACCAGGAAGTTGGGTGCTGGACAAGTAAGTGCTCCCAAAACAGATGGTGGGTGTGGCAGGCACTGCTGAGGGGATCCACTCAGGGCAGGGGTGTGGTGAGTCCCCCGGCGACCCCCTGGGCAGGGTTGTGCTGTGACTGGGGCCGGGAGAAGGCCATGGAGGGACAGGTTCAAGGCAGGGGCTATTCAGGCCAGACTGGTGCAGAGAAAGAAAGTTGGTCCTAAGAGAGATGGCCCAGGCAGTTTCCCGAAGGTGAAAGAGAGACATCCCTGGCTCTGCTGGGGACATGGTGGGGGTGTCACCTCCTCATATGGCAGCTGTCAGAGCCCCAAGGCCACCCAGGTTGGACCCACAGGGCTCAGCCTGGAGTTATACTCAGGGCTGTGACTTATCGCAGCAAGAGCACCAATACTGACAAAGCTTTGCTTATACAGCAAAGTCAGCAAAGGGAAAAGACACATGGAGTGGGGTCAGCGGAAGACCAGATGCAGCTTCCAGGGCCCCCTCCCAGAGGAGCCTCACAGGACGATATGGGGGCCGATCACAGGGGCACCCACTGCCTGGCAAAACCCCTACTGTTTGCACCAACAGTTCAGGGGCAGGGAGCCCTTCTCACCCAAAAATGGCAGAGCCTTCCCAAAATCCAAGGCCCCAGGCACCAGCCAGAGGCCAGCCTTGCCAGCTGGCCATCCTGAGATGGCAGCTTGGGGCCCACTTGTGAACCCTTTTCTGTGCAGTGGGGCTGCCAGATCCCAGAATAAAAGGTTCCTTCCAGTGACAACCACCAGGGAGGGCGCACCTACGACCAATGAGGAGGAGAAGGCACGGGGAACAGAGTGTGGCCCCTGCAAAAGCTTCTGAAACTCAGGGCTGACTGGTAGTAATTGAGCTGCCTGGTGAGGGAGTGAGATCACTGTGGGGGGAGGCAACAAGCTGAGGGCAAGGTGTGTGGCTGCTGGGGAGGTGTGGAGGGGGTTACTGCCCTGGCTGTTTGGTTAGGCCGGGACCAGCCAAGCCCTGGACCCTTGGATGCACAGAGCTGCGAAGGGCAATGCAGGCAGCTGCAAGGAGAGGCAGGGATGGACAAGCAGAGCCCACGCTCCACCTAAAGAAGCCCAGGCTGGGTGGGACACGGTGGCTCACGCCTGTAATCCCAGCACTTTGGGAGGCTGAGGTGGGTGGATCACGAGGTCAGGAGATCGAGACCATCCTGGCTAACACGGTGAAACCCCGTCTCTACCAAAAATACAAAAAATTAGCCGGGCGTGGTGGGGGGGTCCCTGTAGTCCCAGCTACTCGGGAGGCTGAGGCAGGAGAATGGTGTGAACCCGGGAGGTGGAGCTTGCAGTGAGCCGAGATCGCGCCACTGTACTCCAGCCTGGGAGACAGAGCGAGACTCCGTCTCAAAAAAAAAAAAAAAGCAGCAGCAGCCCAGGCTGGGCGGGAGCACGACGAGAACTTGCAGCTGCTCAGGAGAAGCCAGACCCTGGAGCTTGTTATGAAATGTCCCCAAACAACCATTCTCAAGGGGTGTTTTAATTAGCGTCTGAGCCACCACGTCCCTCAGCCGCTGTGGCCCCGGCTGTCACCCTGCCTTGGGGCCCTCAAGAGTTCTCTCTGGGATCTGAGCGCCTCTCTCTCCCCGCAGGTTCCTCTATGACTTCTACCACTACTTCTACATGGTGACCAACGCACTCTTCTACGTCAGCTCCACCATCAACCCCATCCTGTACAACCTCGTCTCTGCCAACTTCCGCCACATCTTCCTGGCCACACTGGCCTGCCTCTGCCCGGTGTGGCGGCGCAGGAGGAAGAGGCCAGCCTTCTCGAGGAAGGCCGACAGCGTGTCCAGCAACCACACCCTCTCCAGCAATGCCACCCGCGAGACGCTGTACTAGGCTGTGCGCCCCGGAACGTGTCCAGGAGGAGCCTGGCCATGGGTCCTTGCCCCCGACAGACAGAGCAGCCCCCACCCGGGAGCCTTGATGGGGGTCAGGCAGAGGCCAGCCTGCACTGGAGTCTGAGGCCTGGGACCCCCCCCTCCCACCCCCTAACCCATGTTTCTCATTAGTGTCTCCCGGGCCTGTCCCCAACTCCTCCCCACCCCTCCCCCATCTCCTCTTTGAAAGCCAGAACAAGAGAGCGCTCCTCTCCCAGATAGGAAAAGGGCCTCTAACAAGGAGAAATTAGTGTGCGGCAAAAGGCAGTTTTCTTTGTTCTCAGACTAATGGATGGTTCCAGAGAAGGAAATGAAAGGTGCTGGGTGGGGCCGGGCCTCCGGCGGCCCGGCTGCTGTTCCCATGTCCACATCTCTGAGGCCTGCACCCCCTCTGTCTAGCTCGGGGAGTCCAGCCCCAGTCCCGCAGGCTCCGTGGCTTTGGGCCTCACGTGCAGACCCTGCCATGCAGACCCATGCCCCCCTCCCCCAGGCAGCTCCAAGAAAGCTCCCTGACTCGCCCCTTCAGGCCTGGCAAGCTGGGGGCCCATCGCCGTGGGGAGTCCCTCCCACCACCCTCGCCGCAGGCAGCTGCAGCCCCCAGAGGGGACCACAAGCCCAAAAAGGACAAAAATGGGCTGGCCTGGAATGGCCCAGACCCCAGCCTCCCCTCCTCCCTCCCATCCTCACCCAGGCCAAGGCCCAGGGGCTCTGCCAGGACACCACATGGGAGGGGGCTCAGGCCTCAGCCTCAAGATCTTCAGCTGTGGCCTCTCGGGCTCGGCAGAAGGGACGCCGGATCAGGGGCCTGGTCTCCAGCACCTGCCCGAGTGGCCGTGGCCAGGATGGGGTGCGCATTCCGTGTGCTTTGCTTGTGGCTGTGCAGGCTGAGGTCTGGAGCCAGGCCCAGAGCTGGCTTCAGGGTGGGGCCTTGAGAAGGGGAATGTGGGACAGGGGCGATGGTGCCTGGTCTCTGAGTAAGATGCCAGGTCCCAGGAACTCAGGCTTCAGGTGAGAAGGAGCGGTGTGTCCAGGCACCGCTGGCCGGCAGCCCTGGGCTGAGGCACAGACTCATTTGTCACCTTCTGGCGGCGGCAGCCCTGGCCCCGGCCTCCAAGCAGTTGAAAAAGCTGGCGCCTCCTTGGTCTCTAGGATCCAGGCTCCACAGAGCACATGACTAGCCAGGCCCCTGGCTTAAGAAGGTCGCCTAAGCCTAAGAGAAGACAGTCCCAGGAGAAGCTGGCCGGGACCAGCCAGGAGCTGGGAGCCACAGGAAGCAAAAGTCAGCCTTTTCTTCAAGGGATTTCCCTGTCTCAGAGCAGCCTTTGCCCCAGGGAAATGGGCTCTGGGCTGGCTGCCTGCACCGGCCATGTCGACCCAGGACCCGGACACCTGGTCTTGGGCTGTGTTCAGCCACTTTGCCTTCTCTGGACTCAGTTTCCCCGTCTGAGAAATGAGAGTCGAATGCTACAGTATCTGCAGTCGCTTGGATCTGGCTGTTGAGTTGACGGGTTCCTTGAACCCCACAAAATCCCTCTCCAACCACAGGACCCTTCGGCTCACCAAGAACAGGGCCCAGGGGAGTCAGGCCTATTCGCTGCACTTCCTGCCAAACTTTGCCCCCACAAGCCTGGTCATCAGCCAGGCAGCCCTCCCAGTGCCCAAGGGCCACCAACCCCAGGGAAACAGGGCCAGCACAGAGGGGCCTTCCTCCCCCACAGAGCCCCCATGACATAGTCTGCTCTGGGCGGAAGAGCTTTGCTGCCAGCCAGGGATGTCCAGAGGTCAGTGCAGCCCCTACCCCTGCTCAGGAGTGGGCTCAGAGTCTAGCAAATGCTAAGGCCCCTCAGGCTGGGCTCTGAACGAGGACCTGGACTCAGAGCCAGACAGGGCAGCCTCAGACCCTTCTCTGGGGCTCCTGGACCTTGGGCCATAATTTCTGAGCCTCGGTTTCCCCATCTAAGGAACAGATGTGGTCGTTCCGCCCTCTCAGCTGGATGAGACTGTCCTGGAGGATCCACCCCGGAACAGACAGAATGGTGTCTCTCAGGATGGTGCTCTGAGAGAGGGCAGAGTGGATGCCCCACTGCCCTAGACCCTCGGTAGACGTGGGGTCTCTGGGGCGGGGTCTGTGGCTGTGACTGAAGTCGGCTTTTCCCGTTGATGTCTTGATGCTCCTATCTGTGCACTTACCGTAGGTAGGGACACGTGTCCACGCACCACAGACACACCCACGACACCTGATCTCGTATCACTAGCTTGCGGCCAGGTCATGATGTGGCCCCGGAAGCTGGCCCTGCGTGCCATGAGTGCGTCGGTCATGGAGTCCGGAGCCCCTGAGCCGGCCCCTGGTGACGGCACAGCCCTCACAGCTCAAACGCCCACCCCCACTCCCACCATCTGCAGGTGGTGAAAACAAACCCCGTGTATCTCTCAATAAAGGTGGCCGAAGGGCCTCGATGTGGACTTGAGTGTTGAGGGCCTGCATGTGCCCACCCACCCACTCATTCATTCACTCCTTCATTCAGACACGCACCGACGCAGCAGCCAGCCTGCACTGGGCCTCTTACCAAAGTCTACAGGGCTCTGGTCCCAGAAGCTGGCGGGTGGGGGGCGCCGGGATCCCTCTGCTCACAGCCCACCCACCCTCCCTAGTGCTTCAAGGAGCAGTGGGCCCCCTGCAGGGCCTAGTGACCACCGAGGGGCCTGTGTGGGCAAAAGTCCTCACCGTCTCCTGAGCTTCAGTCTCCTGATCTGTGAGCTGAACACAGAGGACGCTCAGTGAAGCGGGGAGCCCGGGGTCCCATGACCGCTCAGCTCAGATCTCCATGGCCCCCTCTAGCCAGCCCAGGGGTCCTGTGGTTGTGGGGGAGGGGGCCATGGCCCCATCGAGGCCTTAGCAGTGGACAGATAGGCCCGGGTGCAGTACTGAGCCTCTGGCCTGGGCCCAGCCCCGTGCAGGCTACTGAGGAGACAGAAGATGCAGCTGAACCCTCACCCCCAGGGCTTCTGCTCTGAAAATGAGGGTTCCCAGGCACCTCCCAGACCCACCGTTTCCAATTCTCCCCCGCCAAGGCCCGGGTCATTCTCCATCCCTGGTTGGGCGGCTCTGGCTCTCTGCTGTGCTCCTTTTTAGGGCACCAAAAGCTTTTCTCCGGCTTGCCTGAGCCTGAGCCACAAGAGGCCGGTGACAGCAGAGTCTGCAGGGTGGTGCCCTGGGGTCTTTCTCATAAGCCTCCTGGGCCTCAGGATTAGGAGTGCTGGGCTCACCCTGTGGAGCTCAGCAAAAGAAGCATTTGCTTGGGCTTGAACAGTCCAGGAAGGCTGCCTGGAGGAGGAGGCAGGTGGGCCAGTGGGAGGCAGAGCCTGAGCAAGGGAGAGTGCAGGAGTGAGGGGTCTCCCCAGGGACATGAGGGGCTCAGAGTGGCTGGAGAGGAGAAGGGCAGGTGCTAGGGGAGCAATAGGGGAGGGAGAAGGCGGGTTGAGAGCTTGAGGGATTTGAGCGCCCATGGAGGGGCTGAGTAGGGGCCTAGGGGGAGAGGGGAGGAGCCTTGGGGCCCTCGTGGTCAGGAGCCTGCCATGGTTCCTGGGTCCTGATGGCAGGGAGCACCCCTTCCTGAGGGGGTCCTCTTGGCCGTCCTCAGCAGCTCTGGCCCTGCCTCCACCTCCCTGCAGCACTTAGAGATTCTCTAAGTGTTGTTTTCCTGTGCCTGGGGGCTCAGGACTCCTTCCTTTGGGGGCAGCCAGGTGGCAGCAGGGCTGGGAGGGGTCTGGGTGAGGGTGGGGAGATAAACTATAACCCTGATCATCTAAAGGGATCTTGGCACACGCTGCCAGGCCCCTCCCTCCCAGCACCCAGCACTCACCTTCGCCTGCCCTCCCAAGCGGCGCTGCCCCAGATCCCCACCAGGCTCAGCCTGTCCTTATCTGTGCTAAAGCGTTAGTGGCCACAGCATCTCCTGGTAACAAAGATCCCCACACCTTAACCCAAAGGACAGCAGAAACACAGGACAACCCCACCCACCCTAAGGGCATGGTCCCCCACCTTCCCCTCCGAGCCGCACCTGCCCAGCTCAGAGGTGGGGATGGCTTGAGTGAGGACTCCTGGGCCCCTGATTCAGAAGAGGCTGCAGGGTCTCCGGGAAGACCCTCTCACCCAACAGCTGCTCTCTCTAGGAAGCCTTAAACCCCCGACAGAGGGAAGCCAGAGCCAGGAGGAGGCCGGATGGGGACGAGGAGAGCCTGCTGCCTCGGGGTCCCGCTTCCCCTCGGCTGTGCGTGGCCACAAGGTGGGCACAGGGAGAGGGCACCCACCATGTGGAGCCCTTGGGGGGCCTGTGTTGTGCACCCAGAGGCTGCGTGGCGAGCACTGGGTGAAGAGGGGATGCCAGCTCTTCCCCCGGCAGCACAGCACAGCCATGAGCGCACAGGTGGTGACGCACAGGGTCCTGGGCTGGACTCCAGCTCTGCCACTGTGAGCTGGGACGTGGGATAAGGTGGAAGTTAGCACTCAGGGCCCGGCCCGCAGGACCAAGGTTGGCCGCGTCAGGGGAGCTGGGAGGGAGGCGGAGGCTGCCTTCCTTGGCATCTGGCCTTGGCGGCCAGGCCAGTGTCCCTCCTGGCCCAGAGCGGTACCCGGGCCCTCGACTGCTGCCCTCCACGGGCTCCCTGCCTGAACCTGTCCACACCCCGATTCGTCCCCAGAGTTGGACACTCCGTGATGTTTAAGGTTAAGGAATTGGTGTCAATCATGAGCTTCATGCCTGGCTGCCCGGCTCCTTCTCTGCCCCGGCCTAGTCTGAGCCCCCTCCACCAACAGTGGAGCCTGGTGCCACCCGCTCCTGTCACTCTGGAGGTGGCCCAGGGTATAGCACTGCCTGCAACCAGGTCCCTGCTCTCCTCTCCACTCTAGAGCCTCTCTCCCCTTCAAGCCTCTCCCTGGTCTGAGGCTCCCTCCCCTCTGAGCCTCCCTCCGAGCCTCTCTTCCCTCTCCTCTCTTCTCCCTGCTCCTCCCTCTCCCTGCTTCCTCCCTGGAGCTGGGGGCTGTCTCTCTGACTGCATCTCTGGAGGAGGAGGAAGAGGATTGGGAGACAGGACTTTAAGCGCAGATTCTGCCAGGCATCACCTAGGAGCCCTGGCTGAACCCAGCTGTGTGTAGGGAGCCTCCGGCCGCCCTGGGGCTCAGCATCCTTAGGTCATTGTTCCCATTTGACTGGCCAAGGAAGCCAAGGCTCTGGTAATCTGCCAAGGACCCACAGCCTCCCTAAGCTTGAAGACCATGGTCCTATCAGCCCTCATGTGCTCCCGGTGACCCACCCTGCAGGCCCACAGGCCGAAGGCGAGCTCCACCTGTTTCACAGCTGGGGACGCCAGGGAGGGGGAGAGCTGCACGGAGCTGGTGTTGGTTCTGCCCTCGCCATTGTGGGACCTTCAGAAGACCCCACCTCCCAAGGACCGTGACCCCCTCCTGGGGAGGGCACGCCTCCCCAGGAGCTGCCAGGTGAGAAAAGCACCCAGCCTCCAGCACACCAAGACCCAGGAGCAGTGAGAGGGCAGAGCCAAGCTGCTGCCCCAGGGACTGGTAGGGACCACTGATGGCAGTGGCAGGAGGAAGCTCCAGGCTGCGGGGCTCAGAGAGGGATGAAGGACAGGGTACGGGTTGCTTTGCCCCCAAATCAGAGATGCTCACCCGGCAGGAGACCCTGCATGCCCAGGCTCTCCCACCTCAGCCTCAGACGCCGAGCTGTGTAGACACTGTCCAGGCTACACCCAGAGCCTCCTGGGGTCTGCTTCAGCCTCTGGGAACCATTTGGCTCCTCTCTTCCCCCTGGGGGGCATGGGGAAAGCATGCCAGGGAGGAACGCTGGTTGGGCAGCCAGGCAGAGGTGGATGTGGCGGGCTCTCACCCCAGGCAAGTTGACCAAAAGGGTGACCGCAGCAAGGTGGGCTCTGCAGGGGACCCCAGGACGCTGGTCAGGCTCAGGGGCAGGGCTGGGGCGCAGGTTGGGAGGGCAGAGGTGAAGGAGCAAACACAAGGCATGGGTGGTCTCGGATGACGGGCACCCTCCCCCACCCACCCATTCAGGTCCTCGCCCTCATTCCCCACGGCAAATTTTCACACGGGCTGTTAGCCAATAGCTATTTTTTAACTCTGGCTACATTTTTAAAGTAAAATTATTGGATTCAGACAACATAGTTCTCCTTAAAGTAAGAAAGTCTGTGCCTAAAGCCGGGAGGAATAAGTACCATTTGGTGGTGAGTTTCAGTATCACCCCAATAAATCATGGGGTGCCACATGGCATGGAGGCAAACCCAGATCAACAACCGAGAGAACAGTCACTGCCCCTCCTCCTGCCCGCCCTCCTCCTTCCACTCCGTGCTTCCCTCTGAGCCCCCCACTCTCCCTCCCAGAAGACCGCCTAGCCCCACAGCCCTTTCCTTTCTCTGGGGTCTTTGTTACATTGACCACCATCCCGACTGGCTTCCACTTGGTTTCTCCCGGCTTTTCGCACACCCACGGCTCTTCATGACTGAGACCCAGCAAGCGGGAGCAGCCTGAGGTCCCTGTGGTCTTTCCAGTTCTGCCTCTCTCTAGGGATCCCTGGGCTCTGTGCCAAGGAGGAAGGAGCTGGAGCAGCGAGGCAACAAGGTCAGCCTCCTCCCGGGTGGGCAGGTGGGAGCAGCAGTAAGATGCGTGGGGACCAAGGACACACCAAGCGTCCTTCATAAACACCCCGTAGGATCCACAGCCACACACACGCCAGCGTTTAAAGAACTGAAAAAGGCTGGGCGCGGTGGCTCACGCCTGTAATCCCAGCACTTTGGGAGGCCAAAGCGGGCGGATCACTTGAGGTCAGGAGTTTGAGACCAGCCTGGCCAACATGGTGAAACCCCGTCTCTACTAAAAATACAAAATAGCTGAGCGTGGTGGTGGGCACCTGTAATCCCAGCTACTTGGGAGGCTGAGGCAGGAGAATCACTTGAACCCAGGAGGCGTAGGCTGCAGTGAGCTGAGGTTGCACCACTGCCCTCTAGCCTGGGTGACAAGAGCAAGAACTCCATGTCAAAGACAGAGAGAAAGAGAGATAGAGAAGAAAGAAAGAAAAGAAGAAAGAGAAAGAAAGAAAGAGAAGAAAGAAGAAAGAAAAGAAGAAAAGAGAGAGAGAGAGAAGGAAGGAAGGAGAAAGAGAGAGAGAAAGAGAAAAAGAGAGGGAGGGAGGGAAGGAAGGAAGGAAGGAGAAAGAGAAAGAAAGAAAAAGAAAAGAAAGAAAGAAAGAAAGAAAGAGAGAGAGAGAGAAAGAAGAAAGAAAGAAAGAAAGAAAGAAAGAAAGAAAGAAAGAAAGAAAGAAAGAAAGAAAGAAGGTTGAAGGAAGGAAGGAAGGAAGGAAGGAAGGAAGGAAGGAAGGAAGGAAGGAAGAACCCAGCCACCATCTGCTTCTGAGCTGATGAGGCCCTCCCTCCCATCCCCACGGGAGGACACCCCCACAGGAGGACGAGAAGACACCCCCATGGCAGGACCCCCCTGAGGGCTGACAGCCCCACAGAAGTGCCTTCTGCGCCGGGTGTGTCCCTGCCTCATCCCCCTTCCCACCTCCCTGCCTCTGCCTCCATCTCACATAGCAGAGGGGTCCCCCAAACCCCCCTGCCCAGCCCCAAGCCACTAGGGCAGAGGCAGGGCCTTGTTGACAGCCAAACGCTGTCCTCTGGGGGACAAAGAAGAAAGCCCCTTTCCCAACCACAGGCCTCCAGTGCTCCTGCTGCCCCTGTTCCCTGTGTCTCCTGGGCAGGCAGATGGGCGGGCTCACGTCAGAACCACCAGGGAGCCTGTTCCAGACCAGTTTCCCAGGCCCCAGCTGAGCCCCAGGCGATCAGAAGGTAGGGTGGCCTGGGAATCTGCATGTTAACGACTTATCCAGGAGAGTCAGATGCGCCCTGGGGTGGGAGAGCCACCTCCCTATACCTTCCCATCCATCCATCCATCCATCCATCCATTCATTCATTCATCTGCTCAGTGCTCCTCGGGACCTGGCTGACTCGGCACCCCCCTGGCTGGCACAGAACGGAGGGTGTGGGGCTCTGCTGCCCCAGCCCCTGCAAGGAATTCTCACAACCCCCGTTCACTCCAGGGCATAGGAGATCACTGCACCCCAACCGGAGGAACACTGACATTGACGACAACATCATAGGAATGGAAATACAACCATGGAATTCCAGCTCAGTCATGGAGCGGGAGATCTGGGGACACTGGCCGGGCAGCCTGCCCCAGGCACCCCTGAACTCCAGTCCCCTGAAGCCAGAGCCCGGGTCAAGCCCCTCCCCACCCAGCAGGTCTGCCGAGCTCCGCCCTGTTCCAGCACAGAGACAGAAGCCCATCGGCTAGGAGGCCCACCCAGGAGGACAGTGCCGGCCCGTCGCCATCGCGAGGCAACAGGGGAGCTCTTGAGAGAGAATTCTATACACTCTAAATACCTCTGAAGGAAGAAAAACCAGCCACAGCCATTGAGACCTGAGCTTCCTGTATAGAAAATGTTCCCTCCTGCCTCCACCCTCTCTCCCAGCTCCCCAACTCCCTGCAATTATGACTGGAATTCCAGTTTTTATCAGAGCACCATGGAAACCATGGCCAGGCTGAATTTATGAAAGGAATGACGCCAAGCAGAGAGAGAACCGGTGAGGGGAAGGCAGGGAGCCAAGGCAGGGCAGGAGAGCAAGGCAGACGAGGAGGGGCTGGCACCCGCAGGGCGCCCGCAGCACGTGGTGAGTGGGCCCTCCCCAGCACACGTGCACGTATACACAGGCACCCCATGCACATGCACACAGCATGCACATGTGCCAGCGCATGCATACACACACAGACACACGTGTACACACAGGCACACTTGTGCACATACATGAACCCATGGGCACACACCCATGTACATGTGCCAGCACATGCATATACACACAGACACACATGTGTACACACAGGCACACTTGTGCACATACATGCACCCACATGCACACATTTACACTCAACTCACACACACACAGGCAAATGCATATACACATGCCTGCACGCACACACAGGCATGGCATGTGAACATGAGTGCACACACACAAGTGCTCACACCCGGGCACATTCAGCCTGCATAGGGCCTCCCATCTCACCAGGAAGGGCTCGTTCCTTGGGTCTGTGAGACCAGCCGCTTCTCATCCTGCCAGGCCAACTAACCAGGTGACTAGCAGAGCCACTGGGGACACCCCCAGCCAGGCCCAGACCCCAGCCAATTACCCAGGGCCTGGAGCAAGGCCCTGTCAGCTCAACCCCCATCATCTGACCTGGTTCAAGGCCCATGGCCACCGAGAGCCAGTCTGCAGCTGGGCAAAAGGGCAGGTGCCGGAGCCCTCAGGGTCAGCAGCTGTGTCTAGAGCTCGCTGGACAAAGGCTAGGCCAGGCACACTTCAGAAAGCACCTGCCTCCCACCCACTCTGGTCGGTCCCCCACCCCAGTCACTATGTGGCACTGAGGTCTCATCTCGGGCCCCAGTGCCAGGCTCTTGGCCAGCCCTGTCAGGATGGGGCAGAACCCTGGGGGTAGGGAGGGCCTGTGACTGGGCCACCACGCTGCAAGTACAGCAGTGAGAATGACCGCTAGGAAAGGACACTGGCGGCAATAGGGGGCTCTGCCCAGGGCTCTCTGCCTGGGCTGGGGCAGGCCGGCTATCAGGCAGTCGCACCCCCAGAGCGGCCTCGTTTGTTACCCCCACAGGCAGGAGTTGGATAAATACTCAGCCTCCTCCCCGCTCCAGGGGAGTCACTGGAGGGTGCTCAGCAGGGGCACTAAGCCATCAGCCCTTACAGGTGCATCCCCTTCCCTACTCCCTGTCTTCCTGGGTCACCTCCCAAAGAAATGAACAGCTTCCACATCAACCCTGGCCTCATTCTGCTTCCAGGGAGAGTCAGCCAAAAACATCAGGAGACAGCCATGGTGTAGGGAGCATGAGGACCGGGACCCAGGCACTGGCACGCCAGCCTGAGGACCGGGATCCAGACACCGGCACTCCAGCCTGAGGACTGGGACCCAAATGCCGGCACTCCAGCCTGAGGACCGGGACCCAGACCCAGACGCTGGCACTCCAGCCTGGACGCCCGCTCACCGGCATGCGCACGGGTGAATATGGAGGGAGGTGGGGGAACTAGGAAAGGAAGAGGAGGTCCCCTGGAGGGAAAGGCGTGGAAGCTGAGGCCTGGAGGGGGCAGATGGGAGGAATGTTCTGGGCAAAGGGGCAAGCTCCTGGACCTGTTGTTACCATGGCCAGGACTCCCCTCACCCAGCTGACAGCACAGCCCCACAGAGCCCCCAGGTGAGGGCCTCATCCCCATCCTCACACAGTCCCCAGGGAGGGTCCCCCCTCACAGAGTCCCCAGGTGAGGGCCTCATCCCCACAGAGTCCCCAGGGAGGGCCCCGCCTCACAGAGCCTCATGCCTGCAGACAGGGCCAGGTGAGGTGGACGTCTCTTGCACCTACACATCCTCGCGACAGGAGGATGCACGTCGTACAGATGGGGAAACAGGCTGGGAAAGGGAGTGTGACCTGCCCGTGATCCCAGAGGTGTGGCTACCAGAGCTGGAACTAAAACCGGAGCCCTTCACCAAATCCAGGTGTGACTCGAAGTCCTGAGTGCACAAAGATCACACGAGGACAGAGGCTCCTGGGCCTGCACAAACCACAGTTCCGGGCACCCCAGCTCCAGCCGGCCCGCACGCTCCACCAGGGCCTGTCCCCACACCTGCCCTGGGACAGAGGCTCTCACCCCATGCAGCCACGCAGAGAAAGACCACCCCCGATTCGCACCTGCAGAGGTGCCCAGGGGGGTCCCGCCTCCCCAGGGACAGCGAGTCACACCTGCCACCTCCCAGGGCAGTCACAATGCCAGCCCACAGGAGCCGCAGGAGCTTTGCCCTCCTAAAGATCATGTTGTTGGAAGACCAGAGCCTTCGGGGGCTTAGTTATGCTCTGAGGGTCCTAAAGCCACGTGAGGGTAGCTAAGGCCACCACAGTCCCCCACTCGGCGGGGGAGGGAGGGCAAGAATGACATTGAAGGTGGCAAACAAGGAAAAACAAGGAACGGGGTCTCTGCCCTCTCTCTCGGGGGCCCCTGACCTCTCTGGGGTCTCTGGCCTCTCACGGGGTCTCTGCTCTTTTGGGGGTCACTGGCCTCAGAGTTCTCTGCCCTCTGAGGAGTCTCTGCCCTCCTGGGGTCTCTGCCCTCTCCGGGTCTCTGCTCTCTTGGGATTGCTGCCCTCTGGGGGTCTCTGCTGTCTCGGGGTCTCTGCCCTCTCGGGGGTCTCTGTTCTGGGGGTGGTCTCTTCTGTCTCAGTGCCATGTCCCTGCCTTGCCTTTCTCCTCTCTGGTCGTCCTAGCTCCCAGGACCTAAGCTGGCCTTGGATGAACCCAGTACGGTGCCTCTCCTGCCTGTATCGGGGCATCCGGGCACTGCCAGCGTCCCATTACTGGACTCTGGTCAAGGAGCTTGGTGTGGATAACGGGAAGTTTTGGAAACTTCCCACCCTTCCCAGAGGGCTTAAAGGGACTGGGGCGAACGCCCAACCCAGCCACAGCCGTCCAGGGCTTTGTTTCTGACATGCCTTAAAAGGGGACAGAGTGGCCGCCGAGGGGACGGAGCCTGCCGTGTCCCGTGTGCAGCGGCGGACCACCAGGCAGAGCGCCAAGGGGAGTGTCCGGAGATCCAGCATGGGAAGAGCCCCCTGCCACTTCCAGCAAGGAGCACACAGGTGCATCCGTTCTTTCTGCCCCACACTTTCTAGGGACAGCAGGCCGAGCCCATGGTGTGCGCCGTCAGCATGGGCTCTGCAGCCTCCGACCCATGTGCGGCCTGCCCGGACCCTCGCTCCTCCGTGTGCGGCTCGCCTGGACCCTCGCTCCTTTGGGCCGTCACTCTCCCTACTTTGTAGACCTGGAATGCCATCCCTGCCCCAGCTCCACTGCCCATGGGTGGCCATCCAGCAGCCACGGTGGAGTACACGCTGCACTGTGGTGCCCAGGGGCCCTCTATCACGGCAGGACTCCCCAACGCGATGTCCCCGGGGTTCACTGCCCCAGCCCTCAGTGGCCTGCCTCTCTAGGCATTGCACTGGCAGAAGAAAATGTTCTCGTCCAAGCTCACAGCCACCAAGGTCACAGGCTACCAAGGTCATGGCCACCCACACCGGGCAGCTGACCTCCAGGATCATCCTCGGGAGATGCCCGCCTGGCCCCACCTGGCCGCCCTGCCCCATTTGCCCCATCACCCCACACCACTGCACTCCAGCCTGGGCGACAGAGCAAGACTCCGTCTCAAAAAAACAAAAGAAAAGAAAAGAGAAAAAGAACTCTATGTCCTCATTTCAAATGCAGGGAGAGTCTCTCGGTTTAAACCGTAAGTGCCCTTCCCAACTCGGCAGACCCGCCCCAGTGAAGAGCATTTTCATGACTTGGGAACAGGACACTCACCTTGCCACTAGGCAGGACTGTACTCACTGGCTCGGGGGGCGCCCAGGCAGGAGACAAAGCATTTTCCCATGGCATATGGATGGCTTCCGTGTGCTGCATGACTGGGCAGTGTGAGAAAAACGCAACCCCCAGTGACTGCTGTAGAGGACAATTCAGCCAAAAATCAAACTGCCACCGTCATCTGCTGAGACCTTGATTTCCCAGGGCCTGGTGGTGCTGAAATACTCAGAACATCCTGAATGAATGAATGTCCACTTCCTTCACCAGCTCTGTGCTGGGGAGGGGGCAGGGCCTGCGTCTGATCAGGAGCTCCTCCCCCGGGGACCAGCCTGGAACCCCTTATAGCGATCAGGAGACACAGGAGACACCCTGAATGACGACACTGAGCTCTTTCCAATCTCTTGCTTGTCCCAGCGAGTACAGTGAGCACATCTTTCCCTGTGCTCTGGGCAAACCCCTGCGGCAGCAGCTCCTACCGTGAAATTGGTGTTTCTGGGTCACAGGGTTTGTGCCTTTGTGATTTTGTTGCTATTGCCAAATACCCTCTGCAGAATTGTGCCAAGGCACCTCCCCACCAGCCTGAGCATTTGCAGTGAAACGCTTTAGCAATCCTGACATTTCTGCCAGCATATTCCACAGCATGCTCTCTTTGCCACATTAATCAACAGGAGCTCAGAGGAAAACTTGAACTTCAGGCTGAGCCATTTCCTGCAATCTGAAAAATGAACGTGGCCTTCGGACACAGGGTGGTCCCTTGCCAGGGACTGGATGGAACTGGTTCAATTCCCCGCTCCTGGGCTTCCTGGTGTGCAACGTGAGCCATGCTCACCCCAGGGTGGCTGGGAAAAAACGCCGGTCCGCTCTGAGCATTCGTTTCAGTGATGGCTGTTCTTGTTCACGTGAGATGTGCCAACTCTACAATACTAAACCGTTGGGAGAAGCTTCAAGGGGACAGCACCTGGGGAGGGGCAGTGGCGGGCTCCAGGTTGCCCAAGGCTGTCATGGAGAGGAGGAGACCCCAGTCCAGCCCAGCCTTGTGCCTGCAGTGGAGGTTCCAGTTGTGAAGGGGCTCCAAGTGCCTTGTTCATCCTTTGCTTGATAATGAACCACCTCTGCCAGGTGCCAGCTGTACTGTGCACCTGCAGCTCCACACCCTCTAGGCACCAGCCCCTCCACTCTTTGGCCTCTTCGACAGGGAACCCCGAGGGGACAGTGGAGCAGGCCTGGGGCTGTTCCAGGCAGCAGGGGGGCGCCTGGGTCAGCGTCCCCACCCGCTGCCCTCCCCGGCCTTCCAACTTGCTGTGTGCACATTAACAACATGGACGGTCTTTTTCTTTTATTATAAAAGTGATTCATTCTCTTGTGAAGATTTAAATATGAAAGAGTGGATCTCCGCTAATCCCACCCGGTGATGATAGCAGCCGACAGATGGGCGAGCATAGAGCTCAGACATTGCCAGCAGCGTCAGATCCTTATATATCCAGAGCACGGCTCACACGCCACCGCCCTGCTGGCTCTGTCAGCCGCATGGTCCTCCGCGACACCTGGGGCTCTCCCTCCTTCCTTTGTGTGCACAACCTCAAAGCCATTTTTTCCAGACTTGGCGTGAAGATGATTTTCTGACACGTTGATGCTTCTGAAGCACAAGGAGGGCCCTGTCTCCACGGTGTCCAAGCAGAGGCTGACATCCTTTCAGGAGGGAGGTGATTCGGGCGCAGCTGGGCTGGCGGGAGGCATGGAGGCTGAGTCCCCTTCCTCACTGCTCTCTACCTGGAGAAGAAACCACCAGACCATGAGGCCGAGCTGGGGAAAGTTCCGGGGGGCTGCTTGGGCTCTGTGCTCCCTCCACTGGGGCAGGCGGAGGGCCCTGCGTGCTCCTTCCAGGCAGGGGCTGAGGGGACTGTGGAAGCCACGACAGGGGTCTGTGTGAACAGAAGACCCAAGGACAAGGTGCCCCAGCACTCCCAGCCACTAGCAAGGACAGGCAATTTTCAAAACTTCTCCCCAAACTACAACCTCAGGAAAAGGGGTGGAGAAAACTCCTTTGACAGAGATTTGGTTTTCACCACCATGACAGGACAATGATGATGGATGGAAGCTGTGGCTGGGCGTGGGAAGGCTGAGTGTGCAAATGTGGGTGGAGTTCTGGGGCCCCGCCCCCGCCAGTCTTCCACTTGGTCCCTGTGAGGACCCACATGAGGGAAGTGTTGCTTCTGGCCTCAGAACCCAAGGCAGAGCAGGCTGGAGTCCCACCCCATGGATCACGAGCCCACGCTGTGACCCTGAGTCCTGGACATGCGCAGAGGGAGGGTGTGCACGAGCCCGGGAGCTCCTGTCTCTGTCTTAAGAGTGGAGCATGTCTTAAGAGCTGGCATGAGGATCAGAGGGTCCCTTCAGTGCGGCCTTCTAGAAGAACTACAGCAACCAGGCCCTCGCAGGGGGGAGATGCACCTGCTGGGGCTAAGGAGCGAGTGAAGCCAGCCCCTGAGACACATGCTCCCAACCCCATCCTCACCTCCCAAGAGAGGGGGAGCCTCCTGTTAAGCATCCAAGTCCCAAGTCACCGGCCGGCATCGGCTGCAGCTCTCTGTGTGTGGAGACATCTCATTCTGGTGTCTTCTTTACACAGGTCAGCGCTCACAGGCTCGGCTGTGTCTCAAGACCCAATTCCTTCGAGTCACTGAGATGCCCAAGGACAAGGGCAACAGAGAGTGTGAAAAGCTGGAGTAGACAGGACAGAAAACAGGGTGCAGCGTCCCCCAGGTTGGCAGATAGCCCAGCCCCAGGGACCCCACAGCCATGGCAACCTGTGTGAATGAGCCCCAGGAGCAGGGCAGTACACGATCTGCGCGACTGTGCGGGGCAGCCCTGGGTCTCTGCCTCAGGGGAGAGATTGTGTCCTCGCCTTTTGTGGTTTCTAGAGGTTCCTGCCCTCCTTGGCTGCACGGCATCTCCCAGCCTCTCTCTCCCTTCCGTCGTCCCCTCTCCTCCTCTGACCCTGACCCTCCCAGTCCCTCTTAGAGGGGCTGTGATTAAACTGTGCCCACCCTGACCATCCAGAATAATCTCCCATCTCAAGGTCCTTAACAGCATGTGGAACTGCACTAGCCGCCCCAAGGCCCCCAAAAGGCAACCCTGGATTGGGCCCCCCAAGTTGCCTGGGATTCATGGCCACCACCCGGCTCGACGGCTCCAGACCGAAATGCACCCAGTTATAGAAACAGACAGTTGCCTCTTGAATGTGCACATGTGTGAGGAGAGTGTCACACCCGTCGAATTAAGGTGGACCCGCCATGAGTGGGGGCAATGCTGGCCAATGCCCACCTGCCCAGCACCCACAGCTCTCGGCCTGGGGCTCCCTCTGTCTCTGGAGCCCGCACTAAAGTGTGCGTCTCCATCCACGACTGGCAGGGCTTGGGGCATAGACATCCCGCTGCCTTGCCTGGAGGCGCCCCAGGCCTCCACTCCCACACTGTCTCAGGGCTCCCCGGGGCTCGGCTCTCCTTGCTCACAGTGGTCCGGGCTGGGGTTCCTTCTTGGTTGCATTTCCAGCTGTGTTCTTTCCTTCACTTTCTCACTCTCCCTTGCCTCAGGGTCTGCATCTGGGGGTCCACTGGGGAGGACTCAGCCTCTCCCGCGTCCTCCATCCCACACACCTGTCCCTGGGCAGCCACGGGGAACAGGAGCACAGGGGACAGCAGGCAGAGGGCAGCGCCCGGGCGAAGGGGACTTTCGCCCTTGCTTCATGCAGCCCTGGCACCCGCAGCAGGGTAAGACGAGATCCCAGAGGAGGAGTCTTGGCCGCAGAACTGCAGGGCCAAGGCACCAGCCGCTCGGGGGCCTGGAGAGCTCAGGTCACAAACTTGAAGTCAGCTGCCCAGGAAGCAGCCTCAGCTGGGGGTCACAGGCCAACTGGGCAGTGCCCTTGGCCACACCTGTGGAAGGAGGACAGAGGAGGGCAGGGCGGAGGAGGGAGGTGCTGGGCTGCAATGTCACCTCTACAGACCTCGGCTGATCCCAAGGGGGTCCACAGTGGATATGGTCCTTCAGGGGTGCCCTTGAAGGCAGGAAGGGGACAGGACTTTATACTGTTCCTCCCACCCCTTCGAGCAGTCACCAACTGCAGCCCAGATGAGGTCAACAGGTACAGAAAGGAGGGGGTGGGACAGGAAGGAGGGGCGGGACAGGAAGGAGGGGGCGGGACAGGAAGGAGGGGCAGGACAGGAAGGAGAGGGTGGGACAGGAAGGAGGGGCGGGACAGGAAGGAGGGGGCGGGACAGGAGGAGGAGATGGGAACAGGGAGGTGGAACGGGAAGGAGGAAATGGGACAGGAAGGAAGAGATGGGAGCAGGAAGGAGATAGGACTGGAAGGAGGAGATGGGACTGGAAGGAGGAAATGGGACAGGAAGGAGGAGATGAGGCAGGAAGGAGGAGATGAGGCAGGAAGGAGATGAGGCAGGAAGGAGGAGATGAGGCAGGAAGGAGGAGATGAGGCAGAAAGGAGGAGATGGGACGGAAAGGAGGGGATAGGACAGAAACGAGGGATCAGGGTCCTATTCTAATCTCCTGGGGGCATGATTGCAGGGGGTGACATGATTACTTCCAGCCAGCCCTACATGAGCCACCTCGTCCATGGAGTCAGCCCCGCCAGGGCAGCAGAGCCCTGGGTTCGCACAGGGAGCCAGGGTGGCGTGGGGCCTGCATTGCAGACTCCATTTGTCCACATCAATCACTTCTCTACGGCCCAAATCACCCTTAGTTGCCCAGTTCCTGCTCCGCGGCAGTCTGGCTCCTGCTGGCGCCCCAGCCATCTGTCTGCATTAGAGAATGATGCTTGCCAGGGCCTCAGGGAGGTGGCACGGATGGGCAACACTGTGCTCCCGGACCAGGTGACAGACACCACCTCATGCCCCATGGCATGGACCTCCACCTGTCTGATGGCTTTGCCCCAGCCTATCTGATGGCATGGTCCCTGGCCAGTCTATCTAATGGCGTGGTCCCCAGCATGTCTGATGGCGTGGTCCCCAGCCTGCCTGATGGCGTGGTCCCCAGCCTGTCTGATGGCATGGTCCCCGGCCTGTCTGATGGCGTGGTCCCCAGTCTGTCTGATGGCGTGGTCCCCGGCCTGTCTGATGGCGTGGTCCCCGGCCTGTCTGATGGCATGGTCCCCGGTCTGTCTGATGGTGTGGTCCCCAGCCTGTCTGATGGTGTGGTCCCCGGCCTGTCTGATGGCTTGGTCCCTGGTCTATTTGATGGTGTGGTCCCCAGCCTGTCTGAAGGTGTGGTCCCCAGCCTGTCTGATGGCGTGGTCCCCGGCCTGTCTGATGGCTTGGTCCCTGGTCTATTTGATGGTGTGGTCCCCAGCCTATCTGAAGGTGTGGTCCCCGACCTATCTATCTGATGGTTTGGTCCCCAGCCTGTCTGATGGCGTCGTCCCCGGCTTGTCTGATGGCATGGTCCCCGGCTTGTCTGATGGCATGGTCCCCAGCCTGTCTGATGGCATGGTCCTCAGCCTATCTGATGGTGTGGTTGGTGTGGTCCCCAGCCTATCTATCTGATGGTGTGGTTCCCTGGCCTATTCGATGGTGTGGTCCCCAGCCTGTCTGATGGGGTGGTCCTCTGTTGGCTGGTGTGATCCTGCCTCTTGTCTCACATCGTGAACCCTGGCCTGCAGGAGGTGACCCAAGGCTGATGACTCCTTCTCCGGGGCCCTTGCACCACACAGCCTGGCCCTGATTACAGCCCCTGGGCTCCTGTACCTGTCCTCGCAGCCCCCACTCTGCCACTTTGCATTTGTCTGTTTCACTCAACACACATTTAATGAGCACCTACTGTGTGTACCAAGCCCAGTGGGGAACAGCACATCAATGAGGCTGGTGCGGGAGGCCTTGGGTACCCTCCGTCTGGCTCCCCGCCCCAGCGCATGAGGCTGCCTCTCTGGGTCTCGGACGCCCACACCGCAGTGTCTGGGAGAAGGCCTGGAAGCCTGCATTTGGGCAGTGGCTCTGGGGCCCGGCCTTGCTGGCTTCCGGTGGCCCCAGGCAATGACTCCTCCCTGTCTCCATTTACAGATGGGGAGAGGAGCTGAGGATGGTGGGCCCGTGACCCTGAGTGGCCAGTTCATTCCCCAGGCCCTGACTGGTGCAGCAAGAAAGAGAATCCGCCTTGGGTTGGGGGATGTGGCATGAACTTTAAGATCCACCCTTTTCCACCCTGGGATCCTGGCCCCCGTCCCGCATCCCAGCCCCAGCCAGGACAGCCCCTGGCCACACCTTCTCGGCACATCAAGAGTCATGAGAGGCAGCGTCTGCCACCAGGAGGCCTCGTCCCACCGGGCCACCTGGCCAGGGCAGCTGCGACAGGAGGCAGAGCTGAGGCCCTGAGCCCTCCTCTGCCCATTCCCAGCTCACCCTCAGGGTTCTAGCCCTGTGTCGCTGCCCCTCTGATCCAAAAACTTGCCACAGGTCCCCTCCCTGCCATGCTGCCCTCTGAGTGACACCCACCCCCTGCAGCCCCCACAGCCCCCACCTTCCCTTCAGAAAGCAGGAGCTGTTGGCCCCGGGGCCCCGCCCACAGGCCACGGTGTCAGTGGTGGCTGAAGTCCGCCGTGCTCACCAATCCTCTGCAGTCTCGCCCCTGCAACAACAGCACTTGAGGAAGGAACTGGCCACGCAGCCTTTCATGAGGTGGGAAACTGAGGCTCAAGGGTGTCTGTACTTTGAACTGGACCACCCCGCTGTGAGAAGGAGCAGGGCAGAGACTGGGAGCACCCACCCTCCCGCACCCTGTGTGCTGACATGAGCTCATCCCTGCTGCTGCAGGGCCAGAGAGACAGACGGACAGTTTGACGGTGGTCCCTGGAAGGGTCGACACAAATGAAAAAATTTTTTAAATTAATCTTCTTTCCTGCAAAAGGGAAAACAGACCCCTTTTCTTTCGGCTTTTAGTTAGAAAGCTCTTCGTTGTGGATTCTTTGAATGTGGGTAAATCTTTTTTTTTTTTTTTCTTTTTTTTGTGATGGAGTCTTGCTCTGTCGCCAGGCTGGATTGCAATGGCACGATCTTGGCTCACTGCAACCTCTGCCTCCCGGGTTCAAGCGATTCTCCTGCCTCAGCCTTCTGAGTAGCTGCGACTACAGGCGCCCGCCACCAGCCCAGCTAATTTTTTGTATTTTAGTAGAGACAGTGTTTCATCATGTTGGCCAGGATGGTCTCGAACTCCCTACCTCGTGATCTGCCCACCTCAGCCTCCCAGTGTTGGGATTACAGGCATGAGCCACCATGCCCAGCCAAATGTGGGTAAATCTTTTTAAAAGCTGAATAAGCCCCCTGCCTGGGCACAAGCCAGGGATGTCTTTCCCAGGGGCAGGATGCACCATCTTTGAAACGTGGACATCAAGGAAGGCGGCACCTGCCTCCCCGCTCCCTGCCCAAGCCCAGGAGCCCGACTTTGGCGGGCGCAGTGCTTCAGAACCACCTCCCGTCGTAGAGACACGAGGAGTTTGTTTTTCCTTTGGATAAAGCCAATTAGCTGGCACAGATGGTCACCCCAGTCCCCAGGTGGATGTGTGGTGGCGTCTGTGTGACAAATGGTGCCGCCAAGCCGTCCCACGGGAAGACGAGCTCCTGTTTGTCTTTCAAGGAGAGATGCACGTAGCGGACTGCATCCGCCCGGCTGTGTGCAGGCTGAGATTTCTCTCTGTCTTTGCAAACTCTCAGCAGCTTGCACGTCGTGCACCTGGCATCCTGGTTTGATGCTCAATCAATGGCAAAACGGGTTTCTTTCTTTTCTGCCTTAGTGGAGAGGTCTGGGGGTTAGCAAGAGATTTTGTTTTTAATTGTATTTCTCCAACACCCCATGAGATGCTCCAACTCCATGTGACTAGGAAGGGGCAAGGGAGGAAACCTGTGGAGTCCCCTGCACAGGACGCTGTCTCCGCCCTGCTACGACGCTGTCTCCGCCCTGCTACCATGCTTATTCCTGGCTGCTGCTTTGCTGTTGACTCTCACAGGCAGATGAGGTGTCTGCTCAGAGAAGAGCCCAGGTGCCACCGAGGGAATGCAACGTGCCACACCCCAAGACATGACACTTGTGAGAACAGTGTGGCCCAGCCCCCACTCCGGGCACAGCCTCGGACACCCTGCCCGCCTCCGCCCATGGAGGTGCGGCCTGCAAAGCGTACCTGCCGCCGCCTTCCCATCCCTCGGGAAAGCCAGCCTCATGTCCAGTCTAAGGAGAATTCTAAGGGATGCTGCCAGCCACCTGCAGGCTCCGGGCTGAGCTCAAGGGAGGGGCCAAGGGCGGCTTTAAAAGGCCTTCACTGATCACTTGCCAAGAAGCCCAAAATAGCTTCCCAATCTACCAGCCTCCATGTGCGCCGTGACCGGGACATGTTCTGAGTCTTGTCTTTTCATTTTTTGTGTTTTTCAAAAGTATACAACTTATAAATAAGAGTATAAAGCCTGGCGTGGTGGTTCACGCCTGTAATCCCAACACTTTAGGAGGCCGAGGCAGGTGGATCACGAGGTCAGGAGTTCAAGACCAGCATGGCCAAGATGGTGAAACCCTCTCTACCAAAACACAAAAAAATAGCCGGGAGTGATGGCGGGAGTCTGTAATCCCAGCTACTCGGGAGGCTGAGGCAGAGAATTGCTTAAACCTTGGAGGCGGAGGTTGCAGTGAGCCAAGATCACGCCACTGCACTCCAGCTTGGGTGACAGAGTGAGATTCCGTCTCAAAAAAAGTATAATTTCCAGTAGGTAACACGTGCACGTGGAGCCACACACAGGAGGCAAAAGCAAAGTCCACGTCCTCCCAGCCCCAGGCCTCTTCCTCAAGGCAGCCCTGGGAGGCGTTTACATGCTCCTAGAGGGATGGGACAACCTGGTCCCTCCTCTCCCACCTACGGACAATTTGTCCCTTTGAATCAGGAGAATTGGGTCTGGTCAGGGAACCTAAGGCTGTTTCACACTGACTTATTAGAACTAAATTCTAAATTGAAAGGAAAACTCTAACTTTCCAGGCCTAAGTAACAAAAGGACCAGAGGCTACTCCCTTTGCAAACCCGGCAGATGGAAAATTAAAAGTATCTCTGATTGGTTGCTTTTTGCAACCAATTAGATGTTTGCATAGGAGTGTAACTTTGTTTTTTGTTTGTTTGTTTGTTTTTTGGCTTTTTGTTTGTTTTCATTTTGTTTTGCTTTTTGAGATAGAGTCTCGCTCTGTTGCCCTTGCTGAAGTGCAGTGGGACAGTCTCAGCTCACTGCAACCTCTGCCTCCTGGGTTCAAGCAATTCTCATTCCTCAGCCTCCTGAGTAGCTGGGATTACAGGTGCACGCCACCACACCCAGCTAATTTTTGTATTTTTAGTAGAGACTAAAGCAGGGTTTCACCGTGTTGGCCATGCTGGTCTTGAACTCCTGACCTCAGGTGATCCGCCTGCCTGGGCCTCCCGAAGTGCCGGGATTACAGGCATAAGTCACAGTGCCTGGCCAGGAGTGTAACTTTGTAACTTCACTTCAGCCTCTGATTGGTTGCTCTCTGCAGCCAATCAGACTGGTTGCAGTCACCACTTCATTTACATAAGGTGAGCACCAAGTGCCAATGGGAAACCTCTAGGGGGTATTTGGACCCGAGAAGATTCTGTATCCAGGGCCCTTGCACACTCCCGCTCCCACACTGTGGGGCGTACTTTATTTTCAATAAATCCCTGCTTTCGTTGCTTCATTCTTTCCTTGCTTTGCTGTGCATTTTGTCCAATTCTTTGTTTAAATGCCAAGAACCTGGACAACTTGCAGTCCAGACCCTCCACCGGTAACACCTTCTCCCTGCCCAGCACCGGCGCCGAGGTCTCTTCATCTCACTGCAGCACAGAGCTCTTTCCCCATGAGACTCAGCACCGCCTCCTGCCGAGAGAGGCAGCTTAGTGTCTGTGGGAAGCAGAATGCCAGCATCCCAATCCCTTCATGTGCTACCATGACGTGTGGCGGGGGAAGGAGACTTGGCAGCTGTGGTTAAGGTGAAGGTGGGGGACAATCCTGGATTCCCCAGTGAGCCCAGCGTATGAACCCTTAAAAGAGAGCGCATTGGCCAGCTTCTCCCTGGAGGCCGAGCCATAAGGCAGGAGGCGGAGGCAGAGAGAGTCGAGGTAAGGACATGACCTGGTTTTGCTCTGAAGATGGAGGATGGAGCCGTGAGCCAGAGAACGGAGCAGCCTCCAGAAGCTGGGAGCAGCCTTTGGCCAACAGCCAGCAAGGATGTGGGACCCAGGTCCTGCAACTGTAGGGCCTGGATTCTGACAACAGCTTGTCAGAGCAGGAAGCCAGTTCTTCCTGGAGCCTCCCAGCAAGAACCCTGCTGGCTGAAACCTCAATTTCAGCCTCATGAGACCTTGAACAGAAAAACCAGAAGAACCCGCGAGAACCTCTGACCTCCAGAGCATGAGATGAAAAATGGACGTTGGTTTACGCTGCTACATTTGTTATAATTTGTCCCAGCAGCAGTGGGAAACACACAGTATCCCCCTTGCCTGCTCTGCTGATAGAAAGGTACATTGTTTTCAACCTTCTGCTATGAAGAAAGCTTTGCATTAACTCTCCTTGCTCATATGCACATGGAGTGGAGGACAAATCTGCTGTCAAGCCCTGAATTGGGTTTTTGAGACACTGTCCGTCCAAACACCCACAGTGTGCCCCTGTGCAGAGGCTATGCGTACACAAGGCCCCACCATCCACAGGACGACAGAGGCTGGCTTGGCCAGCCCAAGACCATCCGGCCCCTCAGGAGCTGCCTGACTCCAGGAGCTCGTAGGCCATGCCCCGGCTCCCCCTGGGCAGGCTGCCTCCTGGGTCTGAGTGGGGAACAGGAAGGCCTCAGCCTCTCAGGTCAACAGAAAGTTTGTGCTCAGATGGGCTGAATGTTCCGGGTCCATTTCCTCCTCAAGCCCAGAAGGGTTTGCTTTGCAGGAACCTGTTCCAAGTGATTTCGAAGTACTCAAAGGCTCTTTGGTGGATGTGTCAGGATCCCAATTCCTGAAATAAGAAAGTTGTGTCAAAAATCACAAAAGACGCTGGGCGCGGTGGCTCACATTTGTAATCCCAGCACTTTGGGAGACCGAGGTGGGCAGATCACTTGAGTTTAGGAGTTCAAGACCAGCCTGGCCAGTATGGTGAAACCCTGTCTCTATTAAAAATACAACAATTAGCTCGGTGTGGTGGCAGGTGTCTGTAATCCCAGCTACTTGGGAGGCTGAGGCAGGAGAATCACTTGAACCCAGGAGGTGGAGGTTGCAGTGAGCCGAGATCATCGCGCCCCTGCACTCCAGCCTGGGCGACAGAGTGAGACTGCATCTCAAAAATAAATAAAATCAAAAGGAACTGGCCTGGCCCAACATCCTGGCCGCTGCGTCCTCCTCGCTGCAAAGTCAGATTCCTCGCTCCCGCTGTGGGGTTTCCTGGACCCCTGCCCACAGTCTGCTAAGTGCCTAACCTGGCCACTATTGGAGCCCCCGATCCCACAGAGGTGGCTGTTCAGAGAGAAGCGGTGGGCCCAGTGTTCCCCAGGCCACACTCCACAAGTAGGTGCAGGAAGAAGAGAGGTGACACTTGGGGCTGCTGGGGCTCAGCCCCTCCAGGGCCCTCAAGAGGGGTGTATAAGCCTCCCACCCAGGGGTGACGAGCTGGGTGCTCCCCACCAACACCCGCTGGCATCAGCAGCAGCTGATCCTAGGGCATCACCTGCCCGAAAGCCAAGGAAGCCCCTTGCAGAGGGCAGCGTATCTGGCAGTGGCCACTCGGGTGGGGCCGCCTTCCTCAAGCTCCCAACCCAGCAAGGACTCCCTTGCCTCAGGCTCTCCCCTGCCTCTCTCTCAGCCGCGTGAGCACGGCTCTGGGCACCGCACCTGCACCCAGCAGAACTGTGCTAACCGGGCCAGATCTCCAGGGGCCAACACAGCCTGGCCTCTAGGACGGGCCACGCTGCGAGGGAGGGAGGCAAGTGTGGGGAGGCCGGATTCCACCTGTTTGGTTTTTGATTAGGGAATGGCAGAAACCCAGGCCTCCCGGGGCAGGGATTCAGCTCTCCTAACGGAGGCAGCCTTGGTGGGGGATACTTTTCAGCAGGGACTCTTTTATCCCAGAGTGTTTTTGCTGTGTGCGCGATGACTGGCTCAGTTTTTGTAATAATCGTTTCCATCAGCATAGAGACAGCTGTTTATATTCTTCAACTTTGTATTATGAAAAACGTCAGACAGAAAAGTCGAGAGACTAGTATCGCATGCACCTGTGTGCACAGCATCCAGATTCAACAGTTACGAAGGGAAAATTCCACATTTTATTTTAAATTTACTAAAGACTGAAACACACCAAGTACCGCAGGAAGGATAACCTGGGTGGAGGAGGGATGGGGCTGGAGAGTCGGGGCACAAGGGTGAGGGGAATGGGGTGGGTGGGACAGAGGTGGGGGATGGAGGGTGGGGTAGCATGGGGTGGAGTGGGGGATGGAAGGTGGGATGGGGCTGGGTGGGACCGGGTGGGGAGATGGAGGGTGGGGTGAGGCAGAGGTGGGGGAATTGATGGGCGGGTGGAGGTGGGTGAGGGTAGGGTGGGATGGGTGAGACATGGGAGGGATGGAGCATGGGGTGAGGCAGAGGTGAGGGGATGAAGGGCGGGGTGGGCCAGGGGCAGCCCCCAGTGCCCACAGCTGGAGCAGGCGAGGGGCAGGAGGGAGCGGCTGCCTGCCCCTGCGCTGGGTGGGCCCTGGGGCGCCCCCTGGCCTGCTGCCAGGTCTCCTGAAGGAGGGGTTTGTTCCCGCCTCCCGAGCCCACAGTCTGGTCTGTGTGTGCCTGTGTCTGTTGACAACTCCATGAGTGAACTGTGATACGTCAAGGCTTGGGGGAAGTGTGGGAAATGCTTGTGATTTTCTTTCTCTGTAGAAGTGGAGCAGAGAGAAAGCAGCTCCCACAGCGTGAGCGCCTGATACAGAGGAGACCCGGGGCTTGGAGGCCTTAGGCATTCACTCCAAAGACCTGAGAATTAAGGGAACGCGGCGGGGCCTCTTGCCCAGACCTGGAAGAACAGCAAGTGCTGCGAGGGCCTCTGCACCCCCTGAGGACCCCTACGCCCCCCGAGGACCCCTGTGCCCTGTGAGGGCCCCTGCACCCCTGGGCCTGGGTGGAGACCCACACACAACCCCACTATTCCAGGGGAAGAGAAAGGGGCCCTGTGGGGCTTGTCAACCATCACAGACCCAGAGACTCTGGGCAGAAGCTTCTGCCTGTCACGCTCAGCCTGCGACGGCCCCACCAGGAGAGCGCAGCCGTGAGTCCCAGAGGAAGCGGCTTAAAAGGCCCCTTTCCACCAGCCGCCAAGCCCCTCCAGGCTTTGCTGAGGCCCTGAGGTAGCCAAGCAAAAACCAGCCTCACTTCCCAGGAGCTCAATCACCAGAAACTTCAGGGAAACAAAAACCCACCGGAAGACGTTTTCCCTAATTACCCAGACAAGTCAGACAAAGGCCATGTAGAGCCTTTCCCGGAGTTTCCCAGCAAGCACCGCAGCATCTGGGTTCTCACGTGGCCGTCAAGCCTGTGCACCTCCACACGGAGCTCGGGACCCACCCCCAGGGCTCCTGGAGTCAGCTCAGCCTCCGCCAGCAGGCAGGCCCCAGTGCCCACAGGCATTTCTGGGCTTGCAGGGCACAGAGCCTGATGCTTTGCTCCAGCTCCCAGCGAATAGGAGAGGAGCCCACGTGGCTGCAGCGTGGGCAGAGGCACAAGCCCCCCACCCTGCTGGGAGCCCAGGTGGCCCAGGAGTGCTCCTAGCCTGGTCAGCTGCCCACGCCTCTGGCTTGCACTGTCTGAGGCCCTGAGAGGGAAGCCTAGCCTCCAGCTGCTTAGCCCCAAGAGGAAGGTAGGGCTCACAGGCTGGATGGGGGGTCAGACGCAGCAAGGACAAGAGGCCACTTGACTGTAGCCAGCACCTGCCTGTGTCCCAAGGCTGCAGTGTGTCCAGGAGGGCCCAACAATACCCATCTGTCTTGCCTTGGCCGCCGCCACAGCCAGCCTGACCACCCAGACCTGAGAGATTTGCTCACCAGGACACTCAACACAGCAGGCCGCAGAGCTGCCCAAGAGCCTTAAATCTGCTCCCACCTTTTCATTCTTGATCTCGGTGTAGACGTGCTCTGGAAGATGATCCATTTGGGGCATCGACACTCCTTCCTCTCGCCACTGTTTTTCTTAGTTACTGCATTATTTTCAGATGGCCGGTGGATACTTCATACCTGTAAGCAATGCACTGGAGCTGTGCTTCTTGGCTGGTGACTTCTGACTACTCCCACGGAGGGAAAGCCTGGGTCCCCTCCCACCCGCATTCCCACCCTCATCTTTTCCTTATGTCCCCTTCACGTTGTTAAGATCTTGGACATTTGCCTTCGTTCAATCATACATTTGAGACCTCCTTTTTCGTCTATAGGATGATTCTAACTAGGTTATATGGTTTGGCTGTGTCCCCACCCAAATCTCATCTTGAATTGTATCTCCCATAATCCTCACGTGTCATGGGAGGGACCCAGGGGGAGGTCACTGAATCACGGGAGCGGTTACCCAGGTTGCTGTCCTTGTGACAGTGAGTGAGCTCTCACAAGATCTGATGGTTTTATAAGGGGTTGTCCCCCTTTTGCTGGGCACTTCTCCTTCCTGCCACCGCGTGAAGAAGGACGTGTTTGCTTCCCCTTCTGCCATGATTGTAAGTTTCCTGAGGCCTCTTCAGCCCTGTGGAACTGTGAGTCACTTAAACCTCTTTCCTTTATAAATCACCCAGTCTCAGTTATATCTTTATCAGCAGTGTGAGAACAGACTAATACACCAGGCCATCCTGATAAACAGCACTTAAGTATTATGACGATTTAAATATCATCTTTTGAGAAGCCAAGTGCTACGTTTGTGTCCAAGGGCAGGAAATACAATGCCATTCTAAACCCTTCCGTGTAAACCAGACTCTGCGGAGCACTGGCTCTCTGTGCCCTGTTTGTTTCCACTCTCAGCTTTCACCTTTTCTCCATGTCCTTGCGTCCCCGTGGCCTCCTCCTTCCCAGCTGCTGTGGCTCAGGTGCTTCAGGTGCACTGAGCACCCCAGGTCTTGGCAGACACGTTGTCCTCACATGAGAAGATGTGGGCTGCAATTGAGGTTCTTGGTTCCTTGTGAACTTTGTCTTCAAGCATCCAGCGTCATTGATCCAAGCAGCTGTCACTCTGGCTCTGAGTCCTATGGGCACTCAGTTCCTCTCCAGAAGCTCTCAGGCCTTCCCTCCTTCCCTCCAGATTCTGAAATGTTGCCAGAAGGGGAAGCAACACCCTTTGCCTCAAGCCCGCTTGGTACTCGGGAGCCTGGCTCACATCTCTCTGTTCCCTTCCATGTTGTCCTCATGGAGCTGCAGTTGACACCCACTGGGTTGGCCCTTGAAACCCTAGCATCTCCCTCCTAACAGTCAACAGAAAACGCATCCAAAGCCCAGGTGCTGCAGAGCCCAGGTTAGGGGACATGCTGGGGCAGAGGGACTTACTTCAGAAGGACTTTTCTTGCCTATGAAAAGAATTGCTCCTTTTACAAAGAGGACATTGGCTGTTTTCTGTGTTGACCCAAAGAATAATTTCCCTTTGTTGCACAAAAAAAAAAAAGCAGAGCTGGACTTTAGAAGCTGAATGAATGGGGAAAGTTTCCATCTTTTTAAAAAATAAATTCTGCCCCTTGTGAACCCACAGGAACCCGACTGGAGAGCTGAAACCTCTGGGAAGCCAGGCCAGCCTCCGTGGCATTTTTCAAGTGTAATGTCTCCATCCTGGGTGTTTTTAAAGTCGTGATTGTCCCAGGGTTTTGAGGGATCCGCGGAGATGAGAATAGCGGTGTGAAATGATGCGTGACACTCACCACAGACGGCCATGTCAGAGCCTTGTCTGGAACATGCAAGCAGAGGCTGGCTTCATGGACCACAGATGGCCGTGTCAGAGCCTTATCTGGAACATGCAAGCAGAGGCTGGCTCCATGGGCAGAGGCGCTGCTGGCGCCAGGCTCCCCGTCAGCCTGGGCAGGAAGCTCCACGGCCAACATCAGTGAGACTCCAGCCTCTTGGGATCAAGGGCCCAGGCCGGCTAGGAACCTGAGAAGCCTTGTCCTTGCTGCCGGACGTCATCGCCTCTGAGAGCTGGTCTCTTGCTCTAGGCAGGGTCCCTGGGGTGACCCCCCAGCCTGCACCCCAACTGTCTACCACCCTCAGCTATCTGACACCTCTCCTGAAGAAGATGATTCCTGCCATGCCTGCAGAAAACTCCCAGGGGGCCACGGGAAGGGGAGCAAGATGGACAAGACTGGCCCTTCCCAGGCAGGAGAAAGGACAGCTGCCCCTCAAACCCACCATTCAGGGAAGGTGAGGCCAGGTGATGGGCCCTGGGGTAGCGCGGGCTCAGCACATGCCTGGTTCCGCCTGGTTCCTCCACCTGATGTAGGAAACACATTACCCAGTGCTCCTGCGCCTCAGTTTCCCCATCTGCAATGGAGGTAGCAGTGGCTCTACCGGGAGGTTACTATGATGCATAAGTGATGTTGCGCCGTGAAGAGCTGGCACAGCACGGGCAGAGAGTGACCAGGAACACGCTCCCACATCCCGACAGCTTGGTCCTTGTTGTCTGGGCTCCGGCTGAACAGGTCAGGACGAAGGTGCGGCCCCTTGGCTCTCGAAGTCACCATTTGCCGGCTGGACAAAGGTCCTTCCAGCTCAGCCTGTTTTTTTGTTTGTTTGTTTGTTTTAGACAAGGTCTCACTCATGTTGCCTAGGCTGGAGTGCAGCGGTACAATCACAGCTCACTGCAGCCTCGACTTCCCAGGGTCAAGCCATCCTCCCTTCTCAGCTTCCTGAGTAGCTGTGACTACAAGTGTGTGCCACCACACTCAGGAAATTTTTTTTTTTTTTTTTTGGTAGAGATGGAGGGCTCCCTAGGTTGTCCAGGCTGACATCAAACTGCTGGACTCAAGCAGTCTTCCCACCTCGGGCTTCCAGAGTGCTGGGATTACTGTCCCTGGCTGAGCTTGGTTCTTGGTGACAATGGGGCGGTGACTGAGAACTCAAAGGACCACACACCCCATGGCAGGCAGGAAACATGAGGCTCCTCTCCCCCAGCAGATTGGAAAAAGACAATGAGAAGCAGCTCAGCCCGCACCCCCCAGCCCATGTGAGCCAACTTAAAAACAGCTCGAGTGGCAATTGCGTGGCCTCTCCCACTGTGGTGCTCGCACCCACCAGCCCTGGAGAAGTGCTGGGCCCCGCCCCAAAGCGTCTGATGCCGCAGAGCTGTGTGTTGGGTGTGCTGCCCATGTGCACGTGTACACGAGTGTGTGTGTGTATATATGTGTCATACACATGCATGTGTGTGCACCTGGGTGTGCATGTGTGTGTCCATGTACGTGTGTTGTGTACATGTGTGCACGTGTGTGTGCATGTGTCGTACCTGTGTTGTACATGTGTTGTACCATGGCAGGCAGTACAGGTGTGTGTGTATATGTATACACACATGTGCACATGTGGGAAGAATACCTATTTCTGACAAGTCTCCGGGTGAGGCTGAGTCTGCCGTTGCAGGGCCCGCATTCTGAGCACCCTGGGTCTATCAGAACTCAAGCCCTCCTCCTCCTCCTACTGTCCCATCCCACAGAGGATAAGAGGTGTGCATGTGGACGGGGGTTCCAGGACAGCATGGCTTCTCACAGCAGAAACACGCAGCAGAATCTGTCCATCAAGGCAGGCGTGGTGAAATCAGTTAGGCACCCTTACCTAGGAATCCTCTGCGCCCACAAAAGCAGTACCTGGAGAGCCAGGTCCTGGGTCTCCCCTGGGCTATCATGGCCTGCCTCTCTCCCTCCCTCTACAGACCCTAAGGAGCACCCGGCAGGGAGAGCACCGCCCACCCTGCCCCTCAGTCATGCAGCTCACATCGGGCAGAGGTGACGCTGTGGACCTGGGTGGGCCCCACGTTTCAAGTCAAATCAAGCTGCTGACCAGGAGGTAATTCAGGCAAAAGGAGCAGAATCATCAGATAAAAGGTAGGATGCCCAGTTATATTTGAATTTCAGATAATTCAAATTTGATTCAAATTTGATAATTAAAATGTGAATGATTTTATAGTATAAGTATGTCCCGAATATATACATGGATTATATTACATTATGCTATGTTATATCATATTATTTTATTAGGAAGGTGGTGACCACTGCTAACCAGAAGGTGCCTGTCTCCCAGCCTCATGGGAACACGTGGTTCTTGGTCATGAGAGCTGGGTACAGTGGAAGGGATGTTTAGAAGGCTTTGGTCAAACATATATATATATATATATATATATATATATATATATATATTTGGGGCATACTTACACTACAAAATTATTCAATGTTTTTCTGAAATTCAAATTTACCTGGGCATCCTGTATTTTTATGTTAAATCTGGCAACCCCTGAAAAGAGCCAAAACCCCCTCAGGCGGTCGAGAGTGCGGCAGCCAAGCCAGCACGCTGCAGCTCCCTCCTTCTCGGGGCCGTGGCCTGGCCCTGCAGGGGACATCGTGGGAACAATAATTGTCCAAGTCTAGTGCTGGGGGCATCATGGGCGCTGCCCCAGAGCCACAACCAGCCCGCCTTTCAGTCAGCATGGTGAGTCTTCCGATGCCCCATGTGAAGAATTGAACTTCTTTTCTGAAAGCTGAGAGTGGCCCCCTCGTGGTGGGCAGGTTCCCAGGGAACGGAAACGCCTTCCCTTGGTTCCCTCCAGCAGAGTTCAGACAGGAGCCAAGATCTGGGTCCAAACAGTGGGTGGAAAACGCCCCCTAGAGGTGTGATGTGTTGGCTGCAAGCCTGGTGGCTGGGCCTGGGGACACCCTCACCAGGTTGCCTTCAATGGGGGGTTCCCCTGAAGCCCAACTTTTAATTTTCTGCAACCACAGGCTACTTTGGTCAGAAGGGAAATAATTAGATCAGAACCTTAATAGCGTTAATTTCCCCCAAATAGGAAGAAAGCAAAGGGAGGGGACATGAGAGCTGTTAATTAGGTGACGACCTCTCCTACCTGCTGTGTTGGAAAAGCGGCTCTATGGAAGACATAGCATCCAGGGCAGGAAGAGGCAGGCTCGGTGGTGTTGGGTTGGAAAGCCCCCGCCTCGTCCGGCGGCCATGCAGTCCCCAGCACCTCTGAGTCCACTCAGCCCAGGGAAGAGGACAACAGAGCTGTGCTCAGTGTCCAGCTGTCTGGATGAGGCCCAGGGAGATGGCCTGTGGTGGAGCAGGAGGACCTGGGGAAACAAAACCCACAGTGGCTGCCCAGCTGCAAAGGCTGCGTTCTTTCTACAGTGTCTGGGGTCTCAGGTATGAGTGGCAGAGGGAGCAGTCCCATCAGCCATGTCAGCCTCGTTGCAATGGAATTCCACTTCTGTCCCAGACACTCAGCCAGACAGGAGGAAACTGTGACCACAGGCATGTGGACACGCAAGGGTATGTTTGAGCAAAGCCTTCTAAACATCCCTTCCATTGCACCCGACTCTCATGACCAAGAACCAGGTGTCCCCATGGGGCTGGGAGATGGGCACCCTCTGGTTAGCAGTGGTCACCCCCTTCCAGAGATGACATCAGCTCCCCAGGCAAGAAACTCCACTTAGAACCCAGAGCCGATCTGAGGAATGATTCATGCAGCTAGACTTATACAAGACTGATCTATAAGCTGGAAGGCTTGTATGTTCACTGACCATGGGAAAGCCTTTCCAGGGCCTGAGCGTTTCCCACTTGGGATCCAAGTCCTCTGTTCCTGGGATCAAGATATTTGGGAAGCCACATCCATCTTTTGAAGGAAATTTGAGCAACAGGGATCAAAGAGTGAGGATCATTCATTCCATCCCCGTAAGGGAGGGAATGGGTCAGTAGGTTGTGTAGCCAGTCCACAAATGGTCACTGTCCACCTGCTGTGTGTTGGCCTTGCCTGAGAGGTGGGGGACAGTGGTGCCACGCCATTCCCAGCCCTGGCCCCCTGGAGCCAGCTGATAGCCTGGCAGGGGAGGCACACGTTGAACAAATTATCATCCGTGATTCACAATGACAAGTGTGCAAAGTGTATCCCACAAAGCACTTATTGAGTGAGAAACACAGGTGTGTGGCCACAGAGACCAAATGGGACCCTCACAGCTGGGGCGGTGACCTTGGAGCTGAGAGTGAAGGCTGCGCAGGAGAGAGACAGGCAAAGGGGTGGGGGCAGGCATTTGCACCCCAGGGGGCTGCAGGGTGATTTGCAAGGGGAGCCCAGGTGAGGGTCCACAGGGACTAGAGCAGGCCAAGAAGGGAGGTTGGTCAGGGGTCGGCTGGAGCCAGGCTTCTGAGGGTTGATTCCCGGCTCTGCCCTCAACCCAGGCAGTTCCCCACTCTACTCATCTCTGACTCCTCCCCTCAAAGCAGGCGTGACAGCGGCACCTGCCTCAGAAAGGAGGGGGCGTGTGGGGAAAGCAGGTATTTCATGACGACCGCCCAGCATAGAGCCCTGGAGACAGTACCCCTGCCCAGGTTCCCACTGGAGCAGGCAGACAGCCCCGGCTGGGATGAGCCAAGCGTGTGTCTCCATGTGGACCCGGCCCAATGTGGGGCTCAGCACCCTCGGGTCTCCTGGTCCGGGCTCCTGTCTCACGCTTTTATGCCATCTTTTCTCAATAGGCACAGGGGACCCCCAAGGGAGGAGGCGCTCCAGACTGAAGGAGGAGAGTACCTGGCAGGGACGGGTGGAGAGGCGCAGGGACCCCAAGGTGTCCAGGGAACAGTAAGGAGATGAGTAACGGTGAGGGTCCCGTCTCCCGAGCGTATCTGTGCTAAGGGGCTGTGGGCTGGGCTTCATTCCTCTTTAGAGCAAGGCTGAGGCCAGGGCCACCTAGGGGCCAGGGTAGAAGACGTACCACGTGACAGCAGTGGCCTAGACCCCTCACGAAGTCTCACTGGGCCATATCTCCACCAGGGCATGGCAGGGACCGGTATCACCAGCGGCCCCCTGCACAGATGGGGAAGCTGAGGCCCAGGTCCCAGTCAGCCAAGCCAGCTCTTGGACCACTCAGCGGTCCCAGCAGGTGAGGCTGACCAGAGCCTGCCTGGGCTAAGAGGCTGCGTTCACCAGTGCCAGCTGTGGTTGGTCACCAGGATGCCTGAGCGCGCTGGCACAGGCCCAGGGCACCCTGCAGAGCAACCAACCCTCACCGAGATCCCCAGGGAAGGGGCTGTTGTTGGCCCATTGTACGGAGGAGGGCACTGAACCCTCAAGAGGCTCAGGGCCTCGCCCGGTCACACAGCTGGAAGGCGCCAGAGCCAGGAAAGGGACCCGGAAGCCCGACCCGGAGCCTACACCCGCAGAGGCGAAAACATCTGCGTAGCGGCTCCCTGGCCAGTGGGCCGTGGTGGGCGTGGCCGAGAGGGAATGGGGCGGAGAGAAGCCCGTGAGGGCAGGGCGGAGGCGGAGGCGGAGGCAGAGGCGGAGCGGGCGGAGCCGGAGGCCGCGGCGGCCTTGATTGGAGGCCGCCTTAAGCTCGTCATGGATGCGTTTTGACCTGGCGGCCCCGCCCCTGACCCGCCCCCGAGCCGCCCTCCCGAGCGCTTCCCCGCCCGGCCCCAGCCTAGGCCCCGCCCTGATCTCGCCCCCTCTTCACCGTCCGGCCCCGGCCCCGCCCCGCGGTGGGGCCTCCGCAGCGACCCGCGGTTAACGCTTCCCCAGAGCTTGGGCTGCGCGGCGGCCGGGAGTCGGAGGCAGGCGGTCAAGGCCGGCAGGGCCGGACCCCCTACTTGCCCTTTCTCCCAGCAGGCGCTGGACTCTGGGGGCGGGCGTGAGCCCCTCCGTCCCGCACCCAGACCCGGGCAGCGAGCCCTATGCCTGCAGTAATTGTGGGGTTTCTGGTTTTGTTTTTTCCTTAACATCTTTATTGAGACCGTTAAGTTCACCCGCTTAAAGCGCACGATTCGGTGGGGTTTTGTTGCGAGCAACCGTGGCCACTATCTAATTCCAGAGCATTTCACCTCCTTAAAATGAAGCTGGGCCCGGCCGGGCGCGGTGGCTCAAGCCTGTAATCCCAGCACTTTGAGAGGCCGAGGAGGAAGGATCACCTGAGGTCAAGAGTTCGAGACCAGCCTGGCCAACATAGTGAAACCGCGTCTCTACTAAAAATACAAAAATTAGCCGGCCGTGGTGAGCGCCTGTAGTCCCAGCTACCCGGGAGTCTGAGGCAGTAGAATCGCTTGAACCCAAGAGGCAGAGGTTGCAGTGAGGCGAGATCGTGCCATTGCACCCCAGCCCGGGCAACAGAGCGAGACTCTGCCTCAAAAACAAACAAAAAAGAAGCCGGTCCCCATCCGCAGTGACTCGCGTTTCCCTCCCCCTCCCCCGTCCCCGGCAACCGTGCATCTACTTTCTATTCCTATGGAGTTGCCAGTTCTGGCTCTTCCTGTGAATGGATTCCCATGCTGTGTATTTTCGTGTCTGAATTCTCTGACTTTCGTCTCAGCCCGCACCCACGCTGCCGCAGTCCGCGCTCGCTGCTTTTAGGCTGAACGCGGCTGCGCCGTGCGGGTGCCCGCGCTCCGGGCGCCCCTCGCAGGTTCAGCCCCGGGTTGGGGGCGGCGCTTGCCTCGCGGCTGCGGGTCCCAGCCTGAACCTGTGTCTTGTTCCACTGCCGCGGGCGCCCGCCACGGAGCTGCTGCTTCCTAGGGAGACGGTTCCATCGTTGAAGGAACGGCCAGACTGTCTTTCGCAGCAGCGGCCCATCTGACCGCACAGCACGACCGCACGAGGGTCCCGAGCCCTGACCCTCGCAGCACTCGTCACCCCGGCCGCGTGGTTGTGGCGGTCTCGGCGGGGCAGGGGGTCCCCACGCGGGCTGATTCTAGTTTCGCGTGACCGATGGTGCTCATTAGCCATATCTGTACATCTTTTTTTTTTTTTCGAGTCGGAGTTTCGCTCTTGTTGCCCAGGCTGGATTGCAATGGCGCGATCTCGGCTCACTGCCTCCCGGGTTCAAGCGATTCTCCTGCCTCAGCCTCCCGAGTAACTGGGATTACAGGCGCCCGCCACTACGCCCGGCTACTTTTTTTGTATTTTTAGTAGAGACGGGGTTATACGATGTTGGCCAGGCTTGTCTCGAACTCCTGACCTCAGGTGATCCGCCCGCCTCGGCCCCCCAAAGTGCTGGGATTACAGGCGTGAGCCACCGCGCCCGGCCCATCTGTACATCTTCTTTGGAAAAATGTGTATCCAAATCCTTAGCCGTTTTATAGTTAGATTGTCTTTTTATTATCGAGTTATAAGAATTATTTATACCTTCTACAAGGAAGTTCATTATCAGATATAGGATTTGCAAATATTTTCTCTCATCTGTGGGTCGTCTTTTCACTTTTCTGATGGTTTCCTTTGAAGCACAGACTTTTTTGTTTGGGTGCAGTGTATTTCTTACTGTGCTTTAAAGAGGAACACGTTTTAAGAACCCCCGCGCGGGGCGGAGCAGGGCGGAGTCCCCGGCGGGAAGGGACCCGAGACCTCGGCTGCGCCTGCGCCGACGCCGGCGCGTGAGCCCGAGCGCGTACCCGGCGGAGCGCGCGCCCGCCCCCGAGTGCGCCTGCGCGGAGCTCGTGGCCGCGCCTGCTCCCGCCGGGGGCTCCTTGCTCGGCCGGGCCGCGGCCATGGGAGAGGCCGAGGTGGGCGGCGGGGGCGCCGCAGGCGACAAGGGCCCGGGGGAGGCGGCCACCAGCCCGGCGGAGGAGACAGTGGTGTGGAGCCCCGAGGTGGAGGTGTGCCTCTTCCACGCCATGCTGGGCCACAAGCCCGTCGGTGAGCGCCCAGGCTGCGGACGCGCGTGGGGGCGGGGCGGGCAACCGGCGGGGCGGGGCGGGGCCTGCGCTCGCGACACCCTCGCCCCCACGCTCCCCGCCGAGCCCGGGCCGTGACACCGCCGCCACACCCGTCCCGGGACCCCCGCCCCCTCCCACGCGCCCTTCGGACCCCGCCCCGGACCCCGCCCACGACCCCTACCCCCGTGAGACCGCGAGGTCCCAGCCCGCAGTGCCCCACCCCCACCCCCGCCCCGGGACAGCCCACCCCCTCCCACACACACCACCCAGCCCTGCCCCCCCACAGCCCCTCCACACCCTGGCCCTCCCCATCTCTCCGCAGCCACCCTTGCCCCTCCAGTCCCCAGGGCAGCCCGTCCCCTCCATCCCCTTTCTCCTCACCGCTCACCGGTTATCCCGCCGCCCCTCCTCCCCTCAGGTGTGAACCGACACTTCCACATGATTTGTATTCGGGACAAGTTCAGCCAGAACATCGGGCGGCAGGTCCCATCCAAGGTCATCTGGGACCATCTGAGCACCATGTACGACATGCAGGCGCTGGTGAGCCCAACCGCCCTCCCTGTGCCGCCCGATGGGGGCACGAACCCGCACACCGCTCTCTGAGAGTCAGCCTGAGCTGGGCAGAGGCCCCTCCATGTCTGCTGGGGTCTGCTGGGCAGAGTAGAGGCCCCTCCATGCCTGCTGGGGTCTGCAGTGAGCTCTCAGGGTCAGCCTGAGCTGGGCAGAGGCCCCTCCGTGCCTGCTGGGGTCCCCTGGGCAGAGACCCCTGCAGTGAGGCTCGTCCTTAAGGAGGACATCCCGGGGCTCCAGAGCCTGTCATGGAAAGCACAAACACAGTGCTAGCAGCTGGCTAGCTTTTCAGGGGCTCTGCTTTAGACTGGGTGCTGGGCCAGAGTCTCCAGCTGAGACCCTGGGGAGGGAGGGAAGGATGCAGAGTCCCGGGCCCTTAGGCCATTGTCAGCCTCCTGGGAGGCCCCCGAAGTGCTTTAGGCAGAGGGTGACCCTATCTGAGTCACACCAAGGTGAATTTGGTGACTTCTGTGGGAGTCAGACAAGTAGAGTTCCAGTCCTCGCAGAGCTTGGAGCTGGCACTGTGTGACGGGCGAGCGGGTTAACTAGGTAAGCAGGGTGGCCAGAAGAGACAGGTGGGTGTTCCAGGCCCTGTGGCAGCAGGAGGTGGTGGGTCCAGGAGCTCAAAGAAGGTGGTGTACTTGGAGAGTGGGGTGGGGGTCAGGGGTCAGGTGACCAGGAGGAGTGGGGACCTGTGCTGGTGGAGAGTCTGTGCCAGCCACGTTGGACTCAGGGCCACACCGGCCATCAGTATGACATAGGTCTCTCCCTCTGGTCTGTGCGACCTCAGGAGGGCAGTGCCTGGCAAGCACTCTCTTCTTCTTTGCCTGGTTCTGTGCCTGTGGCGCTCCCAACCGACACCCTCGGTGTCCATGGGCTCCTGCCACGTGGATGAGAACTCGAGGTGCCTGCGGCCTTTCCCCAGGGCTGTCACTGTGCCCTCTGCATGCCGCCTTGGGGAACGCAGTCTCATGGTGAGACTGCAGGCCGTGCTGGGCAGGCGGAGCCCACAGGTGTGTGTCACCAGGGCTGCCCGGTCCTCAGGGCCCGCCTTAGTGATGCTGGCCCCGGTGGGTCTTCCTGACTCCTGCATCTGCTGCCGCTGGTTCTGCCCTCCCTGGGTCTGTCTGGAAAGCCCAGCTGTGGCAGGCGCTGTTCACAAAAAGAAGAAATGCCCTTTGCCCTTGCCCCGCCCGCCGCAGCCTCCAACACAGTGATGTGTGCTCATTGGCCTCTCCCCAAGTGGCTCTTACACGGCTCTAGTGACTTCTTGAAACTGCATCTTCACCCTTGTTTCTTAAACAAAACTCTCTATTTGATATCAGCATGAGTCTGAGATTCTTCCATTCCCGAATCCAGAGAGGAACTTCGTCCTTCCAGAAGAGATCATTCAGGAGGTCCGAGAAGGTGAGGCTCGGGAAAGGTTGGGCTTGGGATTCAGAAAAGGCCAGACCCTGGCCAAGGGCAGGGAGGTGAGGGTGAGGACCCCGGGCCTCCAGGGAGGTGTGAGGGTCCAGCGCAGACCCCGCCCTACCTGTGCTTGGGTGGTCTTGGAACCTCCGGGATTGGAGAGGACTTTGTTTGAGAGCAGTGGCTGGACGGAAGCTGAGGCCTGTGTGGGCAGCAAGCGTCGGAGCAGTCCCTGGCCTGACCATCCCCCAGCGTCGGCCACCACCGTGGGTTTTCGGTGAGCGTCAGCTGTCTCCTCCACAGGAAAAGTGATGATAGAAGAGGAGATGAAAGAGGAGATGAAGGAAGACGTGGACCCCCACAATGGGGCTGACGATGGTGAGTGTGGAGCTCACCCTGCCCTGATGCCCTTTGGGGCTCAGCACCCCAAGACTGCCTTCAGGCAGGGCACAGTCAGGTGGGCGTAGAGCCTGCGGTGCAGAGGCCCCAGGCAGGTCATCTAGGCACAGGATGGATCCTGCAGTGCCCCCTCCCCAGGAGCTGAGTGCCTGCTCCATGTTGTAGGCCAGGGTCTGAGCGGCGGTCCCTGCAGTGCCCGCCGCAGGCAGGTCCTCAGGAGGACCAGGCCCCTCTGTGGGCCCAAATGCAAGGGGCTCCCAGCTCAGGAGGAAGCTTTGGGTTCAGAGGGTCACGTGTCAGTATGCAGATTTTTTTAACTGAACAGGAAGACAAAAATAAGATTCTGGATATTCTGTTTTCAGCCAAGTGATTTTTCGTTTCTCAGTTTTTTCATCTTCAGGGAGTTTGGGGAAAGCATCAGAAAAATCCAGCAAAGACAAAGAGAAGAACTCCTCAGACTTGGGGTGCAAAGAAGGCGCAGACAAGCGGAAGCGCAGCCGGGTCACCGACAAAGTCCTGACCGCAAACAGCAACCCTTCCAGTCCCAGTGCTGCCAAGCGGCGCCGCACGTAGACCCTCAGCCCTGGTGGCGGCAGAGAAGCGGGCGAGGCACTGTGGTCGCTGAGGGGGTTGGCTGGGTCTGAGTGCCACCCCCCAGGCCACAGTGATACCATCCCAGTGCCATGAGCCCACACTGCCCGCCCTCAGGCTCTCAGGTGAACGTGGCCGTCAGCGGGGAAACGTGTGTGTCAGTTGGACCATGTGGGACCCTGATGGACCTGAAAGACCAGGATCGGTCCAGCTCAGATATTGAGGGCTCTGAAGCCTAGTTCTGTCTTCTCTGGAGCAGCTGTGGCTTCCCCGTGGCTGCTTGGTGACATGGATTAGCGCTACGTGGGCTGCAGCATTTGGGATCCAGGCTACCTAGAGGGGCATCGGGCCAGGGAAAACCTCGGATTAGCAAGCAATAAAAACATGACCTCACTCTTCCTCAAAGGAGCCCCTGGTCTTCCCTGTGTGACTCAGTTCTTTCCATCTGTTTGTCCCGCTGCAAGCCTCTTTCTGCGCTGACTGTGACATTGGAACGTGGCCTTCCTGTCACCCCCTCCGTGCCACGCACTGAAGGCCACCCCCACCCACCTGGGAAACTAAGAACTGGATATTTTGCCTCATTCACTTGTACTGTAACAATGTATATAATTTGGTTGGTATTTCACTATTTAATTTTTAAGAAGCCTATTTTACTAGTGTTTTATATGAACAAAGTACTGCAGAAGTTAAACCTGTGTTGTATTTTTTCTGAGATGTTTTGCTTTAAGAGATACTTTTTGCTCAGTTTTTATATGCCAGATACAGAGAATTTGTAGCGGTTATTTTTGTATGATCTAGTAACTTGCAAACAGACCAAATGGATGAGAGGCGGGGACCGTGCAGCTGTCGGCTGATGAGGAGGCGGCCGCCCCAGTGCTGATGGAGATGCCACTTTCGTGTGACTGCGAACATTAAAGCACAAAAAAATCCAACCTGGAGTTGTGTGATTTTGATACCAAAGTAAGTTCACTTTTCCTCCAAAAGGAAGTTTTTATTTTTCCAAGATTTATAACTAAAGCATACACTTAGATGACTTATTAACATTCACTTGATACAACATATAAACAAAATAGTAACAGATTCTGAGTGGTTATTTTGTGGACTGTGACAAGCACTTCAAATACAAAATGTTAGGAGGGCAAAACGGTGCGGGCCCTCGTAGGTCAGGCAGGCACCAGTGGGCTCCTTCCTGCTGAAAGCTGCGGCTGTGAGATGAGACCGCTGGCTGGGTCACAGAGTGAAATCCAGCGTTCCGTGTGCGGACGAGGAGACAAGCTGTCCTGGCCAGCCATCGCACCCCAATGTCTTCAGCTTGACGTTGCTTCTCTGCCAGTGGAGCCTCCTCCACCACCTGGGAACATCCCTGGCCATCTGTCCCTGAAGTCCTCCTCACCATGACGCAGATCACAAGGCACCCACTAAAGGGGCAAAGCCAGGAATCCCGTGCCATGTGATCGCCCCGTGTGGCACCTGCCACTCGTCTGCACCAAACGCACTGCCAGTTCTGGGGAAGAACAGCCCAGGGAAGCTGCTGGTCTACGGCCTGCCTGAGCTGTATTCCAAGGGTAGAGCAGCTGCCTGGGGGGACCCTGTGGGTCCCTTTTCTATAGAGCCGGGACAAATCCACAGCCCTGCAGTAACAGCCTGCCACAAAGAGCAGGCATCTGGAGGGCCCCACACACATAGACCAAAGGACTGAGCCCGCCTGGCATTCCTCCACTCACAGCACAAATACTCAGCCCTGCAGCCAGGGAAGGGTGGGGTCTCCCTTTGCTGCCCAAGTGTGCCCCCTTGCCCGTCTGATCTCTCCTGTTAGGTCAGCCTCATTCAGGGCTTTGTGCCAGGTCCTGTCCTGGAGTCTCAGTCCGGGACAGCAGCCTGGCTCTTAGGCAGTCCAGAAGCAGCAGGGCAAAGGGGGGCAAATACTAACACGGGGTGTCACGGGATGGCCAGGAGGAGTCCTGCTCGCCACCCAGGCTCACTGTCCTAAACCTCCATCTGAAACCGCATCTCGGGTGACCTCAGATTGTGCTAGGAAAGCCTAGTTAATAAATCTGCCTCATCTCGATTACTGTAACATTTTGCTGCACTTCCAGGAGAAAGCTAGAGCCCACAGGTTAAGCCCACTGGGCAGGTGAGCAGCGTGCCCCCGCCCCGGGCCTCCCTTCTGGACCAGAGGCTGACTGGTTGAAGTCAGGAGCCACGCAGCCCTTATGGACTCACAGGGGCTTCTGGGCTTCCCTGTGGGGAGGCCCAGTTCATGCTCTGCTGGCAGGTGGGATGACCAGGTCAAATTCACAAGTGTCAGGGCAAGGGCGATGTGGCCTCAAGTCCTGGTAAGCGCTGTACTTACCCTCTCCTGGCCCCAGGGGTCCTGTCTGTAACCTGGGGGCTTTATGTAATGCACACTCCACCATGTCATGTAGAAGGTGCCGACTGAACCCCAATCTGAAAAGGAAAACAGCTGGCATGAGGCTGGCCCGTGCACGGACGCTCACGCGCCTGCTGCTGTAGAGGCGAGACGTGGTACACTGTGCACTCGGGACAAGATCTGAACGGGTCAGAAGCCGCCGCTGATGTTGAGCCTGGAAGCCTCAGCAGCGGCTCTACACCTGGAACACGCAGGGCCCAAGAGCACCTGCTGCCGCAGAGACATTTTCTCTATGGCTGGCAGCTGCGGGTGGGGACTCAGTGAAGGCTGAGAGTGGGAGTGATCTGAACTCCCCCGCCTGCCCACCCAGGGCGACCCAGGGGTGACTGGGAAAGGCAATTGGGCTCCACTGCTCCCCAAATAGCAGCGAATAAATACTGAGCGGCAGGGCACTGGCAGCGAGGCTCCCTGCTTGGCTGGTTGATTGAGGACAGGGCATGCTTGGGCCAAATCAGGAGGCTGCCACTGGTCTTGCCTGGAGAAGATATGAAGGCTGTAATCCAAGCTCCCAGCCACACAAAATTCTGCTGGGCTCCTTAGCTGTGAGCATTGCCTGCTCCAGGCACATCACCCACTGCGTGTGCAGAGACCATTGCCCTTCCTGGGTGCCTGGGAGCTGTGTGTGTGTGTGTGTGTGTGTGTGTGTGTGTGTGTGTGTGTGTGTGAGTATGTGACAGAGAAAGAGAGCCCCTTTCCCCAGCCTCAACAGCAAACCCTTCTGGAATGCCGTGCCACACGGGGCGTCACTGGACTGCAGAGGATGCTCTGAAGAAGCAATTCTGTTGCACAGTCCCCTGCAGCAGCTCCTGCACTTCTTGGATTAGCACGCCCCCGAGATGAGCTCTGCACACACACACACACACACACAACACAAAAGCAACTAAAGAAGCAATTTGGTGTGGTGATATTTGTAAAACAGAAGTTGGGCAATGTCTCTAATACTCTTTTTAGGGAAGTGGTTCTATAGTCCTGCCGACAGTAGGTAGCAGCGGGAATGCTGTCCCCGTAGAACAATGTTGTCAGCACCCAGTATGCTTGTCTTTCTGTTTTCTGGGGCAGTGGAGGGGGCAGCCTGACCACCCAAGTCTCAGATCACCCAAACCCTATACAACCACCCAGCACCCATCAATGTCCCCATCAGAGCCCCCCGACTCCACCTCACAGTCTATTCTGATGCTGCAACCAGATCCCACCTGTAAATCATCTAACAAGGAGGTCAGGCAGCTCACTCAGGCTCCCTGGGAAACCTGCCCTGGCCACTGCACTAAGTTGATTTACAGAAATGTCCAGCGCCCCAGAACTTCGGGGCATCACCACTGTCGTTTCAAGAAAGTGTGATGCATGTCCACAGGTTCCAGCCAGGTGAGACTGCACCTGCTAACAGTGGTCAACAGGTCAGCAAAGATTAGGGCCCAGCACCCAGAGGGTCCTTAACCTGTACTTGTGGCCAGGATTGGAAGACTTGCGTTCACGGCTGTCCCTGGCACACAGTACAAGGAATGTCACCAGTTCCCAGGCCCAGCAGGCCTGCAGGGCTAGGAGATGGCAGTGTCCCCTAGGGGCTGGGCTGGGGCCTTCTCCACCTTTCCACCACCATCATTACAGGGACAACTCTGCGAGGAGCTATCCTCATGGCCAAGTCCAAAATCCAGATTTAGTTTTACCTAAATGTTTTGAAATGAATTGGTATAGCAGTTACAGAAGAAATTTATCTGGAGTGGCCACTCCTGATTTTTATTTCAAGAGGTCACCAACCTTGCCATGTATCTGCCAGCAGATGTCAAAGGTGGATGAGCAAGGGACCCGCGGTGCTGGGAAATGGCAGGTGAAAGTGACTTTGTGTTGCCCCATATCTGCCAGTGCTTAGAGAGAGGGCCCTGAGGAGGCGCTGAACTGGCATCAGCTGTGTTGAACAGTCCCCAGGGTGACCCTCCCGGTGGCCCAGGCTTCGTGTGGTCCTCTCCCCTAAGTGCCTTCTTACAACTGAGAGATGGCGGCAAAGGTGAAGGAAGCCACGGCTTGCCCATGTCATCCTGGTTATATAAGACTCGGCACCCTAGAGAGAAAGACTCCCCTGGTGGCTTTGAAAAGAAAACGGCCGTGCTTTGCACTGCCTATGGAGGGACAGGGGTCCGCCAGCAGCTTCCAGGAGCTGAGTAAGGCCCCCAGCCCGCAGCAGAAGGACAGAGACCCCTACACACCCAGCTTAGGGAGAGAGGCCCCTGTGGACACGTGGCCCCTCCGGGGGTTATCCTCCAAGGGACATTCTTCTGATGGGGACATCCTCTGGGGGGATTTCTCTTGGGGGACAGAAATATTCCTGGAAGAGGGGATTCTCTGCGGGGCAGGCATCCTCCGGGGAGAGAATCCTGCTGGGAGGACATCGTCGGGAAGACATCCTTCCTAGGTACCCGGCTCATCTTCCGGGGAGACCGTCCTCTGGGGGGCGGGCAGGCTTTGGGGACATTTTCGGGAGGGAGGATCTCCTAGGGCGGGCATCCTTGCGAGACGGGGTGGGGCGAATCCTCCCGGGTGGGCATCGTGGGGTGGGGGTGGGCGTTCCGCGAGGGGCATCCTCCCGGGCGGACGTTGGGGGATTCTCGGGGGAGGGAGGGGCGCGGGGCGGGCGTCCCGGGGAGGGAGGGGCGTTGCGCGCGGACGCGGGCGGGGCCTGGGCCGCTCCGTCCCCTCCCCCCGCCCGCCCCCCGCGCTTCCTCTGCTTTCGGTTTCGCTTCCGCCTCCAGCGCGAGCCCCGCCGCCGCCGAGCATGGACGACCCCGACTGCGACTCCACCTGGGAGGAGGACGAGGAGGATGCGGAGGACGCGGAGGACGAGGACTGCGAGGACGGCGAGGCCGCCGGCGCGAGGGACGCGGACGCAGGGGACGAGGACGAGGAGTCGGAGGAGCCGCGGGCGGCGCGGCCCAGCTCGTTCCAGGTGCGGCCCCGCGGCGCGGAAGAGGCCTGGGGTCCCCGGCGCCCCCCGCCCGGCTGCGTGGACGGGAGACCCCCCCATCCCGGGCGGAGACACCTGGAGCCTCCTGGAGCTCCCGCAGCCCCGGGGACCCCCCCCCAGACCGGCCGACCCCCAGCCCCAGGGCCCGGCGGGGAAGTGCGGGGGCCGCGCGTGGGTGACAGCGGAGCTGAGCCTCCCGGGCCCCATCGTGTGTGGGCGCCGTTCCCCCCGGGGGTGCCTCGGGCGCGTCCCGCCCCCAGCCGCCGTGGCCGCCCCTGATGGAACCCCTCCCGCCTCGGGCCCGCGCCTCGGCCTCCTGGCGGCCCCTGCGCAGGCCCCGCGGCCTGGGGCTGGGGCTGGGGCTGGGGCTGGGGCTGGGGCCCGGGCCGGGTCTGGCCTGGGAGGCTTCGCGTCTGCACCTGCGGGAGCCCGGGGCGGGCCGACGGGGCCTCCGCTTGTTACTTTTGTTACCGCCGGGCGCCTGTCATCGCCGGGGTTACTTTTGTTGCCGCGCTGGGAACGCCACACTGTCGCAGTCCGGCCCCCCTGTCGGGGAGCTGGGATTGATCTGGGAGCGGCCTTCCAGCTGAGCTGCCCGGGTTGCGGAGGGCCGGGAAGTGCATGGAACTCGACGGCTCCGCATGGATTCTCCCCTTGGCACCCAGCACTGTTTGCGTTTGCGCCTGGCCATGGTGGAGCGGGCAGTGAGAGAGCACGGAGGGGCTCCGCCCTGTCGCCGGGAGGGCAGCGGCCAGGCAGGCTGGGCAGGGGGGTGGGGTCTGGCTCTGTCCCACAGGACGGTGTGACCCCTGGGTGGGCTCTTGACGGGCTTTCCTCACTGGAGTTCCTCAGGCCGCTCTCCTGAAGCGGTGCTCAGAGGCCCTGACCATCCTGCCAGGCGCCCGTGACCCCTGACCTCTTCCCTCTGCCTCCTGCTGTGGCTTCTGTCCACAAGCCCCTCCCCTTCCCCTTTGGACCCCTCAGGCCTCCCCAGCTGCCTGCGCTGGACCCTGGCGGGGCTGTTTCACTTTTTCCTGGGCAGTGTCATGTATGCACCTGTGGGCTGACTGTGTGGCCACATCCAGTCAGGACCCAGCCTCCAGAACTGACCCAGGGAGGCTCCCGCTGGCCCCAGGAAGGAGAAGTAGAAACTGATGATCAGGCGGGGCGAGAGAACCACACCAGCGGCCCTGTTGAGAAATCAGGCCGAGAGGTCGGTGGCGGTGGCTCAGGCCTGTAATCCCAGCACTTTCGGAGGCCTGGGCAGTCGGATCACCAGAGGTCAGGAGTCCAAGATTAGCCTGGCCAACATGGTGAAACTGTTGTCTCTACTAAAAATACAACATTAGCCAGGCGTGATGGGCACCTGTAATCCCAGTTCCTCCAGAGATTGAAGCAGGAGAATCGCTTAAACCTGGGAGGTGGAGGTTGCAGTGAGTGGAGATTGCCTGGGAGGTGGAGGTTGCAGTGAGTGGAGATTGCCTGGGAGGTGGAGATTGCATGAAGCTCCATCTCGAGGGGAAAAAAATAAGAAAGAAAAATCAGGCAGAGAGGCAACGCCAGGTCCCAGCTGGAGCTCAGCGGGGAGCCAGGGGATACAGTGGCTGACCGGGCCTCCTAACCCCCCTTCTAGCACTCCCCCAGGATCCTGGGTCCCAATTGTTGCCCTGGACAAATACGCCCATTCCTGCCCTACCCACCGAGTGAGGCTCAGCCCCAGGCCCCCCACCCTCATCACAAGGTCAGGGCTGTGTCCCACCATCCTCATCACTAGGTACTTCCGGCCCTTTGCTCAGCCCCATGATGCTTGGCCTGCAGAGATGGGGGCTGAAGGGCTTGGGGCATCAAGGGGACCTGACATCTTGCTGAGAAGCCATCACTAGACAGGGCTGGAGGCTGGAGACTCAGGGCCTGCCCTCACCGTGGCCAGTGAGGCGTGGGGTTGGGCAGGGAAGGGGCATTCATTCATTAGACCCTGCCAGAAGCACCTGGGTCCCCTTCTGGGGCTACAGGTGGTGAGGCCACTGCCCCCAAGAACACAGCCTGGTGACTTTAGTGTACAAAGCAGGGGGAGTCTCCAGGGGCACAGAACAGAGGCTAAAGCCAGGGTGGAGGTGGCCAGCAGGCCTAGGAGGAGGAGAGGGTCAGGGCCACACCCCAGGGGAGGTGCATGTCAGCCAGGGGCCACCCTAAGGTGGAAGCCAGGAGTCCCAAAGGGGCCTAGAGAAGGAGCAGCCCCCCACCTGGCTACCGCAGCCCTCTCTGGTTCTGTGCAGGGTATTGGGATGCGTTACTGAGGCCCAAATCTGCCCCACTGGGAACCCCCAAAAAAGAGCCAGGGCAGGAGAATGAGAGGGAGGAGCCATGAAACCCCCGCCCTTTAAAGACAGCTCTGTGGCAGCTGGCCCAGGCCCTGCAGCCCTCACCACGTTGGGACTCACTTGGGGGTCTCCCATGGGGGTCCTAATCCCATCTCTTTTCTTCCCAGTCCAGAATGACAGGGTCCAGAAACTGGCGAGCCACGAGGGACATGTGTAGGTATCGGCACAACTATCCGGTACGTACCTGCCCCTGCCCCGGGACACAGAACCCTCCCGCCAGCTGCTCTTCTCAGGCAGAATGTCCCAGGTTCTACTGGAAGGCTGGCCTGGCTTGCTGTGCCAGGGCCACAGTTCTGGGCAGGACCCTGCCTGGGGCACAGCCTGGTATAGATTCAGAGCCCTGCCCTTCCCCTCTCGCGGGAGACCGGGGGCATCCCCCTACTTTTCTGAGCTTCAGCACACCGTCGCCTTGCAAACATGGCCATAGTGCCAGCCTCGTGATGCACACGTGTGGGGTCCGTGATACCGCCCACACAGCACCCCACCCCCATGCCAGCCCTGTCTCCTGCAGGTTGTCCTCAGCCATTACCCTCCACACCCCTGAATCACGGAAACCCCTGTGCTGCCTTCAGGGTGCTGAGGAGGGGACCTGCCAGGCCTGGCCTGGCTGGCGAAATGGGGAAGGGGGGTCCCTGGGGCTTGGAGGCAGCTGCTGTCCTCTGAATGGCCCCCACCTGCAGAGTGAGGAGCCAGGCGGGCTCTTGGGGTATTGGGCCAGCCTGGAGGTTTGCAGATGCGCCTCCCCGAAAGACACGGAGGGCCCCAGGGCAGCTTGTGTCTGATGGATCCCTGCTGTCCCCTTTCTCTGGCTCTTCAGGATCTGGTGGAACGAGACTGCAATGGGGACACGCCAAACCTGAGTTTCTACAGAAATGAGATCCGCTTCCTGCCCAACGGTAGGTGCCTCACAACCACTGGCAGCCGGCGCTTCCATCCTTGCCTGGCAGGGGTGGTCCACTGGGCCCTGGTTTGGGATGTACCCGGCGATTACCAGGGCCACGGCTTTCAAATAGCCCCACAGTGCCCCCTGGAGGCGGCCAGAGGGACTCCAGGATCCCCGGCTTGGGATCTCCGCAGTGGTGTTTGGGTCGGGGTGGGCTATCTCTGTAAAGAGCCAGAGACTGAATATCTGCAGCTTTTCAGGCCACACAGTCTCTATCAAAACTACTGAACTCCTGCACGACCTCATGAAAGCCACATGTAAACCAACGAGCTAAGGATAGCTTTTATATTTTTAAATGGTTGCAAAAAATTAAAGTAGAGGCCGGGCCTGGTGGCTCACGCTTGTAATCCCAGCACTTTGGGAGGCCAAGGCGGGTGGATCACAAAGTCATGAGTTCGAGACCAGCCTGGCCAATATGGTGAAACCCTGTCTCTACTAAAAATACAAAAAAAATTAGCCAGGTGTGGTAGCGTGCGCCTGTAGTCCCAGCTACTCAGGAGGCTGAGGCAGGAGAATCGCTTGAACTTGGGAGGTGGAGGTTGCAGTGAGCCGAGATCTCGCCACTGCCCTCCAGCCTGGGCAACAGAATGAGACTCTGTCTCAAAAAAAAAAAAAAAAAAAAAAAAAAAAAGAACAGTGTTCTATTACTTTGATATTATAAGAAATTAAAATTTCAGTGTCAATAAAGCTTCACGGGCACGTGCCCACACCTGTTTATGCACGTGCCGGGCTGCAACGTGAAACAGAGACTGGGTGGCTGCACAAAACACTGTCAGGCCCCCATCTCAGGAGACTGTGCCTGCCACATCATGGGACTGGGTTCAGCTGGGGGCTGTGTTTGAGGACAGATTTCTGTGGCTGACGGGCCACGCTTTTGCAGGAGGCACTGAGGCCCCCTCCTGTACAGACAGGTCCTGGTCGAGGACCAGTGGTTCCCCCAGAGGGACCTTCCGGGCTCTCAGTGGGGTTTGCCGCCAGCCAGCAACAAGGGTCCAGGTCACAGATGGCAGCAGGGCAAGGGCTGTGCATCGGAGGAGGGATGGGCAGCCCCACTGAGCCTAGCACCCTGAAGAGCCTCAGGAGATGAGGGCGAGGAATAGCTTGGGGAAGCTGCTGGCAGCACTCTCTCCTTATGTCCCCCACCCACACCCCGTCCTCCTGAGCACGGGCAGGGTGGCTGCCACAGCTGACTTGTCCCCATGGGGCTCCCAGGCTGTTTCATTGAGGACATTCTTCAGAACTGGACGGACAACTATGACCTCCTTGAGGACAATCACTCCTACATCCAGTGGTGAGTTGGGGAGGATGGGGGGATGGGGGGTTGGCGAGGCCACAGGGGGAGGGCCCTCCCAGGCAGGAGCCCTCCCGACGCTGCTTCCTGGCACGGACTGAGCACTCCCTGCCCTTCCTGGAAGCTGGTGTCCACATTACACGGATGGACATTACTGGACATGCAAGGGCCGCTGAGGGAAGGCTCAGGTCTGTCCCCAATCTGTGGGCTCTTGGTGACCAGGGAGACAGGAAGGGCTGCACACAAGCTCCCTGAAACAGGAGAGGGGGCAGGCACTGCCTGCCAGAGGGGCAGCCTTAGTGCCAGGAGGCCTCAGTGAGCCTCAAGGGGCGGCCCCCGTCTCGGACTCAGCTGGGGCAGGGTCCTGGCGTAGTGCTGGGATGAGACTTGTGGCAGGCGTCTTGGGGACCCACAATGTGGCCCCGGAAACAGCATGCCCTGCTTTGGGGACAGCTCGCTGGGCGTCCACAGGGAGCCTCTGCTGGTGTGTGACGTGTCATGAGTGACAACACAAGAGAGGGAAGAGTGAGGAGTAGAAAGGAAGGCCCTGTCCGCCCGGGCTGGATGGCTGCAGGGCCCCTCGCTGCCTGAGTCACCTCCCCAGTCCTGCTGAGCATGCAGGCTGTGACTTACGCACCACACACCTCCTGTCCTGGGCCCTTGCACGCTCACCTGAGCTCTCCCACCCTCGCTCCTCCACCTAGCCACTCCCTCCTAGAGTTGAGCCTGGGAACCCAGAGGGGATTGGAACTGCCCCGGGCTACACAGCGAGCACCTGCCCAAGGTCTGGAAGCGGCTCTCCTAATCCCTTGCCTGAGCATCTCTTCTCCTGCAGGCTGTTTCCTCTGCGAGAACCAGGAGTGAACTGGCATGCCAAGCCCCTCACGCTCAGGGAGGTCGAGGTGAGCCAGGCCTTGGCTGTGACTGGAGGGGAAGATGGGGAGGCCTGGGCAAGCCACGCCGCTGCAGAGACGGGGTCGCCTCTGGCAGTAGGCATTTGGTGCCCCCTCAGGGGTCCCTTGGAAGGCAGAAGGGCCGAAAGAGCCTCCAGTATGATGACCTTCCCTCCCCAGTGGTCCTCACCCCACCAGGCATCTAGAGAAACTCAATTTCCGAGGCTGTTTGTCCCCATGCGGGAGTCTGGGGCTGAGCCCCTGAGAGACCCGGAGTGGCGGGACCTGCCTTTCTCACCACTGGTTTAGGCTGGAGTGGGGTCACCCAAGTGTGGAAGCTGCCCCTGAGGGATGCAGGGACTTAGAGAGCCGAGGGGCCCCTCCTGGCACTTTCCCATGGCCAGCGACTTCCTCTCAGGGGAGGGCGGCAGCCTCAGGCCCTGGTGAGAGCTCGGAGCAGCTCAGAGGAGAGATGGAGGCATGAGTGTGTCTCTTGTCACTTTACCCTAAAAGTCTGAGTCCAGGCTAGGTGCCGTGGCTCACGTTTGTAATCCCAGCACTTTGAGAGGCTGAGGCGGGTGGATCACCTGAGGTCAGGAGTTTGAGACCAGCCTGGCCAACGTGACAAAACCCCGTTTCTACTAAAAATAGAAAAAAATTAGCCAGGTGTGGTGGCAGGCAACTGTAATCCCAGCTACTCGGGAGGCAGAGGTTGCAGTGACTTGAGGTCACACCATTGCACTCCAGCCTGGGCAACAGAGCAAGACTCTGTCTCTAAATAAATGTCTGTCTGTCTGTCTGTCTAGTCCAGGCCTCTGAGTGAGTCGGGACCCACGGCCACCCCCACACTCAGGAACCGGGGCTTCAGGGATGGTGCCTGAGCTCTCCAAGGGGGTCTTTTCCAGGTGTTTAAAAGCTCCCAGGAGATCCAGGAGCGGCTTGTCCGGGCCTACGAGCTCATGCTGGGCTTCTACGGGATCCGGCTGGAGGACCGAGGCACGGGCACGGTGGGCCGAGCACAGAACTACCAGAAGCGCTTCCAGAACCTGAACTGGTGAGGCCCGGCTGCTCCCGCCCACCCCCACCCCGGCGCAGAACAGGGCCACGTCAGGTTTCGGGCAGGTCACAGAGCGCTGCTGCAGACGGAGAACTCCAGGGCTGTTTGGGCAATGGACCAAGGCCCTGAGTCCCCTCCTTGCTGCCTGTAGAGCCGGGCGGTCCCTCCCCGATAGGGTTGGTGAGAAGGTAAAGAATGCTCTTCCTGCACCCAGGAGGTGGCAGTCCACATAGAGAAGCAAGCAGGGGTGATGGAGAACCTGCAGGCGGTACAGCCAGTTCTCACAGGGTGTTCGAGGCGCCTGTACCCTGCAGGGGCCCCTTGTGGCTCTCATCCAGCCAGCTCCTCCCCACCAGGGGGACTCGGGGTACAGCCACCCTCTAGGTGATGCGTCAGCATCCCCCTAACCCCCGTGTGTCTAGGGCCCACAGGCCATTTTCACAGGGATGGCATGAGTCCTCCCCTGGGCCCAGAGAGGTAAATGGAGAGAGAGACTGAATCGTGGGCCAGGGTGGGGAGACCTCGTGGAGCCGGGTGGGAGGGCAGGCCAGGGCGGGGTGCGGCCCAGCAGGAGGGGCCCCAGCCATTGACCTCTCCTGACCCGGATCTCTCGCAGGCGCAGCCACAACAACCTCCGCATCACACGCATCCTCAAGTCGCTGGGTGAGCTGGGCCTCGAGCACTTCCAGGCGCCGCTGGTCCGCTTCTTCCTGGAGGAGACGCTGGTGCGGCGGGAGCTGCCGGGGGTGCGGCAGAGTGCCCTGGACTACTTCATGTTCGCCGTGCGCTGCCGACACCAGCGCCGCCAGCTGGTGCACTTCGCCTGGGAGCACTTCCGGCCCCGCTGCAAGTTCGTCTGGGGGCCCCAAGACAAGCTGCGGAGGTTCAAGCCCAGCTCTCTGCCCCATCCGCTCGAGGGCTCCAGGAAGGTGGAGGAGGAAGGAAGCCCCGGGGACCCCGACCACGAGGCCAGCACCCAGGGTCGGACCTGTGGGCCAGAGCATAGCAAGGGTGGGGGCAGGGTGGACGAGGGGCCCCAGCCACGGAGCGTGGAGCCCCAGGATGCGGGACCCCTGGAGAGGAGCCAGGGGGATGAGGCAGGGGGCCACGGGGAAGATAGGCCGGAGCCCTTAAGCCCCAAAGAGAGCAAGAAGAGGAAGCTGGAGCTGAGCCGGCGGGAGCAGCCGCCCACAGAGCCAGGCCCTCAGAGTGCCTCAGAGGTGGAGAAGATCGCTCTGAATTTGGAGGGGTGTGCCCTCAGCCAGGGCAGCCTCAGGACGGGGACCCAGGAAGTGGGCGGTCAGGACCCTGGGGAGGCAGTGCAGCCCTGCCGCCAACCCCTGGGAGCCAGGGTGGCCGACAAGGTGAGGAAGCGGAGGAAGGTGGATGAGGGTGCTGGGGACAGTGCTGCGGTGGCCAGTGGTGGTGCCCAGACCTTGGCCCTTGCCGGGTCCCCTGCCCCATCGGGGCACCCCAAGGCTGGACACAGTGAGAACGGGGTTGAGGAGGACACAGAAGGTCGAACGGGGCCCAAAGAAGGTACCCCTGGGAGCCCATCGGAGACCCCAGGCCCCAGCCCAGCAGGACCTGCAGGGGACGAGCCAGCCGAGAGCCCATCGGAGACCCCAGGCCCCCGCCCAGCAGGACCTGCAGGGGACGAGCCAGCCGAGAGCCCATCGGAGACCCCAGGCCCCCGCCCGGCAGGACCTGCAGGGGACGAGCCAGCCGAGAGCCCATCGGAGACCCCAGGCCCCAGCCCGGCAGGACCTACAAGGGATGAGCCAGCCGAGAGCCCATCGGAGACCCCAGGCCCCCGCCCGGCAGGACCTGCAGGGGACGAGCCAGCCGAGAGCCCATCGGAGACCCCAGGCCCCCGCCCGGCAGGACCTGCAGGGGACGAGCCAGCCGAGAGCCCATCGGAGACCCCAGGCCCCAGCCCGGCAGGACCTACAAGGGATGAGCCAGCCAAGGCGGGGGAGGCAGCAGAGTTGCAGGACGCAGAGGTGGAGTCTTCTGCCAAGTCTGGGAAGCCTTAAGGAAAGGAGTGCCCGTCGGCGTCTTGGTCCTCCTGTCCCTGCTGCAGGGGCTGGGGCCTCCGGAGCTGCTGCGGGCTCCCCTCAGGCTCTGCTTCGTGACCCGTGACCCATGACCCACAGTGCTGGCCTCCTGTGGGGCCACTATAGCAGCCACCAGAAGCCGCGAGGCCCTCAGGGAAGCCCAAGGCCTGCAGAAGCCTCCTGGCCTGGCTGTGTCTTCCCCACCCAGCTCTCCCCTGCGCCCCTGTCTTTGTAAATTGACCCTTCTGGAGTGGGGGGCGGCGGGCAGGGCTGCTTTTCTTAGTCTGATACCAAGCAAGGCCTTTTCTGAATAAATTCATTTGACTTTGAGTCTTTGGTATGGACCGGGGTCCTGTTGGGTGGCTGGTAGGGCTGGTGTCACAGCTGATGTCCCTCCAGGCTCCAGTGGCCTGGCCCGGCGACCGCCTCACATTGCTCCACCAGGTGCCTGTGGGGGCAGAGTGGTGGCCCAGCCCTCCCCACACACCCACTTGGCCACACAGTCCCCAGGCATGAACAGGTGGGCAGGCTGCAGCCTCCCAGAGCCTCTGAAGGTGGAACCGAGGTCCCTCAGCAGGCTTTTGCCACCTGTTCAAGATGAGTCTGGGGCTTCCCTTGGGGTTGGCCGGGGCAGTGCTTGTGCATGGTGGGGTCTGGACCAGGCCTTTCTGCCTGCTGTGATCTGGGATGCGCTGCTGTGCCTCGGGCAGGCTTGGCAGTACTCTCTGGCGGGCCCCTTGGCTCCCTCAGGTCTGGTGGAGCCAGGTGTGCCCCCAGGGCAGTCCCTCCCTGCAGTCTGCCCTTGTCACCCTGGGCCAGGACCCCCCGCTTCCCGGTTCCCCTACATTTCTACATCAGCAGGGTAAGGGGCTTTTTGTGGGGCCTCAGAGGAGGGGCCGGACACTTGTCTTTGCTCAGTGAAGGACAGGGCAGACCTGGGGCACCCCTGGGTGGGAGGGTTAAAGCTGTAGACCCTGGTACCACTTCAGGTAAAATGCCCAGCTCCCATCTGGTGGCACAGGATACACGAGCCGGAAGTCACTGGGAGGAGACACCCGAGGTTCAATAATCCCCCAGAGCTGCGTGGGGAAGCTGTGGGACCCCTGGTGCCTCAAGTGTGGCTCAGGGGATTCCTGCCATGGAGGGAAACTGAGGCAGTGAGCTGGACATAGGGCTAGAAGTGCAGTCACTGGGGCAGCGCCCGGCAGATCCAGCGTCCCCAGTCCAGGCCGTTGTGGGGCTGGAGTCGGTGAAAATCAGCGCCTGAAGTGAGGAGCCTGTTGGAGCAGCCCTGGGGGCCGATGCCTGGCGGTGGGCACCTGGGGACAGCAGGCAGTGCTGGCCAGCCAACCCGGGCTTCAGGGAGAGTGATGACCCACAACAGGCGGGCAGCAGGAGGCTCTGCCCCACTCAAAAGTGAGCCGGGGGAGGCTGAGCTCTGACAGTGCCCACCCTCTGCCTAGGATCTGCCTGGAGCTGGGGGTGGTTTTTTGAGGGGCTTGAAGGTGGTTCGGGGGGGACACCAAGCAGGTGTCCCAGGCATGAGGTGGCTCCCCTGGCCTGAGGTGAAGGCCAGCTGTGTTTTGTCTGATTTGGGTCAGATAGCAGTCCTTGCTGACTGCATGCTGGGCATCATGGGGATAGGCAAAGTGGGGTGTGGGGCCAGGGACCAGGGGAGAGCCACTGAGGAGGGGGCTGGCCACAGGGTCATCTTGCCAGGTGGAACTGGTAGGGAGGACTTATCCTGTCCCCCAGACCCTGGGCTTGGGGTGGGGCTGGTGCTGGGAGCCCCTAAGGCCCCCTGCTGTCTGGGCTGACCTGCTCCACCCACCTCTCCCCGTAATCAAAAGTCCTCTGTTAGGAAGCTCTGTGCCAGGATGACTTGGACTCCTCAGGAGGGTGGGCCTTTTCAGCTCCTCCCACCTCGCCTGATGGAATTCGCACACACCCCTCCCAGCCCAGCCACCGCGCTCACCCAGCAGTGAAGGGAGAATCTCCCTCCACTCACTTCACCGCGGGAGAGATTAGAGCGACACTATTATTTTGAGACAGGGTCTCACTCTCTTGCCCAGGCAGGAGTGCAGTGGCGCCGTCTTGGCTCACTGCAGCCCCGACCTTACAGGCTCAAGCGATCCTCTTGCCTCAGCCTCCCGTGTAGCGTGGACTACAGGCGAGCACCACCATGCCCAGCCGATGTTTTAATTTTTGGTAGACATGAGGCCTCCCTCTGTCTCCAAGCTGGCCACGCCCGGCCGATGTTTCAATTTTTGGTAGAGATGAGGCCTCCCTCTGTCGCCAGGCTGACTGCGCCCGGCCAGAGTGCGGTGCTCCTGCTGAGCAGTTTTGCGCCCACTCCCCTCTCATCCCCTCCCGCCCTTGCTAACTCACAGCATTGCAACAGTCATGAGTCCCCACCTGCCGAAAGGAAGCTCCTGCAGCCCCCTACAACCCCCAGGGCAGCCTTTCTCGGGAATTTTCAAGATTCCTGGGGGAGGGGCTGGCATCTGCGCCTTCACTGAGCCTACAGGCAACTGGAAGCTTTGAGTCCCCTAGGGCAGCGACTGCCCTGGCAGCCTGAGGCAGAGCTTGGCCGGACCTGGCGACCCCTGAGCTTCTGGGAAATGGACATGGCCAGCACCGCCTTCAGGTTCCTGCCCAGGGCACGGTTCCTTCAGGCCGGGGATCCCGGGGAGGGGTTCTTCCCCTCGGCCAGGGTCATCGTTTTGCGATCTCTCCTGGGAGTCTGGGTTTGGAGTCTGGTCTTAGCCGGTAGCAACTGACGTGGCCTGACCACCCGGCCCGTCCAGGTCCACGGGTGAGGGGCCGCGGTGGGGGTGCTCCCAGCCCAGCAGGCAGCGCTGGACAGTGACCCCGGAGCGGGAACCAGGGCTGCGCTGGGCACTGACCGGGCCCTGGTACCGGGGATTCACCCTCCCCGGGGTGTTCCTGGGCCTTGGGTCGCCTGGGTCCGCTCCGGCGCCTGGGGAGGGGTCTGCGGCTTCGGAAACTCGCGGGTCTCCCCTGCCCCTCCCTGAAGGCGGCCCTTCAGCGCCGCGCGCTTCCGCCCCCACACTCGGGTTGAGGAGCAAGGAGAGAAAAGAGCGTCTTTCTCTCTTGCTCAAAGCTGCGTGTGTGCAACGCGCCAGTCCCAGGATAATTTTAACTCGCGGCCGGAGAGAACGCGCCGCCCGCCCGGCGTCTTTTTTGTTTTCGCCCAGGCGGGCTGGGCGGCGGCGCGGGGCGGGTGGAAGCCCCCCCGCCCAGGTGGGCCCGGCTGAATGGGGGGCTTGTGCAGGCGGGGGCGGGAAGGGGAAGGGGAAGGGGCCGCCCACCTCCCGCCCCGCCCGCCCGCGCGCCGCCCGCCCCGACGCCGCAGCTCAGACTCCGCTCAGCCATGGCCGGGCCGCGCGCGTGCGCCCCGCTCCTGCTCCTGCTCCTGCTCGGGGAGCTTCTGGCGGCCGCCGGGGCGCAGGTGAGCGCGAGCTCCGGGCTCTGAGGCTGGACGTGGAGCCGCGACCGCCCCAGCCCCGAACCCGCCACTCCGGGGTGCCCGGCGCAGCCTCGACGCCCCCAGCCCGTGTCGCCGTCGGGGCGCGGAGTCGCCAGCGCCTCGGGATGAGCCCCGTCCGGCCGCGTCCTCGATGGGTCCTCGCTGGCCCGGGTCGGCCGGCGCCGCCGCCTCCTCTGGGAGCACAAGGGGGCCTTTGTTCCCGCCGCCGGAGGGAGGCGGGGGACACACTGCGCGGGGGCGCCGGGCTCCGCCCGAGGCTTTGGGTCTCACCGAGGAGAGCGGCGGTCGTCGCAGGCCCCGGAGCCGCTCGGGACCCGGGAGGAGGGGACGCCGGGTCAGGCCCACGGGGGCACCTGCGCTCCTTAATGAGTTTTCTCCGTTTCAGAGAGTGGGACTCCCCGGCCCCCCCGGCCCCCCAGGGCCGCCCGGGAAGCCCGGCCAGGACGGCATTGACGTGAGTTTGGGGGTGGGGAGGGCCCCGAGCGCTCTGGGGTTCTGGCTCTGGCCCCCACCTCCCTGAGCTCCCCGGCCTGATGGAGAGAAAACCAGGCCCCACCTCCCAGAGCCGGGGTGACATCAGGGGACAGCCAGTGCCTTCACGGGATGGGGGTGGCCCTGCGGGGACTGCTGGTGGGTAGGGGTGGAGGGTGTCATGTGGTGGTCCTCCACCCAGAATGCCGGCACTGAGGTGTGTGTCTCTGGGTCCCCTGAGGGGCCCGTGCCCCTGTGTTCGGGGTTCTGGCCTCTGGCTGAAGTGGGGAGAGGCACGTCCTTTGGGTGGTTGGGGGCCGGGGGTCTTGTTGGAGGCTGCTGGGCTCTGGAGCCAGCCATGGAGGGGGCTTAGGAGCCGACTCAGTCCTGAGATGATGTCCCCTATGGGTATCTCAGGACTGGTGTGGGCCAAGCAGCAGGAGGAGGCGGCTGAAATTCTACAATTGTGCCTCCCTCGGAGGGACCGTCTGGGGTGAACCTCCCCATGTGACCACCACCAGGGCAGGAGTCCCCTCAGGGCCTGTCCACGCTGTGTGGTCCCCGTGGAGGGCTGTGGAGGGCTGCACCAAGAGCCCCCCATGACCCACCCTCTGCCCCCCTGCCCAGCTCGGCCTCAATGGCCACAGCCTCCTTCCAGTCTGTCCAGTTCACCCCTTTGCCCAGTGCTGCCCCACACATGGGAGGGTGCCCTCTAGGTAGGGATCGGGGGCTCAGGGGCCCCTTTTGTCTGCTGGGGCTGGGCCTCTGGGGCTGATTTGGAGGCCAGCGCTGCTCTTTTCCCCGAGGCGGGGTTCTTGAGGGACCCCTGATTTTCAGGGTTACATGTGGGTGTCTTTCCTCACAGGGAGAAGCTGGTCCTCCAGGTCTGCCTGGGCCCCCGGTGAGTGTCCCTGGCTGGGGAGACAGCCTTTTTCCAGTCTGGAGAGAAAGGGGGAACTCAGAACAGAGGGGTCATTGATATCCTGTCTCATCCTGCCGGAGCCCGGGTTGCCTGAGGGGAGGCCTCAGAGGGCTTGGAGCAGGCCTGGAGCCAGCGGGGCGGGAGGGGAGTGTGTGGGCTCAGCCTCTGCATGTTCAGGGCAGGGCCTGGCTTTGAAGCTTTCTTTGGACCAGCGCCAGGCAGGCCGGGACCGGGGCTGGTACAGCCCTTCAGGTCCCCCAGGCCTGAGGTCACCTGGAGCCCTCCCACCTTCTTCAGTTCCAGGGGTTGAGGGTCCTGGGGCTCAGAGCCCTGTCTGGGCCCACTGGGGGTCCGACAGAGATGCCTGCTGGCCCTTAGCCAGGGAGGCCGAGGTGACCAGACGAAGGTCTTACAGATGCCACTGAGGGATGGGGCGGGCAGCCTTCCTGGGCCAGCAAGGTGTGGGCAAGCAGGACACACGTGCCCCAGCTGAGCCGGGTCTGCCAGACAGTAGGGGGGACCCAGGAGAGGGGCCCATCCCGTATGGTTGGGCTGGGGGGAAGTGGAAAGCATTTTGCTTCATTGCTGAAGGCCTGGGCTCCAGGCCAGACCCCGCCTTCACATCTCTGCCCTTTCCTCCTGCACAGGGACCAAAGGGGGCCCCAGGAAAGCCGGGGAAACCAGGAGAGGCTGGGCTGCCGGGACTGCCGGGTGTGGATGTGAGTGCGCCTGCCCCTCCCCGCCATGCCCCACTCCCCGCTCCGGGTCCCTGGAGGAGTCCGGCCCTAATTGCTGTTGTCCAGCTGGGCCTGCTCAGGCGGGAAGCCCAGTCCTGAGAGAAGTCTCCAGAAGTCCCCAACAGGGGTCCTTTGGCCTTCATCCCAGACGCCACCAGCATCTGGCAGGGGACAGAGCCAGCCCAGTGGAGTCGGAAGTCCCGCCAGCCCTCCTTGCTTGTCCAGGAATGAGTGCCCATTGTCAGGACCTTCTGCCCACTGCTGGCCTCACTTAGTCATCTTGGGCTCCAGGCCTGGCCCCAGGGCCACGGAGTTTTGTTCGGAGGAAGCCGGGCCTGAGAAGTGAGCTGTCCAGTCCTGCTGGGTTGGTCCCCGAGGCCTGACTACAGCAGGTGCCTCCGTTGCTGGCTTCCCGCTGGCTGCCCCCTCCCTCCTCCCAGAGCCTCTGGCTACAGCAGGCAGACAGTGGACAGGGCCAAGAGAGGAGGCTGCCACCCTAAGGGTCTTCTATGCCTCTCTGGACTCACCAAGGGAAGGGTCCGTGCTTCCATTTTTGCCTGGGGGGTGGCATGTGCTTCCCATGTGGCCCCTCGAGCTCGCCCTCTGCCTCTCCCCAGGGTCTGACTGGACGAGATGGACCCCCTGGACCCAAGGGTGCCCCTGGGGAACGGGTAAGTGCCTGCGCCGAACCCAGTGGCTTGGGTTCAGAGGTGAGGTCCCCTGGCCACCTCTGGCTGCTCTGTGTCCACAAGGCCAAGGAGCTGGTAGTTCCAAGGACAGCTGCCCTGCCCGTGCCTGGGGTGGAGGGGCAGAAGGGCAGGGTGCCAAGTGGCCAGTCCCCTGTGCCTGCCTCCCTGCCTCACCTCCACGTATGGTCAGAGTTGTCCTGGTATCCAGACCATGGCAGGGAGAAGGGGGATGGTTTGGGGGAACCCACCCCAGGTGCCTCCTCAGAATGTCCCTGAAGCCCCCAGGGCCCTGGGCAGACCACCACCAGGGACCCCCGGGCACGCAGCCTGCAGAGTCCCCTGTGCCTGCCTGTTGGACACTGAATCCTTTACCCTGACGGAGCGGCACCACCACCCAAGGGTGCCTTTCTCCCCTTGTGGCTTCTGAGTACAAACCCGAAGCCAGCATTCTCTCTTTGGCTTCATAAGACGTGGCTGTCAGCCAACCGGGTGCCACTGGCCCCAGGCGCAAAGCATCACAGAGGGCAGGAAGGCTGGGCTGGGGACACGAGGACACAGCCCTGCCCTTGGGACCCTTGGGAGCTCGTCAGGCATGAGGCGGATTCTGAGCTGAAAACAGGAGGGAAACAGTAGCTGCTGGCAGCCGAGTCCGTGGTGCCCAGGGGTGTGGGGTGGGCTGGTCCCCAGGCTTTCAGGAGGGGCCTCCAGCCTCAGCACAGGGCCCGTGCGTGCCGTCCAGGGAATGAGGCATTTCAGGCAGCAGGGGCCAGACAGGGCCCAGAGGGTGTGGAGGGCAGACAGGGCCTGGCTGCCCAAGGCTCTGGGGCTCGCTGACGTGGGCGGGGGCTGAGGACTCAGCAGGCTCCGTGGGTGGGTTATCGGGAGGGCTTCCTGGTGGAGACAGGCACCCCGGGTCACTTCGGTGCCTCTCAGCCCTGCCTCAGGTTGCACCTTCTTGCAGCGAGCGCTGGGACTCTGGTGCCATCTGTCTCCAGCAGCTCCCCAGGACGGCAAAGACCCTCCAGGTCAAGAGGGCTCAGAGGCCCTGCCCCTCTGTGAAGTGGGGACTTGGACCCTGTTGTCCTGGGAGTTGGAGTTGTGACGTCACACTTCAGAGGGAGGGGATTGGGTTTGCAAATAGAGGCCCAGCCCAACCTAGACGCCTGCTTTCCTCCCACAGGGAAGTCTGGGACCCCCGGGGCCGCCCGGGCTGGGGGTGAGTATGGAGTGTGGTCCTCTCCTCTCCATGGGAGTTTGGGGAGCTGGAGAGTCTGGTCTAAATGGGGTGGCCTCCAGGAATCCCAGGGACCATCCCTGGCCCTCTCATCTGCAGCCTCTCCGGAGGCTGGTGCCTGGATGGGGTCCTGGTGCCCTCTCTGGGCTGGGACCAGACACCCATCCCTGGAACCGCCCTTTCCCCAGGACCCACCTGAGCCATCTTAGGGAGGGGTGAGGCGCAGCCCTTCTTGTGCCTGGCAGGCTCTGACCCCATGTTTGGCTTTGCAGGGCAAAGGCCTCCCTGGACCCCCCGTGAGTACTGACAACCCTTGGGGCCCTGAGCAAGCACGCAAGTCCCGAGAGCCTGCCAGGCTGGGATGTCCCAAACCGTGCCTGGGGGTGGGGCTTCTCAGGGGCAGCCATCTGACCACCCCATACTTGGAGCCCCTCTCCCTTCGGAGGCGGCACACCAACCCTGGGTGGGGATCCTCGGGGCTTCCGGGTGCAGACCTCCCCACCTCTCTTTACTTCCCTCCAGGGAGAGGCAGGAGTGAGCGGCCCCCCAGGTGGGATCGGCCTCCGCGGCCCCCCGGTGAGTGGCTGTCCCAGAGCCCCTCAGAGTGTGCTCACCTGTGGCCTCCACCCCCAGACTCAACAGCCAGGGGCTCCCTTCCCCTCTCCCTTTTCCCTTTCTCCCCCAACCCCACCTTGGTGGGTGTTGGTAGAAGCCCTGGCCAATGATCCAGACCCGACCTCAGGACGCAGACACCAGCACAGTCCGTGGGAGTGGGGGCTGGTGGGAGCTGGGCGTGTCCACCTCCCTGGGAGAAGCCGGGCACCTCACTCAGGTGGGGGCTGGTCCCACTCTGTCTAAGTCATACCCCCTCCCCAGGGACCTTCTGGACTCCCCGGCCTCCCTGGTCCCCCAGGACCTCCCGGACCCCCTGTAAGTACTGGGCAGAGGCTCTAAGAAGTGCTGGGCATGGACTAGGACACTGGGTTGGACCCTCCCCATTCCCCCTCCCCAGGCTCCATGCCCCTCCGAGATCTCCTAACCCTAACTTGGCCACTCCCAGGAACAGTCAATGGTGGGGGCAGTGGCTGTGGCTAGGCCAGCCAACTTGGGGATGGTCAGGACTCAGGTCCCCATGGCCATCCTGCCCCAAGGACAGGTGGATTCTGTCGTTGTCACATGCCCTGTGGGTGGGCCAGCAGCTCCCAGCACTGGCCACTTGGGGGACAGGATGAAGGGTCTCCAAGTCCCCTGGTGGATGGGGAAGGTTGTGGTCCGTCAGAGAGTGGGTGGGTGGGTTGGGTGGCTGCAGGTGGCTGGGGAGGGCGGGAGAATGTCAGCTGTCTCTTTTTGTCTTAGGGACACCCAGGAGTCCTCCCTGAAGGCGCTACTGACCTTCAGGTAGGCACTTGAAGCCATTTGTTAAGGGTGCTGGGGGGTGCCTACCTTGGGGGGAGGGGTTCTGGCCTGGAGAGGGGCTTGTCCATACTGGCAAGAAGGCAGGGCCCGAGCCCTCCCTGGGGACAGGAGCTCAGAGCAGACAGCTCGGGCACAACCTGGCAGAGAGGCTGGCTGGGACCTCCCCCTCCCCCTTCCCACCCTCCTCACCACCGTCTAGACCTGCACTGTCCCTCATGAAGCCACCAGGCGCATGGAGCTGTACAAATGTAATGAATCACAATCATGTCACAGAGCCATCCAGCTCCCCTGCGTCATCCGCAGAGGGCGCCCTTGGCCACAGATGGCGACAGAACTGGAGTCTGGGACCCACCTTTATCTTGATCTTTGAGCCTTGTCATTTGCCTGAAAAGAAAACAGGCTCAGGTCAGGCGCAGTGGCTCAGGCCTGTAATCCCAGCACTTTGGGAGGCCCAGACAGGAGGATCGCTTAAGCTCAGGAGTTTGAGACCAGCCTGGGCAACATAGTGAGATCTTTGTCTCTACAAAAAATTGTTAAAGTAGCCAGACGTGGTGGCGTGCCTGTTGTCCTAGCTACTTGGATGGCTGTGGTGGGAGGATCACTTGAGCCCAGGAGGCAGTGGTTGCAGGGTGCTGTGATCAAGCCACTGCACTCCAGCGTGAGCAGCCAAGCTCAAGCCTGTCTCAAAAAAATGAAGAGGAAAGAAAATGGGCTTCGGAGGCCACGGATCCATCTCTCCTCTCTGTTTGGCCGTCCGTGGTGGCAGTCAGCGCCTTGTTTCCATAGAGAGGTTTGATAGTTTTGAAGGGAAAAGCTCGGCCCACTCTGACCTGACCACCGACGCTGTCTACCAGCCTCTCTCCTCACCCCACCCCGGGGCCTAGGTGCCTGGCCAGCCTGTGTCCCAGAAGGGAGGCTTTAGGGAACCTTCCAGAATGTGGTGCGTGGTTGGGCCCCCGATCGTGGGCTGAGTGGGGCAGGGGCTGAAGATACGGGTCTGCACCCTTGGCCTGGCCTGCCCATTGCAGCTGTAGGATCATCTAGAAGCAGCCCTGGGTTTCCTGAGCATCAGACCTGTTGCCTGGGCTCACAGTGCCCCTCCTAAAAGCCCCATGCCGAGCACATTCCTGTGCTGAGGATGGGCCCGACCTGAGGCTGCTGCAAGGCCCCCTGCAGTGCCGGCCGGGACTGTGCTGAATGGCTGCTTTGATAGCCAGTGTCTGCCGTGGGGCCGGCTGCTCCATGCAGCCCCTGCTGCACTTGGCCAGTGCTGAAGGAGACCCTGTCTGTGTCCTGTCCCAGTGCCATCACCTGTACGGAGTGGCCTCCTGGGGTCCCGTCACTGTGTGGAGTGGCCTCCTGGGGTCCCGTCACTGTGTGGAGTGGCCTCCTGGGGTCCTGTCACCCAGAGTGTCCCGACACCCGCGCGGAGTGGCCTCCTGGGGCCCCGTCACCCACGCGGAGTGGCCTCCTGGGGTCCCGTCTCTGTGTGGAGTGGCCTCCTGGGGTCCTGTCACCCAGAGTGTCCCGACACCCGCGCGGAGTGGCCTCCCGGGGCCCCGTCACCCACGTGGAGTGGCCTCCTGGGGTCCCATCATCTGTGCGGAGTGGCCTCCTGGGGTCCCGTCACTGATGCGGAGTGGCCTCCTGGGGTCCTGTCACCATGAGGAGTGGCCTCCCGGGGTCCCGTCACCGTGCAGAGTGGCCTCCTGGGGTCCCGCGGGCGCTGACCCCTGCGTCGGACGTCCTGCTCTGTTTGGCTGGGAGGGGTCTGACTGCTCTGTTTTCCGACAGTGCCCAAGTATCTGCCCGCCAGGTCCCCCAGGGCCCCCTGGAATGCCAGGGTTCAAGGTGAGTCACGGGTGACTGGGACCCAAGCACCACCCTGTGCTGGGCAGGAGGCAGCTGGGCTCCCATGGGGCTGTGGAGGTGGCGGGTCCAGAAAGCTGGACCCTGGTTCCAGGGTTGCCCCAGGAAGAAAGCTAGGCCAGCCTCCTTGTCCCGCCTTCAGCACCCCAGTGACACGCTGATGTGGCCAGGCTGGGACTGGCCATAGGCGTCAGAGACTGCGGGGGAGAGCTAGCCTCAAGCTCCCACCCCAGCCCAGCCCTGGCCCGCTCCTGACCGCAGAGCGCCCTCATGTGGGTCCTAGCGCCTCTCAGGCCTCAGTTTCCCCATGAGGGCCCAGACCCGCGGTCCTGTGCGCTGCCGTGTGGCGGGCCCTGGGCTGACTGACCCTGCAGGCCTCACTTCAGTGTTGCCAGGGAGGGGGTGTCGGGGGGTCTGGGTGGGGCAGTGACCCCACATTTGCTTGCAGGGACCCACTGGCTACAAAGGCGAGCAGGGGGAAGTCGGCAAGGACGGCGAGAAGGTGAAGCTGCCGCACAGCAGCTGGGGAGGAGCTGGGGACTGGAGGCTGGGCTCCGGCGGGAGGGAGGGGCTGGGCTCCGGCGGGAGGGAGGGGCTGGGCTCCGGCGGGAGGGAGGGGCTGGGCTCCGGCGGGAGGGAGGGGCTGGGCTCCGGCGGGAGGGAGGGGCTGGGCTCCGGCGGTGGGGAGGGACCGTTTCATGGGTGCACCTGCACTGGCACCTTCTGTGCCTGTCTTCCAGACAGGGCCTGGCTGGTCAGAGCTGGGTGATTTAGGCAGGGTCCCTGGACAGACCCCGTCCTGCCTGGCCTCGCTGTGGAAGCTCCCTGGTTTGTGTCTGTGGCCGGGGCGAGGGGCATCTGTGAGGATGGCTGGCTTTAGCCTGTAGCCTCCCCTCACCTGTGGTCGCTGTCCGTGGAGGGTGTCTGTCCATGGTCACCTGCAGGCCGGGGGACCAGGTCTGGGATGCCCTTTAGCGTGGCTGGAGTGATCAGATGAGGAGACCCCAGGTGCACATCAGAGGGGTCCCTGCTTGGCCACGAGGAGGGGCCTGGACAGGGCTGAAGGGCCTTGTGGGAACAGTGACCACGGACCCCGGCCCGGCAGGGCGAGGCCACCGAGACTCGCGGGACTGCTCTGGAACTGTGGGCAAGTGTCCCCTTCACAGAGCCTCCAAGGCCCAGCTGTGAAGGGGGCAACACCCCCAGCTGCTTGGGCTTGAGTAGGGTGACTGGAGGCACCGAAAGGTGCAAGGAGAGCCAGACTGGGCCGCTGACCACCCTATCCCCTCTGTTTCAGGGTGACCCTGGCCCCCCTGGGCCCGCCGGCCTCCCGGGCAGCGTGGGGCTGCAGGTGAGGCTAGGAAGGGGTAAGGATGGTGGGATGGGAACTCAGCCCACAGAGTGATCAAGCCCTGCACATATCTACCCCCGAGGGGGCCAGCTCCGGCTGGGGGGTGTTTGGCCAACACCCAGGCACAGGAGCGCGACCTGGCTGGGGGTCCCACCTCTGCCAAGGCTGCTGACCTCAAGGCTGGTGCCCCCTCCCTCTGGGGGACCTGAGCTGAGGCTGAGGGCTCATGGAAGACACCAGGGCTCCCAGGGGTACCCCGAGGGCCTTGGCCCTGGGTGCTCCCCGGGGTGGAGGTGCAGCCCCAGCCTCTGCATCTGTGCCTCTCTCTCGCAGGGCCCCCGGGGATTACGAGGACTGCCAGGGCCACTCGGGCCCCCTGGGGACCGGGTAAGTCCTGCAGCCCCTAGTGGGGGCCGGCCAGGTGGCTGGGGGCCTGGTTGTCTGCACCTCCAGACTTCAGATGGGCCCCGTGAGTGACACTCTGAAGCAGCCGGCACCCTGGCTCTGGCCATCGCCACTGTGGCGCAGGCCTTGCTCTGGGCCCCTGTTCTCGCATGTGCCTGGGCGAGAGCTGACAGTCGGCGCTCACTGATGCCCGCACGCGGTCCCAGGCTGCTGTGAGGGCTATTCACGCGTGTGCCCGGGCGAGGGCTGATGAACTCTGCTCGCTGACACCCACACACACGGTCCCAGGCTGCTGTGAGGGCTGTTGTGGCTTAGGCCAGAGCAGGAGGGGAAGCAGGGATTTGGAGACTACTAGGTGGCATCTTGGGGGAACTTGCTGGGGAGCCCTAGAGGAAGGGCTGCTTGTGTCTGGGCCGCCCCTGAGGGAGCACTGGGGGGATGCCAGCCAGGCCTCAGACAAGAGGACCCCGGATCCCCTCTCTCCTCTGCAGGGTCCCATTGGGTTCCGAGGGCCGCCTGGGATCCCAGGAGCGCCTGGGAAAGCGGTACGTGTGTCAGTGGACGGTGGGCGCCATGCCTCGTGACCTCTCTCCCCTTTCCCTCTGCTCCTCTCAGACGCCCCCAGCCCCACTGGGGCCCCTCTTCTGTGGCTGAGCTGTTCCCTGGACACCCTGGGAGGGCTTGTGGCATGGGTACGGGGGTGCTTACCAATGGAATCCATTCTTTGTGAGACATTCGCCTCCTTTCTGGTTCTGGACGTGGAATGAGGGGTCACCATCGTCCCTCTGGCACCTCCAGCCATCTCTGACCACTCCTGGAGGGCCCAGGCCTGGAGGGGCCCCCATCCCACTCTCTGACCACTCCTGGAGGGCTGTCCCCCGCCCGGGCCTGGAGGGGCCCCCGTCCTACTCTCCGACCAACTCCATGGTGTTAACTCTGTCCCTGCCCCACCTCATCCTTTCCAGGGTGACCGAGGCGAGAGGGGCCCAGAAGGGTTCCGCGGCCCCAAGGGTGACCTCGTAAGTGAGAGGGAAGTTGGTTCCCTGGGTCCTTATGTGGAAGAACCCAATTTCCCTCCTGACTCGTGCTGGGGAGGGGGACACACTTGGGAGTGAGACTGCAAGGGGCTGCCTGGGTGGGCCTGGGGGTGCGTGGGGGTGAGCCTGACCCTGGAGGGCCCGAGCTCTCTCCCTGGCCCCAGCCGTTCTCCCAGAGCCACATGGGAGCTCTGTGGCCCCCTGCAGAGCGGCCCACGAGCCGGGTGGAGGGACCAGGCTCCAGGGCTTGGATCCTGCCCCCAGAGAAAACGGCTCTCGGGTTGAGCAAGTGAACATAAGGAAAGTCCAGAGGCAGCCAAGCGTTCCAGGAGTGGAACTGAAGTGACCGTCCCCAGACTGGTCAGCCTCCACACCTCCCTCGACTGAGCCCTGGCAGCCGGAGTGCAGGGAGCCGCCGTGCCGTCCTGCAGCATCTGTGGATCCAAACACAGTTTTCTCCACGCACCCACAGGCCCCAGGGTGGTGGTCGGGGGTGGCCCCTGCCGCTGCCCACCATAGCTCCTTGGTGTCCCCGAGCAGCTGGCCGGAGAATGCGTGAGGCCGTCTGGGAAGAGACTGCCACTGCTTCTGTCACTTGTGTGTCCTCTAGGGCAGACCTGGTCCCAAGGGAACCCCCGGAGTGGCCGGGCCAAGCGGAGAGCCGGTGAGTGCACGTGGCTGCTCATGGAATGCTCCTCCCCCGGGTCCTGGGTATGTACAGGTGGAGATGGCATTCAGAAGGGCTGGAGCTCAGTGCCCTCTGCTGTGGCCATCTTGAAATCTGGGTTAACGGTGGAACAGCCCCGCAGCCCCACACATTTCTCTCTTGCCCAGAGCCTCACGAGTGTGCAGGAGTAGGGGCCTCAGGCTGGGTTTACCTGCACAGAGGACACGGGAAGTAAGGGTGGGTGGGTAGCACCACTGGGCAGAGGTGGGCACTCCCAGGGTCCCGGGCACCCATGCGGGCACCTTCCTTCCTGCTGGGTGCCCACCCTCAGCCCAGACCTGAGCTCCCTTCTAGCCCCTCGTGTTGCCTCTGCCCCGGAGTAGTGCCCTGTCTTGGGACACCCAGCAGTTGGCTGTGTCCTGATTCCAAAACCAGTCCAGGGTGGACGAGGCAGGCCTGGCCTAAGGCCTCAGTTTCCCCACCGTAAAATGGGCCAGAACCAAACTTCCTTAGGGCACCATGATGTGCCTGGTGGACGAGGCCTCGGGCGTCAGCACTGCATCAGCACCGCCTCTGCCACCCACCCGCACCCCTCACCTGTGCGGTCACCGAGGCAGCACTGGTTGCCACACGGCCACCTTGGTCATGAAACCAGATAACTGCCAGGGTGTGGGGGCAGACACAGTTTTAGGTTGATGGGGAAGGAGGCTGCCCCCAGGGCAGGACTGTAGAGGGAGGGAGGGGGGCCACTGCCCGACGGGCCTTACTCATCCCTTGTCCCCAGGGCATGCCGGGCAAGGACGGCCAGAATGGCGTGCCAGGACTCGATGGCCAGAAGGTTGGCATGGGGCTCAGGGTGTGACGGGAGGGAGGGGGCTGGAGGGGAGTTCGGCCTCCCGAGGCCTCAGCCTCCCCTTCCGCACCCCAATCTCTGTCCTCACAGGGAGAGGCTGGTCGCAACGGTGCTCCGGGAGAGAAGGGCCCCAACGGGCTGCCGGTGAGTGCCCGGCGGGTGGGGCCAGCCTGGGGCGCCACAGCTTCTGCCTGCTCAGTGGCCCATGTTGGGCTGGGTGGGTTGGTCACTGTAGGGCCGACTCCCTGTGAGGGGTTCTGGGGCCTGTGTCCATCAGGGCCTGGCACAACCCCTGGTGCCCAGTGGGTGCTGTGGACGGTTGCCTGTATGTTTGCATGTGTGTGCTTATTCGTGTGTACATGGGACATGTGTGAACATGTTGATGGCCATCCCTGGATGCCGTGCGGTCATCACCCCCATGGGCTCTGAGTAGGGGCTCCTGCATCCAAGGCCAGGGAGGCTGTCAAAGCCGCACCTCAGGTCCACAAGGCTGGGAGAAGTTGGCCCTGCCTTTGGGTGCACTCACTCTGGCCCCTGCACCCTGCCTGCGTGCACGCCCCTGGGTGCTGCTGCCGGCGTGCAATGTAACTGGCAGCCCTGACCGCAAGCTCTCTCCTGGCAGGGCCTCCCTGGACGAGCGGGGTCCAAAGGCGAGAAGGGAGAACGGGTATGTGGCTGCAGCCGCTTTCTCTCTGGGAGGGGAGGCGAGGGGCCGGGAGGCAAGGGGCTGGGGGGCCAGCGACCTGGCCCCAGTGCAGGTGTAGGCAGGCACTCACAGCTCTCCTTCCTCTACAGGGCAGAGCTGGGGAGCTGGGTGAGGCCGGCCCCTCTGGAGAGCCAGGCGTCCCTGTGAGTATCTGCGGCGCCCCAGACCCCTCCCCATCCAGCCTGTGTGCAGACCCTGCCCTGACACCCTCCTTCCTTTCCCTGTAGGGAGATGCTGGCATGCCTGGGGAGCGCGGTGAGGCTGGCCACCGGGGCTCAGCGGTGAGTGCAGGGACATGGCCCGGGGTCGGGGGTTAGCACTGAGCCATTGGCACATGGCCCCAGTTTCTGAGCAGGCCGGGGTGGCATTTGGTTGCCTTGATGGGCCAGGCCCACAAAAGCCTAGGATGCCAGGAGGTGTGGGGCCCCATCTTCTTGTCCCTCACCCGCTGGGAGACGGTCGGGGCCAGGCCGGAGCTGCCCTGTTTTCAAGCCTTCTATGCTGAGCCCAGCCTTGTGCCCCCATAGACTGAGATAATGACAGCACCAGCCACAGGGCCCTGGTGGGGGGAGCCAGGGGCATGGGTGCCTGGCCCCGAGTCTGGCCTGACAAATTGGGTCCAGGGTATGCCTGAGTTCTGAGACCCCCTAAACTGCCCTGGGAGGTAGCCCTGCCTTTGTCCCCAGCAACCCAGCCAGGTGGCTTAGAACCGGCTCCTGTGTCCACCCACTCTGGGGGAAGGCTGAGCCAGGCTCCCTGGGGCCTCTTGGGGACTCCTCGAACCCTGAGACATCCGCTCACACCTCACCTTTGTCTTCCAGGGGGCCCTCGGCCCACAAGGCCCTCCCGGAGCCCCTGGTGTCCGAGGCTTCCAGGTGGGTGAGGTTGGGGCAAGGGCCTGGCATGGGGGGCGGCACACCCAGACGGGCCAGACCCGACAGGGTATGGGCACTGACGAGCCAGGACCTCCTTCCCCAGGGCCAGAAGGGCAGCATGGGAGACCCCGGCCTTCCAGGCCCCCAGGGCCTCCGAGGTGACGTGGGCGACCGGGTAAGTGGCCCTCTCAGCAGGAAGCTCCCCTGCACCCCCTCTACCCATGTACCACAGTCCCCCACCCCCATGACAGTCCCCCAACCCCCACCACAGTCCCCCAACCCCTACCACAGTCCCCCAACCCCCACCACAGTCCCCACCCCCTACCACAGTCCCCCAACCCCCACCACAGTCCCCCACCCCCTACCACAATCCCCCACCCCCCACCACAGTCCCCTGGGACGCAGACAGGGAGAGGCCCTTGCAGCTCCCAGTGGGAAATCTGGCCATGGGCAGTGTCTCCCTGCGTGGCGGAGGCAGTGGCATCAGGGCCCCGACTGTGGCGCCTTTGGCCCCTCTGACCTTCCACGTGGTGTTCCTTGTGGGTGGGAGGCTGCGGGAGCCTGGGCCGCTCTGCCTCCTGCCCTGCGTAGACGCCTGGCGGGACCTGCACACGGTCAGTGTTCATTCCTCGAGATTGGCGTGGAGGCTGAGGCTCAAGAGCCACGCCTGCTCCCGCCTAGCGGGTGTCTGCGGAGGCGCGGTTGACAGAGGATCACGTTGCTATAAAATAGGTTTGAACACCATGTCCCAAGTGACTGTAACGGTCACAGCTTCTACCTCGTCAAGACTTTTTCCTGCTGGTCTTGCAGCAGCTGCAGCATTAGCTCCTTGGGGGTCCGGGCAGAAGCGGGGCACGGCCTACCCAGGGCCCCAGCTCACTGGAAGGAGCCTGTGGGTCTGGTCTGGGCCCCAGCCATGCTCCACCAGGTCCTTGGGGACCTCGTGTGCCTGCTGTGGCCACCTCTGCTGGGCAGACAGACCCCTTTTTAGATGTCAATCCCGAGAAGCCTCCAGGACACGGCTGCAGATGCCCCGTCATTCCAGGGTGATGGTCATTCCAGGGTGATGGCCGGGGCTGTGGACACCACCACCCCATGGGGGATAGCGGGCTGTTTATTGGCCTCCAGGCAGGACATTCCAGAGGTGGGGGCCATGCCAGCAACCTCAGGGCCTCCGAGAGATGGCAGGGCTGGCACCCGCCCTGCGGGCACTGCGCCTGTCCCAGGTGTGGGTGGGGCCTGGTGGCTGAATTTCCCTTTCACTTTAAACTCACGGGAAAGTCTCCTGCTTTTCTGCCCTTTGGGCCAGTTCTCACTTATGTGGCCATGTGAGCAAATGGACATTTTTTAAAGGGATTCATAGCAACTCCCAGACATGTCCTCATTTCACAATGCCGGGGGAAGGTGATTAGATGAGCTTTTGCATCTTTGACTCTACTGTGACGGAATTATCCTGCAATTGTGCAGAAACACCCGCACGAATTCACGGGTGTTACAAACAGTGCAAACCTAACGGGACTTCACTACCCACAAGGGGAGGCTGGACAGAGCCATCGGGCCCAGAGGCTGTGAACGTGAGCTTGGCCTTTGGGCCTGTGTCTGGGAGCCGGTGTTCACAGAAGCCCTTTGTGCAGCACAGATGGAGATGTGGGGAGGTGTTTACCATTCCTGGGCCCAGGGCAGGCTCACTTTAGGGATTCCTGCCATTCCTCTAATCCAGAGCCTTCTCTCCACATCCAGGGTCCGGGAGGTGCCGCAGGCCCTAAGGGAGACCAGGTGAGCTGGGCACAGGCTGGGGCAAAAGGAATGAAGGCAAAGCTGCACAGCTTCTCCCAGGCTCCTCCTGTCCCGGCTCTGGCCCTGGCTGTGTTTTCGGGACACTGAGCCTCCTTTCTCCTCTTGCCGTGTCTGTCAGTCGCCCTTTCTGGCTCCTGCCCCTCCTGCTTAGCACAGCGAAAGCAGCTCTGGGCACCCAGCCCCCAGGCACGCCCCGGCATCCGCCGCTGCCTTCCTGGGTGCAAACAGCTGGCCAGAGTGTCCCTGCATGGCTCTGGGTGCAACAGAAGCTGCTTCTAGTCCAGGAGGCACCAATGGGAACTCTCAAAGGGACAGAGGTGTGTCCTGCCATCCTTCCGGAGAACTGACAGAGGGCAGGGGCTAGGCTCTGCGTGTGTGTTTTGCAGGCAGATTCGAAATGCATTTCTGCTGTTCGAAGCACTCTTCTTTTTGGAAAAGTGTCAGGGTGGGTGGGGCCATGGCCGTGGCTGCCCCGCCCTCCTGCAGTGCCTGCTCTCACTTCTAGGCACAAGGCCTTTCCATACCGCTGGAGGGCCTGCAGCCATCGAACCCCCACCGCAGGTTCTGCTTGGCAGAAAAGCCTCATTATGCAAACAAATGTCTTCCGTTTTTTGGCCCCGCCCCTGCCTGCAGGTCTCCCAAGGGCTGTGTTTGGAGCGGGTTAAAAGGCAGCCCTGGGGCCTGGGCTTTTGGCCTCGACCTTAAGATGAACATTACACCTACGGAGGCTTGAGAGCAGGGACTTTAAGGCATGAAGTCCCTACTCATGCATGAACAGCTCTTTTAACTTTGGGGTGTATCGTTTTCAGGGTATTGCAGGTTCCGACGGTCTTCCTGGGGATAAAGGAGAACTGGTGAGTAATTAGGTAACCTCACTGTTACCAACAGCTGGGAGCGAGGTCGCCACTGTGGCTGGGGAACAGTCCTGGGGACAGGGTCAAAATCTGCAGCTCCCGGTGGAAGATCGGCAGCTCTGCTGGGCAGCGTGGGGATGGAGCAGGGTCGGGCAGAGGCCTTGGCCACTGGCCATCCCTTAGCAAGTGGGCAGGGCCTGGCAGGGAAACTCAGCGGCTCTGGAGTCTGACCTGACCCGGTGCTCAGACGTGTGGGCTCCCGCACTCTGCCCCGTGGAGTGGCACCTGCATGAAGCAGTCACAGCTGCATTTTTGTTTTTTTGTTTTTGGTTTTTTGGGGTTTCTTGTTTTTTGTTTTGAGACGAGTCTCACTCTGTCACCCAGGCTGGAGTGCAGTGGCGCGATCTCGGCTCGCTGCAAGCTCCGCCTCCCGGGTTCACGCCATTCTCCTGCCTCAGCCTCCCAAGTACCTGGGACTACAGGCGCCCGCCACCATGCCCAGCTAATTTTTTGTATTTTTAGTAGAGACGGGGTTTCACCGTGTTAGCCAGGATGGTCTCCATCTCCTGACCTCGTGATCATCCCGCCTTGGTCTCTCAAAGTGCTGGGATTACAGGCATGAGCCACCGCGCCCGGCCGGGGGTTTTTTTTGAGACGAAGTTTTGCTCTGTTGCCCAGGCTGGAGCACAGTGGCGCGATCTCGGTTCACTGCAGCCTCTGCCTCCTGGGTTCAAGCGATTTTCCTGCCTCAGCCTCCTGAGTAGCCAGGATTATAGGCCCTCCCACAGTCGACTAATTTTTTGTGTTTTGGGGGGTTTTGTTTGTTTTTTTTTGAGATGGAGTCTCGCTCTTTCGCCCAGGCTGGAGTGCAGTGACGCCATCTCGGCTCACTGCAACCTTCCCAGTTCAAGCGATTCTCCTGCCTCAGCTTCCTGAATAGCTGGGATTACAGGCGCCTGCCACCACGCCCAGCTAATGTTTGTATTTTTAGTAGAGACAAGGTTTCACCATGCTGGCCAGGCTGGTCTCGAATTCCCGACCTCAGGCAATCTGCCCGCCTCGGCCTCCCAAAGTGCTGGGATTACAGGTACGAGCCACCGCCCCTGGCCTAATTGTTGTATTTTTAGTAGAGACGGGGTTTCACCATGTCGGCCAGGCTGGTCTCAAACTCCTGACCTCAGGTGATCCACCTGCCTCAGCCTCCCAAAGTGCTGGGATTACAGGCGTGAGCCGCCGTGTCAGGCCCACAGCTGGTTTTTAACTGAAGAAAACTCCACTTCCACAGGCCTAAAACTCAGGTGAAGCATAAAATTACGTTCTTGTTTGAGTCCCTTGATAGGCACATTTCTCCTTCTGGAGGTAACAAATGGAGCAGTCGTGAGTCCGAGGGAAGGACGGCCTTTCTGGCTTTCCCGAGGGGGGTTTTCATCTATGATTAAGTCTTTCCTTTGCGTCTGGGTGAAATAGAAACAGCCTAGCCCCAGGGACCCCAGTCTCTGGCAGACCCCCACAGCCCAGTGTAAACTTTTTATGCCTGGGGACAAAAGACCTCAGTTGTATGTGTTTCATTTAGTGAATTCTTTTTTTATTTTTTTTTGAGACGGAGTCTTGCTCTGTCCCCAGGCTGGAGTGCGGTGGTGTGATCTCAGCTCACTGCAATCTCTGCCTCCTGCGTTCAAGCGATTCTCCTGCCTCAGCCTCCCGAGTAGCTGGGACTACAGGTGCCCACCATCACACCCGGCTAATTTTTGTATTTAGTAGAGATGGGGTTTCACCATGTTGGCCGGGCTGGTCTCAAACTCCTGACCTTGTGATCCGCTCGCCTTGGCCTCCCAAAGTGCTGGGATTACAGGCGTGAGCCACCTCGCCCAGCCCATTTAGTGAATTCTTAGACAACACTGACAAATGGACCCTGGAAATCCCAGAAGCTGCCCTACGTGGCCACTGTTGCTGGTGGGGTGAGGGGCAGAGCCCCTTGCAGGCGGAAAACCTAAGGCTTTGCTCTCAGCTACTCGCACGGTCGGGCTGTGTGAGGTGACCCCCTACCCTCCTGGCCTCCGCGGAGCATGCTGTCTGGGCCCGGTCGGTCCCTCTGCTGTGCGGTTAGACTGTGTCAGTCTGTATTCTGCAGCTGTAACAGAACACCGCAGCTTGGGTAGTTTACAAGGGAAAGAGATCCATGTGGCTCCTAGTTCTGGAGGCTGGGAAGCCCAAGACCGAGGGGTGCATCCATCGAGGGCCTCCCCACTGCGTCATTCCATGGTGGAAGGCAGAAGGGCCAAGAGGAGGTGCCAGAGAGAGAAAGGGGCCCAACCCATCCTTTTCATGAGGAACCCACTGCGGAGACAACGGTGTTAGTTTACTCCGGAGAGCCGAGCTCTCAAACCTAATCACCTCTTAATAGCATTGCAGTGCAGTGGCCGTTCAATTGCAGCATGTGTTTTGGAGGAGACATTAACCCGGCTGACTGTGTGTTGACGCACCTGGGGCCAGTCATTCCTGAGGACCCAGCTGGAGGGGGTTCCAGGGTTTTAGGGCAGAGAGGTTCAGCCCAGCATTAGGCGTGTTAGTAAGAAAAAGGAATGGAAGCAAAGTAAGCGTGTGTAAGAGACAGCACCGTGCAGCTAACAAAGTCACTCTTCCCAGGAAAGTAAGTTTTTAAAAAGCTTCAATCAATCAGTGCAATCACAGAAATATAAAAAATGTATATAGAAGAACGGAAGGAACCACTGTCAATATTTGGATGTAGTCTAATAGCAGGTGTGTGGATGATTTGATTTATTTTATCCTCAACTGGCTACTTCCCACCCACCCAACAATACACTTAGTTCAAACACACAACTTTTCTCTTCACAGGGTCCCAGCGGCCTGGTCGGACCCAAAGGAGAGGTGAGTGCCCGGCGACTGTTCCGATGACACCATCCATGGGCGCCTGCTGGCTTCCTGCCCACCTCTGGGCAACCAGGCAGCCCTGCAGGGCACTGCCCAGATCCGAGATGTAAAAAAGCTTGCTCTGGTCAAGGCTGGGCAAGACGGCTCCGTGCCGGCTGGGAAAGAGCACGTCGGGGTGGCTCTGGGCTCCTGGGCTCGCCCCTGACCCACCTTCCTCTGTTCCTCTGCAGTCTGGCAGTCGAGGGGAGCTGGGCCCCAAAGGCACCCAGGGTCCCAACGGCACCAGCGGTGTTCAGGGTGTCCCCGGGCCCCCCGGTCCTCTGGGCCTGCAGGGCGTCCCGGGTGTTCCTGGCATCACGGGGAAGCCGGGAGTTCCGGTACGTCGCTTTTCCGGCTTTTCCAGCTTTCACAGGGTTGAGATCGTGTTTTTTCCGGAAGGAAGTTACTTTGCGGGGTGACGGTGGGAATGCCTCACCGAGGCTGCCGCCCCCATGCTGACGAATGTGTGGGGTGAATTCCAGGGGAAGGAGGCCAGCGAGCAGCGCATCAGGGAGCTGTGTGGGGGGATGATCAGCGGTAAGTCAGCCACGTGCACCGGCTGCAGCGGGGCCCATCCCCGCCTGGGGGTCCCGTGCCTGGGGCTACACAGAAAGCCTTCGTGCCACTGCTTTCCAGCCAAAGTGAGCCCCTAGCACTCACCCCGCCTGTTAGCCCTTGGGGGTCCACGTCCGCCTTGGCGTCTGCCTGTCCTCTGCGCTAGAGGATGGCCCACGCTCCCGCCCCGGATTCAACCAGATTCCCAGCACGCAGCAGACGCCCTAAAGCCTGCTGAATGCAATGGGTACAAGAACAGCGGAGTGTGCCCCTGTGGCTGGCAGGGCAGGTCCCTAAACACCCCCAAGGGCACTTCCTTCACCTTCCCACTCAGGCTTCTCAGGCTCCAAGGGGTTGGGGGTCCTTTCTAGCTCCAGCATTCATCACCCCAAAGCAGTTAAACCATTTTCCATCAATCAGAAGGAAAACTTGCTTCTGGAAGACAGCACCGTGTAGATATTTTATGCTTTACGTAACAATACTTCTGATGATCCTCTCTCGAGTAAACGCCTGCACCCTTGTTTTCCCAAAGAACAAATTGCACAGTTAGCCGCGCACCTAAGGAAGCCTTTGGCACCCGGGTCCATTGGTCGGCCCGGTCCAGCTGGCCCCCCTGGGCCCCCAGGACCCCCAGGCTCCATTGGTCACCCTGGCGCTCGAGGACCCCCTGGATACCGCGGTCCCACTGGGGAGCTGGGAGACCCCGGGCCCAGAGGTGAGTGTTTGACCCCATGACACGGTCACCCTGCTGTAAAAATCCCTGAGACTGACTTGTTAGTAGGCGCTGCTTCTGGTGCCTGCCATGCGCCCTCAGGGGTAACCCCTGGAACGTGGGGGCCTCTCATGTTTTGGGGCCTAGCGCAGTTAACTCCTTGGTAATCCTGTGGGAACTGGAACATTTTTAACATGTGATGTTTTTCTCAAATACCATTAGAACAATATTTGGCAGGGAGGGATTGATTTAAAATGTGACGAAGGCTGGGCGCGGTGGCTCACGCCTGTAATCCCAACACTTTGGGGGGCTGAGGTGGGCAGATCACGAGGTCGGGAGTTCAAGACCAGCCTGACCAACATGGTGAAACCCTGTCTCTACTAAAAATACAAAAATTAGCTGGGCATGGTGGCACACGCCTGTAATCCCAGCTACTCAGGAGGCTGAGGCAGGAGAATCTCTTGAACCCTGAAGGCAGAGGTTGCAGCGAGCTGAGATCGCACCATTGCACTCCAGCTTGGGCGACAGAGCGAGACTCCGTCTCCATAAAAGAAAAAAAAAATGTGAGGAATGGCCGGGTGCGGTGGCTCATGCCTGTAATCCCAGCACGTTGGGAGGACGAGGCAGGTGGATTACTGGAAGTCAGGAGTTCAAGACCAGCCTGGTCAACATGGTGAAACCCCGCCTCTACTAAAAATACAAAATTAGCCAGGCAAAACACAGATGTAAGATTTGAATGACGCAATTAGAGGGATGTGAAAATGCCCTTAGGTGAACCATGGGTGGAAAATCATTTAAAACATGATTACAAAATATTAATAAATACTCAACTGCTTAATAGGCATAAATATTTTGAACAAAACTAAAATCCCATTTAAATTGGCTGCCAGAGGTCAGGGAGGTGGTTCAGCCGTGCACGGCTCAGCAGCAGGCATAGGTTCTGACGGCTGTGCCACTGGGCGGTTTCACTGTGGAACATCTGAGTTCACTTACGCAAGCCCGGCCTCCTGCACCCCTGGGCCGTGTGCCAGAGCCTGGGGTTTATGGCTGCAGACCTGCACAGCCTGTTACTGGGCTGGGTCTTGTGGGCGGTTCTAACCTGGTGGTGGGTATCTGTGTTAAATACATCCAAACACGGGAAAGGAATGGTAAAAATTGGGTATGATAATCTTAAGGGACCACTGTCACCTATGCGGTGCGTCGTCCACCTGCAGCCGTCCTGCAGTCTAAGACTGTGTACAGGTGGGTCCCTCTCGTCGGACCCCGTCAAGCCCTACGCGTGTGACATCTGTACTTTTCTAAATGTTTCCACTTCAGTGAAAAGCTGGCACCCTGTTTGTTACAAAGGTTGATCAGACACCGCTGTGGTGTGGCTGCAACAGATACTCTAACCATATGTCTGTGTCCACACCTCGTGACAGGAAACCAGGGTGACAGAGGAGACAAAGGCGCGGCAGGAGCAGGGCTGGACGGGCCTGAAGGAGACCAGGGGCCCCAAGGTACGAGTCCACGGCCAGCAAGGCTTCACTGGGTGACATCTCTTCCGCCATCTTGTAGCTTTATGTGGGGCGTGCTTGGGTTATGAATGGGTCTCTTTTCCTCTTCTCTTGGCAAAGCAGTCTTAGAGACAAGATTAGGAATTGTCTCAATAACCACTTTAATACATAAAAGTTTAATCGGGGCTGGGCGCGGTGGCTTACACCTGTAATCCCAGCACTTTGGGAGGCTGAGGCAGACGGATAACCTGAGGTCAGCAGTTTGAGACCAGCCTGGCCAACACAGTGAAACCCCATCTGTATTAAAAATACAAAAATGAGCCGGGCGTGGTGGCGGGCGCCTGTAATCCCAGATACTTGGGAGGCTGAGACAAGAGAATCGCTTGAACCCGGGAGGCGGAGGTTGCAGGTTGCAGTGAGCCAAGATGGCGCCACTGCCTTCCAGCCTGGCGACAGAGCGAGACTCCATCTCAAAAAAAAAAAAGTTTAATCAGTAAGCAGATCCTCCTGGATCTATTTTAGCTAAGTCAATTTGGTTAGATTCTGTTTAAGCTACTCAGTATCTATTTCAGTTAAAGTATAACAGAATTTTCTCTTAATTGACCTGTGCATACGTTGAATATTTCCATTTCTAATGTCAAAAATAAATGCTTTGTCACGGAGGGAGGCAGCGCCAGGATCCTTGGCAAAGGCCATCCCCTGCCCGCCCCTGTCTTAGCCTGGTGCCTTCTCAAAACCAGGAGGCCTTAGACTCCAAGGATGTGTGTGTCCAGATGAGAAGGATCCCGAACAGTCTTCGAGAAGGCACCCGCTCCCACCTCTGCCTGGGTGCCCTGGAGCCTTCTCCTCTCCTCTCCTCCACGCACTCACACTGCTCTCTGGATGCCCTGGAGCCCTCTCCTCTCCTCCACCCACCCCACCTCTCCCTGGGTGCCCTGGAGCCCTCTCCTCTCCTCCACCCACCCCACCTCTCCCTGGGTGCCCTGGAGCCCTCTCCTCTCCTCCACCCACCCCACCTCTCCCTGGGTGCCCTGGAGCCCTGTCCTCCCCTCCATGCACGCACGCTGCTCTCTGGGTGCCCTGGAGCCCTCTCCCCTTCTCCCCTCCACGCACACACACTGCTCTCTGGGTGCCCCATGCTCCTGGACTCTCCTTTGCTGACCTAGCTCTGCCTCTACCTGGTGTCCAAACGCACAGGGGTCCCAGGCCCCAGCCACGTCTCTCCGCCTGTGGCTCTGAACAGCATCTGTGTTGCACTTGCTGGTGGACAGCAGCCTCCCGGCCGCACCATGCCCGCACCATGCCCACACCATGCCCGCACCATTCTGGACTTTGTCACCTCATCTCAGTGAAGGGCTCTGACACCCCCCACTTAGGCGGCTGACTCCCTCTTCCCTCACACCCAGGCCTCCCATGTTTCCACTGTCATCACTCACCAAAGCCACCCCACAACCCCCCACTCCGGGCCCCCTGCTCACTCCAAATCCACTCCTTACTCACACAGCCCCCACCAAACCCGCGTAAGTCAGAGTGCGGGTGTCCTCAGGACGGCTCTGCACCCCTGCCTGGGGCTGGCCGCGCCTGGCCTTCCCCGGACACTCCCGACCGCCAGCCCCGCGGAGAGCCTTTGTGTGCCGTTCCCTCGGCCTCCCCACCCGCTGTGGCCTCTCCCCAAGTGAAGAGTGAGCAGATGGAAGAGCAGGGCTTGCCCACAGCTGGATGTCAAGTCCCCCTGCTTTCAGTCCGGGCTGCAGCTGAACTCACCTTTCTGCTCTGTCCCAAGGACCCCAAGGCGTGCCCGGCACCAGCAAGGACGGCCAGGACGGTGCTCCCGGCGAGCCTGGGCCTCCCGGAGATCCTGGGCTTCCAGGTGCCATTGGGGCCCAGGGGACACCGGGGATCTGCGACACCTCAGCCTGCCAAGGAGCCGTGTTAGGAGGGGTCGGGGAGAAATCAGGCTCTCGAAGCTCATAAAATTCAACGTGAGGAAGCAAGTGACAAGGACGCCCGAAGCACAGTGGACGGTCATGAAGGAGCGGGGGTGTGGCAGGCGGGTGACGTCCAGGAGAGGGAGCGCCCCTGGCTGCCCCTCGGCCGCCGACTGGACGCGCGGGCCTTGCCAGCGAGCACCCTCATCGGGCTGTCGCCTGACAGCATACCTCAAAAGGCCCTAGCTAATAAACCTGTAAGCCCAGCATTTGAGAGAAGGTAGGGTGTGTATATATAAAAGGTTGTGTACAACTCCACGAGGTGAAAAATATTCAGTAACTTGTTTACATAGCATTTGTGTAAAGACTATGATCTCATCCCAATAAAATGATATATTAAACCTTCAGATTAATGACTGGCTACAGAGTAACAAAAAATAAAGAATTTAATGTACAGTAAATTCTCTCCCATACAAAGGTCTAGTCTGATGTTTTGTGTACAAACTCACATCTCCAATTAACAGTATTTATTGAGGGTGACTTTGTATTGCACTAACGTCTATTGCTATTACCTGTTGTGATTGATAAGTAAAGCCACTCATTGAAAAACCCAATTCCAAACACCACAGTTTGTGACACATGAAGTAATGAATGACTCTTGGTATGAAAACGTGGCATTTAAGCGTCTACTGTGACAGTATTTCATTTGTGGACAAAAGTAGCTTTAAAGCAAGTATCTGGAAAATTTTTAGCACACAGGTTTAAAATGGTCCTGCACGTTGCAATACAGCAGCACGTGACTCAGAGTCATGACAAGGGGGTGTGATATAACGAATGAAATAAAATTTCCAAACTGTTTTTAGTTAACAATTTAACTTGTTCCAATTGCTAAAGGGGCATATTTAAAAGGTAAATAAGTAAAAAGCCGTGTACTTTTTAAGATTAAAGAAAGTACAAAGGATGTCAATTTTTTAAGTTATCATGTTAAGAAAACATGATGGAATCAGAGCATTGAGAAAATGCTTACTAATTATTACTAATTAATTATTACTAATTATTAAGATGGCTTCATCCCCAAATGGTCTAAGAGGACATTCATGGATAAGCATTTGCGTCTAGATAAATATTTTTACAAAATGTGCTCTCAAAGTCCCTACTGGAGTCCCGTCAGCTTGAGTCACGCCCTTTTCGAGTCAGACTAGCCGAGCAGAGCTCCAGGGTTGCAGAAGGCGTGCACAGGTCACGAAGGAATGGCTGTTCACCCCCCGAGGATTCCTGTTCAGTCCGATCACTTGATCTCCATCGAGGGGCTGCTCTGTAAACTCCCCTGTGCAGGACAGGTCACCAAGGAGTCCGGTCTGGTCAGCTTTAGCCTTCGGCCAGTTTTACCGCAAAATACGCTCTCAAATTCCTGCAGTGAAGAAGTGACGGTTAACATACTGAATTAACTGACATGAAAACTGCTGTCTTCCAAAGTGCAAAAGGTTCAAATTAAGAGCTAAGTAAATGACTTTAGAATACGCTGTTTTAAGGTGTCATTCACAAACTTGTGTCTTACCTCACAAGGGGATTTATATAATAAACAGATTTTAACTTTTTTTTTTTCAAATAGCAGTTACACTGTACATGTACTTTTGTTTTTCCAATACTCAGAATGTCTGGCCACACTGTATTGATTTTATTGTGGTAAAATATACATGACATGAACGTTTCAACCGCTAATGGGCCCTAGCTAATAAACCTGTAAACCCAGCGTGTGAGAGAAGGTAGAGTGTATATATTAAAACGTTTCAGGCCGGGCGTGGCGGCTCACGCCTATAATCCCAGCACTTTGGGAGGCCGAGGTGGGTGGATCACCTGACGTCAGGAGTTCAGGACCAGCCTGATTAACATGGTGAAACCCCATCTCTACTAAAAATACAAAAATTAGCTGGGCGTGGTGGCAAGCATCTTGTGACCCCAGCTACTTGGGAGGCTGAGGCAGGACAATCTCTTGAGCCTGGGAGGTGGAGGTTGCAGTGAGCCGAGATCATGCCATTGCACTCCAGTCTGGGCAACAAGAGTGAAACTCCGTCTCAAAAAAATAAATTTTTAAAAAGTTTCAACAATTAACAAGTCAGGGGCATCTACCCCCACCCCAGGGCGACTGCCTTGCCCTCTGCACTGCCACACACTCAGGGTTCCAAGGCCAGCAAGGTGGAGGTGCTGCTCGCTGAGATGGCTCTGTCCTTGGGGAGACCCTGCCAGCAGGGTGGGGGTGGGCTGAGCTTGCTCCTGTCACACCACCTGTCTTTTACAAAAGGCCTCAATTATAATGGTGGGGTCAGTCTCAACCTCCCGAAGGAGACTGAGAGGAAGAGAGGGGCACAGGCGACGGCCCGATGACAGGCGCCAACCACCACGGGCAGAATGTGGAAACGTCTACGGGACAAATCATTCCCTTTTCAACAAATGAACGGTGAGGAAGAAAGGAAGGGGGAACTATTACGGGTTAAGATATATTTAAAAACTATCAACCAAATGTGATGTTTGGATCCTGATTCAAATGAGCTGACCGTAGAGACACCTGTGGGCTCACGGGAGATTCTGCTCAGATTCGGGAAGGAGACTCAGGTGGGTAATAAGGAGTGAAGGCTTTCAGGAAGGAGACTGATAATGCGGTTGTGTTTTTAAACAGGCCTTTTCTTTCGGAAGATATATTTATGAATGAAATGATGTCTGGAATTGTTTTAAAATAATTCAGCGGGGGTGGGAGGGCGAGGGGATAGGTGAAACAAGCTGATGCCTGAAACTGAGTTAGAGGGACCTGGGAGTTCACTTTCTATTTCTGTGCAGATTTGAAAATTTCCATAAGTTGGTTTTAAAACATAGCATTCTACACGATTAAATCCAGGTTTATACAGTTTTTATTGTGGTATTAAAATATAGCATAAAATTTGCCTTTTAAGCATGTGTAAGTGTACAGTGGAGCAGCGTGAAGTCCACTCACAGTGCTGTGCAGCCGCCACCACCTTTTCATCACCCTAAACAGAAACTCCGTACCCATTAAACACTAACTCCACACCGCTCCGGCCCCCAGCCCCTGGCACGTACCAGTCCACTTTCTGTCTCTCTGAATCTGACGGCTCTAGGTGCCTTGTTTACGGAATCCCGCAGGGTGTGCCCTGTTGTGACTGGCTTATTTCACTCAGCATAATGACCTCGGGCCATCCATGCTGTAGCCTGTGTCAGAATTTCATTCCTTTTCATGGCTGAGTAAGATTCTGTTGTGTGCTTGTAACACATTTGTTTACTCATTCCTCTGCTGGAGCACACTTGAGTCATTTCCACCTTTTGGCCACTGTGAAAGGTGCTGCCATGAATATTCATAGAAAAGCATCCATTTGGGTCCCTGTTTCACCTCTTTGGGGTTTATGCTTCTCTGGTGATTCTATGTTGAACCTTCTGAGGAGCTGTCATACTGTCTTCCACAGTGGCTGCACCATTTCACACCCCCAGCGGCAAAGCACAGGGATTCTGATGTCTCCACATCCTTGCCAACACTTGCTATTTTGCTTTTGTTTTTGTTTTTGAATAGCCATCCTAGTATGTGTAAAAGTAGTATCTCATTGGGTCTTGATTCGTATTTCCCTAATGACTAACGGCTTGGCGCATCTTTCATGGGCTTATTGGCCATCTGTGTATCTTCTCTGGAGAAATGTCTATTCAAGTTCTTTGCCCATTTTTCAGTTGTGCTGTCTTTTTTTTGGACAGGGTCTTGCTCTCTCAGGCTGGAATGCAGTGGCACATCCACGGCTCACTGCAGGCTCAGCCTCCCGAGTAGCTGGGACTACAGGTGCACACCATCACGCCTGGCTTTCAACATTTTTTTTCTGTTTTTTTTTGTTTGTTTTTTGTTTTTTTTTTTTTGAGACCGAGTCTCACTCTGTCACCCAGGCTGGAGTGCAACAGCGTGATCTCAGCTCACTGCAACCTCCACCTCCCTGCAACCTCTGCCTCCTGGGGTTCAAGCAATTTTCCTGCCTCAGCCTCCTGAATAGCTGGGATTACAGGCACCTGCCACCACACCCGGCTAATTTTTGTTTTTTTAGTAGAGACAGGGTTTCACCATGTTGGCCAGGCTGGTCTCAAACTCCTGACCTCAGGTGATCCACCCACCTCGGCCTCCCAGAGTGCTGGGATTACAGGCGGGAGCCACGGTTCCCAGTCTGTGTAGTCTTTTTGTTGCTGAGTTGTAGTAACTTTCTACTTAATTCAAGTCCAGGAGGACACAAGCGCCATGCTGCCATGGATTTAACTTCTGAACCACCTGGAGTGACTGGAACATTCCACCCATCCACTTTTAAGCAACTTTCCAACCAAGCAAGCTGCCATTTCCAACTACTGTGTGCACTCAGAATCTACACCTGCATATAAATATACTCATTTTCTTCCCAATTTTTTTTTTTTTTGGATATGGAGTTTCACTCTTGTCGCCCAGACTGGGGTGCAATGGCACGATCTCAGCTCACTGCAACCTTTGCCTCCTGGGTTCAACTGATTCTCCCACCTCAGCCTCCTGAGTAGCTGGGATTACAGGCATGTACCACCACGCCCGGCTAATTTTTGTATTTTTAGTAGAGACGGGGGTCACACCGTATTGGCCAGGCTGGTCTCGAACTCCTGACCTCAGGTAATCTGCCCACCTCAGCTTCCCAAAGTGCTGGGATTACAGGCGTGAGCTACGACGCCCAGCTTCTTCCCAAATTTTAAAAGGTTTTAGGATGCAATTTAAAATGACCCCACATTTTGATAATTTCCTATATTCTGACACCTAAAGCCTACATATAAAAAACACTTGCCTATTTGGCAAGATAGAATTCACCTTTCAGGACAATTAAATGAAAGTCAGAGCCTGGGCCGGCTCCGGAGAAGTTAGACCCTCGGAGCTGGTCTCGGACTGCTGGGGCGTCACCCCTTCAGCAACCCCCGCTGACCATGGCAGTATTTCATGACGAGGTGGAAATCGAGGACTTCCAATATGACGAGGACTCGGAGACATATTTCTGTCCCTGCCCATGCGGAGATAACTTCTCCATCACCAAGGAAGAGCTGGAGAATGGGGAAGGTGTGGCAATGTGTCCAGGCTGCTCTCTCATTATAAAAGTGATTTATGACAAAGATCAGTTTGCGTGTGGAGAAACAGTGCCAGTGCCTTCAGTCAACAAAGAATGAGTTAAATGCTAAGGAAGCCTTCAGGAATCCGAACCCTGAACAGCTGGAAATGAGCCCAGATAGAAACTTCAAATGCAAAGCTCCTGGCTTCGTGGAGACACAGCCATTTGTGATTTGCTGTTCTGTAGGCGTGTTGTGGATTCTTTCCATCAACTGCTGATTTCATCTTCAGGAAGCAAGTCCATAACATGACGTATCTGGAGTTTGTGCTTAGAACCTTAAATTGGAAGCATTCTTAATTATCCATCTAAATTTAAAAGACGATAATTTAAAAAAAAAGAAGGAAGGAAGAAAATAATCATCCTCAGACATAACTAGGCGCTCGCAAGATCTTCTGAACTATTTTCACACAGTGATGAGGCTAGTCCCGGCGTCTGCCTTCACTATGAACAGTTGGGCAGAGGCAGGGTTGAGTTGTGGTTCCATCTGGACCCTTGCAGGGCCCGCCCACGACCCGTCTCCTGGGAGCTGGGGCAGCTGTGAAAGAGAGGAGCAGATCCCCTTAGTCCTCCTCAGCTGAGCCCAGGCCAAAGACGTGGTACTGATGTCATCGCACTCTCAATCTGCACCTCAATCCAAATGCATCTATTTGCAACAGAACATATGTGAAATCGTTGAGTTTTAAAGGAATTTTTATAACATCAAAACATTGAGATGACAACGTCCCAAAGCAGATACTCATGTTAGATTTGTGAACATGAGAAGAATAACAACAAGACGGGTGCGGTGGTGAGGGGCGCCTACGGTCCTAGCTACTCGGGAGGCTGAGGCAGGAGGAGCACCTGAGCCCAAGAGGACGAGGCTGCACTAAGCTGTGGTTGCACCGCACTCCAGCCTGGGTGACAGAATGAGGGCCCCTCGCTGGGAAAAAAAAAAAAAGAGAGAAAGAAAAAGAAAAATAATAATACCAACAATAAAAAAAATTTTCTTAGTAAGAAAAAAGAAATAGCTCTAACTATGAGTCAGGAAAATATACCAGGAAGTTATTAAGAGGAAGAAAGCGGCCGGGTGCAGTGGCTCACACCTGTAATCGCAGCACTTTGGGAGGCCGAGGTGGGTGGATCACCTGAGGTCGGGAGTTCACGACCAGCCTCACCAACATGGAGAAACCCCATCTCTAATAAAAATACAAAATTTGCCGGGGTGGTGGCACATGCCTGTAATCCCAGCTACTCAGGAGGCTGAGGCAGGAGAATTGCTTGAACCCAGGAGGCAGACGCTGTAGTGAGCCAAGATCGCGCCATTACACGGCAGCCTGGGCAACGAGTGAAACTTCATCTCAAAAAAAAAAAAAAAAAATTACAAGCTATTTAAAACTGAGAAACAATGAAAGCATTGTGTCCTAACCTGTGAAATGTTTCAAAAGCACACCAGGACAAATTTACTATAATGCATTGATTAGAAAACAACATAGACAAAATAAACTTTCAACCCAAGATACCAGAAAAAAATAAAACTTCAAGAAGGAAATAATAGAAATAAGGTTTTGGGATAATAAAGATAAGAGCAAATTATGATGGAAAAAGCACTACCACTGACCCCACATAAAAAACCAACAAAGTGAATGACTGAGCCCCAGAAAGACTCCAGCACGGCCCAGGCCAGAGGGGTACAGCAGACCAAGGAGCTCAGGTGGCCAGAGGTAAGGAGGCATAAACTCATTAGGACAAAAAGAATGGCTTTTCTTTTTCAAGATGCTTTATTTTTAAAACAGGTCACAACACAGCGTTCGGCTCATTCTGCCACGAACAAGCTACAAACGCTTGCTCTGCAGCCGAGAGGCCCTCCAGTGGCCATGTTCAAAAACAGAATGAAAATCCGTATGTAGGCCAGGCGCGGTGGCTCACGTTGGTAATCCCAGCACTGTGGGAGGCCGAGGCGGGCGGATCACCTGAGGTCAGGAGTTCGAGACCAGCCTGGCCAATATGGCAAAACTCCATCTCTACTAAAAATACAAAAATTAGCTGGGCGTGGTGGCGTGACCAAACGGCATGGGAGGCCATGATCACAGGCTGCTGGGAATGGATCCAAGAGAGGATGAAGTGGCTCAGGAGGTACAGACAAGCGCCGGGCAGCCGGGCAGCCAAGGAGAGCAGAGAAATGGGCGGTTGCCAGTACAGGACACGAGGTCCAGGGAGTTCTCACAGAAGGATCACGGGAGAAGTCACAGCGTGTCCGCAGGAAAGGAGGAGAGAAGGGACAGGCCAGTCCGAGTCTGCAGCAGGGCCTGACAACAGACAGCACGTGAGGGACAGCGACACCGGGGCCTGATGCAGATGGCAGGGAGATGCGAAGCGGGACTCAACCACCTGCTGGTGTGAAGAAGGGAGGGACAGACACCACAAGGGAGGCCCCAGGAGTGGCTGGCACCTTCAGGGCCCCCAGCGTGCAGGGGCATCTCACAACTAAACACAACCAGCGCCCCAGACGCCATCCCGACTGGGGAAAAAGTTGTAGTGGGCACTATTGAGACAGCAGGCAAAATGTGAATAACAGTCTTGCACCAATGTTAAATGTCCTGATTTTCATCGTTGTGGATATTAAAAAGTCAACACGGGGGCCGGGCACAGTGGCTCAAGCCTGTAATGCCAGCACTTTCAGAGGCCGAGGCGGGAGGATCACCTGAGGTAAGATCGAGACCAGCCTGGCCAACATGGCGAAACACTGTCTCTACTAAAAATACAAAAATTAGCCGGGCGTGGTGGGATGCGTTTGTAATCCCAGCTACTCGGGAGGCTGAGGCAGGAGAATCGCTTGAATCCAGGAGGCGGAGGTTGCAGTCAGCCGGGATCACGCCATTGCACTCCAGACTGGGTGACAAGAGCGAGACTCCGTCTCAAAAAAAGTAAACACTGGGCCGGGTGTGGTGGCTCAGGCCTGTAATCCCAGCACTTTGGGAGGCTGAGACAGGCGGATCACAAGGTCAGGAGTTCAAAATCAGCCTGGCCAACATGGTGAAACCCTGTCTCTATTAAATACAAAAATTAGCTGGGTGTGGTGGCTCAATGGTAATCCCAGCACTTTGGGAGGCTGAGGTAGGCAGGATCACTTGAGGTCAAGAGTTTGAGACCAGCCTGGCCAACATGGTGAAACCTGGTCTCTACTAAAAATACAAAAATTAGCCGGGCATGGTGGGCCATGCCTGTAGTCCTAGCTACTCAAGAGGCTGAGGCAGAATTGCCTGAACCTGGGAGGCAGAGGTTGCAGTGAGCTAAGATGACACCACTACACTTCAGCCTGGGCAACAGAGCGAGACGCCGTCTCAAAAAAAAAACACGGAAGTATTTAAGTATAAAGAAGCATGGTGTCTGCAGCTTACTATCAAATGGATCCCAAAGATACCTGGAGAGAAACTGGGACCGGCAGGGAGAATGGAGCAAACCCGGACAGGCCTACAAAGAGCTCTTTGTACTGTTCTTGCAATTTTTCTGTAAGTTTGAAATTACACCAAAATTTAAAATTACCAACAGTAAATAGAGCCATCTAAACCCAGAATGTGGGGCATTCTCTAGACAACCGGCCTGATCTCTTCAAAGCCTCAATGCCATAGTTAATAACTGTGGGGGGGATTCTTGTAGCTCAAAGAGCTTGAAAACTGTCATCAAATGCAGTGCATAATCCATGGCTGGGTGCTGGACTGTGGAAAAAAACAGCTATGAAAGTCATTTTTAGAACATTTTGGCTGGGTGTGGTGGTTCATGCCTGTAATCCCAGCACTTTGGGAGGCCAGCCTGGGCAACATAGCAAGACCCTATTGCTACAAAAATTAAAAAACTAGTCAGGCATGGTGGCTCATGCTTGTAATCCCAGCACTTTGGAAGGCTGAGGCAGGAGGATCACTTGAGCCCAGAAGTATGAGACCAGCCTGTGAAACATGGCAAAACCCCATCCCTACAAAAATAAAATTAGCTGGTCATGATGGCACACACCTGAAGTCCTAGCTACTTAGGAGGCTGAGGCAAGAGGATTGCTTGAGCCCAGGAGGCAGAGGCTGCAGTGAGCCATAATCATGTTACTGCACTCCAGCCTGGGAGACAGCAAGACCCTGTCTCAAAAAAATAAAACAAAACAAAATAAACATTAAAATAAAAAAATTAGGCAGGTATAGTGGCAATAAAAGAACATTTTGGGCAAATCTGAATAGTCTGTGCATTAGAGGATATGAAAAAGACTTATTATCTTGGGGAGGCATGATCATGGCACTGGGATTCTGTGGAAGGCCTGTCTTGGAGATTTATGTAGAAATATTTAGAGATGAAGGTTCGTGTCTATAATTGTCTTTGAAATTGTGCGTGTGTACAAAGTAAATACGGTAAATGTTCATTGCTGAGACTGAAGCATGGGTGTACAGGTGTTCACTGTAATTCCTATGTTCACTAGAAAACGAACAGAAGTGAATCACTGATGGCTGACGCCGCCCTGCCCTCACCCCATACTTATCTATCCCCTGCCTCCCGATGTCCCCACCTGACGCCCCCAGAATGCCGAGATCCTGCTTCTCTGAGTCTTCCCTCTCAGTAAACAGCCCCATCCACCCAGCCACCGAGGCCAAACCCTGACGCCTTTTTCCCATCACAACCCCCAACTGGTACCGCCACAAACACAAGAAGCCTTGTGCCTTTCCTCCTCCCCAGCGCCGCCCCCTGGCAGCCATCGCCCGGCAAGCCACATCTTCCAGCTACTGCAGACTCCTGGTTTCCACTCTCACCCCAGCCCAGCTCCTACTCCCTAGCATCCAGTGTCCCCCAGCAGCAGGGTGATATGGGTCATGTCACTCACTGCCCAAAGACTGCCGAGGCCCCCAACCCTCAGGACTAGCGGTCCACCAGGCCCCAGCCTGCCCCGGTGCCCTGCCCAGCAACACTGGCTGGCAGGCAGGCACTCCTCAGACTCTGCAGCCGGCAGGTCCTGGCTGCCAGCTCCCTGTCATCATTGGGCCTTGGTTGGGCGCCTCCCTCGACCACCCAACATCACCCAATCCAAAGCAGCCCCCGAGTCCGGCTGGCTCGCAGCAGCACCTTCCACCCGCAAGGCCCTGCTCCCACTGTCTTCACGTTTACTCGTCCCCTGCCTCCCTCCATGCCAGACATGCCTCTATCTTGCGCAGGGTACCCCAGCACCTTCAGCAGTGCCTGGTCACACTGGAAAAGACCTGCTGAGTGAAATGTGTACCAAAATAATGTAGAGAAATCACTTAAAACTCTCATGTATTACGTCTTCAAGGACAAAAATATGCATCCAAGTAAAAGGGGGCAGTCACTAAAGAAACAATTAAGAACCCATGTGTTTCGGCTTTTTATGTTCTAATTCCCCGAAAAAATTGTGAACTGACTTGACCTCAGCCTGTTTCTTGGTGGGTCTAATAATGTGACCCAGAAGTAATCAGATTCAATGTAATTACATTTAAGAAATATTCAGCAAACATAATGTATGTAAAGTATCATATCCATAAACATTTGGTCTACTTAATCTTTGACTATACATACAATTAACATTTTTTAATTTCAAAAATTATAAATGCCTTCGTCTTGAGTAAATCAGATCAATAATGATTTACTAATAGATACACAAAGCCAAAACATTAAAGCATTTTTTAAAACACAAAAGCTTTATTTTATCAAAACAAATCAACAGTCTACCTCTAACAATAATCTTCAAGAGTAACTGCATTGTAAATAACCATAAACGATCCGATCAGAATACATTCAACATAGCATCGCTATAGAATGCAATTAAATGTATAATGTAAATAAACAACTTAAATTATGCAACTCGCAAGATGTAAATGTCATGTGGACACAGAAAAGGGACAGAGACAAGACAAACTATTGCCTGGCGCTGAAGAGACGAGCCCTCACTCAACACAGCCCAGCTGCGGGGACCTCTCTCTAGCCCCACCATGACGTAGACACAGGAGCCCTTCTTTTGAGATGGAGTCTCGCTCTGTCACCCAGGCTGCAGTGCAGTGGTGCTATCTTGGCTCATTGCAACCTCCGCCTCCCGGGTTCAACAATTCTCCTGCTTCAACCTCCTGAGTAGCTGGGACTACAGGCGCCACCACGCCTGGCTAATTTTTGTATTTTTAATAGAGACGGGGGTCTCATCATGTTGGCCAAGCTGGTCTCGAACTCCTGGCCTCAAATGATCCACCCGCCTCGGCCTCCCAAGTGCTGGGATCACAGGCATGAGTCACTGCGCCAGGCCTGGGAGCCCTTCTTGGAAGAGGTCCTTGTTTGTTGCAGCAACCTTAGTTTGTTCTCTAGTCAGACTCCTGCCTGGGTCAACAGCAGCAATTCCCCAACAGCTTGGACCAGGTACAAAGTCAGGACCCTGTGGATCTATTTCACTAAGGTCTGCTCACTCCTAGAGGGCCAAAGAGCCACTGACCCTGGCCACTGCAACGCTGAGGCCGGGACCTGGAACTCGGGTCCCCCAAAGGCAGGGCCCAGGACCCTGGAACTCGGGTCCCCTGAAGGCAGGGCCCAGAACCCTGGAACTGGGGTCCCCCCAAGGCAGGGCCCAGAACCAGCCCTGTGACTGACACCTTCTTCCTTTTAGGCCACTGAGGGGCTGACTGAACTCCTGCATTCAAATCACACGTCTAGTTCCAGCCAACCACGATGGCTTGCTGCAGGCCACTGCCACGACCACACAGACAGGATCACGGCAGGCTGGCTGTCCTGAGGGACTGCATATGCTGGCGCTAACACGCCGGCTCCTCCCTAGTCACCCAGTCCACAGAAGTATATTCACCCGGTCCACAGAAGTATATTCACCCGGTCCACAGAAGTACAGTCACCCGGTCCACAGAAGTATATTCACCTGGTTGACAGAAGCATAGTCACCTGGTCCGCAGAAGTATATTCACCCATTCCACAGAAGCACGGTCACCCGGTCCGCAGAAGTATATTCACCGAGTCCACAAAGGTATAGTCAACCAGTCCACAAAAGTATGTTCACCCAGTCCATGGAAGTATAGTCACCCAGTCTGCAGAAGTACATTCACCCAGTCAGCAGAAGTATATTCACCCAGTCCGCAGAAGTATAGTCACCTAGTCCGCAGAAGCATGGTCACCCGGTCGGCTGAAGTACATTCACCCAGTCCGCAGAAGTATAGTCACCCGGTCCACAGAAGCATAGTCACCCGGTCCACAGAAGTACAGTCACCCGGTCCGCAGAAGCACAGTCACCGGTCCACAGAAGCATAGTCACCCGGTCCACAGAAGTACAGTCACCCGGTCCACAGTATAGTCACCCAGTCCACAAAAGTATAGTCACCCAGTCCACAGAAGTATAGTCACCCAGTCCACAGAAGTATATGCACCCAGTCCACAGAAGTATATGCACCCAGTCCACAGAAGTATATTTCTTATTAACCTGCTGGGCATATTTGAAGTCCAGATCAGACTATTTGACACTTATCTGCATTTTTGTTTCTCTTTCTTTTTTGGGGTGGGTGGGGGTGGGGCAGGGTCTTGCCCTGTTGCCCAGGCTGGAGTGCAGTGGTATGATCTCAGCTCACTGCAGCCTCGACCTCCCTGGCTCAATTGATCCTCCCTCCCAGCCCCCGCCCCGAGCAGCTGGGACTACAGGCATACGCCACCACACCAGGTTAATTTTTGTATTTTTTAGTAGAGATGGGGTCTTGCCATGTTGCCCAGGCTGGTCTCAAACTCCTGGGCTCAAGAGATCCTCCCACTTCAGCCTCCCAAAGTGCTGGGATTACAGACGTGAACCACTGTGGCTGGCCGGTTTTTGTTTTTCTATTCTTGCTTTTATCCCTTTCACAAGTTTTTCTGAGGGCAAATATCATGTCCTACACACCCGTCAGCCCCAGTGCAATATACCGTACACAGCAGGTGCCCAATTTGCTATCTGACAATTGCCTCTTCACAGTTATTTACACACTGAGTGTAACACATGTAGGCTGTGACTATTACTTTAATAAATGACAAGTTATATCATTAAAGAGCAGAGCTTTGCTCATACTGGACTTAGTATTTGATGTTAGATTCCAGGAAACAAAGGATAGTTTGAGTTATCCTTAGGAAAAAGGAGGGACATTGTTAAGTAAAATTTGTAAAATTCTGAAAATCTACCTGGCCTACCACTAACCTTTTTAAGAGAATCTCCATGTCTTTCCTGGATGTATTTCAGGAATGCTGTGGTCCACTGCAGAGTTGTGGCCTTGTCAGTCTCGGCATTGCAGAACGGCACTAAGAGATTCAACTCATCACAGCAAATGCGGATTCTGCGCCTATAGTCAAAACCCAAAGTCATCACCGAGAGAGACCGGAGCAAAACAAACATGTAAAAGGAAGCGTCTCCTGTAGTACTTGAGGGAACCAGAGCTCGTGCATCCTGGCCACTGAGTGCCACGGAAGCGCCTGTCACCACAGGAAGCCCCACGGCTTTGCCACGGCCTTGTCTACAGAGGCAGCCACTGCCTTCCAGAGGCCAGAGCATCCTCGGGTGCCCTTGGCGGCCCCATGACCCACAAGCTCCCTGGAGCTTTCCCTCTTTACTTCTCACGGGCCAGGTTCAAGTCTCTAGATTAGGGATGGCTCCAAAGCCCCTGAAACTGGAAGCAACATTTTGTGTCTGACACCTTCTTCCATTTGGACCACTGAGGGGTCCAAATTGGGCAGATAACTCTGTCATTCAAGACTGATATTACTTGCCCTTCACGGGCTAAATACCCTACCAGGAACTCGTGCACAGCTTTCTCCAAGGGGCCCTGATTCAGAAAGGATCACGGCCCAACACTCTGTTAATATTCTGAAACTTGGTCTTTGTAGAGATAAACAATTGGAGTCTTGTTATTAGACTATTTTTTAAACTTTTACATATTACATTCAGTAACATGCAAAGTCCTAAACAAGCAGATACTGAGCAACTTATTCAATATGGCCCTTGTTACTCACCTTCACACCCGTCTATTTAGAACTTTAATTAGAGACTTTGCCAGTAAAACAGCAGCTGGCATTTACTAGGTGCTTTTGGACTTCTAGACATTGAGCGAAACACTCTTTACACATCAGCTCACTGAACTCTAACCACAAGTCTACGCAGTAGAGCTAGAAGTCCAACTTTCAAACTGTCAACGTACGGTGTAAGGCTTTCCACATAGCAGGTACTCAATAAATGTCTATTAAATAAATGTCGGAGCAAAATGCCCTTCATAATTCACAGTAGGGTGAGGAAGGCCCTCAGTTAGTCCATGTGTATAAAAGTATCATAAAAAGATATTAGCTAGCTTTTTAATTTTCTTTCTTTGGGGGATGGGTCTCACTTTGTGGCCCAGGCTGGAGTGCAGTGGCATGATCACAGCTGACTACAGCGCTGACCTCCCAGGCTCAAGTGATCCTCCCACACCTCAGCCTCCCAAGTAGCTGGGGCGACAGGTGTGCAACACCACCACTACTAGTATTGTTGGTTTTTCTTTAGAGACGGGGACTTGCTATGTTGCCCAGGCTGGTTTCAAACTCCTGGGCTCAAGCAATCCTCCCACCTCGGCCCACAGTCATGAGCCACTGCACCCTGCCCCAGCAAGTTTGAATAGATCCCTTTAAAAGAAATTGCCATGCCAGGCGCAGTGGCTCAAGCCTGTAATCCCAGTACTTTGGGAGGCCGAGGCACGTGGATCACCTGAGGTGAGGAGTTCGAGACCAGCCTGACCAACATGGAGAAACCCCTCCTGTACTAAAAATACAAAATTAGCTGGGCGTGGTGACGCATGCCTGTAATCCCAGCTACTCAGGAGGCTGAGGCAGGAGAATCGCTTGAACCTGGGAGGCGAAGGTTGCGTTGAACCGAGATCGTGCCATTGCACTCCAGCCTGGGCAACAAGAGTAAATCTCCATCTCACCAAATAAAAAAATAAATAAATAAATAAATTGCCTTAGCTCAACATTCAACCTTGGAGCTTCAAACCTGAGTATTTGTCTCACTCACTGTTATTTATTTCCTGAACTTAAAGCAGAAACTGGTACACAGTACCAGTACTCGATACATTATGTAGTTAATTAATTATAGATTAGGGAAATATTCTATGAAAACCCAATTATAGGCCGGGTGTGGTGGCTCATGCCTGTAATCCCAGCACTTTAGGAGGCCGAGGCAGGCGGATCACAAGGTCAGGAGTTCGAGACCAACCTGGCCAATATGGTGAAACCTCATCTCTACTAAAAGGTACAAGAATTAGCTGGGCGTAGTGGCGGGTACCTGTAATCCCAGCTACTGGGGAGGCTGAGGCAGAAGACTCGCTTGAACCTGGGAGGCGGAGGTTGCAGTGAGCCGAGATCATGCCACTGCACTATTCCAGCCTGGGTGACAAAGCAAGACTCCGTCTCAAAAAAAAAAAAAAAAAAGAAAAAGAAAAGAAAACCCAATTATAATAGAAAAAAATTAACCACTCTTAATTCTACAAAGAAGGATACCACAAATAAAATCTACAGACAAAACCACTTAAATAACAATTTTAACCTCTTCCTTCCCAGCAATCTTAAAAGAACCAGGCAATAGCCAGGAGCGGTGGCTCACACCTGTAATCCCAGCACTTTGGGAGGCCGAGGCGGGCAGATCACGAGGTCAGGAGATCAAGACCATCCTGGCTAACATGCTGAAACCCCGTCTCTACTAAAAAATACAAAAAAATTAGCCAGGTGTGGTGGCAGGCGCCTGTAGTCCCAGCTACTCAGGAGGCTGAGGCAGGAGAACGGCATGAACCCGGGAGGCGGAGCTTCCAGTGAGCAGAGATCGCGCCACTGCACTCCAGCCTGGGCGACAGAGCAAGACTCCGTCTCAAAAAAAAAAAAAAAAAAAAAGAACCAGGCAAAACTTGCTGAACTCAAGCTGGCTGGTAAGCAGCAGTTACCAAAACAGCCTGACCACTCTCCTCAGAAAGGCCTGCAGTCAGGGCTGGCCCTTAGTGGAGTCTGCAAACCTAGATTCAGGGAGTTAAGAGTGCCCCCAGAACCTACACTGTGCAAACGATATGGCTGACACTGAACAACTGCTTTCCTTCTGGGAGACTGGACTGTGGTTGCATGCATGGGGGCAGTGCCTACGTGACACGCCCCTGGTCTCTAGCGAGCTTTCCTGGTTGGCAACACCTCACCCACGTTTTCAGACCACATGGCTGGGGGCATGAGGGGCAACCTGCCTGACTCCACAGGGCGCGCTCTTAGAAGCTTGCACCTCAGCTCCTGCCTTCTCCCCACGCGCCTTTGCTGATCGCACCTGGCATCCTTTCTCCATAGTAAGTCACAGCCTGAGAGTGACTGCATGCGGAGTCCCGGGAGTCCTCCTAGTGAGCCAGCGAGCCTGGGCATAGTCTGGGGGATCCTTGATCCATCTGGGAAAGCTAACGATGCTCCTACCTGCTTTATTCCCTCTGAACGCAGAAACGGCTAAGGATCACTCATCTGTGATAACCATGTATGACTAAGGTAATCATATATGAGTCAGCCTGACAAGCAGTCACACGTATTACCTTCTATCTCTTTCCATTCGGTTATGCCTCTCCCTACGTTGAGACCTTCCTCCCTGGGGCCCACTCTGGGCCTGCTCCCCCAGGTTTGCCTGTGAGGACTCCGAGGACTGCCAAGCGCCTTGTGTGGCGGTGGCACCTTCGCCCACATTCTGAATCTCTCCAAGGGCTCTTCGCTCTACATTTGTGTCCAACTGACGCATTCTACTCCGATTCCTCTTCAGTGCTTGTTTGCATAGCGCTGCTTCTTTGCGAAAGAAGAAAAAAGTGGTTTTTAATTTTGTATTCTTATCTCAATTAATGCTGAATACAGTTTTGGCCTTTTCAATCCAAGATATAAACATTATTGGGTAAGCAGCACAGAGAACCGAAACACAAAGAGATGTACTAATGCAGTTTTTCAGCATCAGCAGGGACCATGAAGCCCAAGCCTATTTTATACAACGAAACTGAACAAGAATCAATCATCACACTAAATACGTTTTCCAAGTGCTATGCAACCAATATGACCTCATCCAAAGCCCCTCTTTTTAATTAACAGGTGTTATCTATGAATACAGAAAACAAGAAGTTGTTTACTTTTTCTAAAGGTCAGAATGGAAAAAAAAAAACAACAACAACAAACCACCTGGACATATTTCCTCCCAAAAATATTTTCTTTATATACAATTATTCTAAGAACAAGAAAAAAAAACAATTATTCTAATATGACAGTATTTTTACTGCAATGCTCAGAACAAAACTGCAGCAGCGTGTGTGTGTGCCCTCGCCGCAGAAGTGGCTCTCCTCCCCAAAGCAGGAAGAAGTAGCGTCCGAGCTTTTCTGCTGCGTGACAGGCTATGCCACGTGTGCGTCAGTGGAACTGTATCCATCAAAGGACCACAGGCACGTGACTGGCAGGCGTGCTCATGTGCACGCGTATGCCACACAAAGCACCCATTTCAGAAGGATGATGAAGCTTTCAGCAGGAGAGAGAGGAATTCGGTCGTTTTGGTGATATTTTATTCCTTAACCTGAGTAGTCGGCACAGAGGCTGCTTTAATACTCATCTTTGTATCTTACAAATGTGAACATATACTTTGGCATAAAATTTTATAGGGAGGAAAAGGAAGGACTGACATGGGAGAAGGCGGTAGCTCTTCCTCCCCATCTTGTCTTCACCAACTCTTGGAAAGCTAAGTGTAAGGAGTGTTCTTTTTTCGGGTCACTTCACAAATCAGTTTCCCAGGGAGGAAGGGGCTACGCAGGTGTTTCCCAGGGAGGAAGGGGCTATGCAGGTGTTTCCCAGGGAGGAAGGGGCTACGCAGGTGTTTCCCAGGGAGGAAGGGGCTACGCAGGTGTTTCCCAGGGAGGAAGGGGCTACGCAGGTGTTTCCCAGGGAGGAAGGGGCTACGCAGGTGTTTCCCAGGGAGGAAGGGGCTACGCAGGTGTTTCCCAGGGAGGAAGGGGCTACGCAGGTGTTTCCCAGGGAGGAAGGGACTATGCAGGTTAGCGCAGCAGTGCCTTCAGCAGTGACTTTATTTCCAAACTTTCCGAATCACCTTACAGCCTCTCCCTGGCAGCCCTAATAGGGTCCTCCTATTAGCAGCCACCTATCCAAAGGCTTTCGGCAGATGTTAGATGACTGCCTCACTCATCGAGTATAACATAAGGAAAATAAAAAACTATAAAGTACTTTCAGTAACTTGAAAATAACTGAAAATTTATGTAAGTCTATCACTTTACTGTTAAGAAAAAGCCCTCAAACGCAACGTTCTCACACCAAGATTAATTATGTTTGAGAATCAGAATAATGTTTAAAGCGAAAAGACAGGGAAGCGGGTGGACAGACCCCTGAGATACACAGACACCTCCAAGACTGTTTCACATGTGTACAAACCATCTGTCTCCCCTGCCCCCCAAGGCCAAAATGCCATCAGCCACAGGGCTCAGTCAGAAGAAAGCTCCCACTACCTGCTGCTTCATCGCTTACCTCCCACTTTAATCCAAACTTGCTCAGGCAAAACTTTGTTTCTACTACCTAACGTCTGTTTAGTGGATTCAATTTCTTGCTGATAACAGAAAGAAAATGCTCTAGGCAATCCAATATCCTGGTGCTTGGCAGCTTCAAGTACAGAACATGAGTTACTAGAACTCTGGAAAAAAATGAAGCAACAGGAATTTTATCAATATGTGGCTTACTCTCCTCTTTACTGCACAAATGAAATGCACTTAACAAACATCAAAACTACTAACACGTAATTTGAAGAACTTTAGTTGCACTGAAGATTTAAAAATATTCGCATACCACATAAACACTCAACTTTCACAGGTATTTTTTTGTTTTTGTTTTTTTGTTTTTTTTTTTGAGACAGGCTCTCACTCTGTCGCCCAGACTGGAGTGCAGGGTCGCGATGTCAGCCCACCACAACCTCCACCTCCCAGGCTCAAGCGATTCTCCCGCCTCAGCCTCCTGAGCAGCTGGGATTACAGGTGTCCGCCACTACCACCTGGTTAATTTTCGTACGGGGTTTCACCATGTTGGCCAGGCTAGTCTTGAACTCCTGAACTCAAATGACCCACCCACCTCGGCCTCCCAAAGTGCTGGGATTACAGGTGTCGGCCTTGGCGCCCGGCTTAAAAGGTTATTAAGCTCACTGAAGGGAAAAAAAAGTACTTGGGACCTAACCAAAATAAGTTAAAATTTACCCATTTAATACAAAAGAGCAAAGCTTCACAAATCATGTTCCCTACCTGTGTCTGTGAAAGATTAGAATTTCCACTAGTAGAGCAAGCATTTGTAGTAAACAGTGGGTATGTAAATTGCAAAGCAGTAGTTGTAGCCGCAGTTTTATTTTTCACTAATGCTGTACATTTGTTTTGTTGCTGAAGAGGAACATTCATTAGTTCAGATGGATGTCGAATGAGAGTTACCAAACTGCCAAGACAAAAGAAAGCCCAGAAGTGTCAGCAATACGTGGCAGACAAGCATCCACCATCCCACTCCCATGGCTCTGGCTAGTTTTTCCAGACAGCAACCCAACTCTCATCCTGGAAATCTCTACACAACAATTAGCAACTATCGCTGCTGTGGAAGTCCTCCTCTTCCTATGGAGGAAAAGCAAAACTGCGCCACCTCCCTGCTCTCATCACATCCTGACACCAATCTCACTTTTGCCATCCTCCAGTGTGACCACGATGGGCAACTACAGGCTGGGATGAGCAGAAAACTGCGGACGCAGCCCCTTCCACAGCCATCCCTGAGGGTCGCCAAGGGGGCGGCTGCAGGCTGGAGCCTCATTTTAGAGCTCAAAGCCTGCAAACCCCCGTCGGGCCTTCCTAGGCTTCCCTGACATCCAAGAGTGCCACCCGGAGCACATGGTTCCCAGGAATTCTGCGCGCTCGGCCCCACTCCAGGCGGGGCCACTGAGGGAGGGGGTGTTTAGTTTCTGGAAGTACCTGCTCCCCGGGGCCCGCACAGCGCACACAGCCTTTCGGGGCGGCCCCAGACCCGGTGAGGTCCGCGCCCTGTGCCGCCGGGAGGGCAGGCTGGGGGCGTGCACAGCGAGGGCCCCCTTTGCCTCCGCCCCGGCCCCGGCCCCGGCCTCGGCCTCCACCCGGGCCCCGCCAGCCCCCGGCCGCCGGGCACGCACTTGTTGAGCGCCCCGCCCGGCTCGGGGGGCTCGGGGCCGCGCGGCGCGGGCGGCGGCTCGGCGGGGATGCTGTTGAAGCGGTCCTCCAGGCGGACGCGCACGGCCGGCTTGGCCCGGGCCTCGGGCGCGCCGTCGGGTCCAGCCGCAGCCGCAGCCGCGCCCGCGCCCTCCTTGGCGGCGCCGTCGGCCCGGGCCCTCGCTCCGTCCCCGCCGCCCGACGTCTTCTCCGCCGCGCCCGCCTCGCTTAGCAGCATCATGCGCAGCTCCTGGAAGTCGATGTGGCCCAGGCAGGGCGCGTCGGCCGCCAGCGCGGACGGGCACAGCACGGGGTACACGGGCGCCGCGCCCCCCTGACCGCCCGCCGCGAAGCCGCCCGCGCCTGCGCCCGGGCCCGCCGCCGCCAGCAGCGCCGAGTTGAGGCGCGTCTCGAGCTCGCCGTCAGCCGCCGCCTCCATGTGCGAGCAGAGGATGTGCTGCAGCTGCGTGTACTCCACCTCCGTCATCTCCACCAGGCTCAGGTCGGTGGTCGTGAAGCTCAGCCCCGGCTCGCCCAGCGCCGCGTCCCCGCCGCCCGCGCCCTCGACGGCCGCCTCGCCGCCTGCCGCGCCTGCCTCCGGCGGCGGCTCCCGCGGTCCGGGGCCCGACATGGCGGCGCGGCGCGGCCCAACGGCGGCGAGGGCGACGCGGGCGGCGGGCGGCGGGAGGCGGGAGGCGGGAGGCGGGAGGCGACCCCCGGCCCGAGCACTACTCTGCGCCGGCCACAGCCGGCGCGCCGTTGGGGGAGGGAAAACCGCTGAGTGCCGCGCACAGCGCCTGCGCCGCCCCGCCCCGCAACGGCAACCCCACCCCTGCGCCAGCCCCGCCCCCTCCGTTACCCGCCGCCGCCGGCCCCGCCCCCGCCCAACCGCCCGCACGCCCGGCCCCGCCCCACGTCGGCGGATGCTTGCGCGGAGGGCCCGCCCCCACGGCCCAGCCACGCCCCCACAGCTAGGCCACGCCCCCAGCTCAGGCCACGCCCGGTTCCCAGCCACGCCCCTGCTGCCCGGCCACTCCCCGCTGAGGCCCGGCGAGGGCGGCTGCGCTGGAATCAGCGTGATACCTACGCGGTGACACCCTGGGGAGAAGCCACGTCCGTGCGTGCACGTGCGCCCCATTACAGCGGCAGGAATGAAGACGTTGTCAAAACAGCTCCCTGGACCCACAGTCCACAGTGCCCAGGCCATCCGCTTCATCCGCGTAAAATGCGCAGCGCATGGCCGGGTTCTGTGGCTCATGCCTGTAATCCCAGTACTTTGGGAGGCCGAGGCAGGTGGATCAGGAGGTCAGGAGATCGAGACCAGCCTGGCCAACATGGTGAAACCCCGTCTCTACTAAAAATACAAAAATTAGCTGGACGTGGTAGTGCGTGCCTGTAATCCCAGCTACTCGGGAGGCTGAGGCAGGAGAATCGCTTGAACCCGGGAGGCGGAGGTTGCAGTGAGTCGAGATCTTGCCACTGCACTCCAGCCTGGGCAACAGAGCCAGACTTCATCTCAAAAAAAAAAAAAAAATGCACAGCGCGACGGTGGTGGTACATTCCCAGCGCTGGGCCCGCCTCCACCGCTGCATTCACCACCGGTCTCCTGTAGCAGTCAGCACACTGCCCCTCCCCCGCCTGCAGCCACTAATCTTCTGTGTCCAGGAGTTTGCCTAGGCTGGGCCTTCCCTGTTAAGGGAACTATGCAATATGTGGTCTTTAAGAGACTTATTTTTGCAATCTTGAAATAATTCCTGTACTTAACCTCTCACCCACATTCCCATCTCACTCAGTGGTTGTCTGTTCTCTGTCTAGGCATTAGGACACTTAAAGGCCTGTGACTTGCACATCGTCTTCTAAGCCGGGTCTGAATCTTTCGCTCATTTCATCACAGTTTAGACACAGACCAATATATTACAATGATTCAACGATGGGCTATGAAAGCTCAGCCATGCAAATCTAAACTCACACATGTATACATGAAAATAATATATCAGTTTTGGGCAAAACATCAGGTTTCAGAAAACACTACCAAGGAGGAAAGCAAGGACTTAAAACTCTCAAGGACATGGCAACAGAAGTCGTCTAACGTAAAACAGAGAGGGAAGGCTAAGAGAGTGAGCAGAGCATCAGTGAGCTGTGGGGCCGCTTCAAGCAGTGTGATTTGAAGTCCCCTGGGGGTGGAAGGATGGGGAGAAAGACATTTTAAGAAGTAATGATTGCCAGGTGAGGTGGCTCACGCCTGTAATCCCAGCACTTTGGGAGGCCGAGGCGGGCAGATCCCTTGAGGTCAGGAGTTCGAGATCAGCTTGGCCAACATGATGAAATCTCGTGTCTACTAAAAATATAAAAAATTAGCCAGGTGTGGTGGCATGTGCCTGTAATCCCAGCTACTCAGGAAGCTGAGGCAGAAGAATCGCTGGAACCCGGGAGGTGGAGGTTTCAGTGAGTAGAGATTGCACCACTGCACTCCAGCCTGGGAGACAGAGCAAGACGCTGTCTCAAAAAACAAAAACAAAACAACAAAAAAAAATAATGATTGAAAAGTTTTTTTAAAACTACAAACCTACAGACCCAAGAAGTTTAACATACCTCAAACTCAAGAAACATGAAGGAAACTACACCAAGATGGAAAGCAAATTGCTTTATTTATTTATTTTTTTATTTTTTGAGATGGAGTCTTGCTCTGTCTCCCAGGCTGGAGTGCAATGGCACGATCTTGACTCAGCACAACCTCTGCCTCCTGGATTCAAGTGATTCTCCTGCCTCAGCCTCCTGAATAGCTGGGATTATAGGCATGTGCCACCATGCCTGGCCAATTTTTTGTATTTTTAGTAGAGACGGGATTTTGCCATGTTGGTCAGGCTGGTCTTGAACTCCTGACTTCAGGTGATCTGCCCACCTTGGTCTCCCGAATGCTGGGATTACAGGCATAAGCCACCGTGCCTGGCCTCAAATTGCTTTAAATCAGTGAAAAATCTTAAAAGCAGCTGTACACACACACACACACACACACAAGACATTGTGTACAGAGGAACAAAGATAAGAATGATTACAGGCCAGGCGCGGTGGCTCACGCCTGTAATCCCAGCACTTTGGGAGGCTGAGGCGGGCGGATCACAAGGTCAGGAGATCGAGTCCATCCTGGTAAACATGGTGAAATCCCATCTCTACTAAAAATAAAAAAAAATAGCTGGGTGTGGTGGCACAGGCCTGTAATCCCAGGTAACTCAGGAGGCTGAGGCACGAGAACCGCTTGAACCTGGGAGGTGGAGGTTGCAGTGAGCCAAGATCACGCCACTGCCCTCCAGCCTAGTGACAGAGCGAGAGACTCCTTCTAAAAAAATAAATGAAAAGATTGCAGTGATTGCAGACATTTCTTCAGGAATAATGCAAGTCAGAACAGAGTGGAATCACACCTTTGAAGTGCTGAGGGCAAGGGAGAAGCTGACTGATAGTGTCAGGCGTCTGTATTCACAGGCTCTGCGTCTGTGGATTCAACCAAGGATCAAAAATACTCAGAAAAAAATTACTTGCACCGAAATGCACAGACTGCTCTTCCTTGTCATTATTCCTTAAACAATATGGTATAACAAGTATTCATTTAGCATGTACATCGCATGAGGTATTATAAGTAATCTCGATATGTATATATTTTAGAAACAGGGTCTCGCTCTGTCTCCCAGGCTGGAGTAGGATAATACGGTTATAGCTCACTGCAGCCTCGACCTCCTGAGCTCAACCAATCCTCCTGCATGACTCTGCCGAGTAGCTGGGACCACAGGCACACACCACCATGCCCTGCTAATTTTTATTTTATTTTATTTTTTGTAGAGATGGTATCTTACTATGTTGCCCAGGCTGGTCTTGAACTCCTGGCCTCAAGTGATCCTCCCACCTCAGCCTACCAAATTACAGAGATTACAGGTGTGAGTCATCACGCTCGCCGCTACAGATGATTTAAAGTGTATGGAAGAATGTGCATAGGTTATATGGAAACACTATGACATTTTGCATAAGGGACTTGAACATTCGTGGATTTTGGTACCCATGGCAGGTACTGGAACCAATCCCCCAGGGATACTGAGGAATAACTGTAGTTCTATGCCCAGCAAAGATATTTTTCAAAAACAAAGGCAAAATAAAGACTTTTTTGCACTTACAAAAGCTAAAATAATCCATCACTAGCAGACTTGCAGTACAAGACATGTTCCAGAAGTCCTTCAGACAAAAGGAAGGTGAGACTGGATAGAAGTCGGGGTCTCCACAGAAGAATGAAGAGACTGGACGGGTTAAAGCTATTTATTACGAGCCTTACCACAACCACTGCAATACAGCAACAAAGGGTGATGGCTAATAAATCAATAAAGGAGAGAAAATGGAATCAGACTCTCAAAGGGGCAGAAAGTGAGATATGATTGTGCCACTGCACACCAGCCTGAATGACAGACCTCACCTCTAAAGTAAATAAATAAATGATACAAAAATTAAAAATGCAAGAGGCAGAAAAAAGAAAAATAGAACAAAGAGCACACGGGACAAATAGAGAATAAATAGCAAGATAGTAGATTTAAATCCAATAAAAAAAAATCACATGAGATGTAAAAGGTTTAAACACGTCAATGAGAAAGCAGAGACCAGAATGGATAAAAAGTCAGAACTTGGAGGCCGGGCGCGGTGGCTCACGCCTGTAATCCCAGCACTCTGGGAGGCCGAGGCGGGCGGATCACAAGGTCAGGAGATCAAGACCATCCTGGCTAACACGGTGAAACCCCGTCTCTACTGAAAAATACAAAAAATTAGCCAGGCGTGGGGGCGGGCACCTGTAGTCCCAGGTACTCGGGAGGCTGAGGCAGGAGAATGGCGCGAACCTGGGAGGCGGACCTTGCAGTGAGCTGAGGTCCCAGCTCTGCACTCCAGCCTGGGCGACAGAGTGAGACTCTGTAAGTCAGACCTTGGAGTGCCCGTAAGAAACTCATTTTAAAGAGAAAGGATGGAAAGTGCGCACCTCCCTAGCGCTGTCGAAAGGCAGCTGGAATAGGCATATAAACACTAAAGTCAATTTCCAGGAGGCGGGTCTGAAGAAAAAGAAGAAAACAAATACTAAAGTAGATTTCAGAGCCAAGAATTTTGCCAGCGATTCTGGTCATTTCATAGTGAAATAGGGGGCAGAACATTTTCCTGATTAAATGCATCTAATTAGAAAGCTTAAAAATACATGGAGCAGGGCCGGGTGCAGTGGCTCACACCTGTGATCCCAGCACTTTGGGAGGCCGAGGCGAGCGGATCACTTGATGTCAGGAGTTCGAGACCAGCCTGGCTAACATGGCAAAACCCCATCTTTACTAAAAATACAAAAATTGGCTGGGCATGGTGGTGTGCGCCTGTAATCCCAGCTACTTGGCAGGCTGAGGCAGGAGAATCACTTGAACTTGGGAGGCAGAGGTTGCAGTGAACTGATATTGTGCCACTGAACTCCAGCCTGGGCAACAGAGCGAAACCCTGTCTCAAAAAAATAATAAATAAAAAATAACAAAACAAAACAAAACAAACCATGGAGCAGGCCGGGCGCAGTGGCTCACACCTATAATCCCAGCACTTTGGGAGGCCAAGGCGGGCAGATCACAAGGTCAGGAGTTGGAGACCAGTCTGGCCAACATAGTGAAACCCCATCTCTACTAAAAATACAAAAAAATTAGCCGGGCGTGGTGGCGTGAACCTGTAATCCAGCGACTCGGGAGGCTGAAGCAGGGGAATTGCTTGAACCAGAGAAATGGAGGTTGCAGTGAGCTGAGATTGTGCCACTGCACTCCAGCCTGGGCGACAGAGGAAGACTCCATCTCACAAAAAAAAAAAAAATTCTGGGCACGGTGGCTCACGCCTGTAATCCCAGCACTTTGGGAGGCTGAGGCAGGTGGATCACCTGAGGTCAGGAGTCCGAGATCAGCCTGACCAACACGGAGAAACCCCGTCTCTACCTAAAAAAAAAAAAAAAAAAAAAAAAAATTAGCTGGGCATGGTGGCGCATGCCTGTAATCCTAGCTACTCGGGAGCCTGAGGCAAGAGAATCTCTTGAACCCGGGAGGCAGAGGTTACAGTGAGCAGAGATTGTGCCATTGCACTCCAGCCTGGGTGACAGAGTGAGACTCCGTCTCAAAAGAAAGAGAGAGAGGAGAAAGACAGAAAATCAGAAAGGATGCAGAAGACCTGGACAATGCCATCAACCAACTTGCTCTAGTTGATGTTTATAGAACACCCCAACCACCCACATCAGAATACAGTCTTTTCAACTGGATAGGTAACATCTACCAAGATAAACCATAATTTGGACCATAAAATATGTCTCAATAAATTTAAACTTTAGAAAAATATGTCCTCAACCACGACTGAATTTAATTTCAAATCTAATGTAAAGATATTTGAGATATTGTAAATCTCCGAACATTTGGCAACTAAATAATACATTTCTAAATGTCTCACGGGTCAAAGAAATCAAAAGGGAAGTTATAAAGTATTTAGAAATGAGCAAAAATGAAAACGACAACATCAAAATTCATGGAATATAGCTAAAGAAATACTTAGAAAAGTATAGCAATCACAAAAGAAGACAAGTATCAAATTATTAATCTCAACTTCTGCACTGTTGAAAAGGAAGAGTAGAAAAGGAAGAGTAAAGTAAGCAGAACTGTGCGTCAGTTTCCATTGTATTTCTAAATACAATAAAAAACAGAAAAACCGTAGAGAAAAGCTCAAATGAAACCAAAGGCTGGCCGGGCGCGGTGGTTCATGCCTGTAATCCCAGCACTTTGGGAGGCCGAGGAGGGTGGATCTCCTGATGTCAGGAGTTCGAGACCAGCTTGGCCAACATGGTGAAAAACCCCGTCTCTACTAAAAATACAAAAATTGGCCGGGCGTGGTGGTGGGCACCTGTAATCCCAGCTACTCGGGAGGCTGAGGCAGGAGAGTTGCTTGAACCTGGGAGGCAGAGGTTGCAGTGAGTGGAGATTGCACCATTGCACTCCAGCCTGGGTGACAGAACGAGACTCCGTCTCAAAAGAGAAAAAAGAAAAAAAACTGAAGGCCGGTTCTCTGAGAGAAGCAATAAGATGTATCAACCTCTGGCCAGACTGAGCAGGAAAAAAGAGAAAAACAAATGACCAGAATCAGGAATAGGCGGTGACAGCAGTAAAGATTCTAAAGATACTGGATGGGTGCAGTGGCTCATGCCTATACTCCCAACACTTTGGGAGGCCAGGGTGCACAGGCCGCTTAAGCTTAGAAGTTTATAACCAGCCTGGGCAACATGGCAAAACCCCATCTCCACGAAAAACACCAACAATTAGCCGGGAGTGGTGGCACATGTCTGTGATTCCAGCTACTTGGGAGGCTGGAGGTGGGAGGATCACTTGAGCCTGGGAGGCAGAGGCTGCAGTGAGCTGTGATCATGCCACTGCACTCCAGCCTGGGTGACAGTGAGACCCTGTCTCAAAAATAAAATGAAGAAAAAAAGCTTCTGTAGATATTGAACGTATATTAAGGGGCTATTATGAACAACTTTATGGCAATAAAATCAACAACTTAGACAAAATGGGCAAATTCCTCAAAATACATAAATTACAAAAGCTCACTCAAGAATAAATAGATAACTTTATTTTCTCTATATCTGTTGATAAAATTGAACTGGTAATTAAGGACCTTCTCATAAAGAAAATGCCTCTAACAGATGTCTTCACGAGCTAATCCTACTAAACATTTAAGGAAGAAATAATACCAGTTCTATTGGTAATACGAACTCTTCCAAGAAACTGAACAGGAGGGGATACTTTCTAAAGCATTCTATGAAACAAACATAACTCTGATATCAAAACCAGACAAAACAGAACTACAGAGCAATATCTGACAGGAGCAAAGATGCAAAAGTTATTTTTATTTTTATTTATTACTTTAAAAAAAAGTTTCAAGAGACAGGGTCTTGCTCTGTCACCCAGACTAGAGTGCAGTGGTGTGACCATGGCTCACTGCTGCCTCAATCTCATGGGCTCAAGCGATCTTCCCACCTCGGCCTCCTCAGTAGCTGGGACCACAGGCATGCCAGAATACCTGGCAATTTAAAAAAATTTTTTTGTAGAGACAAGAGCCTTGCTATGTTGCCCAGGCTGGTCTCGAATTCCTGAGCTCAAGCAATCCTTCCACCTCAGCCTCCCAAAGTGTTGGGATTACAGTTGTGAGCCACCATGCCCAGCCCAAAATTCTTTTTTTTTTTTTTTTTTTTTGAGACAGAGTCTCACTTTGTCACTGAGACTGAAGTGCAGTGGCACGATCTCGGCTCACTGCAACCTCTGCCTCCCGGGTTCAAGCAATTCTCCTGCCTCAGCCTCCCAAGTAGCTGGGAATACAGGCACCCGTCACCACACCTGGCTAATTTTTGTATTTTTAGTAGAGACAGGTTTCACCATATTGGCCAGGGTGGTCTTGAACTCCTGACCTTGTGATCCACCTGCCTCGGCCTCCCAAAGTGCTAGGATTACAGGCATGAGCCACCCCACCCAGCCCAAAATTATTTTTAAATAATGTTAGCCCTGTAATCCCAGCGCTTTGGGAGGCTGAGATGGACGGATCATTGGATGCCAGGAGTTCGAGACCAGCCTGGCCAACGTGGCGAAATCCTGTCTCTACAAAAAAATACAAAAATTAGCTGGGCGTGGTGGCGGGCACCTGTAATCCCAGCTACTCAGGAGGCTGAGGCAGGAGAATTGCTTGAATCCGGGAGGCAGAGGTTGCAGTGAGCCGAGATCGTGCCACTGCACTTCAGTCTCAGTGACAAAGTGAGACACTGTCTCAAAAAAAAAAAAAAAAAAAAAACAAAACTTAGAAATAAATTTGATGAAAGATGTAAAAGACTGTACACTGAAAACTACAAAATACTGTTGAAATAAATTAAAAAGATGGACAAATATAGAGATATACTATGTTCATGGATTGGAAGGTTCGATAGTGTTAAGATGTCTGTTATTCCCAAAACTGATGTATGCAGTTCCAATAAAAACCCAGCAGTGTCTTAGTCCATTTGTGCTGTCATAACAAGACACCTTAGACTGGGTCACTTATAAACAACAAAAATGTATTGCTCCTAGTTCTGGAAGCTGGAAAGTCCCAGATCAAGGCACCAGCATATGTGATGGCTGATGAGGGCCTGTTCCGCTCAGATGCTGCCTTCCTGCCACATCCTCATGTGGCAGAGAGAGAAAATCAGCTCCCCCAGGCCTCTTGTAAAAGGGCACTAATCCCATTCATGATGGCTCTCCCGTCATGACCTAGTCACCTCCTAAAGGCCCCTCTTCTTATTTTTTATTTATTTATTTTTTTGAGATGGAGTCTCGATTTATTGCCCAGGCTGGGGTGCAATGGCATGATCTCGGTTCACTGCAACGTCTGCCTCCCGGGTTCAAGCAATTCTTCTGCCTCAGCCTCCTGAGTAGCTGGGATTACAGGCACGTGCCACCACGCCTGGCTAATAGTTTTGTATTTTCAGTAGAGACAGGGTTTCACCATGTTGGTCAGGCTGGTCTTGAACTCCTGACCTCAGGTGACCCGCCCGCCTCGGCCTCCCAAAGTGCTGGGATTACAGGCGTGAGCCACCGCACCCGGCCATTGTTTTAAAGACCCCTCTTCTTAATGCCACCACAGTGCAGATTAGGTTTCAGTATGAATCTTGGAGGGATACAAACTCAGACCGCAGCAAGCAGGGTTTTTTTTCTTTCTTTCTCTCTCAAATTCTTGGAAGGTTGAGCAGGGCAGGGTCACCAGGCCTGCCGGCAACTGCTCCCCTTCCTCTCATCCTCCTGTAGCTTCTTGGACTCCTGGGCCAATTGATTTTTCTGTTCCGTGATGTGGAGTGATCAAAGCTGGTTCTGGGTTTTCTGGAGCTGGATCTTTGATTGCCTTTGATTTAAAAGCATTGGTAACCGTTTCTCACGGGAAAGAGGCGCTGATAATTCATGCAAATGAGCATCAATGGGCAAAATTCAACCAAGTGCCTCTGGAACCAAGGCTGCCATTGAACATTCTAGTAAAAATGGGGTGGAGGCTTTTGCCCAAGTGCTCTGGATAATCTGGGAAAAGAAAATGGTGAGTCAGTGCTTTATTTTATTTATTTATTTATTTATTTATTTGTTTGTTTTTGAGGCGGAGTCTTGCTCTGTCACCCAGGCTGGAGTGCAGTGGTGCGATCTCGGCTCACTGCCACCTCTGCCTCCTGGGTTCAAACGATTCTCCTACCTCAGCCACCCAAGCAGCTGGGATTACAGGCACATGCCACGATGCCTGGCTATTTTTTGTATTTTTCTGGTAGAGACAGGGTTTCACCATGTTGGCCAGGCTGGTCTCGAGCTCCTGACCTCAAGTGATCTGCCTGCCTCGGCCTCCCAAAGTGCTGGGATTACAGGTGTGAATCACCGTGCCCAGCCGAATTTTTTTTTTCTTTTTTTTTCTTTTTAGATGGAGTCTCTGTCACCCAGGCTGGAGTACGGTGGCACGATGTTGGTTCACTGCAACGTCCGCCTCCTGGGTTCAAGCGATTCTTCTGCCTCAGCCTCCCGAGTAGCTGGGATTACAGGCACGTGCCACCATGCCCAGCTAATTTTTTTAGTAGAGACGGGGTTTGGGGTTTCACCATGTGAGCCAGGATGGTCTCGATCTCCTGACCTCATGATCCCCCCGCCTCGGCCTCCCAAAATGCTGGGATTACAGGCATGAGCCACCGTGCACGGCCTTTTTTTTTTTTTTTTTTTAAATAGAGGCAAGGTTCACCATGTTGCCCAGCCTTGTCTCCAACAAGCTCAAGGGATTCACCTCCTCACAGACAGTGCTCCCACAGGCGTGAGCCACCACGCCCCACCTTATTTATTTTTATGTATCTTAACTTCCAAGGTGGATTTATTTAAAGGTTTTACAATAACTATGTCCAGGCTTTAGGCTCATGGGAAGTAAATGAGGACACCTTTTTCCCAAGAAGAATTTCTTTAAAACCAAGCACATTGCTAAATAACAACATTATATTTGGCAAACAATAATTGGCAACAAAATAAGTTTATTATTCTGCCCAAGCCAGTCCCAGATGCTGTTTCTTAACCAAGATACAAACAAATTTTGCTGTAGCAAGTCTAGACCAATTTTATCAAACATGTCTTTGGTTAGATGTCTAGTTTCATTTAACGTTTTGAAAACTCATTTGACAGCCAGTCAAGTCCCTCATCTACACCAGCTCCGTGTTGCACAAGTGGCTTGAACATACCATGTCCTGTTAGGAAGAGACTGAAGAGCTGGCTGGCTCATCTGTCGTCACACTGATGGCCCGAGCGCTGGGCAAACCCTGTTTGTTTGCAGAGAGCAGTGGCGCTGCGTCTCCACACTCACCGGCCAGAAGCCTTTTCTGCAGCGCGTCCGCCACTTCCCGAATTCTTTCATGATCGTTGCTATCTACCAGCAAAAGAAAACCCTGGGTATTCTGGAAGTAATGCTTCCAGAGAAGCCTAATTACATCTTGACCATGAACATCCCACACCATGAAACAAGTGTTCTCTTTTTGAGTCAGAGTCTCGCTCTGTCATCCAGGCTGGAGTGCAATGGCGCAATCTCAGCTCACTACAACTTCCACCTCCCGGGTTCAAGCAATTCTCCTGCCTCGGCCTCCCGAGTAGCTGGGATTACAGGAGCCCACCACTATGCCTGGCTAATTTTTGTATATTTAGTAGAGACAGGGTTCCACCATATTGGCCAGGCTGGTCTTGAACTCCTGACCTTGTGATCTGCCTGCCTCGGCCTCCCAAAGTGCTGGGATTATAGGCATGAGCTACCGTGCCTGGCCCAAAACAAGTGTTCTTATATTCTACTCTTTCCATGTTAAAACCAATGGCAGGAACTGTGGTGAGTACCTCCCCTAACTTCAGTTTATACACAATGTATAGGCAGCATCCAATCGAACCGTCCAAATGTGCATCTGCTTCTTGCTGAAGAGGCGGGAGAAGAGAGAGGAGATGGCGGGGACCATGGGTTCGTGGCACTTGTGATGGGCAGAAGCAGAGGGGCTTGGGGGGCCCTGTGCTTTCTTCTTTCATGCTTCCAGGCAAATTGAACAAGGGGGAAGAGAAAGAACTGAGGAAGAAAGAGGGAGGCAGGGACATCTCACTGGCCCATGTGCTGGTGAAGCTGTAGACAGGAATTAGCAGGACGAGGACCTGCTGGTGATGGACACAGCAGCTCCAGCTCTCGATGCTTTAAATGCCTGGCTTGGAGTCTGAAAAAGGAACCTGAAAGCCTCTATGACTGCCTTAAAGTAAGTCCTTATCTCCTGTAGCCATGGGGCTGAGATTTCTGCAAAGCAAACCTGAAGCCTAGTCTCCTGGATGATTTAATTACAGCCTAAACTGCAGTTTCGACTTTGCAGTGCCTCTTTTGTTAAAGTTAGGGAAGTTGGGAAAGAATGGGAACCTGACGTTGCAATGGGGGCATGTGGGCGGCAAGCCACCCAGGTGCCGAGGCAAGAGACCGAGGGCACGAGCTGTTCCAGTGTAATAAAATATATAAAACAACAAGAGTTATACCAGATACAGATCATAGACATGATTATATATGAATATCTTTCATCATTAGTTTGTAGCAATTACTCTTTATAATGCTTGCTCTATAATCATAATCTAGGAAAAACCAGGCCATACAGAGACAGGAGCTGAGGGGACATGGTGAGAAGTGACCAGAAGACAAGAGTGTGAACCTTCTGTTACGCCCGGACAGGGCCACCAGAGGGCTCCTTGGTCTAGCGGTGACGCCAGCGTCTGGGAAGACGCCCGTTGCCAGACGGACCGTGGTCTAGCGGTAGCCTCAGTGTCACGGAAAAACACCCGCTACTTAGCAGACGGGGAAAGGGAGTCTCCCTTTCCCCGGGGGAGTTTAGAGAAGACTCTACTCCTCCACCTCTTGCGGAGGGCCTGACATCAGTCAGGCCCGCCCGCAGTTATCCGGAGGCCTAACCGTCTCCCTGTGATGCTGTGCTTCAGTGGTCACGCTCCTAGTCCGCCTTCATGTTCCATCCTGTGCACCTGGCTCTGCCTTCTAGATAGCAGCAGCAAATTAGTGAAAGTACTGAAAGTCTCTGATAAGCAGAAATAATGGCGTAAGCGGTCTCTGTCTCTCCCTCTCTGTCTCTGCCTTGGCTGCCAGGCAGGGGAGGGCCCCCTGTCCAGTGGACACGTGACCCACGTGACCTTACCTATCACTGGAGATGACTCACACTCCTTACCCTGCCCCTTTTGCTTTGTATCCAATAAATAACAATGCAGCCAGACATTCGGAGCCACTACCGGTCTCTGCGCATTGGTGGTAGTGGTTCCCCGGGCCCAGCTGTCTTTTCTTTTATCTCTTTGTCTTGTGTCTTTATTTTTACACTCTCTCGTCACCACACACAGGGAGAAGCCCACCGACCCTGTGGGGCTGGTCCCTACAGGGGCATGTGGGAAGATCCCAGTGAAGCTGAGGACCACGAGCCCTGCAAGTCCATTGGGATCTGCCGGTGAACTCCGCAGGTCGTCTTTGAAGGCACATGTGGCTCTTCTGCCACTGCCTGGGGAGCTGAGACCCCTTTGCCCAAAGACCCTCAAGTGCCTTCCCTAGGGAGCTGCCCTGTAAGGTGCCGCCGTCCTGCCCGGGACTCACCACCACCTCTGTGTTCCTTCTAGACCTAGATCCAGACTGGAGTTCCAGCAGGCCCCAAAAGAGAAAGTGTGAGGTGTGGCCTACAAATATGTTTCCCTACGAAAACCTGCGGAAAATGTGTGGAAATCGATGTTGAGAGTGCGGGATCTGGGTGGGAGGAATATAAGCTTGCGTAAGTGGACAGGGACTCAGATACGAGATTCTGGATTTGATGCGTTGGAGGGAACGGCTGGGAGTGACCCACCCCCCACCCCCATTTTCTTCATCAGTCACCGAAACTTTCGCCCCACAGGTAGCTGACCCTAAATTCAGTGAAATCCAGAACTTTCCTGGCACACTGGAGAGGACGGCAGAACGCTGGGATGGATTTATCGTGCAAGACCAGCTTGATGTCCTTAGGGCTTGGAGGTCACCCCTTCACGAGGATTGTGAGGAGTGAATTCATCGGGGAGCCCCGCACCCTCACCTGCACCCTCACCCCCACCCCCACCCCCACCCCCACCCCCACCCGCACCCCCACCCCCACCCTCCCCCCCACCCGCACCCGCACCCCCACCCTCACCCGCACCCCCACCCTCACCCCCACCCTCACCCCCACCCTCACCCCCACCCCCACCCTCACCCGCACCCCCACTCGCACCCGCACCCCCACCCTCACCCGCACCCCCACCCTCACCCCCACCCTCACCCCCACCCTCACCCCCACCCCCACCCTCACCCGCACCCTCACTCGCACCGCACCCTCACTGGCACCCTCACCCACACCGCACCCACACCCACATCGGGGAAGAGCTCCATGATCATTCTTTTCTGTAGGCGAAAAACTGCGGCGGGAACTGCTGCCATGCAGCTGGGCTCCCAATGCAGTGGGGATGGTGGCGCTCTGGGCTGGCGGGAGCTATCCTGCCGGACGTGATTCCCAGCACAGCCGTGAGCGGCAGCAGAGGCGCAGTCATCTGACCCACATAGTTCCTGCGTTGCCTGATGGGCGCAGCTTCCCTAGAACTGAAAAAAAAGGACATCCTGCCAAAGGCGTCCCCGTTCTGTGCTGGCAGAAAGGCTGTAGGTCCGAGAGCAGGAGTCCTGCGCTCTGACTGGAAGCCCCAACACAGAGTCCGGGGCCCTCGGCCAAGTTCCAGACTCTGGACAGACCCAGGCCCCTGGAATGAAGGACAGACTGAGTCTCCGAGAGGAAGGGGCCCTGCTAAATGCCAAAAACATGCAGCTAATCTTCCCACCGCCCCTTCCCAAAGGAATCTTCCTCTGTTTATCAGGAGTCTGTGCAACGGGAATGGGAAATAATCAGGCCTTTTAGGAATTACTAGACCCTGGAGCTGAAAGGACATTCATTTCAGGAGGCCCAGATGCCAGGCAGAGCTGTGGTTTATGGAGGCGGACGACGGAGTTGGTTCAGGTTTTCCTCTGAGGAGGCCCAGTGAGCCTCCCGGCCTCCTGTGGAACAGACATACTCAGCCAATGGCAGGGTCCCCACATGGTCCCCTGAGCCCTGGAGTGAGGTCGGCTGGGAGCAGCAGAGCAGCCGGAGGAGGAGGAGCAAACCCCAGGCCACAGCGTGCTCCTGGAGGGACCCCGATTTTGTCAAAATTTAGATGCAGAGAGAAAAAGATTAAGGAAAATACCAAATTAACGACAGCAGTGACTGCTGGGTGTGACGTTTTGGGCAGGCTTGGTTCTTCTCCCTTTTGCTAGGTGTCCCACAGGAAGACGGACCCAGCATGTGGGGACCTGCACCCAGCCAGTCTCGCCCTGGCTCAGCCTGTTCACTGGCGCTGCCCTGCCACTGAGGGCTGAGGTCACTGTCCGTCTGGGCATGTCTCATGTGGTCTTTCCTTTTCTCCCCTTCTGGTTAGGCCCCCTGAGCTCAGCCACAGCCACGATCCCCACTGCCGCCTCCTCCCTGGGACTCGCTGATGCCTGGTGTGGGGAGGGTGCTGGCTGCTTTGGGTGTTACCCCCCGTTGGAGGCCCCCGTGCCGAGTTCTCGAGTGAGATGGCTCTTTCCATTTTCCCCCGACAGCTGCCTCGGCCTCTGTGCTAGAACAGGGAGCTACAGCTCAGTGACCCTGTGGTGCCTTGTGGGCCTGTGGGTGCCAGGGCTCCGGGGCCTGGGCCTTTTCCTGCTTGGTGTGGCTGACCGGGACGCGGCCGACCCCAGGGGCATACTGGAGCTAGGTCTTCCTCGCCATGTTTCCACAGTGAGCCCTTTGGCTGCACAGGTCACGGTCTGGAGCTGTTGGAGGAGGCTGCTCAGAGCTGTTGCTGCCCCACCAGACACTTGGCCAAGGGGCCTGCACCGGTCTGCGCGGGAACGTCCCACCGGCGTCTGCTCATGGCTGGGCTGTGGACCCATACGCTTGTTCGGAAGCCAAGCTCTGGCCCACAGGCGACCAGAGGAAGCTCGCAGGCCAGGCGCCAGCTCCCCGAGCCTGTCCCTGCAGCCGCGCTGTGTGCAGGCACGTGGGCCACCGCGTCTCCTCCACTGGCACTGCTGGGTCTGGGCCGCCAAGCCCACCTGCCCACCTGCATCCTCAGCAGCAGCACGCCCCGCAGTCGGCGGGTGCACACTCTGCTGCAGCCTGGATGGGCTGGGGCCTCGGGGCTCACTCCCCAACCATGAGACTCCTTCACCGCAGTTGAGGCTGTTGCAGTGGTCTCGGGCTCCCACTCAGCCCCAGGAGAGGGTCTGAAGGGGGTGAGTCCCTCCTCCCGACCTTCCTGCCCATCGTCTCCAGAGCTGGATGGTGCTGGGTCCCCACAGGGAGCGAGACAGCTGCCCCGTGACGGAAGGATGTGGGGACCCGCACCCGGCCGGTCTCACCCTGGGCTCAGCATGAGTTCAGGGAGGGGTCCAAAGGGCACTCCTGCCCACGCCCAGGCAAACCAGCAACAAGAAACTGGGTGGCCAGGGCGTCCGTGCACGACCCCAAACTTCTCCGCGTTAGAAAAAGGCTGATGAAGACCCGAGACAGAAACTTCCTGTAGCTGTTTATTCTACTGCGAGTAACAAAACCTAGGTCGTTCCATGTTCTCATGTACAGTGATATAAGCCTCCGCAATATAAAATACAATGTACAGGAATCTCTATCAAGTAAACTAAAGAAACACACTTGATTTTTACATTTGTGTATTTAAATTAGAAAAATTTGCTTTATATGTTAAACAAACAAAACCTTCTCATCGTACTAGATGTTGGAACGTGACACCTACTTTAATGTAATTTAACCTATGGACACTTGGCTTTCAACACCAAACATCTCAAACTGATACATTCTCAATGTTTTCTTAACTTAAAAAATCTGTGCTATAAAGTGAAAAATCTGTAGTGACGTACAATGGAATAACAGACTCCAAAGAACAAGTGAAGTTCTTTAATTTTACATCTGTAAAAGTTTATGAAAATATAAAAAATTATCAAAGTGTATTTGTACAAATAAATTAGCCAGATTTTTTTACTTCACACTTCAGAAGTACTCGAAAAATACACGACAAGCAAGAGACTGTTTCACAGTGAACAGCTTCCTGTCTCATTTGCAGTTCTTGAGCTAGTGATCACTAGTTCCCGTCTCAGACTTTACACAAGTCTTGTTCCACGTTCAAGGACAAACTTTTACATGTATCGTCTGACAAATACCAGTTTGGGGCCGAGCGTACTTTTCCCGGGATACAGAAGAACTGCTCAGAAGGCGAAACTGGACCAACAAAACTCCTGATTATTCAAATCAAGGACTCCTCCCTGCCCCCAAAGTACACTTAATTGGTTTGTTACTTTTTTTAGGCTGGTAAAACTTAACATTTTTCAATAAATTGTTATTTAAAATGCAACAATTATACTAGGACAGATGTTGCTTTAAATCATGTTTTGGAAAAAATTGATAAGGTGATATATAAAATCTGAGCACGCTAAGAAATGTGTTTCTGTTTCCCAGTTGAAAATTGTAATTCCAATTTTATGACAAAAGAAAGATGCATTTGTAAGGTTTGTGTTTCTCAAGACTCCAGATACAAGCTACTAAGACTTCTCCCGTAGCCGCAGGGTGGACGCCTGCAGGTCACGCCCACACCGGCCTCCGGGGCGGCGGCTAAGACCTGTAAAAGCAGCTTTTGGAAACACAAACGGATGAGATGTCAGTGAAGGTATGGCTCTAGGGTCCAACGAAACTCCCTTAAAATTTACAATAAAGTTATTGGAAAAGATAACTATGATCTGAAAAGCAATATGCTCCGTAGGCAATTTCCCATTTCTTTTAATTTTAAATGGAAATATTAAAGTTTAGTTTTTTTAAAAAAGCATCAGAATTGTAAAGATGTGAAATCTTGTAAGAAACCATTTACACAAAATTACAGTAATGTTTAAGTCCAGAATATTCTATCCTGAATCTAAGATCGTGGCTATTTCAAAAGCTATTTGTTCAACGCATCTTACGAACGTGGCTTTAAAAAGGGTCTCTGCCCGGCCGGGGCGTCTAGGCCTGCGAGGCGGTGCCAGCGTCGGAGGCCCTCGAGGCCTCGGGCTTCGGGTCCCGAGCGCTCTCTTTGCTCTTGCTCCGGTCCTTGCGGTCGCGGCCCCGCTCCCTGTCCCTGGCCTTGTCTCGGTCCCGCTCTCTGCTCCGGGACCGGTCCCGGTCGCGCCTCCGGTCTCGCTCGCGCTCTCGGTTCCTGCTCCGCTCCCGGCTGCGGTCCCACTCCTTGCCCCGGTCGGCCTCGCGCTCTCGGTCGCGGTTGGCGCTCCTCTCCCGGTTTCTGTCCCAGTCCCGGCTGGAGTCCTTGTCCCGGTGTCGGTCCCACTCCCGGGGCCGGTCCCAGTCCCGCTCTCGGCTCCAGTTTCGGCCGCGCTCGCGCTCTCTCCTCCTGTCCTCGGACGCCCGGCCCTGGGCGTCGGGCTCCTCCAGCGGCTTCTCTTTGGGCCCCACGTCAAACCGCTCTCTCTGCCTCCCTTCGAAAGTCTGGTTTCTGTATTCGTGGCCTTTCCCCTCTCGGAAGTCGGCCGATGCCCACTGTCCGTCGGCCTCGGGGCCCTGTCCGGGCGCACTGGAGGAGAGCGCGGAGGGCGGCCCGGCCTCCTCCCAGCGGTCCTTCCGGTGCTGCGGGGGGTGGCTGGGAAGCTCCAGCAGGGGCCTGGGGCCCGGCTTCATCACCTGCGGGGCCTGGCCCTGGAAGTGAAATCGCGAAGGGGTCTGCTCATTTTTTTCAGAAAAGGGTGCGGACCCCCGTAGTCCACCAAACTGCAGGGGTGCAGGCGCCCTTTGGTTTGTGAATCTTGGTGGTGAATGGACCCTCTGGTCTTCGAACTGCTGAGGCTGAATGCCCCTGGGACCTGGCATAAAGTTAGGCGCTTGGCCTCTGGGTCCTTCAAACTGGTTGGGATGAGGGCCCCGGGCAGTTTCAAACTGACTAGGATGGGGCCCTCTTGGGCCCACGAAATGACCAGGGGGTGGTCCTCTCTGACCTCCAAACTGAGAGGGAGGGGGGCCGCCTCGGGGGCCTTTCAGCTGAGACAGCAGTGGCCTTCTCTGGCCTCCGAACTGGAAAGGCGCGCCGCCTCTGCTTCCCAGAAATGGGGCTTGCTCTGTCCCTTCAAACTGGGCGGGGGCGCCCGTCACCTCGTTATACGGGGCGTCCTGGAACTCCCTCTTCTCCCCATGGGGATCCTTGCGTTCTTCAAATTGGGATGGTGCCACTCCTCGTGGTCCACCAAGGTAAGAGGGTGAGGGGCCTCTGCTGTCCCCATAAGGAGGTGGCCCATGTTGCCCCGAGAATAAGGAAGGGATGGGCCCCTTCTGGGCTCCGAATCTGGCTGGCGGAGGCCCTCGTGGCCCATCGTTAGAAGCGATATTCTCTTCTGGAAACGGAGGGGCTGGCCCCCTTGGTCCCGGGAAATTGGGGCCGTGAAGCCCTGACATCCCCAAAGCATGAGGTCCAGGTTCCCGCTGACCCTGAAACGGGGGCTGAGAGCCCCCCACTTTCTGTCCTGGTGGGGGGAGCGGGGCGGTGCCCTCGCCGGGTCTGGCCTGTGGCTCTCTGTCCCCCTCTGTTTCACCTGCAGGGCTGCTGCTCCTTCCAGCAGAATGAAGATTTCTTGGGTCCTCATACTGGGCTGAGCCGAGAGCCTTGTCCTGCGACGCGAACCCCGGGCAGGTGAAAGGGTCCCTCTCACCGTCGTGCTGCAGCGGGAAGCCGGGCTGCAGGGCGCCGCAAGGCGGTGTGGGCAGCAGCACCCTCCGGGCAGGCCTGGCCGAGCTGTCTCCAACCGTGGCGGGGCGGGTGCCCTCCCCAGGCTCTGCCTTCCAGCCGTCCTGCTCGGACCCCGCTGGGGGCTTTTCGCCCGAAGCCCAGGGGGAAGAGGCTGGCTCTTTTTCCTCCGGGACTGGCATGGGCGCCTGGCCCACGAGGCCACCCCTGGAAGCATCTCTCTCGGGCAGGGCACCCTGGGCACCACGTGCCGAGAGCCTGGAGAGAGGCTCCCCCTCCCCCTCACCGGTCTCAGTGGCCAGGCGCCTCGCCTGCCGGGGGTCCCTGTGGTTTGACGCCTGGCTGGCGGGGGGCAGTGAGGCGGGCTTGTCTGCAGACTGCTGCTCTTGCTGGAACAGCTCTGCCTTGGGCAAGGACGACTTTGGTGGTGGAGACATCAAGGCGTCCGACACCGAGAAGTGGGCCATGGAGACCCCGACGGCGGCCCTCTGCTGCCTGAGAGCTTCTTCTTGCTCCTCCAGCTGTCTCTTCTGCTCCTCGATCTGTTTGTTCAGCTCTTCTAGCATCTTCTGTTGCTCCACCAGGGAGGGCGTCGCAGCCCCGGCCACCGGCTCGGCAGGCCTCTCCACGGAGTTCCTTCTCACGTCGGCACACATCCTGTTGGGCAGGTCATCAACAGTCACTTTCGCTTCTTCTAAGATGGTCTCATCCTCGGGGTCATAGGCCACCTCTTCCCGCTCGGCTGCAGCTGCTTCAGGAGCCCTTTCCACCTCGTGGCGCCGCCCTCGCTCCACAAGCTGAGTGTCGAAGGCCCTCTCCGGGTCGTACTCCTCCTCAGGGTCGTATGGCCTGTCGTCCTCCTCTTCCTCTAGAGCCTTATCTTTTGAGAACTGACCGAACTGCTGGACGATCGGATCTAACAACGGAGGTGCCGGCACCCCGTCCTCTGCTGTGGTTTTGGGCTCCTGGGGGAGACCTGCGGTGGACCCGGGAGGCTCTCTGGCGGACGGGTCGAATGATTTCTTCTTTCCAAAGAGAGTCTGCAGGATGTGCTCCAGCGGTGATGCTGTTTTGGAAGCAGACGAAGCGGTGGAGGAAGCTGCCGTGGAGGCTGCCGCTGCTGTTGTGGCTGCTGTGGCTGGGCTGGGGGCTGCAGGTTTGAGGGATGACAGCACTTTTAGCACCGGTGGTTCTGGAAGAGGGGGCGGAGGCGGCGGCGACCCAGGAGGTGTGGTGCTGACAGCCGCGTCTGCAGAGCAGAGTGGATACTTGGAGGGCTTCTTTTCCGACTGCGGGACTGTGGCTACTTTTGGATAGGCCGGAACGTCCGCTTCTTCCGGTTGAAGTCGGGTCCGCTTTTCGTCCATCTTGTCTAACTCTCCACTGTTTGCGGGACGTTTGATTTTTTGGCAGATTACTAACCCAAGAATTATATTCGGACGTGGTGACTCAAGACCTGAAAAACAAAATATTTGTGCAAATTTTAGAATCTAAATCCAGCTTTTACCCTTTAGAGGTGAATTTCATTAAGGGCTTTCACGGGGAACGTTTAATAGACAAAAATAAGCCATTCTGTGGCAAAATAAGATCAAGTGTCAAGACAGTTGCAAAAGCCTGGACGATTCCGCCCCAGGAACGCACCGCCCCGGGAACGAGCTGGGAACACACCGTGCCAGGAATGCACCAACCCAGTCCTCCCGGAGCCATGTGAAGGGGGCGACTAACCCCTCGTCACCAACCATGGAACCGAAGGCCCAATCCACAAGGGAATTCATCCCAATCGTCTGAATTTGTTACATATTTTAAATTATAATGCTAGAGCAGTAGTGTGGAGGGGAGGGAGGCCGTGGTGTGAGCCTGCAGGGTGAAAAGGGCATTGTCGCACATGCCCTCAACACAACAGCTCAGCTATGCTCTTCTTCCCCTCGTGCCACTGCCAGGAAGGTAACAAACAGCCTTTTTTTTTTTTTTTTTTTTTTTTTGAGATGGAGTGTCGCTCTGTTGCCCAGGCTGGAGCGCAGTGGCGCGAGCTCGGCTCACTATAACCTCTGCTTTCCAGGTTCAGGAGAATTCTCCTGTCTCAGCCTCCTGAGTAGCTGGGATTACAGGCATGCACCACTATGCCTGGCTAATTTTTGTGTTTTTAGTAGATAAGAGGTTTCACCATGTTGGCCAGGCTGGTCTCGAACTCCTGACCTCAGGTGATCCACCTGCCTCGGCCTCCCAAAGTGCTGGGATTACAGGCGTAAGCCACCGCACCCGGACCCCTTTTTGTCTTTAACTTAGGAGTTGCAACACATAATTACTCTAAATATACTAATATTAAATTATCAATAAAGTCATAATAATCAATAAAGCACAAGCCATGAGGTCATCCATTAGTCTCTGGTGTCAGAATTACAACTAGACAGGAAAAACAGCATTAAATGAAATGGCTAAAATAAATGCTTTGGACTGGGCATGGTGGCTCACGCCTGTAATTCCAGCACTTTGGGAGGCCAAGGCGGGTGGATCACAAAGTCAAGAGTTTGAGACCAGTCTGGCCAACGTGGTGAAACCCCGTCTCTACTAAGAATACAAAAATTGGGCCGGGTACGGTGGCTCACGCCTGTAATCCCAGCACTTTGGGAGGCTGAGGTGGGCGGATCATGAGGTCAAGAGATCAAGACCATCCTGGCCAACATGGTGAAACCCCGTCTCTACTAAAAATACAAAAATTAACTGGGTGTGGTGGCGCACACCTGTAGTCCCAGCTACTCAGGAGGCTGAGGCAGGAGAAATCGCTTGAACCCAGGAGGTGGAGGTTGCAGTGAGCCGAGATCACACCACTGCACTCCAGCCTGGGTGACAGAGTGAGACTCTGTCTCAAAAAAACAAAACAAAACAAAAAACAAAAATTAGCCAGGCGTGGTGGCGTGTGCCTGTAGTCCCAGCTACTCAGGAGGCTTGAGGCAGGAGAACTGCTTGAACCTGGGAGGCAGAGGTTGCAGTGAGCCGAGATCGTGCCACTGAACTCCAGCCTGGGCAACAGAGTGAGACTCTCTTGGAAAAAAGATAAAATAAATGTTTTGGGTTTAGAAATTCAGTGAGCATTAACATATCAAAGACTCCCTAAGGCTCATGTCTTTGTAAACACAGGACAGACACCACGCTCACGTAAAGCACCGAGGTGCTCAGCAAACAGGTGGCAAAGAGCAGAGCAGGTGGACGACGCGCACTGGGGGTTTTAAGGCACAGTATTAGTTTAAAAAAAAAATTATTCAAAGATATTCCCAACGTCGTAAGTTGTGGTAACTTCAATCAGGAGTACTAACATTCCAGTAACGACCATCCCCACACTCATAATCAATCAAGAATGCCAAAGGGGAATATAAAAACCCACATCCCAAAACAGGAGCTGAAGGAAAGTGATACACGTGGGTGGGACGTTTCAGCGGCAGCGACGTAACACTATGTGAGATTAAACCGTAACAACTCAACGGTACAGATAATTTAACGTGACTGTGGTATACAAAAGGTGCTCACACTACAGATTTTCTTCCCCTTACAGTGAAAACCAGTATGATTTCCCGTGCTTCAGGTGATGTTAAAGATCATCACGGACTGCTTCAGGCACCACCATGTAGTTCTAAGTACATCTGTTGTTCATCTCCCTAAATTCCACTAAGGAACTGATGGACAGGCTGAGCACGGAAGATGGGTGAAGGCAGGAATACCAGGCCTGCCAGACTGAGTTGGGACCAGCCTGCTCCACGGGACACTTCCTCCCTCCTGGAGAGAGGACCAAAGGCCTCTTCCTTCACAGGCTGCTGGACAGAGCTGAGATTCCCAGCACCTCACCTCCACCTCCTCTTCACTCTCTGTCCCCCGGATAGTAGCACGGTGCCAGTGAAAGGGCTGGGTGGGCAGAGGAGGAGGGAAGCAGGAAAACCAGCCGGGCCACACCGAAGGGCACAGCTGAGCTCTGCTGCTCAGCAAACCTGTCGAGTTCATGTTCTGCTTAACATGAGTTGAACATATTTTAAAACGGTATTTCTCTCAGCACAACAGCTATCTGTTTACTGAATAAGCTATTACACAGCTTACTCAAATCCACTTTTCGGGTATGTTCGGTTATGAAATTGGCTATTATGGCCTTCCTGGACCATACATCTGCAGAGCCCACCACGCCCTGGGGTGAAGGGCACTGAGGCTCAGGCTGAGTTCTGTAAGCCGGGCTCTGTAAGCCAGGCCCTCTGCCTGCAGAACCTGACACGGGGAACAGACACAGGCATGGGCTAGGCCTCGGGAAGGACCCTGGGCAGTAGGGCTTGTGGGGCCTCGTGTGGGGAAGTTACCTGGGGAAGCCTAGTGCTGACTCTGACACAGAGGGGACATGCCACCCAAGGGAGACACTCAGCTTCTAAAGGGCTGTTAGGGTGGCAGTGTGATGTACAAAATCACTGTTACGTGGTCCCGTCTCGTGGTGTGTCACTAGAACTCAAACTTTTAATGGCTAACTTGCTTGTTAATGAAAAAAATAATTAGTATATCCCAACCCTGGCAAGACTCGTTAGTCTTGAAAACAGCAACCGTCTGGAGATTGGCATCAAACACGCAGCTGGCACGTGTAAATGCTCCCAGCTCTTGGTGCTCTCAACTGCAAACACTGGTGACTGAATAAAGAAAGCTGCAGAGTCAGATGGGTGCTCGTTCTGAATTTCCCCGCCATTTAAAATTTAAATTGGGCTGTCCAAAAAGGCACACCCGCTGTGAAACAGTCAAATCTTGTCACCCAACTCATGTTTGTTATTATGTATGGTTGCATGAATATGTAAAATGTGGCAGGCGCCTTGGAAATAACTCTTCGTGGAAGGAGCAGTGCACTTCGCCTGGCTGGACCTTGGGAGCCATCTTCCCCTGGAGGAAAGGGTGTGCCTGCCACTGCCTGGCATGTCCAGCAGACCAGTAAGGTCGAAAGGTCACAGAGCCCCCACCTCAGGGGGGCAGTCGAGGTTGCCCAGGGGCTGTTCCCAGGCTAGCCCCTCCCCTCGGCAGCTGCCCCGTGGTGTGTGAGCCCTGGGAGGGAGAGTGCCCCGGGAAGGTGCAGAGACTGAGGCCTGCACGAAGCTGGCACCAGCCAGGTTGCGGGTGGCACAGGGCACGGTAGGCTTACTTACCCACCTTCCTCCTGAGGGCTACTGAGGGCCTCAGTTCATAAAGCAACCAGGGGCCGGGGCTCAGGAGCAACCAGGGACCAGGGCCTGGAGACGCCAGCTGCGGCTAAACGTGCCCCTGCACTTCCACTGAAGGGTACTGATCAGGCCTGGAACAAGGGTGTGGATGTTCCCCCAACGCCCTCTGAAAGGCCAGAAGGCAAATGGCTTTCTTCAGGGCGTACCACGTGCAAGCCAACAGGCCTTTTTAGCACATCTGTGTCCTTTGCGTATTCATGACGGAGGGGTCTGGACTCAGTGGTCAGAATCAGACCACACGCACAGGAAAAGAACTCAAGAAACTGAAGATAAAAGGGTGTATTCGAAAAGCTGTGTGGGCCAAGACCAAAACCAGGATCTGTGTCCAGGTGTGTCGCAACAGGGACTGGGGGACAAGGCAGCTGGCAAAGGGAACCACCTGCTTCTCAGGGTGCAGGAAGCACCCTCGGTACTGAACCTGAGGCTGCAGGAAGACGCTCCTTCTTACTAAATGAACCACCCGAAACCTGACTCCTCCCAACCCCAAACTATCACAGTGAGGCCTTTACCCCTAAAGCCACCTGGCACATCCCACTATCAGTGATTTAAAATGAAAACTCTCTCAATGGTCTGCACCTGTCAAAACAAAATGTTCACACCTGCTGGAACAGAAACGGTGTGGAAGTTAATCAACAAGGGGTGACGTATGACTTGGATAGAAAGACTTGGCAATTAAGGTGGGAAGAAGTGACTTCCCCCAACCCACCAAACACACCCACTCACACACACACAGACCCTCCCTTGTTCCAACTGGGAATCTCTAAGACCTGCACAAAGCCACTGGGTCCAGCACGTCTCAGGTAAGAGGAGAGCGACGTCCATCTTCTTCTGGGTGCCGGGGTGCCGAGAAGGGCCCCAGGGCAGCACCAGCCTGCACTGCGTCCTCTCCAGCAGCTGCTGGGTGGGCTGCAGAGCTGGGCACACTAGGGTGCACTGCGCTGGCTTATGGAAAGCAAACAGGGGCCTAGGATAGGTGACCAGGAGCCACCAAATGGTTCCAATTCAAACAAACAAGGACCAGTTTCCATGAAAGATGTTTATTGATTTAGGAGGAGAAGGCAGTACATTCCATTCAATACTGTATTTGACTCTGATTACAATTTCCATGCAAAGCTACTGTTACATACACACATGAAAACTGAAGAAATGCTTACCTGACAATATTTCAAGTCAGAATTTCTCAGCTAATTTAGAAAGCAATTAAAAGTGAATACAGAAAGACACTATGGATTCAAACATTCTTCCCAGAAGAGCTTTCTAATGTATAAAGACCTCAGAGAAAAGAGCCCTTTCCATTCGAGCAGCTACAGAGGGCGGTGTTTCCTCCTGCCCTGTACTTGGGGAGAACAGACTGTGCACCCATGTTTATGGACCGAGGTTACTCCACAGGCATTTCAGACCAAGGCTCCGAGGCCTGCGGCTTCACGCGGAAATGACGGGGGCTGGGCATGGTTAACAGGCAGGCATCTTGGCTGCGGTCCAGTCCTGTAAGGGCCCTGCACAGAACCCTACACGATGAGCTTTCAACCTGACTCATCTCCCTTCCATGAACAAGGCCCTGAGACAGGCCGGGACTCTGCGACCCCAAGTCCCTGCGGGGGGCCCTGTTGGTAAAGCTGGAACTGAGTGGGGTGAACATCTAGGTGGAGAAGGTCACCTGGAACCAGGCCTCCCAGCTGCCCCCCACCGTGATGCTGAGTTACAGAGAGTGCCCCCACTGCGGGGCAGAGGGGCAGAGGAAGACAACCCGGTGTTTCTGTGGACAAATCATTAAGATATGCAAGGACAAATGTCCTCAGGGAGATCCAGCTACTGCTGTGAACTGCATGGCTCCTGAGGGTGCTGCGGGGGCAGCTCCACTCTCACTGCCCGACAAGGGCCAAGTGCTGACAGGGCGGGTGACTTAAGTTTCCCCTGAGGGCACAGCTGGGCACCTTCAGGCCTTCACTTGCTTAAGTGTGAACAGCAAGCACTGAGGGGGCTAGGACTGGACACCACGCTGTCAAAACCCACTAGGTCCCCATGTGTGGGAGGCATGGACACCTGCAATTGTGTGGTATAAACTGAGGCACATGGACGAGTCAGTCACTCTTTTCTGCGTGAATCTCTACCCCCAACAGGACCTTCTCCTTAACATCCCCAGGGGAAGATGCTCCCACATCAGTGCCCTGATGCAGACGGGCAGCTCAAGGCTGGGGCGCCAGGTCTCCTTCAGGCCTGTGCTGCATGTGCCGCAGAGAACTGAGGCTGTGGAATGGAGCTGGGTCCTGCAGACCCTCACCCAGCACTTCTGGGGGCGTGACTCCAAGCTGCGCAGCACACGCTCACCCCTGACCACAGCTCTGTGGAGTCACCACCATCAGCACCCTCAGGTGTGGCCTGTGCTGTCCAAGGGCTTCTGGGCTATCTCCGTGAGGACAGGGTCCGCTGAGACAGGGGAAACATGCCAGGACCTAGCCTTACACACACACACGCGCGCACATGCACACGCACTACACATTTACACCACAAAGCCAGGACACACATGTACATGTTTATATCTAGAAAACGCCAAGTCAAGTAATCAGTACGTGAAGCGGGCCGAGTACCCGATGGCCTGGCCCGGGGTGAAGGCTGTTTAGTGACCATGGAAGTGTGTGAGATTTCACGCACACGCATTCATGTCAACAAGGACATCAGGAGAAGTTAACATTATACTGAAGTCTTAAGTTAAAACATTTCTGAAGTGTATGGAAAGGTTTCACTAGCTGTTACTTTTCTAAAGTCCCTTGCCCTGTGTTACTTTACCCAGACGCCTCTGCTCTTTATCGTGGATCAAAGTCCCTGGGGCTTTTGTGTGTCCCCGTCAGGCGGCGTCGTGGCCTCAGCAAGTGCCTTGGTGGGCGAGTGTGACGTTCCCCCAGCTGGTCGCGGAGCTGACAGTGTGGGTGGTTGGTGCCATCGCACTCAGCAGACAAGGTGAGTGACCCCAGCCCAGCCCTCCTTGTCCCGGTGCCATCCGGGAGGTGCTGGGAGACCTGTCCTTTCCCTCTGCCCCGGGGCTGCACCTGCACAGCCAGCCCTTGCTGTGGGGAGAATGGAGGCGCCGCTCCTCTGGTGGCCTCCCTGGGCCCCGTCACTGCCCAGTGTGGGGAACCCGGTGCCCGGCATGCGCCGGGGCTCGCTCAACACCCTACAACCGTGCTCACCTGACAGCTCCAAGTTTGGAGATGAGCAGGGAGAGAAGCTCAAGAAAGGATGAAATATCGCCTCAATTGTTTTAAAAAGGGGAGGCTCGCTATCTAAGAATCATGTTTCTGTAAAGAAAAAGTGCTCTTTCCACCCCGGTAGGGAGGTGCTGAGGTGCTGCAGTGTCTGCACTGAGTGCACACACTGTCGCACTTGCAACTGACCAGTGGGTCTTCACAGGTGCGGAGAGGCCAGCTTCTCGGTCTTCACCTCCAGGAGGGCCGGGCTTTTCCTCTCCCTGGTCACGTGGAGCTGGCCAGAGCTCTTCACAAGCAACACCAAGAACCTCTACCAGGGTCCTTTCTGCCACCCATTAGGTGGCATCTCTTTATCCCAAGTAGGATTTGAGGGGACACACTAAAGCACTTTGCTTTTAAAAATTTATCTGGCACTAAAATAATTTAATGCACCACGCCAGCAAATATTTAACCCTGAAATTACTGATACCAACCAATCCCTTTATGGACATATAATTCCACAACACAGGCATAGGCTGAGCCCACTCCAGCTGTGAAGAATGGGCTCCAGTAGGAACGTGGGCTGTGCCTGGGGCGACAGAAGTCCCGCCCAAGATGTGGAGTGGCCCCTACAGGACCCCAGCTAGCTAGGGTGCGGCATGAGGGGTGTGGGTGGGAACACCCTGCACAGCTATGGCAGGAACACCCGCCGAGGCCTGGTGACAGGGACAGAGGGCACTGAGGCACAGGGTCCAGACAGCACCTGCCTTTATGACGAAGCACTTCAGAGGACACTGTGTGATCCACACACCCGCTTTGAGAGAACACCAATCCTCTGGGGACTGCATGGCCACGGAGACACTTCAGTTGGGCATCAGATACTAACCCCTAACTGAAGTCACATCAGCTTCTTCTAAGGGGCTATGAAAGAGCTGGTCACTAACAGAGCACGTGGCCCCTGGAATCACCCTCAACCCTTGACAAAGATGTATTTTAGGCTATTTGTAAATAATCGTTTAAATACAGTACTTTCCAAGGAACGTGCAAACACAAAATAGCTTGCCAAAGATGAATGAACCTATTACAATTTGAGCTGCAGATTTTAAAATAATTATTTCTAGAAATAGTTTTCTATGTCATTATTGTTAAGTCTCCTGGAAATCCATCCCTGTTAGAGAAGTGATCCCTGATGGAGCCACTTCCCGGTGTGTGCTGGCTCCCGAGTCTGTCTAGAGGAAAGAGCAGGGCCGCTGGGAGTGTCACCTCCCTTTCTGGCTGAGCCTTGGGCTTCTGGGCACTGAGTCTTCTCTGACCTGAGGCCAAGATGAGCTGGTTGCAGGCTGTGGGTTTTTCCCTCTCTAAAAAACTCTCCTAAGACAATTTATGCTGTGAATCAGGGGTACTTCTCGTGCCACAGTCCTACGCCCTCAAAGATGAATCCTATTGCTAACCGCTGCGTCTGTGCTCCTAACTCCTGCTCCCAGAGAGCCCTGGGCTGGTCAGGACTCAGCAGGGCATGTCAGTGGGAGGAGGGGTGCAGGTGCAGGTGGGCCTCACCTCCACCCAGAAAGCCGGCGCTTACCTGGTCCCTCAAAGGGCAAGAGTTTGGATGGAACAGGGTCCTGGGCGCTCAGCGGGATCAGGTAGAGGTCCTTGACGTGCCTGTTGTTATTAGCTACAACACCAAAGCGGCCACGGCTGCTGAAATAGGAGTAGAGAGAGATATAGGCGACCTCCTCTTCCTCTGTGGCGGGGTGGAAGCGGATCAGACAGAGCTCCTGCAATGGAAGAGTGGGAAGCACTCATAAAGAAAATGTGGCTCAAGCATCACACGCCCAATTCACATCCTGCTTTCAACAGGAAACCTTGTCAGATCTCTCCGACTCACAGCCACGATCTCACAGAGCTGCTGTCTCAGTGAGGCAATTCACGTGACATGTGAGCCCAGCAGTGTCTGGAGCCGAGCCGGCTCTTCCTACATGCACGACGGCCCCGGTCACGAGGAACCAGCTGCATGATCTGCAATGGCTGTCTGTGCCCCTCCCTAGAGGGGGTTAAACTAGACGACAGGGTCTAGCCCTTTCGTGAACCTGACGAAGACTACAGAGATTCCCCAGAGAAAACCACAGACAGACACGCACAGCTGTAGCTAAATCTCAGGGGGTCCCAGAAAACCAGAACCGTTCAAGAGCCCAGGTTGAGTGCCCTGAGCCTGATCACCCCTGCAAAAGACACCTTCTGCTCCTTCAATCATAAAAAAACAAGAAAATAAAACGTATCTATTTCTTCCTAAAATTTAACCGCACATACATTATAATAAATCAGAAACAAACTTCTACCGCGGCACACTCAGACACCTTCACACAGTCATACAACTATGTAAACTTTTTTTTTTTTTGAGACAGTCTTGCTATGTCTCCCAGGCTGGAGTGCAGTGGTGCGATCTCGGCTCACTGCAAAACTTAATTTTTAACATTCACCTGGAAATATCTAGTAAGCTACAGGCTAACATTTTAAGTGTTAACCCATCCAAACGAGAGGTTAAAAAAAGATGTGTTTAAATCAACACAATTTTCCATGGTTGCAGAATTTATACTATAAGCAGGTACCTTAGACACAGAAGACTTGAGTTTGCCAACATAATCCCAAACTGTCTTCGGTGCGATCCTCCCACCAATGTGAATTGTGTCAGGCAAATCCTAAACAGAAAGTACTTTGCGTAAATCACTTTGAACTGTAGTAGTCACAGAAAGACGAATGCAGCCATGTGAAGGCACACACTACCCAAGATTCAAGAAGACTACAGCTATTCCAAGGAAAAGAGTCACACTTGTATTAAATGCATTAAGTCCAGGATGACAAGTGGCCAAATCCAAAGGGGGAGTGATGCCAACCTTCTGCCAGACAAGATTATGTTTAGAAATGACTGCCCAACACTTCTATGCTGTCTTTACGTACATACACAGAGAGTAACGATTCACTATGAGCCAGGGTGACTCCTTGCATTAAAGTCATAAATGCTAGTGCTGTCTTCTGGTTAATTCTGAAAACTAAAAGGCCTGCCACGGGGTCATATGCGCCACCCCGCAAGTGGCCAGGTGTGTGTAAAGCAGGCTCCGAACACCTGGCTGTGCCGGTGGCTGTGCGCACAGCCATGTGGTCAGTGCCCCAGCGAAACCGATCACTGAGAGGCCAGACTGCAGGCTCACATTTCCGACCCTGTCCAAACTGCTGAACCTGCGGACTCATCACGGCCATCGCCACTTTGCATTTAGAGCCGTTTCTGCATCCAGACAGACGGTTGCAAGAGTGTCAGGCATTTCTGTTTCTCTCCTACCTCATGAATTAAGGGAGAAAGTCATGTGTTTGACTCTAGTTTAGAAACTCCTATGAAAGACACACACACGCACACACATTTTCTTGGTTCTAACCTCACTGAGGTAATCAAAACACCCAGAGACAGGATACGCCTTAGTGACAAATTTTGCCACACTCTGCATGTTAATAAATCCTTTCCAAATGGTGCTGAGTCGAGACAAAAAGAGGGTCGTGTCTCCCTCTGGAGGGGAACGTGATTCTGAAGTGCTGTAAAACAAAACCATAAAAAAAAAGTCAATGTCTCTCTGTGCAATGAGAATTTCAAAAGTAGAAAGCCTTTTTTTTTTTTGAGACAGGATCTCATTCTGTCATGCAGGCTGGAGTGCGGTGGTGCAACACAGCTGGCTGCAGTCTCCGCCTCCCAGGCTCAGGTGATCCTCCCACCTCAGCCTTTCAAGTAGCTGGGACTACACGCGTGCATTACCACACCTAGCTAATTTTTGTCTTTTTTGTAGAGATGGAGTTTTGCCATGTTGCTCAGGCTGGTTTCAAACTCCTGGGCTCAAGCACATGCTGGGATGACAGGTGTGAGCCACTGTGCCCGGCTTCAAGAGTACAAAGACTTTATATGTAAAAGCAAAAGTGAACGCTTGCAAGTTTTACGTTTTTGGTAGCTTACTTTTGCCAATTACTTACTTTAATTAAAATGATACAGACATTTTGGTTAAAGAAAAATAAAGTGAATAGGCAACAAAACTGGATGAGCACAAATTTAAATGTCAATTTCTAAGATCTCTACTTCCAAAAGGACAATAAGGCACCCTACAACTGGGGCTTTTTAAAAGATGAAAGAGTGAAGCTGTATTTCAGGTTACATTTCCAAGTTCAACTATTTAATCACCAGTTATCTTTCCTTTCGTTAATCTAAAAAAAAAGTTTGGCTTGTTCAGACCACACCTGAAGTACGCACCTGATATTTGGTGACGGAGGAACTGACAGGTATCTTGGGTCAGGAGATGAGGATGGCTTAGCTAGTATGGACTTGGGCACCATCACAGAAGTCAAGACAGGCTTCGGCACATCCTGTCTGGCTTCCACCATGTGGGTGCTGTCTGGGCGGGATGCTGCGGAGGCCACGGCTGTGCATGAACTGCTTGGAGCGGTCCTGGGGTCCCGGCCGGACACTGTGACGGTGGTGACCACCCCGCTCCCACAGGAGGCTGGGCAGGGGGACAGGTCTTCCAGCGGGGAGGGCTCGGGATGGCCATCTCCTGGAGGCCCAGGGAAATACGTTCTGTCCACATTTGGATGAGAAGCACTTTCTAGGCCTGGCTCAGAGGCAACTTCAGGCACAGCCTCCGGCATCACCTCATCAGCTGAATCCGGAGCTGGGTCAGGTGCAGAGCTGTCATGCTTTGATTTTAAGTCTTCTTTCTTAACAGAAGCTGACAATTTTTGTTTTTTCGGAGCTGGCTCATCTTCTGCGGAGGGAACCTGGCCTGAAGAAGGCGAGGAAAGGCTCTGTGAGAAACCCAGCCGGCACACTGGTGTTTCTCACACAAAGCCGAAAGCAATACTCTAAAGGCAGGGCAGGAAATCATTCTGGCCCTTCTGCGTGTTTAAGCTTACGTGCGGTTGCTTTTAGGAGGTTCAGTGATTTTTAACAAAATCAAGTTTAGTCTCAGCTCCAAGGCTCCATCCCCTGCACTGTGCTCACCTGTGCAAATTTTACAGTTGAGATCGAAGAGGTGTGCGCGGTGCTGACTGGTGGTGTCTTTCAACATGCTGCTGAAGACGTCGAGAAGCGGCGCTGTGCTCTTCTCAGGGACAGCACGTGCTGACTCTTGCTGTTCCTAAAAAAGAAAAAGAAAAAAAAGTGAGGTCGTTTCTTCTCCAAACTCAGCTCCAAATTAACCACACACAAGAAAAGCAGTCTCATGGGATTGAGACCCACGGGGGAGAAAAAAGGACCATCTAATACAAGGACTGAGGAATGCCACAATGACATACACCTGCTGTAAGCTCAGGTCCTGCCCAATAATTTAAGATAACCTCAAAACATTTGGGATGGATTAGTCTATTCTCGGTGAACACAAAATCTCCCAAATGCTTACCTCTGAATCCGACACTGGCGGAGAGTCCTCCAGATCGGGGATGGCCTCCTGCCTGGGGGCCGTCTTCTTGCTTTCATTGTGCAGTTTAGTTCTGGACTCCATCACCTGAAATGAAAAAGACGAAACAGAGCTTAGGCCTTGTTTTCTAGGAGGAAAGCATCGCTTATGCAGCCGTCTATGAATTTATTTCTATTAAGCTCGAGTCCTGGGTGCCTCCGCAGGTACCCCTCAGCACTCACAGATCTCGCTGGCCTCTCTTTCCACGTGGAAAGCTCTTTAGATACAAGTTCTTCTGGCTTCAGTCTCACAAGTTTCGCCAAAGAGATTTCCTCACGCAGAACACGATGGAAGAGTCCCTATAAACAAGTATTTTTCATTTACTCAAATAATATTCCTATATCTGTCAATACAGAGAGCTTCTGGAAAACACAGCTGCCCAGAAGTTTAGCGGGCACAGGACAAAGGCCCTCAGGGCCCACTTGCGTGTGGCACTGGGCAGAGCCCTCCCTGCAGGGTGTGACCTAACTCCCCAAACGGCCTTATGAGAGTGCGCCCCAGGATATCCCTGCTGTGAGCAAATGGGAGCCCAGAGAGCACAGGTAATAAGGTTCAACAGTGGGTTTCACGGCCTGTGCTGCACTGGCTCTGCTAAAAAAAAAACAACACACAACACCTCAGGAAAAACAATTATGTACACAAGGTGGACACAAGTCAAAAAGGTAGCGTCAGGAACAAAGGAAGGAAGAAATCATTTCTGTTTAGGGCTGTTCAATGGTGAGATGCAAAGTCAGGGTATTTCATTATCCTAAAATTCTAAACAGGGAGGAGCCTGGAGGCCGATGGAGAGAGAACACCACAAGGCTGTCAGCCCGGCGGCCTATCCCTCCCAGCTGGAGTTTCTGTCCTCGTCGCATGGCCCATGCTGCAGTGAGGAAGGACTGATCCCACTACCTGGGCGTGAGCAGCCCCTGCTCCAAGTGGTGAGAACTCAAGCAGCCCAAACCATCAGGCTCACTCGGCTGATGAGGAATATGAGAAAATAAGGTGGAAAAGGCTGTCTGAGGCCGGAATACGGACACCCTCATACACTGGGATGAAGAACTGGACTTTATTTTGGAGCCCAGTGAAGCGACTGGCTTGTACCTTTACAGCAATGTTTACAGGAGACTAATGTGGTGATAAAAGGTGGACTTCAGGGAAGCCAGGAAGCGGACGCGACCCTAGTTAAGGCAGGGAAGGGAAGGGGTTTCCAGGACGCTCAACGCCAGTGCAACAATACGTGGGCGGCAGAAGGATCACAGAGGAGAAAGAAACGTCTTAGCTTTCCTGGAAAGGACACGAACATCTCAAAATATTGGTTGATCCCTTTAGCACCCAGCGAACAGAACAGGAATACTCCAATGCACCGACACCAGGCACACACCTGATTTTTAGGGTCCTTCAGGTTGAACATGATGCTGCGATATTTACTCTTGTAGCGATTATCTGTAACTTGAAACAAGTTAAACATCTCCTTCTCAATATGGAGGGCAATTTTTCCTACTTCGTTTTCTGTCATGATTAAGTCATCGCTGTCATTGACTCTGAACAGAATAAAAAAAAGGAACTACATAAGACACTTGTGTATATTAAACTTTTTGAACAGTGAGGCAATCCTGCAGCCACACTCTAATGAAAGCCCTTCCATTTTAATGGGTAAGAAATCAAGCAGAACAGCCCACCTTTTCCACAAAATCTCTTTTAAGGAGCGTCTGATATTTTGCCGAATTTGTGAATTTGGCTGCGATGGTGCAGCACTCATAGCCCCAAGGCGTCCTGGGGCTGGCGAGGCCATTGGAACAGAAGGTACCACTGGCTTCCTTACGGCTCCCACCAAAGCAGCGGAGCCAGGGAACTTCTTGGAGGCAGCCGTTGCCGCTGCAGGTGCCGGTCCGGCCTGCCTGGCAGCTGAAGCACCACTCGATGGGGTAGCGGAGAGCCATGGCCTCTTGGGGATGGTGCCCTTGAAACCTGAGGGTGGCTTTTTAATGGCTGGTGTGGCTGCTGCCACATTAGCAAAAGAAGACTTCTTTGGCACGAGGTTTCTAGGTGCAGGCTGCTTGCCCACCGCGGAGCCTGGAGGGGCTGTTTTCTTTGAGGCTGCCATGGCTGCCGCTTTCTCCTCGGACCTCCTGTCTTCCTTCGTGGCTACAAAGAAGAACACAGGCGCTGAGTAAGGGAGGACACCACAGGGTGCTGTCACCTGACTCTAAAAAGCAGACTTACCCTTAAACCTGTAAGTGCCCACCTGGCATTACTGAATAGGATACACATAGAGAAAAGGATTTGTAAAATGTTAGTGTTCAGAGGAGTGTAAGGGAGGACCGCCAGCAGCATTTATGACGGTGACTACATTTTATTTCAGAAAGAAGAATGCTTTATTATTCTATCTTTTACCTTCAACCAGCAAACTCTAGTTATTAAAGGCTTGACTTGCGCACTAGCTAAGCTTCAAAGCTGAAGGACAATTTCCTATCATCACTTTTTAAAAGGCAGATTTACAGCAGCACTATCATTATGAATTCAAGTGCAAACTGTTTGTAAACTTCAGTGAAAAAGACCGTTTAGAAGCGTAAAACAGGCTCTCTTAGCCCGGTGGGTGGGGTTTACACATCTCACTTCGTTGTCCTTCCAGACTGGAGTCCATTGGAGGCGATGCCATTAATAAAAATATGGAAAGCTGGCATACACCTGAACCACAGGAAGAGCAGCCACACCTTTACGTGAAGAGTGAGAAGCTGAGAACGCAGCAATGCTGTTACAGGAATGCGTCCATTCACAGCCCTCAGGCTGTAATTCCATTAAGTGAAGTATGAATCCAAACAAGGATTATAATTAAAAGCTCAAAGACATCAAACCCCCTCAACTTGCACAAAAAGCTTTCTATGTCAGTAGAGAATCAATCACCTTATAACCCCATGTGAGATCGTCAGAGCCCAAAGGCCCTCGAGCAGGGGACAGACGGCGTGCCAGGGGACAGATGGCCAGGGGACAGGGCTCGTTGAGGTGCACCGCATGCCGGGGCAGGGATCCAGCTAGTGGAGCAGAGTGAAACGCCTGGGGAATAGGGGGCCCCCATGAGGGCCCCAGGATGGCAGAGGCCATCTCAGCTCTACAGGCAAGTGCCTGGGAGCTACCTCGGGTGATCAAGTCAACAAGGCACCTCCTGAGGAAAGGCTTTTCCAACGATCGGTACAGCAGCAAGCCTCCAAAACTCCCAAAGGCCTAAATGGGAGAATGTGACAGATGCTCCCAAGAGCGCTTCAGTTCTACCCAGGGACTGAAAATCAAACCGCACTCCTCCCCCGTCGTCTTACTGACCGCTTTCAATAAATGAGGTAAGTCTGAAAGCTCAGGAAAGAGCCAAGACTCTACAAATAAGGCCTGATTCAACAGCCTGCCCCAGCTTGGTCCTGCAGGATATCCCGCATGTGCTGCCAGGCTTGGCCACGTTGGCAGCGGGTGCCAGCCCTCCCCAGCAGCCAGTCCATCAAGCAGCAGCCTCAGGGCTGCAAGTCTTCCCAACTTCCCAGATAAGTACAACTCCTTCCATTTTTACAAAACTTGCAACAGTACTACATGGATCCAAAAAGCGGTGTCACTGTTAACAGATACCCCAACTTTCAAACAATGGTGTCACTGTTAACAGATATTCGCCCCGACTTTCAAGATTTCCATGTGTTCTTTCCTAACCATCATTTTAATGGTAACTAAGTAAAGGCAAATCCTGTATTTTCATCTTAGGACCCTTCTAACCTCATGGCCGGCCCCTGCCTACCCCTTGCTAGATGTGGTCCAGCCACAGGACCCCCTCCTTGGCAACACTGCCAAGCCCTGTCTCCTCACCCACAACCGCACCCCAAAACACTCATTCCTGTTGGAGCTGGATCTTAAAAGCGCACTATAAAAAATGGCAACGTCTAACACGACAGGAACAAAGGTGACAGCTAGTTTTTATCTGTCCAGGAAACTTTGCTTTTAATTCCACATGTACTATGTCATCAGATCAGGTCTATACACCCCAGGAGTCACTACCTTAGTGTTTGAAAATCTGTTTTTAACAACTCAGTTTAACTCATTAGACTTAGCTCACAGGTCTGCAGCATCTTGCCTGCAGGGTTGCAATAGGTCAGTCAGGTTAAATAAAAATCAGTGGAGGCCCTTTTTCTTGGGGGAAGCAGCGAGGGGGTGGGGTGAGGATGGAATGAAAAGGCCCAGCAGGCCTAGGGCGCTGGAGGCACACCGGCAGGAGGCTGACACCAGGCAGGCACCAGGAACCAAGCCCCGGTCTCCAGAGGCGGCAGACAGACACCTGCCGGGAAGCCAACCGTGATTCAAACTGAAACCTCAAACCAATTCAGTGACTGCACTAGAAACCTTGGAGTGTTTTAATATCACGTTTAAAGAACTCTAAAAAAGCTGGCTGAAAGCATTTCCAGAAACCTCGGCAAAATGCCTTGGCTGTGACACACAGAACACCTGTGTGCTGTGACCTGAACGGTATCTTTAATGATGTTTAACGCTCACCTTGTTGCAAGTTAGGGTTACATGCTACCTTCAAAACCATCAACTCCATTTCTCCAGATCGTAAGTGTTGGAATGAGGCGTCCATGGCCACACTCAGATTTCTGCTCGTGTAACTACACTATTGTCTCCCTCACTTAGGGAAAACCCGAGTTGAGAGATGAGTTTTAGGGCACTCCCAGTACATGGGTTTAAAACCACCCATTACCCAAGAGTGGGGGCAGCAGATTAACGTAATTTATTTTAAAAGCAGGAAATAGCTTTCCTTAACCATTGCTATTTTAGAAAATTAACTGCTCCCTTTCTAAAGGCAACCTTTGTCATCCCTCATCTGTGCTTTAAAGAGCATGGAAATGGGCAGTCAGGTGAGTGAACGGCAGAATGTTCCAAGCCGGGCCTCTGGGAGCAGTGTCCTACAACACGCAGAAAGCCCCATTCCTGCTCTGAACGGACATGTTCTATCCAGCAACTGTTCCAGGGACCCGAGCACACACCCATTCCACTCCAGGTGGGACAGCATGGCTGGTGCTCAACTTGGGTCAGCTGCTGCTGAAATGGGGACAGAAACTTTTTAGTGGAGCTAAAATTCAATTTGCAAGTTCATCCAAATTTGCTTTGAACTATTACGTTGTGTATAACTTCAGAGAAGGGCAAGCAGCAACTCCAGGCAACCCAGGAAAAAACCCCACTGCAGAAACACAGGGCTCTGTCAGGGTACGAGCCTCCCCTACACGCTGCTGGGCCCCCTGGGGGCAGCAGTGGTGGTGACCTGGTCACACCGCACAGCACTGATGCCTGAGAGCCAGGGGTCCCCTGCCCCTCCCCACACCTCTCTGCCCCTTGGTCGCAGTGCTGTCTCCTTTAGCTCCCACATTCTGGGGGCCTGCCCAGGCCACTGGCCCAGATGAAACTGTTGCTGCCGGGTCTGGGTTTCAGCCAACTGCAGAATGAAGCAGGTCGTCGTCGTGCACAGGGATCAGCAGCACACTCTAATTGGCCAATTTCCCCCAAAGCAGAAGGCTGGCTGGCTTGGGTGCTACAGCGCCTCTGGCCACTGGGTGGCACCAGGGCCTGAGCAGAGACGGGGAGGAGAAAATCAGGCCCCCACTGGAGGATGGTGCTACTCCGCTCCTCTCTGCAGAACCCATCCAATTGCCCCAGTGGAAGTTTTAGCAGGACAGGGATTAAAATATGGGGCAAGAGACCAAGTCTGCTCAGTTCTGGACTGTCCAGAGGCCCCCATGTAGCAACCTTATGTGCTGGATGGCTCCCCACAGGGAAAGGAACTGGTTATAAAAATCACTAAAATAAACACCACACGCCCTCACGTAGGTGTTGACAATGAAGTGGCCTGCCCTGTCGCGGTACTGCTGGCTGGTTTAGGGAAGCTGGGGCACTCAGACCTCCACTGGTCTCCCACGGTGTCCTGAATCCTGCCTATCACCATCCGCTACAGCTCTAAGGGCTGTTTCTATGCTATGCACCTGAAAACAGACTCAACAGTCAGTGAAGGAACTGTGGAAGTAAATTCTGTTCACTGTGACGTCAGGCCTATTTGCAGCCCTCAGTGAGGCGTGTGTACAACAATGCAGTTTCCTGCTTTACCTGTTTCTTCACTCCAAGATTGCCCCTAGTGGGAACAATCAAGGTGGCAGCGGCAAGAGAAAATGTTCTGCTTTTGCTCCTCTCAACATGCTAGAATGTGTTCACATGAATTCGCCTTTTATAAGTAGTTACTAGTTTGCTTTCATGTTGCGGGGAAACAGTTACTTCCCAAATACAGCAGGCAGACTACATCGCAGACGCTCCTCAGAGGAGACCATCACTACAGCCAGGACGCCCTTGCAGGGTCCACAGCTAGACTGCCGTGTTTTGGAATACTCAAAGCTTTCCTTGGTCAGTTTTCTTACTAATACCCGCTACTTGAGTGCCTTCCAACTTAATGGAGAGGTGTGTAATTCTCCCTAAGAAACTCGTGTGATGAGGGCCACGTGGACAGATGGACGTTCCACTCAACTGCAATTTCAGTTGTGCCCAGCTGCACATGGTGTGTGCCTGGCTGCCAAGCCCATTTGGGAGCAGAGCTGCTGCTCTTCCCAAGATCTCCCACACGAGTAATTTAACCTTTATCTAAGTTGTTTACTACTTAAACCAACATGTTAGGGGCATGTTAAAATTAGTCCACAACCCTCCCCTGTAATCCCTCCAGTCCTAAAGGGCCATACTCAGTATAAAGCCCCTAGCTGACAGCACCAAGCAGGTCAGTTGAGGATAAAGCCAGTTACCTTAAGCTCTTCTTGCCGAACTCTTCCAGGTTTGCGGCAAATGAAAGTTGCCGCAACCTTCATTTAAATAAGTAGCAAAAATTCTTGTCAATATTCTAAGTTACTTCTCTAACTTTTAGAAGCTAAGAATATAACTATGTGTATGTTGATGTGTTAACAGAAAAAAAAAAAAAAAAACCTAGTATTATTTTACAACTTTATACAAATCTACCTGAAACTTGTGTACCACATTGGAGGAATTGTAGCAGGCGTCTTCAGAGCTGACCTCTGCACTCTGTGACACCGAGAATGCCGAGGAGGCTTTCCCGAGTATTCATCTTTAGACTATGAGTAGATCCACAGCTCCGAAAGGTCCTATGAAGGTCACTGAAGAGGTGGTGAATTCAGGGGGACCGATCCTGCTGGAAACTTCCATCCCTGCACCCCACCTGCCCAAGGTGGCTGAAGCATAAGCACAAAGGGGCACCTGAGGGATGGACAGGGGCACCACGGGACGGTGCTGATGTGGGACTTCACCGTGCAGGGTCACGGTTACGGAGGTGTGAAACCTTTCCCTGATGTAATTTTCTCAATGGCAGGCTGCTTTTTAAGTTTATAAAAAGTAAAACACTTAAAAATAACAAAAGAATGTCATTACTGACAGCCAAGAAACTTCCAGTTATATGGATAACGTAAAAAAACAACTATCAAGCTATATTCTTTCTCAGAACAAATTCTGATTTTTCTAATTGGGAGGAAGAGATTGGTGGACACGTAGAGTCTGATGACTCCCAGTCTCGTTTTATTGCCGCTGACAACTCTGGAGGAGACAGATAAAAAAAGAGCTCACGCGACCAGTGAAACAAGCCACCCTCCTCTCCCGGCTTTAAATTCCTGCAAAACACTCTTAGGTTCTAGAATCCCCCCATGTATTTTTTATTAATGAAAACTGAGACTGGGTCCTCTTAGGATTTCAGTGAAATGTGCTTCTGGAGCCCACACCATGAGTTATCCTTGTGAACGGTGTTCTCCGTCCATTTCACCCCACCAGGGCCATCTCTGTGGCAGCACGTGGGAACAAGAGGCAGTGCTTCCACCTGGGCACCATGCTTAACACAGCATCTGGATTTGGGTTTACAAACTGGCAACGTTTTCCATTTTAATTCCAACGGTTAGATGAAACGAACTGTAGAATCTGCTTTGCAGTCAAAATCTGTTCAGATCCTCAGTGTTTAAGTCACTTAATGAGCCATTTAGGGAGACAAAATACTAGAAATTGCACCTATCAAATACCATCTCAAAATTTTGAGAATTCCATCTCAAAATTCTAGTCAGTCAGGTACATCTCAGAAAAACATTTCCAACTGACTTCATGCCTCGACAATAATGGGAGGTGAACAGTGGAAATAAAGAGAAAAAAATGGAATAAGAATTTATAAAACCACAAAAGAAACATCATGATCTTTGAGAGAAGTTATGTGCACCAAATGTTTACGTAAGCTAAATAAACTGTATATATAAGAAACAATTTTTAAAAACAAATGGGAGGAACAAGGTGAGGCTGTGAAGGACCTACTGATATCTTAGCAGGGGGCACAGCCTCCTTCTAGCAATGGCAGAGTGTCTGTGCACACCAGGCCTCACCTGTTGGACAGGAACCCCCAGGTCAACCGAGTGCCATGGGAAGGACAGGAGGGTGCCTAGGTGCACTGTGGGGAGCAGCAGCGGTAGCTCCACCACGTGGGTCTTCTGATGGTATGTGTGGTGAGGCAAGTGTGAGTCAGCTCATGGGACAGACCCACACCAGCCTCTCACTTCCAAACTCACCCCCTACCAGGGAGGGCGAGCTCCGTGGCCAGCCAGGGAGGCAGGGCAGGGGCCTCAAAGGCATACAGTGGTGGCAGGCTCCCCAGTACTTGTTGAGCCTACAAAAGTGCAGAGGTGTTTAGGGGAGAGGCAGAGACATGGTAGCTGCTGTCACCAATGTCTCTAACTCTGCTCCAATCAATCACCTTTTGGGAAGACAACATTTACGGGATAACAAAACGAGCAGAAGCTACTAGCTCAAAAGTGTGTCGTCCCCATTCCCATCCTATACAAATTCTGGAAATCCACCAATTTTAACTTGAGGTGATGTGTTGGGAAGGTTAACAGGCAATTTCCCCCACCTCCTGTCCCTGGAGCAAATCAGCTTCCCAGAGGAGCTGATGTGTGGCAAAGAAGGGAAGAGGGAGAAGAGGTCAGAGTACCCCGCTATGGGCAGAAGAGCAGCCTCCTGGTCGACCTCTCCCCGCTCACAGTGCAGGAGGCAGGCAGGAAGCAATAACCCAGGGCTGAGAGCCCCTCATTTCCCCATCTTCCCACCAATGCTCCCTCCCCACAATGTACACGGACTCTTCCAACTCCACATGTGGAGTCTCTGGCAGCTTTTCAATTTTGGTTGACACAGATGGAAATTAACCAAACTGAAATTATCACCCACTTATCTGAACTGAGGCTATAACCGCAGTTTTTCTTTTCTTCACTGTTATGTGTCTAAAACCAATGTACAGCTAAATTTTAGTACAGCATTAAAAATCCCTCTCTGCATTCACAGGTGGGTGACACTTTAAGCCCATTAGCTCTGTAGAACTGCTCTATCGTAGAGGTGCTAGAATCTGATGAACATTTGAGACATTTGCTAGCATAAAATTCTCAGCTCAAACAATGTAAGGTATCGAGATTCATTATAATGCAGCAATTGCATGATTCATTTTATGTGCGGCTCAATTTCTTAGGTCTAGGCTGTTTACATGATCAAAACGAGGGACATATTTTTCTTCTTTTATGAAGCTACTCATACTCAATAACTGCATATTTTTAGCCAAGCGCTGTGGCTCACATCTGCAATTCCAGCACTCTGGGAAGGCCGAGTTGGGCAGATCACATGAGGCCAGGAGTTCAAGACCAGCCTGACCAACATGGTGAAACCCCGTCTCTACTAAAAATACAAAAATTAGCCAGGCATGGTGGCACGGGCCTGTAATCCCAGCTACTTGGGAGGCTGAGGTAGGAGAATCATTTGAACCCGGAGGTGGAGCTTGCAGTGAGCCGAGATCATGCCACTGCACTCCAGCCTGGGTGACAGAGCAAGACTCTTGTCTCAAAAAAAAAAAAAAAAAAAAAAAAAAAGTGTCTTTTTTGTAAGGCACACCAGACCTAGCATAGGTCTGCTTGCCTGCATGAGTGCCTTCCCTTAGGGAATCTGCTCAAAGTCTGACGACGGGAAAGTGGGGCACTCTGTGATCATCTTTGAATTGAGACTATTTAACCTTTCGGTGCTTTTTAAAAAAAGCACAAAATGCACTATAGACAGAAGGCATTAAAGACTGAATTGAAAATAGTTTTATAGCAGAAAACTGAGAAACAAGAAAACATTAAAATTGCACCACAGAATCTGAGGTTTCAAAGATCTGTTTGAAATATCTTCATTTCATTAATTTGAAATTTGGGGCAGGATATGATCTTAAGAGTCTAAACATTCAAGAGACGAGGGCAAGAAAGCCAGTCACATGTAGAATACCAAGTCCAAGGCACGCGTCCTGCGGTCAGGACAGTGTTCTAGGTGTGAACTCACTTACCGTGGGGCCTATGAAGCAGGAGTGTGTGGCCTTCGAAGTTCGAATGTGTTCATGTGGGTGTGTAGCGTGTGAATCGGACATGGAAAAAAAAAAATCCCCTATCTGCCCAGTCAAAAATAAATGTACACCTGAAAATCAGATGCAACACTAACTTGCAAAGATTCCCACAACATAAAAAAGAAGTGATGCTTTCATGTGCTGGCCGTGGACAATGTGGAAAAACTGAAGCGTATACAGCGCTGTTGTCAGAACAACTCATGTGCAGACAGGGGTGGATGTGGCGTGCCGGGCAGTGTGGCTATGCAATCAGACTGGGATGAAGAGAATACGAATACTTACCAGAGCCTGAGAGTGAAAACAGAGATTAAAGAATCAATCATTAAGGTGAACGTTCACCAGTGAGGTTTACAGCTTTGGAAAACAGTGACAGGAAGTCCTGACAGACTAGGGATGGACACAGGGCAGCAGGAGGCATCCTGGACATGGGCTCTGCTTCCCGCTGATGGTGCAGCCGGTGTCTGTGATCAGCTTAACACAAAGCTGCAACTCCCAGTCCTGGACAGGCCCAGGGGATGGCTATCCAGAAAGAACGGGAGGGGTCCAGGAGGCCAACCCCTAGGTGATACATACATTTATACAACAGTGACGGCGAGGGAGCAGCAGTCTTTTCTGGCTTTACTGCATTGTAATTGTGATCGCTCGCCCACGACGGCGTGCTGCTCTCACAAGCTGCTTCCTTCCCGAGTGCTTCACTCCGCGCAGGGACCACCACTGCCTTCTTCACTGTGGTCTCTTTTTTTTCTGGAGCTGGTCTCTTGTGCACAGAAGAGATTTTAATACCTGCCTGGATAATCAGTAAAACCCCAAATCATTAAAAAGGTAAGAAATCATACCTTCACTTCATTTCACTGAGAGATGAAGGCGGGGACCCAATGTCTTCCTGAGGCCATCTGAAGACCCTGCACCCATCCTGCGCCTGCTTGGCAGCAGTTCAACACACTTGCGTATTCGGTGGGCCCGCGGTGGGCCCGCAGTTTCCCCGTGCAAAACTGAGAACTTCAACCACTTGTGCTCCGTGAAGGGCGGCTGGCACAGAGTCACCTGCAACCCTGATGAGGTGCCAAGTTGCCAAGATGACAGGAGCAGCAGCCACTGGACAGGCTGCCAAGATGACAGGAGGAGTGCGGCAATGAACCAAATGAGCCAAATGAGAGGAAAGGCCTGCGCGCGAGGCTGTGCCCAACGCCGAGGGTTCAAAAGGACCAGCCTTAAAAATTAAGTCATTCAAAGGCTAAATAATCATTTGAAAATAATCAAGAAAACTCCCTGAACAGTGCTAGTTGCGCTTTGCTGGTCACAAACATAACCGGGGCAGTGACACAGCCACCGCCGCCTGAGCCTCACAAGGGCCTTCAAGTCTAAGACAAGAGTTTGCGATCTCTAAACATTCCAAATAACACGGAGTTCTTTCCAAATAACACGGAGTACAAACATGAGACAACTCTGAGAGCCGGGTCTTAAATGAAGACCACAGCCTTGCCCCGAACCCGCCTCCCACTCCTACCTGCCTGCAAGTCTACGCTCTACAAACTCCACCGGGTGGTTACCAACTCTTCTCACAAGACAGCAGGGTGTGTCCTGAAGTCTTATGCCCCCCGTACACTGCCATTGTCAGCATTTGCTTTACTGCACTTGTGTTAATTAACCCCTCAGCTAACGGGCAGAGAAGGGAAAACTGGTGGGAAGGTGGAAGACAAAGGTCAAGGCGACACCACGTGTGCGCCCCCCTACACCTGCCACCCCCACACGGTCTACAAACCAACAGTTCTGCGACAAACGCTCTCACGCCTGTGCGTCCACTGCCTGGGCGGCTGGTCCTGGTCCACTCACCTGAGCACCGCATTTCGGAAGACTGGGCTTCTCTGGCTTCATCTTCATCTTTTCTTTAGGCTTTGGCTTCTGTTCTTTACCTGAGCTTAGAAACTTCATTGTCGCTGCGGCGTGTTTGAGGATACAGTCATTACTGCAGTACACCGAGTCGGGCTGCGCCACGTGACAGCACCCGGGGCCAATACATTTTGAGGCACCAGGCGCCTCTATCACCTGCAGAACAAAACAGATGACTTCAAACAATGTACTTGCCAATTTTAAGCAGTTAAGTGTGTGTTTTGTAAAATCACCATTTATAGTACCAAGGCCACAGTTTCAAAATGAGATACTAACAGTACTTTTAATATGAATAAACATTTTGTTGATTCAAGCTATGAAAAAGCCAGGTAAGGCATTCACACTGTCACTGCCCGTCATGCCCTGCAGGGGGCAGGAGTGTGAGGAGACCCCTGGACTGCCGCCCTCTGCTCTGTGCACCCCTCTCGAGGGTGGGCGGGGCCCACGGGACCTCACATCCACGATGAGGCTCCGCTAGAGGACCCACATGCAGGGCTTCTTCAGATGTAATTAAGGATCTAACTGGGATGACTGCAAGTCAAATGGGTCCGGCTAAATCAGGTAAAAACCCTTAAAAAAGGAACTGGGTCTTTCATGAAGAGAGAAGACTTCATAGCTGGTTTTGAAGTAAGCTTCCCTGCTTTGAGAGGATTAGCTGTGGCTAGGATCTGAGGGCAAGGCTGCCAAGTAAAATACAGTATGCCAATGAAATCGGAATGTCAGATAAACAATGAGTAATTTTTCAGTGTAAGTATGCCCCCCAAATTGCATGAAACATACTTTTTTTTTTGTTTGAGACAGGGTCTCGCTCTGTTGCCCAGGCCGGAGAGCAGTGGCACAATCATAGCTCACTGCAGCCTTGATGTCCTGGGCTCAAGTGATCCTCCCACCCCAGCCTCCCCAGTAGCTGGGACTACAGGCACATACCACCACGCCCAGCTCATTATTTATTTTTTTGTAGAGATGGGGGTCTCACTACGTTGCCCAGGCTGGTCTCGAACTCTTGGCCTCAAGTGATCCTCCCATCTTGACTTCTCAAAGTGCTGGGATGACAGGTGTGAGCCACAGCACCCGGCCAGACACACTTATACAGTAAAAAACAGCGTGAGGGCTTCTGGAAGGGAATCCCCTGCCAAGCCTCTGGAGACCACAGCCCCCGCTGCACCGTGACTGCAGTCCTGTGAGACCTGAGCAGCAGGTCCAGGCTTCCCATGGAAATGGAGGCATAAATGTGAGCTCCTTCAAGCCAGGACTGCAGTAACTCATCGTGCAGCAGGAGGAAACTCACGCACCACAAACAGCTTGACCACTGCTGTTTACAAAGTCTGTCTCGATGATCAGGCCTCAACACACACGAACATGTCCCTCACACATACTTAAGCGAAACCTTATTTCTCAAATTAAATATTTAACATAATCAGTTTTCCTCCACAGAATCTAAGTTTTATTGAGAATACAATTTAGGTTTGTGCAGGGTATTGTCAAGCACAATGACAATTAAAAAAAGATGTTGGGCGTGGTGGTGTGTGCTTGTAGTCCCAGCTACTTGGGAGGCTAAGGTGGGAGGATCACTCAAGCCCAGGAGATCGAGGCTGCAGTGAGCTGGGACTGTGCCACCGAACTCCAGCCTGGGCAACAGAGCGAAGCCTCAACTGCACAAAAAACAGAATCAATATATTTAAAAAATAAAGACATAAAGCCAATGACTTTTCTCATGAATTCCCATCTCCATTCATCTCTGAATGCCCAGATGTGGCCTCTGATAGCAGCGCAGCATGAGCCTTCAGCCCCTCCTGCCTCCAAGGGCACGCTCCCAGGTGCACGGCCCAGCCTTCGGACATCCTCACCTTGCAGCTAATGCAGTGCAAGAGTGTGAAGGCAGAGATGCTTCTAGACACAGCAATTTCCAATACCTGCCAGAGGACAGGCAGCTGGGTGGGGACAGGCCCGGGACCCTGGAGGGACCAGAGTGAAAACACGCCAAGTCACACCTGCCCTGTGGGGACTGGAATGGAGACTGCAAACACAAGACAGCAGCAGAAGCTGACAGCATGTGGGAAATGTCATAAACATCAGGGGGAGAGAATTAAGTGTCAACACAGCTGCAAGACAGAGAAACCACTCTCAACACAAGCACCCCGAGGAGCCAGCACCAGAACCACGAGGCAGCTGGAGACAGCAGGTGACACAGGAGCACCGCCACTCCCATCGTTCAGAAACAATTCCTTTCTGCTAATGCATACAAAGCATGTAAGCAACACCCAAATCCTCAAAGATGGGCTGATTTCAACAATTAAGTCATTAATAGTAGAGGAGGTAGACAGGGTAAGAATAAAAATAGAAAGGCCTCACCCAGGTGGAGTGAGGCAGGAACCCGGGAGAGGCACCGCCCCACATGGGTGCAGCACCCGTCCTGGGAGGAATTTCTATCTAGAGCGAGACTGAAACCAGTGAGGCCGACTGCTGAATGCTCGTCTCAGCGGACAAACACTTACAGGCTGGAAGATCTTGAGTTTCTTCTTGCCACTTGGATTTGCAGCTTTCTCAATTCTACCCTTTATCCCTTGGTCTTCGCTAGACTTCTGCTCTATTGTTCCTATACTTGTACAATCGGTGCCATCAGCATCTCCAGGTCTCCATTTAGCTTCCTGCTGATCTGCCGTTTCTGAATGAGTCTCATCCTGCACTTGCAGAATGGTGCAGTTTGGGCAGATATAGTCTTCCCCATTCCTTTCCAAAAGCCTCCCTCGAGCCTCAGAAATGCCCACACAATCGCCATGAAACCATTCTTCACAGCGGTCACAGCAAATCATAAACCTGAAATTATAAAATAACGGTATTAGCAATGGGACGTGAGTGACAAGCACTTTTCAACACATTAATAAGACAATTGGTTTTAACTTCATGAAAAAATGCAAATATACAGAAAAGTAGAGATTAAGAACGTCCTCATGCCTTTCCTTTGATTTTAACATTCAACCAAATTTACTTCACCGTTTTTTAAGAGTAGCGCATTTTAGGAGCAAACTCTAAGGCATTCCACCACAGATACCTCAGCAAGTCTCCCCCCAAAACTGCGACAATGCCTTTATCCCAGCGCCAAGCCAACAGGCTGCCTATCACCGTCTGACACCCAGTCCTAGCAGAGATCTTTTGAGCTGCCCCAATGTTTGCACTAGGACACTTGCGGTCTGCACATGCCCCTCTGCTATGTCTCCCAAGGGGCAGTCTAGAGGAGCAGTCTCAGACAGACCCCGGAGTGACGGACACATTCTCCTCCATGCCGTCTACACAGAGCCACTGGCTGCACGTGGCTCACGTGACTGGGGTGGGGCGCTATTCACCTCCTCACTTGACTGGAAACAGCCATGTGTGGCCAGTGGCTACCAGAGTGGAGAGGTGGCTCTAGGAAGTCCTTAGCCACTCTTATGTGTTTCTTTTTTGACAACTTGTTCATCTTTTCCAACAAATCGCTCATCCAGCCCAGCTTTGTAACCCTTTAAAATGAAAACAAATGGAAAATTCTGTTTGCAACCCTGGGATTTCTGTGGGTGCCCACACATGACCCACCTGTTGTTGTGAGGCTGGCGGCAAATGCAATACAGGGCGTTGGGGTCGTAACCCTCACATTCAGGCTTCGGTCGGCCCAAGTCTCCAGGCTCCTCATCTTTGATGTCCTGAGCCGCCTTTCCCTCCAACTTACTCTCTCTGTCATCTTTCCCAGCCTGGGACACAACCCCCTGATCGTTCTCGGGCTCCTGCTTACTGGGCAGGACGCCCTCCACAGTGTCACTGGCCTCGGAGCCCACAGTCTCGGCGGGACCCTCCTCCCGGCGCTTCTTCCGCAGGCGACTCTGGATCCCTTTCAGGGGCCTCTCAGTGGGCTCCTGTTCCCGCTTCCTGCGAAGGCGATTCTGAAGCTCTTTCAAGGTCAGGCCATCGCTGTCACTATCGGAGGTGTCATCGTGGTCATCCCCTCCTTTCACCTTTTCAGAAGAGGCTGGTCGTTCCTTCACAGCTGTGGAAGCAGACTGGGGGCCGCTTCTGGTCTCAGAAGCGCTTTCCACGCTGCCCTCGGAGGCTGTCTCGGCGTCTGTGGCGGGGCAGGACGTGGGCTCACCAGAATCCTCCAGGGAGACAGGCATGCTCCTCCTGCCGCGGCGCCGCGCAATGGTCAGGAACTGCTCCACGCGCTCAGTGCGCTTGGGCTGCCTCCCACTGCGCCGCAGGGACAGGCCCAGCTGCTGCTGTGGGGGTGGCGGCTCCAGTGGGTCAGCCTCCGCGTCCCCTGCGCCCTCTCGCTTGGCGATAGTGGTCCTTCGAAAACCCCATGTTTTCCTGAACTCTTTGCTGGTGGGTTTGATGGCCTTAGGTGCCTCCTCATTGCTCGGGTCGCCTTTGTCGTCCATACCTAGCGGTAAAGTGTAAGCACATAGTGACCAACTGACCACAGAACAAAAGGTGACATTGCCGCCAAACACGCGCAGCAGGGGCCACCTCCCTACAAACAGTGGAGCTCTACATAAAGCAAGTCCTTCTGACCAGTGTTTCCTAATGTGTGCTATGTGAGATGATTCAAGATGATTTGTAAAGATAATTTTAATATAGTTAAACAACTAACGTTTAGACAAAAATACAGCTAACAAATCAAATGTACAATTTCATCATTTAACTGCTCAGGACAAGGCTTCACAAGCCAGACAGTAGGGACAAATAGGAAATATTGGACAGTATAGCAGGGTAAGGATGTGAGTAAGGACGTGAGCAAGGACGCGAGCAGCTCGGAGGTGGCACGAGCTCCCCAGCACCTCCGCAGGCAGATGGGCTGCTCTGACCACAAGCACAGTGAACAAGACGCTGTGCCAGTTTGGGTGTGGCCTGCAAAGGGACCCAAGTCTGTTCTGGACTTTTGCAAGTATGGGCTGGCCACCACCATGCTGAAAAGAGGATATGAAGAAGCTGAGTCCCGACTTTCAGCTCCCCAACCAGGGGCTGGGGCCAGGAAGGATGCTATCACTATCTGGGACCCTCCATACCAGCCCTGCTGCCAAGTGAATGACCCTCACGGGCACAATGTGAGAGAACTGCCTAACTCCTGACCCAACAGATTGTGTGGTATGAAATAAACCTTGTTTTAGTCTACTGAGCTTTGGAGATATTGTTAGCAGCAAGACAACTGGGACACTTAGAAAACATGGTCAAGGCGATCACTTTAAGGTATATTTCTTTTTTTTTTTTTTTGAGACGGAGTCTTGCTCTGTCCCCAGGCTGGAGTTAGCCACTGTGCCAGGCCAGTATATTTTTTTTTCTGTATTATTTTTCACTTTCATTCTAATACATTACTAAAGAATCTTATTTATGAAACTTTTACTCTTGTTGAAATGACAAAAATCTGAAAAAGACAGTAGATACTTTGAGAATTCTTTTCCAAGCTGTCCAAGCTTTAATTACATTTCAATGCTAATGATGACTCTGATTTTATGCCATGTTCCATCCTGGGGGAAGGACTGGCATAAAATGAAAGCCTTAAAAAATATACAAAATGGGGCCGGGCCTGGTGGCTCAAGCCCATAATCCCAGCACTTCGGGAGGCCGAGGCAGGCAGACCACTTGAGGTTAGGAGTTCGAGACCAGCCTGGCCAACATGGTGAAACCCCATCTCTATTAAAAATACAAAAATTAGCTGGGCATGGTGGCAGGCGCCTGTAATCCCAGATACTTGGGAGGCTGAGGCAGGAGAATTGCTTGAATCCAGGAGGTGGAGGTTGCAGTAAGCCGAGATCGCACCACTGCACTCCAGCCTGGGCGAGCAAGACTCAGTCTCAAAAAAAAGAAAAAGAACGAAAATACAAAATGGAAAATTACTTGCAACCTGTAACCTGTGTTGTTCTTTTTGCTTCCCTCTAAATGCTGTCACTTCTCATTTTCCTGTCCAGCTAAAGATGCTGCCTGGCCGTGGCCTCCACGCTCTGTAAACATGACCCACACCCCCCAGGGCACTCCACGGAAGCCTTGGAGATAAGGGACACATCACTTCTATGCTCACCTGAAGTGACCCCATTGTTAAAGGACACAGCTCAACTCAATCAGGGCACCAGCAGCGACTCCAAGTCAGGGTGCAAACTCTGGAGGCTGCTGTGTGAGGGGGGCACTAGAGATGGTGGTAAACAGAAAGGGGGGCTTCCTTCACCAGCCAGGTGACCCCAGGCAAGTCACAAGGAACCGCTCTGATCCAGGAGGCAATGCTGACCTCAAAGATTAAGGGCAAAGCAGAGAATGCTGCTTACAAATATATATGGTAGAGCAATTATTAAACCACATCAGTTAAAATGGTTTATTCGTTCTCATTGGAAATTTTACATTTAGAAGAAGTTTTCTGCTTGTGCAAGCCAAAATATTTGCAAGAAATATGACTGTCATCTCAAAAGAGGGTCAAGCTCTCGTTTTCATGCAACACTTGGAGTTTCTAGTAAAGATGTAGTCTGAGGGGCTCGCACTAGCCTTTGCCCAGAAGGGCACAAAGTTGCAGTCGCCTCTGCCTCTGGGGGCCTATGAAGCTCCAACCCAGCTGAAAAGGGCTGCTGCATCCATGCTGGTAGCTTTCTACAGGAAGAGCTCTAGTTTATAAAACTGGGTTCTCATTAAAGAGAGAACAGGCTATTTGCACATGACCTATGCAAAACCTCTCAAATATTTAGATCATCTCTAGATTACATCATAGAAACAGTTGCTGTACTACACTGTTTTATAACATTTTTATTATTTTTTATTGTCAGATTATTATTTATTGTTTGTCCCCCAAATATTTCCAATCTGCAGCTGGTTGAATCCACAGATGCAGAATCTGCTGCTATAGAGACTGCTGATACAAATGGCTGAATGTATTTCAAATGAATACGAATACTACATTCTACTATCAGTTTCTTTACAAATGCCACTTTATAAATAGCAAATACAGACTTATTAAGTTAAAATTTTGTTGCTACTAACAGTGTTGATACCTTACCTGCTCCAACACTGAAAGCTTGGACACTTTTCCCTGAAATCCTAAATACAACCAAAAACCCTGGCAGACGAAACCTCTGGGTCCAAGCAGACAGCCAGGCTCACAACAACACTGTTGTCAGCCACTGTTCACGAGTAACAGGCTTCGTATTTTCAACAACTCAGATTATCTAGAGGCTGTTCCCGTGGAGTAAGCTCCTAAAAGAAAATAAGAAAATATTTTACATATCTTAAGTAAACTACGTATCGACAACAATTAAAAGGGAGTACCGAACTTCTCAAGTAACCTATTATTTGAGTGATACTGTGTGACCCACAAAGACAGCTTGGGGGTTGAAAACCAGCACGCAAGCAGTGTCCTTAAGGACCTCTACCCAGGACAGCAGATGCTACCAACCCCCAAGAGAAAGGGGCCGGGGCAGCGCAGGAAGGAGTGGAGTCCCAGGCTTGCCCCAGGGAGGCAGGCAGAGGCCCAGCCAGACCAGGGCCAGAGAGGAGTCGCCAAGCATCAGCTTCTTTTCCATTTGGAGCCTATGTCCGAGATGGACCCCACTCAATAAAATCCACCACAAAACAGAGGAACAAGAACAAAAAGTGAAAAGGCTGAACATCGAAATTATATAAGAATGTAATAATTGAAAATTCTTAATAATGTATCTGAATTATTTTAATTAAAAACAAGAAAAATTTTAGAATACTAATGTTTGTGACGTACTAAAATCAACACGATACAGTTCACCACGTGTGTTTAAGAAACAATTCTCTTGTATCCTCTCTCAACCAGTCACATCACAACACTCAAAGGTTCCAGGTGCCGAGTTTCTAGCTAGGTCCTTGCCCCAAAGCCGACACTTCCAAACTGAGCCCCAGCTCTCACCTCTTCCTCAGCCTCAAGACCAACTGCCTTCCCTCTGTGGTCTCCCTGGCAACCTCAGAACAAAGGGACAAACATTCCAACTCCCCTCCTTTTAAAGGGACAGTGACAACTGGGCATAGTGTTTCGCATCTGTGATCCCAGCTGCTTGGGAGGACTGCTTGAGCCCAGGAGTTCAACACCAGCCCAGGCAACGTGTCACCATGTAGACACCCCGTCTCTACAAAAAATAAAAATAAGACAGGCATTCCCTCTGATAAGCCAAACGGCATCGTCATAGTCACCATCTCTTCAATGTGGTAAAACTATCATCCTCAAAACAATTACTTCAAGAATTCAGAAACGACTGCTCAGAAAACACTGGAAATAAACTTTTATATTTTGCAACACTGAGCATTTAATTTATTTTACTTTACTTTTTAAAGAGTTGGCATCTTGCTTTGTTGCCCAGGCTGGAGTGCAGTGGCCCAATCATGGCTCACTACAGTCTCAAACTCCGGGGCTCAAGTGATCCTCCTGGCTTAGCCTCATGAGCAACTGGGACTACAGATGCGTGCCACTATGCCCAGCTAATTTTTGAAAAAAATTCTTTTAGAGACAGGGTTTTGCTATGTTATCCAGGCTGGTCTTGAACTGCTGGCCTCAAGCAATCCTCCTGCCTCAGCCTCCAGAGTTTTGGGGAGTACATGAACGAGCCACCATGCCCAGCCAACACTGAACATTTATAAAAGCAAAGAAATTAAGAAGTTCTCGGGAACGAAAACTGATTTTTAAAAATTCAATTTATGTTAATCTGCGAATAAACACGCTACTAGATTTGAGTTCTGAGTAATCAGAAAAATGTAGTTATTTCTGTTAAGTAGAATTCAATGAAGGATATACCTTCGGAAAAGATCAGATCACTTTATATTTACAAAACTGATTTCATAATGTCTTCAACAGAGAAAATTTACTATAACATTTCAGTCAGCTTGTAAAATAAAAACATATGTATATCAAGGCACAAGCAAAAAAACCTGTTCTAACACAACTTTTTGTGTGTATAATTAGTGTGTAATTCTACACACTACACAGCCCATCACAGGGGGAATGTGTTCATAAAACTGCAACCATATTGTATCAGTAACAACTTTTCCCCAGAAAGAAAAATGTGGGTATCCTTGAAGCTGGGAAGTGAACAAACTACAGGTTAAAACAGAATGTACCAAATTTAATATTTCCACATTTCTAAGCACATTTTTTTCCCCAGCTGAAAACTGCTTCATTTTCTATTGACTAGAAGCAGCTGATGAGCGGCGATTCAAGCAGAGGACACACACTGACTTCCAAATGCTTGAATGGCGGCTCTCAAACCTTTTGTCTCAAGACACTTTTACAAGTTGAGAACACCAAAGAGCTTTTGTTTATGTGGAATGTATTGCTATTTTCAAAATTCTAAGTATGTATTAAAAATAAACCTATTAATACATTAATAGTATCTTTAAATGAAAGTTATTTCTAAAACAAACAAAAATGAACAGGAAGAGTGGCCCTGTTGTACATTTTTGCAAATTTCTGGCATAACCGAAGACAGCTCCATGTTCATGTCTACTTCTGCCCTCAATCTGTTCCCATAGAGTGTTTCAGCTAAAACATGTCATCAAAATCTTGCCTCACACAGATAGGTCTTTAGAATGGAGTATTGTAACCATCTTCACATAACTGGATGTTCACTGATACTACACCAACTCTCGCCAAGGAGCAGTTTCATAAAAGTTAGCTGAAACAGAATTTGCAGCCTTTGTCAAGGAACTTCTCCCTTTCTTTCATGAAAACTGACTGCTGTGTTCACTCTGAACACGTCCTTGCACTCTGGACCCATGTGCATGCTGTTCACCTGGATGACACGGGTTCAAGTAACAGACAGATTCTCAATGTCCACACATCTCATCGGATAGCATAAAACAAACATTTTTTTTCCTGTTGCCCAGGATGGAGTGCAGTGGTGCAATCAAGGATCACTGCAGCCTCAGCACCTCCCCCACCCACACCACCGCCAGGCTCAAAGCGGTCTTCCCACCTCACCCTCCCCAGTAGCTGGGACTACAGGTGCATGCCACCATGCCCAGGTAATTTTTGCATTTTTTTTTGTAGAGACAGGGTCTTACTATGTTGCCCAAGCTGGTCTCAAACTCCTGGGATCAAGTGATCTACCCACCTCCGCCTTCCAAAGTGCTGGGATTACAAGTGTGAGTCACCTCACCTGGCCGATAATGTCGGGTCCAATCTCCAAGAAGACTTTAATTACTAGAAAGCCATCAGGTTTACAATGGCAGATACAAGTTTTCTAAAATTCCAATTTTCACCCCAAAGCTCAAATTTTATCCTTAGCAACAAATACTGTTCGTTTTTTCTTTGAGACATCACTCGTTTTGGACAAAACGCCTGCCACATGCTGAGTCTGAAAACTGTCCTCCGTCTGTTGTTCTGTCAGGGACAGACAGCGTTTCCGAGACCACTCGGCTCCCAGCTCAATCCCCTAGGGCTGTGCGTGGACAGTACCACGTGGGGATGCAGCAGAAGCTTTATATATAACTTGACATTTAATCACAGCGAAAGTAAAAAAGATGTATGTTTGCGGGTTCCGAAAAAAATTAATATTTACTGCATCATCAGGGACATTATTTGGGAAAATTGGCATATTCTAAACATTCGGTGCCCATGCACGGTGCTGAAGAGGGCTCCAATCTGCCCTGTGCCACCGATGCAAATGTCAAACTCACCAGAAAAGGCCTGTACTATTAGACTATTATTATGCAGAAGTCATCTTTACCTCTTAGCCCCAGAAAGGGCTTCAAGGACTTCCCCCTCAGGAGTCCATGAAACACAAAGAACTGTGGCAACATGCCATTTCTACCAGTTTAGGAGTACACTGGATATGTGCAAAGCAGTAATACATACCTATGCTTCAGACATCAGAAGAGACTTTAAACATTTCCTTCCACAAGGGTTCTGTAACTACCTGTTAATCTTCCCTCAGATTCCCCAACTCACCAAAACAGTAAGCAGCCAAAAGTGAAATTTCTTAAAAACCAAATAAAAATATCTTCCCAAAAGGTCAGCTCTGTTACTTTAAAAAGCCTAACTGCAACTATTACAATGCATGGGTTTGCAACCACTGCAAATCTGTATGCTCAACTTTTACTACTCTAAAATCTGCTTGAAGTCATTAACTCAAGCGTGCCCACTTCCAGGTTGTGGTACAGCTGCATGATCAGGGCTCACTGCAGCCTCTACCTCATAGGTTCAAACGATCCTTCTGCCTCAACCTGAGTAGCTGGGACACCACTGGCGTGAGCCACAGTGCCCAGCTCCCACCTAAAGATTTTCAGTTCCAAAAACTTGAGACTAGTTTCTGAGTAATTAATCTCCAAGACACTTTAAAATATGACATACAACCATAATTAAGTTTCTATTTTCATAACATCGCACCTCCAGGAAAAGAGCTCTGACTTCTAAGCAAAAAGATAAAACAAAAATGCATAGTTTACCTCACCTAGTGGCAAACATTCTGTTTCTTCAAACCTCACATTCCCCTGAAACAATATTCAAAACAATTTTAACCCGCCAGTCAGAAATTATAATGCTACAATAAAACCTCACTATTCTAAACTTCATTATTTTCGCTAATTCTGACAGGGTAGGCCAAAGTTTACATTTATTTATATTTTGCCTATTAAGGGTCTCCTGGCTCATCAATCTGTTTATTATGCAGATGAGGAGCAACTGAGAAGACACTAGGTAAAAGATCTTTAAACTACCACAAATGAAGGAAAGATTACCCAATGAAAGACTCTTGATAGCTCAGTTTTCATTAATGCGACAGTCACTAGGAGAATATGCCTAGAAACTTCAGATGACATCCCCAAATGCGACGTGTTCTCCAGCCACCAGCAGCAGCCGTTCATGTACCATGATGGCCCACTCAAAGCTCCACCAGCTTGCGGCAGGAAACACTGTGCTGCACTCACCAAACAGGAAAGAGATTTGGGCCCACAAGGAACTGAAGAAGCCCAACTTTCATTTACTTTAGTATCTATGCAGAATCTGACTCAATTGCATAGATTACATTTAAATCCTTCAGACGGCAAATTCAAAGTTTTGCTGCTTACCAAATAATACCGTCATTACAAAAATTATTCTGGGCCGGGTGCGGTGGCTCATGCCTGCACTTCGGGAGGCTGAGGCAGGTGGATCACCTGAGGTCAGGAGTTTGAGACCAGCCTGGCCAACATGGTGAAATCCCCATCTCTACTAAAAACACAAAAATTAGCAGGGCTTGGTGGCAGGTGCCTGTAGTCCCAGCTACTTGGGAGGCTGAGGCAGGAGAATCACTTAAACCCGGGAAGCGGAGGTTGCAGTGAGCTGAGATCGTGCCACTGTACTCCAGCCTGGGCAACAAGAGCAAAACTCCCTCTCAAAGAAGAAAAAAAAAAAGCAGCAAGGGTGCCACAACACAGTATGTTTCTCACAAAGAAAATGTAGAGAAAAATCCAGAAACAACCTATTGTTGTTTTACATTTCTTGGGTATTTGTGTTTTTATAGATACGCGGAGACAAAAAGCAAAACTTGTTACTGAAAAACCTGCTGAGGACTAATGCTTTGGCCAGCCCCCGGCTACAGCCGGGCCGCCAAGCTCCCCATGTGAGCTTGCAACAATCCTGCCATTTCCCTCTATCTACTTCCTAGTGCAAAACACAGGCTGGTGACCTTGGTGGGCAACTCAGGTGGGAAATTTCAACTCTCCAAATGAATGCCAGGAACCAGAAACAGTCACATAAAATCATTTATCGAGGTGAAGGAGAAGTGAGGTTTATTGTTCTCTATTTAATGGCTGGACATAAAGTCTCCTAAACCACTACCTTTGATGGACTCCTCTTGTCTCAGTAAAAAAGAAAGTATGGTTTCAAACACTTAAGATACGGTCCCAATTCTACATACCAGGATTCCTGTTGCTCTTAATAAAAGATTACCACTTGGGCCCTGGTGAGGACCACAATGCACAGGTTCTTATCCCCATGAAGAAATCCACCTCATGCCGCAAGTGTGGCAGTGTGAGCTCCCCGGGTACCATGTGAGTGGGGTGCGCTGCGGGAGGTCATCCCAGCAGGGTACTGTGGGGGCTGCTTCCCCTCAAGGGCATCTGTTTATTACAGGTTTAAATCACTGTTCCTTTATGTTCTCCTCGGTCCACACCCTTAGAGACCTGCATAATTCCATGGCCCCAAGCACAGCCTACTCTTGCCTCCCCCCAACCCCCGATTTTCACTGCTGCAAAGGATTCAGCAAGGGGCTGTGTAGGGCACTTTGAGGGAGAGGTGTGTACTGGAACAGCTTTACCGGTGACAGCGCATCAGATTGATTCCACACTTGCCCCAAGGGGCAAGCACATGGTTGAGCCACTAAAAATTGTTCAAAGACACAGCTTATCTTCCTAAAAGTAATCAATTTCCCCAAGTGTTTAGAGCTATTTTACAACTCTTAGAGAAGTGGTTCTCAAAGCGTGGTCCAGGGGTCCTTTTGGGAGGCCCCCGGATCAAAGCAGTCTGCACAACACCAACATTCCATGCTGTTTCCACAGCCACTCTGAGTATATGCTAGAGCATTTCAGAAGCTGAACGGAGACACTAAGTTTGAATTCGGAAGGAGAATCCAGAAGCTGTCAGTTAAGCCAAACAGATTTGTGAAAACAAAACCATCTTTCTCATTGTTTTCGTCATTGAAAACAGGTTCCACTAAATGGTTTACTTATGTTAATATATAATGGTTTACAATTTTACTTTATTTATTTGAGATGGAGTCTCGCTCTCACTTAGGCTGGAGTGGAGTGGCACGATCTCAGCTCACTGCAACCTCCGCCTCCTGGGTTCAAGGGATTCTCCTGCCTCAGCCTCCCGAGTAGCTGGGATTACAGGCGTGTGCCACCATGCCGAGTTATTTTTTTTGTGTCTTTAGTAGAGAAAGGGTTTCACCATGTTGGCCAGGCTGGTCTTGAACTCCTGACCTCAGGTGATCCGCCCACCTTGGCCTCCCAAAGTGCTAGGATTACAGGCATGAGCCACCGTGCCCGGCTGGTTTCCAATTTTAAATAGAAGGCACTTCAGCATTTAAATGACTCATTTTTAAATGTCAAACATGGTGACTATCAATAGATATAACAAAAGCTCTTTGGGGTCTTCCCTGCTTTTTAGGAGTGTAAAGCAGTCCTGGGTCCTGCCAGTCTGGTAACCGCTGACACAGCAGCGCCTTCCACTGCTGGAGCCTGAAAGGCTGCTCCCCGAGGCCATTCCGGTTCAGTCAGGATCCTAGTGGCAGTGACAGGTACTGCTTTAGCATTCACTTTTTCCAGACACCCTGTCTACTCTCATTCAGTTTCATGTGATTACTGACCAGGCAGGGATTGCCAAGTGAGATGATGGCCACCCTAAGTTCAGGTGGAGAGAATGGGGTTTCTTCTTTAAAAACCCTTCTCTCACAAGAATTTGCTTCTCAAATTGGAGCTGCAGCCAATTTTTTTTTTTTTTTTTTGGAGACAGGGTCTCTGTCGCCCAGGCTGGAGGGCAATGGAGCGACTGATCACGGCTCACTGCAGCCTCAATCTCCCTGGGCTCAGGTTATCCTTCTACCTCAGCCTCCTGAGTAACTGGGACTACAAGCATGCACTACAATGCCCAGCTATTGTGTGTGTGTGTATATCCACAATATATATATACTATATATATCCACTACATATACCCGCTATATATATATCCACAATATATATACACACTATATATATATCCACAATATATATACACTATATATGTCCAAAATATATATACACTATATATGTCCACAATATATATACACACTATACATATGTCCACAATATATATACACTATATATATATCCACACAATATATATCCACACGATATATATACACACAATATATATATACACACACTATATACACTATATACACACTATATATACACACTATATATATACACACACACACACACATATATACATATATACACACACACACACACAAACAATGCCCGGCTCTTTTATATGTATGTGTGTGTGTGTGTATATATATATGTACATATATATACACACACACACATATATATATATACACACACACACATATATATACACACACACACAGGTGTCTACCTGGCCTGTGTCTCCAGGGTCTTGGGAGCATCTCTGGGGCCTACTCCCCTCAGTGCAGGTTCAGCATTCCCAGTCCTGACAGCTGCAGCCAGCAGTGCCCACCCCCACCCAGACATTTATAACCAGGACAAGCCCTCAGTTAAGCAGATGGGGGGCTCACTCAAGGGGGAACCTGTCTATGAATGCAGGGTTCAACCCCAGCTGCAAACGATAGCGGGGGTGGGGGGGTACAGTGTACCAGGCAGTGTATCTGTCTAGGAACGCGGGGGCCACAGGGTATCAGGCAGTGCATCTAAGGCCTGCACTTTCCTGTCTGTGAAATGGGGACGGTAACGACCTCACAGCTTCCTACAAGGTTTTCTGAAGCGACATCCTGTGCCAAATCATCTGCGGCAAGTGTGCAACAGACGGTAGGTGCCACCTAAGAAAGTGACACAGCCTGTGCTGGCGAGGGCTTGGAGAGAAAGGCCCTCTTAGGCGAGTCTATTTGTCCGACATATTTGCCAACAGCCCTTTATGGGCTTGGCACAGGGAAGAGAGCGGGTGACATACTGTTCTCATGGAGGGCAGGGAGTGCTTCACGATGACCCAGGAGAAATTAAGTAGGAAGTACACACTAACTTATGAGTGTTTTTTTTCTCACAAAGGTGACAAACTGAACACAAACTAACAGACCAGTTTGAAAAATCAAGAAACATCTATATAGTGAAATTCTTTTTGTTGGGGGTGGGGGGTGGACAGAGTCTTGCTCTGTCACCCAGGCTGGAGAGCAGTAGCAGAACCACGGCTCACTACAGCCTGGAACTCCTGGCTTCAAGGGGTCCTCTGGCCTCTGGCCTCAGCCTCCCAAAGTGCTGGGACTACAGGAGCACATCAGCATGCTTGGCCTAATTATTATTATTTTTTTTTTGAGACAGAGTCTCACTGTCGCCCAGGCTGGAGTGCAGTGGTGCGGTCTCGGCTCACTGCAACCTCGACCTCCCAGGTTCAAGCGATTCTCCCACCTCGGCCTCCCAAGTAGCTGGGATTACAGGCACGTACCACCACACCCAGCTAATTTTTGTATTTTTAGTTAGAGATGGGGTTTCACCATATTGGCCAGGCTGGTCTTGAACTCCTGACAAGTGATCCACCCATCTTGGCCTCCCAAAGTGCTGGGATTCCAGGCACGACCCACCATGCCCGGCCGGGAATTCTTTAAGGGTGATGAATCATCACATGCACAGCCGTGAGAAAAACTCCCTGGCACCTGAGTGAGAGCCGCAGACAAGCCGGCCAGGGCAGTGGCCACAGCCTCCAACGCATCCCGTTCACTAGTGCAAAACAGCTGTAACGTGGAGCTTTTCTGGACAGCACCCTTTCTAGTGTCTTTACTTTCTATTTTTACATAATGTTTAAGTTTCCTGTATGTGTATTACTTTTGTAATCAAACACATTAAGGTATCTTCATTTTGGAAAAAAAGTTGATTTACCTTATTATAAAGGTATATTAAGTACCACTTAAATGTCTATATCAGCATACGCAAAACAAAACCACGGCATCAAAATTTGATACCCAAGGAGAGAAATGCCTCCTTTACAACTTACACACGATTACAACCGCCTATTAAGTTTTATGGACATGGTTACAGAATTCTTATTAAAATATGTACAATTACCTATTCAACTTCATATAACAACTTAACCTCAAAATTACTACTCAAAAAATAAAATGAGGCCTAGACAACACAGACTGTCTCACAGATGACTGTGTACACGTACATGAAATGAGCAAACTGGACTTTGTTCTTTGACCTCCTCTTTCCCAATTAGTACATTTCCATTAACTGTTAATTATAGAACTTTTGTAATGCAATTAACACACATCATTTGATAGTAGTCATAAAAAGGCTGATCTTAGTATCCACTGTAAGGGACCCCGTCATTTAAATAAGAAATGTAAGTGAGAGACTCTGTTTAGAGAGAATTTTCTAGTGGTCTTCTGAGCCTGCCAGAGAGATGAGACCTCTCAGGCAAGGGCACAGTGCAGGGACCCACAGATAGTAGGGAGTCACCTGTTAAACACTTTCAATCTTAGCTCTTCAAGAGCCAAATAAGCCACTTGGTATTATGGGACAGGCATATAAAAAGGAAAAACGTGTCTTGTTTACAGAGATTCCAAACAATGAAGACGTGGCACAGCTTAAAAATAAACACTGAAGAGAAGCACCCTACTGGGCTCCACAGAACTGACCTTAAGGGAATTATGACCCTAAGGCTGTAGAAAAACTCACAGTATCAACAGCAGAACCTGCCAACTTCACCGCGAACAAAACGGGAGCCAATGCCCATTCCAATCATTTCCTCCTTACATGAAGAAACCCCAGCACCCTCCAAGGCCCAACCGATGATCCGCACGTCCTAGACAAGCCTTTGCGAGGCTCACATATGCACATGCAACATGGGCTGGGCTGTCTGGTAACCATGGGTACGGCTGGGCAGTCAATCACAAATTATCTTATTTGTGCCCTGTCTTCTCACCACAGCACAATGAGCTCTGCTTGACATAGTCTGAATTCAATCAACTACTAATAAGGGACAGCCTCTGGTGGAAAGCCTGAAAAAATTCAAGATACGCGCTTTTCCAAAACAAGAGGTATCTTATGAAACTTGCTGAAACAAGTCTACAAGAACAGACATCTCCTCCCCATGTACACAGCAAGTAGGAAAACAAGTGTGCATTAAGCAGGGAGTTTCACAACAGGGCTGTGTCTGTCTTCCTGGGTGACACTTCTGAGATGTCTATGCCGTATTTAAAATAGTGAAATAGTCACAGACACACATACACTAACAGCAACCCAAAGGGCCACTAAAGAGCCCTAGGCTCCAGGTAAACGAGTTGGCAACACCTGATTTAAAGGAAGGAGCTGGAATAATCTCTCAAGTTCCCCAGTGAACTTGTCTCCAGGACTGGGACAGGGGCCACCTTGGTCACTGCTGTATCCCTCGTGCTAACAGTAAGCAATGAATGCTCATTTAAAAAAAGACTGTATTTACTCCTTAAAAGGCACTGCTAAGGACCTTTCTCAGAACTGTATTTCAACCAAGTCATATGTGGCCCTACGGAAACCATGGAACACGGGGTATATAGCAAAGTTATGTGAATATACCGAAAAGACGTTCCCATCTGCCTTTCCCTCCTCTAAGTCCCTGAGTACACTAGGCTCAAATCTCATTCCATCAGCAGACAGATGACACGGATATCGAAGGCCCAGGCACAAGTTAAAGAGTATTTTCAATAACTGGTAACGCAGTAAGCTACTGCTACCTGTGGCCCAAACTCTAAACTTATATATTAAAGTCCTTTATTTAGAGCAGAAAAGCCGGCCTTGACCTCCACTGTCTCAGAACCGCGAGAAGGAGCCCCGGACGCCGCAGCGGAGGCAGCACGAGCACCCCTCCCGCCGAGCGCAAGAGCGGGCCCTTTCGGCTTCCGGGGTCACTGGAAGGCAAAATGTGTCACAAATACGGCCAGTACAAACCAACGCAACAAACTATTCCACAAAAAAACTGAAAACCAGCGCGGGGAGGTAAGGACACACTCTTCAGAAAAGCGAATCCGGGCTCTTCGCGCTTCCTGCAGCGCCAGCCGCCCCTGCAGTGCCGGAATCCCCCGAAGGCACGCCAGAAGCTAAGCCGGCCACCCCGACCGCACCCAAGGCCCGGGAGGAAGCGCCGAGGTCCCCGAGAATGCCTAGGGAAACCAGCTGCGCTTACAAGCCAGCTACGCAGCCCCCGAGCCCCGGGCCGCACTCGCCCAGGCCAGCCCTGCGCTCTTCCCCGCGAGCGGCCGCCCCGACTCCCACCCTCGGAACCGTTCCAGCCGCGACCACCGAGTGCTCGCCAGTCCCCTCGACCTCACGCAGCCCACCAGGGCCGGCGTCTGAGGCCCGCGCCCCAGGCCGCGGCGGCTCTGACCGGCCCCGCCCGCTCGCCCGCCCGCCCGCCCGCTCCTTCCCTTCCGCGGCCGCCATCTTCTCGGCGGGAGCGGCCTGTGCGGGATCCGCGGCTCTCGCCAGCCGGGCTCCGATGCCGGCCCCGCCCCGCTCCCGAGGGCGGCCCAAGCGGCGGCCGGCTCTTCTACCCGGCGCCCGGGACGCCACTTACCGCAGGCCGCAGGCCTCTAGGGTCTCGCAGCCATTTCCCCGAACGCCGCGGAGTGGGCGGACGGCCACCGAGATGGCGCGGGGCTAGAGCGGCGCCCCCGCGCGGCGGGCGGAGGACGAGACCGGCCACCGAGACGCTGCGGGGCTAGAGCGGAGCCCGGGCTGCGAAGCCCGGCCCCGGACTGCGCGCATGCGCCCGTCTTTCATACCTGCACTCCGGACGCGCCCTTCGGGTCTGCACTGACAATGACTTGCTTGCATCCTTTGTGGACACCTTATTTCCCCGACTCCAAGAGTGAAAGCTGGGGCAGTGCCCTTGCGGGGATCCCTCGGAACAGCCCGGGCAGGGCGCAGGCGGAACGTGGATGCTAGCCCCGAGGGACTGCACTCCGCCAGGATTTCGCTCTTAAGACCGATAAACCCTTCAAGTCGGTGGGGATAGAAAGCTCCTGGGCTAAATTTGTAAGAGGTGTAGGGGGGCGGGGACAGGGGATAAAAGAAGAAAAGGCCCAGGTTTTCTCTTCCAGATTGTGTTTCTCAAAACGCAGGCCCCTGACGGCCTCGGCTGGGAATGGCAGCGAGGGGCGAGGTCCAGGTGTGGGCGGGGTTTCTCTCCAACTTGAAGACCCTACCTGCTGCCTCCCCACCCCAAGCTCGGCTCCAGAAACCAGGAGCGTGGGGGTGGGGGGGAGAGAAAGGAGCACAGCGAGGAAGGGAGGCGGGCACGCTGGACCTCTAGGCCCCAGGGACCTTGGCGGTGTGGTCCCAAAGCTCTGCCTCCTCCCACCATGTCAATCCTACACTCAGAACTACTGACCAGTAGCTAGAACTCAAAGAACGCATGGACATGTTTGCCCACAGGGGTTGGAGGGAAAGATTAGACACTTACTATCAAGAGAGGGGAAAGTGAGGTATGGTAGATGTCAACCTTCCATGTGGATTTTCTTCAGTTCGCTCAATAGTAACTAGAGTGACACTCTATCACCTGTCTGTCCCCAGATACTGCAGGAAAGAGACTGGGAGGGGGCAGGAGGGGCAGCTGTTGCCTCGAGGCACCATGGGCACTGGCCACTTGCTCCGAGGGCAGGGACCTGGGGGGGGTGGAGGTGGCCCCATTACTTGTTTCTGCTTCTGTGAACAGTGATACGCTACCTGGAAGCATGGACCATCTAGCCTTTGGCGTTGGCCCTGGCCAAGAGTAAAAGGGGCCCAGAGTGCCGTAAAGCTGCCCCTAATACAGAGGCTTCTGCGATGCTTCCATGGATGAACCAGGGGCTTTGAGGCAGGTGTGCTTTTTAATAATACCGCTGAAGATTACAGGGTCTGCTAGTTTCTGAGGCAGACTTAGTTTTCTTCAAAGGAATACAACGCAGCTTGTTTTTGCTGGTGTGGCCCATTAGGACCACATTAATAGAATCTGGCAGGGATGGGCTTGACAGTCTTCCATCTTGAGTGTGATCTCAGGTTGCAAAGAGGGCTTTTTGCTCTCAGACATGGGGTAGTGGGAAGCTTAGAAGACAGACGGGGTTGAGACCACCTTTAACAAGCAGTGAGATCTTGGGCAAGCTCTCTGTTAAAGGAGGGCTCACATGCTGAGGCCCAGGTGAAGACCACATGAGGCCTCCCTACAAGAGGCTCTCTCTAAATCCAACTGGTATGGGGGAACCTCAGCCCAGTCTCTTTAGCTGAGGATCTTTAAACCAGCCACAATTTGTTTCTGCAAGACGGTGAGATTTTTAAGAGATTTTAACTCTTGGGTACAGTTTCACGCTGGGCACTCAGGAGAGATAGATGGAAAGGCACTAAGGGAATAGAAAGAGTGGACAAGGCGGCTCAGGGACAAGAGAACCAAGAGGAAGAAAAAGGCAGGAAAACATGAGGAAAGGGAACCCTCACTCAGCTCACCGCAGTGCTCAGCGATACGCAGAATGCCTTCCTTCCTGCAAGTCCAGAGGATACTGGAACCTGCCTCTCGTTCTCATCTCCCCCGCCCCCCAGCAGAAGCTGGCTCGGCTGTGGAGGCCTGGCCAGACTATCCACTCTGGCCTTCCCCACCTACAAGGTGACGAAGTCAGCTTTATCCCAGCTTACCTGCCGTCACTATTCCTGGGAGCTGCCCTCCCTGGTGAGAAAGGCATTTGGAGAATCTACAGTCTGGGTATTTGAATTTGAACTCCACTAGCAAAAGAATACTTTTTCCTAACCGAATTTATTTTAAAAGTAAAACCCAAAGGAGGAAACAAACTCTTCAGTTGTTTCAATAAATTGTTCCTTAAATATCCCCAATTCACAAACAAAACCCCACAAGTAGCACCGATTTACAACAGGATGTGGCCCAGAAAGCAGGAAGGGGGCCAAGAGCGCTCCAGCAGGAAGCTTAATAGGTGGTCCATGGAGAAAAACACGATGGGTGCATCACAAATAGGTGTAAACAGTACACTTTTGTAATGTGTAGACACCAGTTTCTGCAACCCCCATGCCACGCAAAGTTTCAGGGAAAGTCTTTGAAAGTACAATCCGGAAAACTCAGCAATTCTTAAAAAAAAATGGCTTTCCGCTGTTATAAGCCTCCTTCCTAAGACTCAGGGTCCGCAGCAGAATACCCTGACCCAAAATAAAAATACTATGACAAAAATACTCCAGGAGGCAGCCGGCTTTACTTCGTTTAAAGCCGGATTTCGCTTAGTCCCGTGAAAGCGAAGGAGCACCAGCGCTTCCTGATTCCGCACAGTTCTCTCGGCAGAGACGGCCCGTCCTCTCCAAGAACCGGAAGCCGGACAGCGTCAGGACGTTTTATTCTTCTCACCTGGGATTCAGAGAGGCAGCGGCCAAGGACAGGGCCCCCGCCGAGGCCACCGGGCAGCGTCCAGGTCTCGGCCTTTGGGAGGGGAGCAGCGGGGGAGGGGCACGGGGAGGGGCGAGGGCGGGGCGCGCCTGGGCCTCGGCGCTGGGCTCCTCCTCTGCCCGCTCCGGGGGACACCCACAGGATTCTTGCAGACCTCTGCCGAGGCAGGATGGAGGCCTGCAGGGATGCACCGCGGGCCCGCGACCCGGGCGGCCGGAACATAGTTCTTTCTGGCCGGAGATCGGCCCGGTCGTGAGTCGTGTCTGTGCCAGGCCCCCCACGCTGTGCTCCAGGGCCTCAGTGCCCGGCGCGCCGGGGGCTGTATCGCCAGCCACTTGGGGCAGGAAAAAGGAATCACAAAATACAACCCTCTCCTTTACCCAGGAGGAGAACGTGGATTCCCAGAAAAAAGAAAAAGTGTATATATATATATATATGCCTACTGTTTTCTTATTGCTAACAAAAACTTCAGCCACTGTTTTGTTTTTTTTTTTTGAGAAACTGATGAATTTTCTTTACTTTTACGTTGTATAAGGCCAGCTAACTTTAACAGTTAATTTTAGATAAATCAACTCACCAATGCTAAAAGGTGTCACAATCAAATCGTCCACTACTTCCCCTCAAAGCAAACACGAAAGCACTGCCTTTGGCTCCTTTGAAGAATACTAACCAGATCTGCCAGGCGCGGTGGTTCAAGCCTGTTCCCAGCACTTAGGTAGGCCGAGGTGGGTGGATCGCCTGAGGTCCTGAGGTTAGGAGTTCAAGACCAGCCTGACCAACATGGTGAAACCCCATCTCTACTAAAAATACAAAAATTAGCCGGGCGTGGTGGCAGGCGCCTGTAATCCCAGCTACTCGGGAGGCTAAGGTAGGAGAATCGCTTGAACCCGCTGCACTCCAGCCTGGGTGACAGCGAGACTCCGTCTCAAAGAAACAAACAAACAAAAAAAAAAAAAACACAGATCTTTGTCTACCAAAGGGCAAATGCTACGTTTGTGCATCACTGAGTAACAGCACTGCCAGAAAAGGCAACTTCACAGAATTCACCCACTCAATGAATTCCGCTGAATGCTGTTTTGAGACAACCAACACAGAGGGAGAGCATGGACGATAGTGGGTAACATAAGGGGAACCGGCAAGATGGAAAAGGGCCAGGAAACAAAAGAATTCAAGGAAAAACAGAAACAGAAGTTAAACTTTGTGTTCCAACCCCAAAGACCTCTAGAAAGCTGTGGGATGTGATGGAGCTACACGTTCTATGCGGCATATGAGAATCATACCAATTTTCTGTCTTTTAGACAAAAGAATAAATGTGAAATAGGAAAAAGGGAGGGAAATGAGATGGGAGGAGGGCATCACCCCCTTTAATGCTGTACCAAATTACTATACAAACTGAATTGTTGTAATTAGAATTATGGACAGTGTCTTATCATTTGTATGTTACCAGAAACCTGTGCTATGACTTTTAACTAGAAAAACAACAAGGGATGATGGATCTTTCTTTGGTCACATTAGCCTCTGTAAGTTACTCAAGACAGCTGCAATGAACTGACAACAATATCCACAAACAAGGCAAAAGGAACTTCTCATGGCAGGGAACTGAATCTGGATGTTATTCTCAGTTCTGTCATTTTCCAGATACCTTTAGAAAGAATGAGCTGCAGTTTGTGTTGTTGTTTTCCTTGAGACAAGGTCTCACCCTGTTGCCAGGCTGGAGTGCAGTAGTGTGATCTTGGCTGTCTGCAACCTCTGCCTCCCAGGCTCAAGCAACCCTCCTGCCTCACCCTCCCGAGTAGCTGGGACTACAGGTGCATGCCACCACAACTGGCTAGTTTTTGTATTTTTTGTAGAGATGGGGTTTCACTATGTTGCCCAGGCTGGTCTCGAACTCCAGGGATCCACTCGCCTCTGCCTCCCAAAGTGCTGGGATTCCGAAGGCATGAGCCACAGTGCCTGGCCTAAGCTGCAGTATTTCTATATCTTCTGCTAAGGAGTGAACACATTAATACAGAACCATGCTCATCACTCCTTCCTCTGAGAATGTTTCATGTTTCTCTAAGGTGTCTAAGTTTTCTCTTTGAGGTCAGTGAAAAGTAAATAAAAACAACTTTGGAATAAATCAATATTTTAGTTAAGTATAGGGCAAAAAACTATTTCTTTTCTGACTGGTTTTATCTCAACCATCTTTAAAGGAACACAGCAAACAAGCCAAAAAAACGCTTGGACAGATTCTGACAGAATAAGAGTAAAGTGGTTGTACCCAAATAGGACATTTACCCTTACAGGCTCTTCACACCACGGAATAGAGACCCGCGAAAAAGGGGAAACGAACCCATAGACGACTGAATTCCTGCACCTGCTGGCGAGCACCAGGAGGAAGGTGCAGGGATGTCCATGAGGTCAGAGACAGCCATCAGTTCACACTGCATTCCAGACGCAATGGGCCCCGGCCCCATTCTTGGGCCTTCTACCTAACCTCAATGCCTTGGGAGTATGGGACCTTAGGGGTAAGGATAGGGCTACAATTGTGCAGGCTACAATTAAAGATTTTTTTCTTAAATGAAAACACTTTAAGAAGTGAAAGAGACTCCAGCAACCTTCCAGAATTTGTCCAGATATGAATAACTATATAAATTAATTCCTGCTCTTGCTTAGTTCACAAAAACAAAATGGTAAAACTGAGAAAGAGTGTGTTTGGAGGAAATACCAACAACAACAACAAAGACTGAGGTATTAGCAGTTTCCAAAAGACACCCAAATGGGAACTGGAGGTTTTTTCCCTTCAGGGAGGTCTTGCTTTGTTGACCTGGCTGGTCTCAAACTCCTGGCCTCAAGGGATTCCCCTGTCTCAGCCTCCCCAAAGTGCTGGGATTGTAGGTGTGAGCCACCCTGCCTCTTTCATTCCAATAGGAAAGTATTTAAAGAGTAAATGTAGGGCCAGGCACGGTGGCTCACGCCTGTAATCCTGACACTTTGGGAGGCCCAGGAGAGAGGATCACTTGAGCCCAGGAGTTGAAGGCCAGCCTGGGAAACATAGGAACTCTTATTTCTACTTCTACCTGCCCATCAGACACGTGATCACAACAGCTGCATGCATACAAATAACTTAAGACACAGAGAGAACTATCCACATGTATGTGTGTATATTTACATATATTTTTTGTTAATTTTTATAAAAAAGAAAAGTCAGATCCCAAACCAGTAACTGTCTATCAAATCCTGACCAGCCAGGTTCAAACTACATAATCAAACTCAAATGAAATAGTACATAAACAATGCTTTGACCATGTACATTGCTACTCAAAATACTCTTTGGCCTTTCCCACTGGTCTGCAATGGCAGGACTGTATCACCTTCCCTCCTACCACATTTGTTTCAGGTAACAGTATGCTAGATACGGTTTGTCTCAACCTCAGCAGGAGTTAAAGGTTTTAAAAAAATAAAAATAAAAATCAAGAAAAGATTATTCTTGCTCTCACCCAAACAAACTTACAAAATATTCAGTGCTTTCTGATTTAGTGGTATAATCTAGAAAGGGAAATAAAATCAGGCAAAAAGAGGGAGGGGGAAGGTCACCTATATCAAACAATCACCAGTGAAGATTCTTTACAGGGTCTGGGTTCACCAGACACATGGTGTCAGAATATGTGCAGCAGGCCAGGCGCCATGGCTCATGCCTGTATTCCCAGCATTTTGGGAGGCCCAGGCAGGTGGATCACCTGAGGTCTGGAGTTCGAGACCAGCCTGACCAACATGAAGAAACCCCATCTCTACTAACAATACAAAATTAGCCGGGCGTGGTGGCGCATGTCTGTAATCCCAGTTACTCAGGAGGCTGAGGCAGGAGAATCGCTTAAACCGGTAGGCGGAGGTTGCAGTGAGCCAAGATCGTGCCATTGCACTCCAGCCTGGGCAACAAGAGTGAAATTCTGTCTCAAACAAAAAAACAACAACAAAAGAATATGTGCAGCAGACTAAATAGTAAAATTCTTCCTTACCTCTTTCCAACATCTCTAATTGTTTAAAATACTGTGAAAAGTGAAGTTCATGAAAATTGAGGTCTGAGTGTTTCCTACCTACTTCTGCTAACCATTCTAAGCATCAACAACTGATGGGTTTATCAATTATCCTGAAAAGTAAGGTGGTTTGATTTGCCCAATCTCTTTGAAAGCCTGAAGTCTCCAGTATGTAGGGGTTTGATTTTATGCTTTTGGGTTTTGAGAGTAAAACAAAACATCCATGGGAATAATGTGGTTTTGAAACATGGCTGATATCCTGGTTTTTAAACATTCTATGATTTGAGTAAAGGAAGCACTCTATGCAGTGGTTCACACCTGTAATCCCAGCACTCTGGGAGGCTGAGGCAGGAAGACTGCTTGCACGCAGAAGTTTGAGAACAGCCTGGGCAACATAGTGAGACCTCTCCTCTACAAAAAATAAACAAAATTAGCTGGGTGTGGTGGCTTCCGCCTGTAGTCCCAGCTACTCAAGAGGCTAACATGGGAGGATTAGCTGGGAGGTGTAGGTTGCAGTGAGCCATTATCACACCATTGCACTCCAGCCTGGGCAAACTGCTCTCCCCTTTTTAAAAACTCATTAATGTTCTTTTAAGATTAATATACCTTTAGCACTCCTCTTTCTGTTCATCTCTTTCAATATGAAACAACTCAAGTTCAAAGCCACCACCTCAGCTTGCAAGACACTGGAAGCTCTGAACACCTGGTTGCCCCTCAGCTGACTGTAAGGGCCAAGCCTTTGGTTTCTCTCATCCACATGCCCACCTCTGTCATAGGAAAGCTCAGGCAGTTGATGAATCCAGCAGGCTGAAGTCCTTGTCACTGTCCCAGATGCCAACCCGTGTGGCCCTGCACCCTCTCCTGTCCCGGGACCCACCTACCTCTTTCCTGCTCTCCTGCACTCTTGGTGAGCCTCCATGCTGGTGGCTTCAGGGCTCTGGCCCAGGCTCTCCTCCTCTCCCTCCACCCATCCCTTCTCCACAGAGACTTCATGCACACCTGGCTGTAGTTGCCTTTATCTCTGCCTGGATCTGGGCACCATCATTCACCTGCTCCCCTGGCATCTCCACGTGAATGCCTCAAATGCACTTCAAAACCTACCTAACACATGCAAAATGAGCTTAGGACTTCTGACCTCCCTACTACATACTTCCAGGCTCTTCTCTGGCGTTCCCTATCCAGAGGATGGTCCCACCACCCTATAAATTCATAGGCCAGAAGCTGAGAAATTATCCTTGACCCCCCTCCCTGCTCCTCAGTCTCACCTGCTGCTGCAGCGTTTTGTGGCATCTAGCTCACTGCTCACTTCTCAGTACATAAGTGCATGGCCCTAATGGCTTCTGAACACCTTCAACATACTACGCTGTCTTCACCTCACCCCTGCTCACCACACTCCAATGTTTCCCATTCCCATCACATCTCTCAACTTCTTGCTCTCTCACCAAAAACCATCAAATGGGGAGTTTTGGCACCTTCACCCTGGACTTCCCTGCCGCCTGGAAACTGCTAACATAGCTTCTCGAAACTGGACACCCTGTGGCTTCAGGGAGCGCCTTTGAAGCCCCTGGTTCTTGTCAGACCCCCCGGCCACTTTCTTGCTACCCTTCATAGGCAGCTTCTTCCTTAGTGAATACAGCTTGCAGCTCTGCATTCTGGACTTGATCCACTCCTTGTCTCCATGGGCTTCCTCTGAATACTGTACCCATCAACTCTCAACTCTAGCCCTGCTCTTCCCCTTGAGCTTTAGATGTGTCCCACAGGCACCTCCAATTGAATGAGGCCCACGGTGAACTCACCACCTTTCCCTCGTTGTTGCACCTCCTTCTTCTTCATGATCATTCTCAGTTGGTGCCACCACCTCATCAGCTGGGCTACTCACCCGCATCACTCTGGTCTTCCTTCTTAGCTCCCACAAATTGTCAGTCACCAAGGACTGCTCATTTCCATCCTGACTGAAGGTCTCTTTCCATTTTTGCTAGTATTGCTTCCAGTTAAGATCCTCATAATCATTCACTCATTTATTCCTTCGTCACTCAACAAATAAATATTTATGGAGCTCCTATTACGATTTAGCCATAATCAACTCACATGAAGCTTACCATTTTATGCTGAATCATGACATCCCATCAGACAGCAACCACACGGACCGTGTGCTAAGAGCTACGAAGAGCTAAGTTAGGATTCTGTGCAAGCATAAAGGAAAGGCACTCAATCCAGCTTTGTTAGGGAAGACTTCCCCGAGAAAGCCACGTCTCTACTGAGGAGGTGAGCAGGAGTTAGCCTAGGGAAGGCTGTTAGCTAGGGCCCAGACTGAGAGCACAGCGATAACAAAGCTTGTTGACATGAGAAAACCTCCAATCAGCTGGGATGGCTGGAGCAGAGAGTAAGATCAGGAGTGCAGACTTATAGCTGCGCTAACTTTACACAGGCAACTGGGGAGTCCCCAAGGGATGTTAGAAGGATAGAGTCAATGAGTGATGGCTTTTGGAGAGATCACCCTGTCTGCTATGTGAGAGGTAGTGACAGGACTTCTGGAGCTCAACAGGAGTTACGGAGACATCCTGGCAATCCAAAAAGCAAAGATGATGGCTTCCACGTTATGGTGGAAGAGGCTGGGAAACAACACAAAGGAGCCAGTTTCTAGAGAGGATTAAGGAGGGGGCTCGAGCAGGACTTGGTAACCGGTTGGCTGTTGGGAGGAGGAGCATTAACCTGTGACCCACAGGCAGGCACTGAGACAGCCTCTTTGGACTGGAATGTTAAGGAATGTCGCCTTAAGGCGCTAGCACTCAAGCTTTCTGCTCGTGCATCCCCTTGCACACTTTCTCCTTGACGTTCAGGCTGGGCATGGTGGCTGACGCCTGTAAACCCAGCACTCCCAGAGGCCGAGGCGGGAGGATGGCTTGAGCCCAGGAGATCGAGACCAGCCTGGGCAAGAAGGCAAGACCCCGTCTCTAAAAAACTTTAAAAAATAAAAATAGGCCGGATGCGGTGGCTCATGACTGTAATCCGAGCACCTTGGGAGGCCGAGGTGGGTGATCATTTGAGGTCAGGAGTTCGAGACCAGCCTAGCCAACATGGTGAAACCCCACCCGTACTAAAAATACAAAATAAGTAGCCGGGCGTGGTGGCGGGTGCCTGTAGTTCCAGCTACTCGGGAGGCTGAGGCAGGAGAATCACTTGAACCCAGGAGGCGGAGGTTGCAGTGAGTCGAGATCATGACAGTGCACTCCAGCCTGGGCAACAAAGTGAGACTCCTTCTCAAAAAATAGAATAAAATAAAATCAAAATAGGCCGGGAGCGGTGGCTCACGCCTGTAATCCCAGCACTTTGGGAGTCCGAGGCGGGCGGATCACGAGGTCAAGACACTGAGACCAGCCTGACCAACAAGGGGAAACCCCGTCTCTACTAAAAATACAAAAATTAGCTGGGCGTGGTGGTGCGCCCCTGTGGTCCCAGCTACTCGGGAGGCTGAGGCAGGAGAATCGCTTGAACCCGGGAGGCGGAGGTTGCAGTGAGCCGAGATGGCGCCACTGCGCTCCAGCCTGGGCGAGAGTGAGACTTCGTCTCAAAATAAATAACTAAATAAAGACCAATAACTGTTTCCCATAGGGTTATGTAGTTGCAAATGAAAAAATTACTGGCATGTACTGCCTCTGCATATGAAGCATAATTTTGTCAAGACCTTATACCTGCAGATTTAGCTCTTTCGATTAACGGAAAATGTCCAAAATCAGTCTCCTCCAACCTATTTGCCGAACTGGACTTACTGTCGCTGAGTAGACCGACCGACATAGCTTACACGTTGTTCAGCTCGCTTGTAAGCAAACACACGAAACCACCTCACCCCTGACTTCAGAAAGAAGCCGTCCCGTGAATTCCTCACAGATGAAATCAGGAGCTGCCCCTCAAGGACTCTATTTCTTCCTTCGGCTCTATCAAATATTTTAAGGTACTTCCCAGCAACGGAAACATGGGACCCTGCAATGACAGACTTCGCATTCCTCCTGAGCGGACAGGCAATAAGCAAGTAAACGCGCAAATACCCAAGTGCGGCCTCAACCCGCGCTCCTGCCGGGAGGGTCTCCAGTCACCGAGTAACCCCGGCCCTGCCCCGCGCCGCCGCCGGGACTCCGCCCCGCAAGCAAGTGGGGTCTCCTTTGTCCCGCGCGCCCTGGCCGCGTCCCGCCCTTCGGCGTAGCCCATGGGAGGCGCCCTGAGGGCAGGGCCCTTCTGATTCCCCACCTGGCCTCGAGTGAGGACGCGCTCAACAACATCTCGAGTAAAGCGGGGGAACTCGCTTCAACGCGCAGACAGCACAGCTCTCGCCCAGCCCGGTCTCGGGTCAGCCGTCTCTCCCTGGACCTCAGGGACACTAGCCCTGGAAGGCCGCCGGTCGGGAGGGGACTCCCTCCCCGTCTGAGGGGCGGCCGCGGACACCCGGCGCCTTTCCCCCGCCCCACCCCGTGCGGCCTCACGCAAACGACAGGAAAAAAGCTGGGACCTTCGCCTCCGACTCAGTGTAGACGTCGCCATCCCGGTTCCAGATTTCCGCGCTCCAACGCCTCCGCAGCAGCCATCTTGCCAGAGGGCCGACGCCTTTTGACTCTGGCGCCAACCCGTAGTGCGTGGTCGCCGCGAGGGGAGTTCTGCGCAAGTACGGAAGCTGAGGTTCCGCGCTTCCGGGAGGCCGTCCGCCCCGCCCCCTCGCGGGGGCGCTTCATTGGTCATCGGCTCGCGCTCTCGCGCTCTCTTGCTGTCGCGAGAGGTGCTGAGGGGCGGCCTCCGGTGCGCCTGCCCTCCCGCTCCCCGCCCCCGCCCCCGCCCCCGCCTCCGCCGCGGCCCCCACCTCTGCCTCCTTCTACTCGGGCGCCCCGGCGGCCGCCACCTCTCCCCAGCCCAGGAGAGGCTGCGGAGCCGCAGCCGCCCAGACCGCGCAGCGCGGGAGGCAGGTTCCGCACGGTAAGATGGCGGCGGCGGGCCCGGGCGGCCGGGCCGAGCGTCTCCCGGGGCCGGGCCGGGCGGGCAGGCGGGATGTGGCCGGGGTGCGCGCCGCCCCCGCTCTGGGGGCCTTGGAAGCGCCGGCGCTGGCAGGTGCGGAATTGGGGCGCGCAGTGAGTCCAGGCCCGGACGGCCGCCCCGCGCCGGTGCCCAGGGGGCAGTCAGGGCTCAGCCTCCAGGCGCGCGGCCTCAGGCGCTGGTGTTCTGGGGCGGTCCCGGCCAGCCTGAGGGGCGGCGGTAGCTGTCTCTGTGGAGGAGCGACGTCCGTAACGAAGTCTTTTTAATAAAATCTGCTGCTTTAAAGCAGAAACCGAGCGGGTGAGGATGTAAAGTGTGGCATGGAAAGTAGGAGTCTTCAGCACACGGGTGTTTTCTTCTGCTGAATCTTTTTATGCTGGAGTTTGAGACTACCGAGTTCTTCCTGCTAACAGGACTGGCCAGTTCTACAAAGTTGTTGCTTTTCATGGGCGCACGTAACTGCCCGGAGTGGAAGCGCTGTGAGTGCCGATCACCGAATGGGCCGAGAGAAAAGGTGCCTTTTCCTAGGGAGCTCTTAACGTTGGTCCTAGGGCCGGGCGCGGTGGCGGAGGTCGAAGTGGGCGGATCACTTGAGCCCGCGAGTTCGAGACCAGCCGTGGCAACAGCGAGACTCCCTTCTCTGCTAAAAATAAAAAAATTAGCCAGGCAGAGTGGTGCGCTCCTGTTGTCCCAGTTACTCTGGAGGCTGAGGTGGGAGGATCGCTTGAGCCCAGGAGGTCGAGGCTGCGGTGAGCCATGATCGCGCCACTGCCCTCCAGCCTGGGCGACAGAGCGAGGCTCTGTCTCAAAAAAAAAAGAAAAAGAAAATGAGTCCTTAAGTTACCATTAATTGTCGTGAATAAAAAGTTGGTCTCAGTGAGTTTTGCAGTTGACAACGAAAGATGGGTGTTCGTGTGTGACAGCGACTCCTGGTTTCTCCTCCACTTTACCTGCCGCTCCACATCAAGTTTTCTTCTGCTGGTGCCACTTTCTCTGCTTTACCTTCAAGGTTGGCATCCTCCAAGTAATGGCGATTCTCATTCCCTATCTACGCTCTTCCTATGGTCTTTGCTGAATTCTTGGCTTTAAATATCCCTGTGCCCCAGCACCGCCCCCCCCGCCCCTTATTTCACTAATTCATGTTTTCAGCTCTGAGCTCAGGATCTGTAATTCAGACACCTGCTTGATTTCTCCAGACGCATGTCTAATAGTCACGTCAAACTTGCCCTGCTTCTCAAACCTGTTCTTCTTCCAGTCCTTCCTCCTTATTTGTGGCCCCATCTTGCAGGGCCTCTCATGCTTGAAACCTGTGACCATCTTCTATTCTTCCCTCTCTTTTGTCCGGTAATCTGTCTAGCAGCAGCCATTGACTCTGGCCAAAGCATCTTGATCTCACCTTGCTCTCCATCTCTTCTGCCGATGTTCTCTCTCGCTTGGGTGTCTCCCTAAGGGACTGGCTGCTCAGATCTCACCACCCTGCATTCATCCCATTTTCAGCCAAGAGACCAAAGTTTTTTAATTTATTGAAACACTTTAGCAGTACTTCGTATAAAGTAGTATGTGTAACGTATGTATCAGTGGCAAAAGAGAAAGACAGAGTGGACGGTGGCGTGCCCCTGCCTGTCTCAGGTATCCACCCATTCTCCCAAAGCCGGAACAGCTGCCTCTGGGGCTTCAGCCATTTGCCCCTCCCACAGGTAACCCCCTCCTGAGTGTCAGCTTTCATGCCCTTATTTAAAAAAAAACAAACAAAATAGGTTTGCCACGTACATATTTGTTGCTAAAGCACATGTCATGTATTTTGTCTTGTTGTTCCTGATAAAACTCACGGCAGATTTGGCCTCTCCTGCAACTCTCTTTTTCTTTTCTTTTTTTTCTTTTTTTTTTTTTTTGAGACGGAGTCTCGCTCTGTCGCCCAGGCTGGAGTGCAGTGGCACCATCTCGGCTCACTAGAAGCTCCACCTCCCGGGTTCACGCCATTCTCCTACCTCAGCCTCCCGAGTAGCTGGGATTACAGGCATCTGCCACCATGCCCGGCAAATTTTTTTTTTTTTTTTGAGACGGAGTCTTGTTCTGTCGCCCAGGCTGGAGTGCAGTGGCATGATCTCGGCTCACTGCAATCTCCGCCTCCCGGGTTCACGCCATTCTCCTGCCTCAGCCTCTGGAGTAGCTGGGACTACAGGCGCCCGCCACCGAGCACGGCTAATTTTTTGTATTTTTAGTAGAGACGGGGTTTCACCGTGTTAGCCAGGATGGTCTGGATCTCCTGACCTTGTGATCCGCCCGCCTCGGCCTCCCAAAGTGCTGGGATTACAGGCGTGAGCCACCGCGCCCGGCCGCAACTCTCTTTTTTCATTCAGCATTGTTTTATGAGAGTCATCCAGGTGACTTTGTGTCATGTTCATTTATTTTAACTGCTTTATGAAATTCTCTTGTGTGAATACATGACCACAGTCCCTTCTCAGCAATGCTAAAAATCTAAACATCTCTGAAACCACAGTTTTTGGTTTTGTTTTTAACCTATTTGGTGGCCAAAACCTCACCAGGTAAAGTTTAATAGCCTCTACCACTTAGTATAGATACCTAACACATTTCAGTGAAGAAATAACGTCTGATGATGGGGAGTGCCCCCAAACCCCAGTGAGGCTGTTACATGGTAAATTGTGCCAAATAATCGTTGTACATTGAAGAATTCTGAATTCCAAAACCCATCTGCCCAAGGGTTTTAAACATGCAGTTCTGTGCGCCACAGTCCCTTGGTCCACGCTGCTGTTGAATGAACGCTCAGGTGGGTGGCTTCCACATTCCTGCCGCTTTGAACGGTGCTTCTGTGAACAGCGTTGTCTGTGTTTGGTGCATCCTGGTGAGTTTTTCTAGAATATAAATGTATTAAAAGTAGAATTGCTGGGTTGTGAGGAGCACACATGTTCAGCTTTGTAAGGAGTACCAGATTGTTTTTGTAGCACAGTCCGTTCTCCTGATACCAGAGTAGAAAAAGTTGAAGTGAACTTATTCTTTGCTAAGCATTGGCATTCTCAGTCTGGTGGGTGTCCCACGGCAGCGTTGTCTTTCCGTACATGCTCAGTGTGGGATTCTCCGGCTCACAGCTCTTCCAGCGCTGCCCTCTGCCCTTGGAGGAGCATCTAAACCCCTCCCTCAGCTGTTATTTTTTTCCTGTAGAAATAAATCAGAATGAGTTATGCAGAAAAACCCGATGAAATCACGAAAGATGAGTGGATGGAAAAGCTCAATAACTTGCATGTCCAGAGAGCAGACATGAACCGCCTCATCATGAACTACCTGGTCACAGGTAATGGCTTACAGTGAGGATGCTGTTGCATGAATGTGATTCTCCCTTTTTGAACACATAAGGAGTGCTGTAGCACTGAGGTTTGATGACGTAGTTATTTGTGTTCAGACATTATGAAAACACAATGCTAACCTGGTAAGTTTGGAAGTTATCATGTGAAAGCCTTTTCTGAAGATGAGATTTTTCCAGGTCTCTGAGACCTAACACAAACCCATTTTTCAGCCTTTGACAGTTTTACAGTTACTCAAAATAATTGAGACTGTTGTGAAGTAAGTATATTGAAAGCCTAAATAGTTGATCTCTTCTGGCCAGTCTGCAAAAATATGCTGGCCTGTTTCTGGAAAGTATGCCCAACTCAGAGGATGGGAATGGGGAAGAGCAGAAGCGTGCAGAGGGAAATAACAGTCAGGCTGTTCTTGATGTCAACTGGAGGAAGGGCAGTGCTGTATATGGCAAGAAAATAGATGTTTTTAAAAGACATGACATGAAAAATCTCCCTCCTGTTAGTCCCCAGTTCCTTCTCCCAAATTAATCTCTGTGAAACTTTTTTGGGCCAAGCATGGTGGCTCATGCTTATAGTCCCAGCACTTTGAGAGACAGAGGAAGATTGTTCGCGCCTAGGAATTCCAGACCAGCCTGGGCAACATAGTGAGACCTTGTCTCTACAAAAAAAAAATGTTAATTAGCTGGATGTGGTGGCTTGTGCCTGTAGTCCCAGCTACTTGGGAGGCTGAGGTGGGAGGATCACTTAAGCCCGGAAGGCGGAGGTTGCAGTGAGCCAAGATTGTGCCACTGCACTCCAGCCTGGGAGAGTGAGTGGGACCCCATCTCAAAAAAAATATTTTTGGAAGGTGAAGAGGAAATTTAGGCCTATAATTATGTCAGGGGCAGGGGAAGGGGCACACATGCTGGCTTTGAAAAATTGTAGACACTCTTAAGAGGTGGGAGTCAACAGGCCACTGCAGGTATAGCTGACCATGGAGGGCCCCTGTGCTGTGGAGGCTGAGCCAGTGTGACTTGCCTAACCTGGCACCAGAGCTGCGGCTGCTGGCGTCTGGACCTATTATCTGTCCTCTCAAAGGAGCCCACACCAACACACTGGGCCAGCAGCCATTCTGACCTCTTTGGCTAATGGGTTAGAGTTTTTGGATGGGATAACAAGGAATGAAGTATACTCTTCTCATTTTCTATATGTATTTTGAGAGCATAACTTGTAAATTATAAAGATATTAATACCGAGTTCCTGAGAAAGTGTGGTTCACATCAGAGGTTATTAATTGAGGCAATTGGAGTTTCTGGAGATACAAAGTCTTTGCCTTAATTCCTTGCTAACTTTCCTAGCAGTGAAGATGGTTTTTCTATTCAGAGGGCTTTAAGGAAGCAGCGGAGAAGTTTCGAATGGAATCTGGAATCGAACCTAGTGTGGATCTGGAAACACTTGATGAACGAATCAAGATCCGGGAGATGATACTGAAAGGTCAGATTCAGGAGGCCATCGCCTTGATCAACAGCCTCCACCCAGAGCTCTTGGACACAAACCGGTATCTTTACTTCCATTTGCAGGTATGTTTCAGGAGAGAGTAGTCTGGTTTGTGAATACTTGATAAGTTAAAGTTATTTGCAATGATTGAGAAATAACTAGGCTAATTTGCTTTAATAATGTTATTTCAATGCATGTGAGGGGGAGAGGTTTGAGTTTGCTCTTTTATGTAGTTCAGAAGCGGTTTTTTGTTTTAAAAATGCAAATTTGATAACTCAGAGATGCAAGAAAAGTCTTCCCTCTGTGATGTACTTTTGATTGGGACCTGGTACCACCTGCCCTAAGTCCCTGGCCTGGGTGTGTGGGGGTCAAGCTTGTCTGTCTCTGCCTCCAGCAACAGCATTTGATCGAGCTGATCCGCCAGCGGGAGACAGAGGCGGCGCTGGAGTTTGCACAGACTCAGCTGGCGGAGCAGGGCGAGGAGAGCCGAGAGTGCCTCACAGAGATGGAGCGTACCCTGGCACTGCTGGCCTTTGACAGTCCCGAGGAGTCGCCCTTCGGAGACCTCCTCCACACCATGCAGAGGCAGAAGGTGGGGCCTGCCAGAGGGAAGCTTTCTTCCATTCCCCATGTGCTCTGAGGGGGCTTCGTGACAACGCCAAGTGTGTGGCTTTGCTGTGTGGACTGAGAGACAGGTGGCTTCTGTGCCTGGGATGCTAAGTGGTTCCTTCATGGCTTTTTTTTTTTTTTTTGGAGGTGAAGTCTTGTTCTGTCGCCCAGGCTGGAGTGCAGTGACGAGATCTCTGCTCACTGCAACCCCCGCCTCCTGTGTTCAAGCGATTCTCCTGCCTCTGCCTCCCAAGTAGCTGGGACTACAGGAGTGTGCCACCACGCCCAGCTAAGTTTTGTATTTTTAGTGGAGATGGGGTTTCACCATATTGGCCAGGCTGGTCTTGAACCCCTGACCTCAGGTGATCCAGTCTCCCAAAGTACTGGGATTACAGGTGTGAGCCATCATGCTCAGCCTCTCTCTGGCTTTTAATCTTTTATCTTGTCAAACTAGGGACAACGGACTTGGTGATCGTTACACAGTATTCACACCCTTTGCTGGTGTCTTATATTTATCTGAACCTTCTTTCTGTTTATGTCCCAAGTATTTCTCATTTAAAATCCTGTCTTCTGAAACTTTTCTCTCCTCGCTGCTATGTTTTTGTCTGGCAGAACATGACAGCTCCTCGCCTTCCCAGACCCAGGTCCCTCTTCCCCCGGGTCCTCTCCCGGGGGCTCTGTCCTCCCTACGCTGTCTTGGAAGGATGGCCTGTCCTAGAGTCCACTTGAGATGTTTTCTTGAGGCTTGTGAGGAGGGTGCTGGTATGTCCTGCTACGCTGGTCTTACCTCTCTCCCAGTCCCCTCAGCACTTTGTTCAAGGCTTGCTCATGGCACTTAACTGCCATCGAGGTTGCATGTGACGTTTAACAACCAGACTGTGAGCTTCCCCAGGCAAGGACTATGTATTTCATGTCCTGAGAGTGTCTCGCAGTTAAGAGCTTAATGTTTGTTTAAACTGCCTCTTTTTAATAGACTCTGCTGGTGCTCTGCGTGTATGGTGGTTTTTATCAGATGTATTTATATTCTAGGTGTGGAGTGAAGTTAACCAAGCTGTGCTAGATTATGAAAATCGCGAGTCAACACCCAAACTGGCAAAATTACTGAAACTACTACTTTGGGCTCAGAACGAGCTGGACCAGAAGAAAGTAAAATATCCCAAAATGACAGACCTCAGCAAGGGTGTGATTGAGGAGCCCAAGTAGCGCCTGCGCTTGCGTGGTGGATCCAACACCAGCCCTGCGTCGTGGGACTTGCCTCAGATCAGCCTGCGACTGCAAGATTCTTACTGCAGTAGAGAACTCTTTTTCTCCCTTGTACTTTTTTTTGACCTGGCATCTTTTTATAGGGAAAAATGGCCTTTGTAGGCAGTGGAAAACTTGCAAGGAAAGCTGCCGTCTCTTTGGCAGTCTGATGCAGAGCCTGCACTCTGGCACTCGCTGAAGAATCTGGAAGGTTGCGGTTTGCTCTTCCAGTGTTCGGGGGCCTCTGGCTGCTGAAGGATTCGGTCTACCACGGAGGGCTGTGCTGTTAGGCTGCATCCCACTCAAAATACAGGAAAAGCACGAATCATGATTCTGCTTTCTGTTAGCTTAGGCAGACATTGGGCCTTCACCTACAAGTTTTTCCTTACCCCTGTGGTTTTTGTGTTTTTTTTTTTTTCTTTTTCCATAGGAAAGAATATATAAATTTGTAAATCCTAATTCAAAGATGGCTCATGTGTGAGGGCATTGAGTTTGATTTGTTTTCCCTTTGGTCTGGGTTGTGTGGCTTTTGGGGGATGCGTGTGAGGGGGCTATGTGTTTTTTAATTTTTTAAATATATATTTTGGTGCTGTGTGTGGTAAGAGACTTGTTCCTAGTGGATCAATGAACCATCTCTTCTGGGCAGTTTTGTTGAAAATAAAGGTTTCTCTTTGATTTCAAGAATGACCAAAATGGCCTCTAAAAGATGTTAATCATCTCAAATGACCTTTTGTCTTTGGGGCGTTCTTCCCCCTGTGATAGCGGCAGTGGCTTTTTCTGGTACCTGCAGCTGGAAAGGCCACTTGGCCCTGTGCTGAGTGAGCGGCCTTCATTAGAGCGAGGCAGCCCTTGGCCGGTGGGGACGCAGAGCCCCAGCAGGTGGTGCACGACTGTTGGCGGAAGGAACGCGTGTTCATCCTCAGTGATCTGCCCTCCAGCATCTCGGCAGCATCTCATCCTCCATCGTCAGCTGGCTCTGCCGATGTCCTGCTTCTGTTCACTCACAGAACTGTCCCCTGCTCCGTGGTGGGCAGGAGGGAAGTGGTGCAGGGCTGCGTGCATTGCCTGCGAGTCGGGACAGTTGATGGGCACATGGCCTTGTAGCTCTGGGCACAGATGTGTTTGGATTCATTGCAGCGGACCACCGGGCACTGTTGACCCCACTGAGCAGTGCTAAGTGTTGGTTTAGTGGATGTTCGTGGAATTGCTGACCCATCCAAGGGCGTCCTTTGGAGCCAGTGGAGCCTGCCGGCGCATCTGAGGGGCAGAATGCTGCTAGCACTTGAATCTGGGATCTCGCCTTATTCTCAAGTAGCAAGGCATCTCGACAAGCATGGTCTAGGTCTGGTGGCCAGCTTGCCAGTACCTGAGCCGGTCGGGTCATCTGCCTCTGAGGGACCGTCCTCACCGAGCTCCTGCATCCCTTGAGTGTTGATCAGGAGGCGTCCACAGCATTGTTCTCGCCTCTGAATGATGCTTCTTTCTGTGTTGGAGCCTGGCGAAGTTGTGTTTTCAAGCCCTCTACTTCTCTTTCCAGTGGGTAGGAGCTTTTGGCAGTGTTTACTTTACCTAGATGGCTTATATAATCCAGTAAGAGATGCAAAGATAAAATTGCTGCGGTTGTTACAGAAGCATGGCGGCCTCCAGACTGACCCATTGGTTGCCCTTTAGATTTTGTAAGGATGCGGTGCTGGGGAGGTGGTGCTTCCCTACCCCCTAGAAATGCTGCCTTCCAACTACCACTCTCCCAGATGTGACCCTTGCGATTATTTCCTCTGAGGTTTGAGGATGAAGATAAGTTGGAGGGAAAGAGAGTAACTAATAGGGGATGAAATATAGCAGAAGCTAGAAGAAAGCGGTGAGGTGAGAGAGATGCATCTGCACGTTTTCTTCAACAGCACCAGGTGATTCAGCATATTCCTAATTACCTTTCACTATTCGTGTATATAAGATCGTTTACTTGCATAATATATCATCAATTTGACATATTCTTAAAACTAGAGGGTGTGAGAAGCACAGCAATAGGAAGTCTCTCCACAAACTAGGGGAACACAAATGGGGTCATTCACGTGCCTGGACTGTCACTATGTGGCTGTCACGTGAAGTGCTGGTGTTGATTTCCATTTCAGCCAGTGGGTAGCTGATAAGCCAGTGCCAGCATCCAGCATGAGCAGATGTCGGGGAGACTGGGAAGTCTCCAGCGTTACTGCTCTCCTTCCCTTCATGATAAGCCAGTGCCAGCATCCAGCGTGAGCAGACGTCGGGGAGACTGGGAAGTCTCCGATGTTACTGCCTGCCTTCCTTTCGTGTGAGGGGCTGCACTTGCTTTTCTTGTGATCTGTTAGTGGACGAGGTCTTCCAAGGAAGTGCTTTGCACACTTTCTTTGCTCCTTTTTACAGTCTTTGTCTTTGCAGCAAGCAAATGAAATTAAGCCACTTTGGGATAATGAACATTCAGTATAATTCTACTTTGTCTCATTTTGGATCTCACTGTTGTCTTTATAAAAATGGCACATTTTACAAAGTAGTTTATTCTTATTATACTTTCTGCTGGAGAGTGCCTTGAAATAAAATGTGAGAGTATTCTGGTACTCTGTGTTCCAGATGCATGAAATTGGGTGAGGAATAACCCCTAGTCTGGAATCTTTGTGAAGCATAGGGTTATTGCAAGGCAAATGGGAACTAACACATCTTGCCATTTGAATCAGGGTCTCCAGTTTCTAGAAAAGGCAGACACTGGTTGGGACCAAAGTCTCCATGGCACATGACTGAAGACTGGTGGTCGTGTGTGTGCGGAGTCCACGGAAGCCTCGGGGAGGTGGAGCTGCTCCTTCCATTCCGTCAGGACGTGATCTGAAAACATGTAGAGAAGATGAGTTGAGGACAGCTTTTCTAAGGCAATGTGATGTCTTTGCTTTCTTATTTCTCTTTCTCTGCGTTGTTAGTTTTGAAGAGTGGAGGAGCTAGGGGCTCCAGAAAGAATCTTACACATGTGTTGAAGACATTGATGTCATAGGGAGCGGGGAGCTGCATTCCCTTCTGGGCTGTTACTGCTAAATCTCAGTATGAACAGACCAGGCGGAAAGCTTGGTGGCCAAGCAGTCTGTGTGCTTCCCCGCTGATGGAGAACGTTGCGTTGTTCACAATAGGGCCTCATGGGTGTAGCCGCATGGCAGACCCATGGCTGGCGCAGCTGCCTGTTGCCGTCTGTCTTCAGTAACTGCTGCTCTGTTAACTGTTCTATTCTGATACTACGCGTGTTGTTTTTTACAACAGGTATGTTTTTGTTTCAGAAATATGTATTGCTTTTCTCATATTTTTTGCAAATTGTATTGTCAACATGGGTCATTTAAAGTCCTGTATGAACCATAACCTGCTGTGGTACCTTTGTACATGTTTGATTCTGTATTCTTTATTCCAGTGTGGCATATGTGCCCCTCTGTATCTTTTGAGAAGTGCGGAATAGGTTGCTTCTACCACCTGTTCTTAATGTAACAGTAAAAGTTTTCACATTTTTCTCAGAACTGTTATCTGGAAGCTCTCTTTTTTCCTAAGGGTATTTTAATAACAAATACTGATGCATTTGTATTGAAAGTTGATATCTTGGAATGGAAGGACAGAAGAAAGCTCGCCTCTTGGAACTGTAGTTGGCTCTCCTCTCACTCTGACAGTGCTGCCCCTTTTAGTTTGTAAATCTGTACTTGGTGTGTTTAATTTGAAACCTATCGGCTGCTCTCTTGACTGGGGCACTTAATGTTTCATAAACTAATTTCCTTGGTGTGAAGGAAGTAGAACTTTTGAGCTACCCACTGCATGATTTTAAACTGATTTTAATAGCCTAAGTAATTACTCTTTTTTTTTTTTTTTTTTTGCTTAATGAAATTTTCCAAACATATTAAAAACAGAGGGAATACGCCAGCACATCCCAGTATCCACCAGTCAGCCTGACACCCACCACCACCTGCCAGAGCCCCAGGCAGGAGATAACTACAGGTGTCTGATTCTGGGTGGCTACCATGCTTTCAGGGCCATGAGCGTCTTCATGAGTGGAAGGCAGTTGTAGGGTTCTTGGAAAGGACTCAGACTGACCCCTTCAAGGGCCTGAGGTGAAATTCAGAAACTGCCCATGCAGAGAAGCTGAGCAGCGGGCATCATGGAGCGAGGCGTTGAGAGCTTGCATGTTTGTTGGGTATCAGAGAACAGGGAAGGCCTCTCCTCACCTGCTGCTCCTCCCTATGTGGCAGTGGCATGTCACAGTGTTCTTGATGTTCACACACCTGTGCCAGTCCATTAGCCTCACGGGTCAGAAGGCAGCACGGTAGTTCTTAGTGGAGGTGGGCATCACCAGGAATGCTTCAGTGTGAGCTCCCACACTACAGTCTGGAGGCTCACACCATCCTTGCACACATGGCCTTCCTGTCTTAGATATTCTGCCTTATTTTGGAATGCCATCTTTGCTTGTGGTTTTTCACTTCTGTTAAAGTAGAACATGGGGTTTGAATGGGCCTTTGGTGTAACTAGCTATGGCAAGAATCTTTTAAGAGATGTGCTCTTTGGAGATACAATGTCCTGAGCTTGTTTGCCTTTTCCAGAAGCCACAAAATGGCTTTGAAGATAAACAGGCCCATGCTACAGAGCCACCGGCACAAGGCACCTGGTGTGCAGGAGCTGAGGTGCAGCCTGTGGTTAATTGATAATAATCATGTCCCCACATCTGCACAGTGGGGGCTGTTTCTCTCATTTCACACCCCAGTATCCACCAGTCAGCCTGGTGCATGTGTGCGGGGAATATTTAAAGGGAATGTGACGTTCTGATTTGTCTGTAACATTTCAGTGTCACCTAGTTCAAGGCCAGGTTTACGGGTCCAAATTGTCCATAGTACAGAAGACCATTTATCAGGTGAAGCCCGTAAAGCCATAGGCACAGCTATAACCAAAAGAATTCATGAAAGGAGTAACAACTGAAGGTGAGTGGGTTTCCTCATGTTTGTAAATGCAGGTCACGTTGCAGGCTCTTCCGCCAGCTGTCCGTCCATGCAAGGCAGTTGGTCACCCCGCAGGCTCACTTCGGAGATGAAGAGTGCTGGGTGCAGCAGCGCCTCCTGTCCTTGGGTCTCTGTGTATTTGAGGTGGAATTGATGAGCTTGGGAACCAGGGAGAAGCGGTGGAGCTGCTGTTGCCTTGAGCTGCCCGTGTCAGGCAAGGTCTCCGCCTGGCTGTGACTTCTGCTTCCTGGAGACACATCTGTAGGCGTTCCTCACACAAACAAGGTTTTCTCCCTCTTGTGGATCACGGTGTGTGACTGACAGCTTTGGTAATTTTCCCAGCTGGCTTTGAAAGTGAAGCAGGCTGACCCGTCACCAAGAATTCTCTGCCATGGAGGGTCATGGAAGAACGGGAAGAGGTGCTGGCGGTCACAGCAGCCCAGGGTTCGTCTGTGCTCGTTTATAGATTTGTGTGCCCATCCAGTCCTCACTGGGCCCTCCCAGTTTTAGAAATGTTGAACACTAGTGCTTGTAAGATTCGAACAATGAGTTTACCAGCTCTGAGAAAAATGAACTGCTCCAGAACCTTCAAGAATGTTTCTCTGTATCACGCCCACATCACACCGAATCCATTTGTCGTCATTGCAGAGTTCATCTTTCTGGTTTTGAGCACCATCTCACACAGTTCTTTGTCTTTTTCCAGTCTGCTGTTGACTGGGTTAGCTCAGCCCGAAAGGTGCCCCCACCTTTGAGGCAGTTCCCGCACGTGATGTCCAGTACCGCGGTCTTCCCTCTTGCTGCTGCCTGTCAGTCATGGCAGAGGAAAGTGTCATCTGTCAGTCTCCTTTTCATGGACTCCTCATCTTGAGAATTGTAGTTGGGCTGGAAGGTTGCAGGGCTAAGTGGGGTGCAGGGAGGAGCCCCAGGCCCAGGGCTGGCTTGTCTTGGTTTACAAGAAGCTGTGCGGGGTCTCCTGGGGCGTCTGTGGGGGGTGTGGATGCAGAGGCTGAGCAACGGGCGCCATACGTAGTGAGGTGTGGATTTGCTTTAGGAAAATCTCTAGCATCGTCTCCCTATAGCAGCACTTGAAATAAACAAGAAGTTAGGTGGGCCAGGCCCAACAAGAGGGAGGCACGCAGCCTTCCAGAAGCAGAGGCCAGTGGGTGCTGGCTGTGACTGCCCTGTCCGCAAGGTCACCCTGTGTCCTTGAAAACCCAGGTGTTGACTGTCTATTGTCCCTACATAATTTTTCACCTTAGGCCTCAAAGATGCTTGGGTGCGGGGCAGCTCTCAGAATCCACCAGAAGCGTGGAGAGCCTCCATCTGGCCACTACCAGCACCCAGCTTTATAATGTCCCTGTGAGATGGCCCCTTCACCCACCCAGCCATCCCTGCATGGCCCGTTTCTTCAGCTCATCCAGCCTTCACTCAGGTGTCCAGGGGTGCCTCCTCAGCCCAACCTATTTGAAGTAACACCCCTTCCCTACCCCTTTCACTACTTTGATTTTTGTCTACCTGCCCCAGAACATCAGCTCCAGGAGGAAGGGGACTTTGGGTAACCAGATGGCAAATGTCTGCTGCAGCATGATCACAGATCTCGGTAGGAAATCACCATCACAGAGTGAATGGAAGCGAATCACCTCAAAGAGGGTGCTGTTGACAGCGATACGTTTAGCAACAGTTTCCAAACTTCCTGGCTATGGGCTAGGGCTGTTTGGGGCAATAAACCTCTCTCTGCCACCATCTTTTCACCTACCCTACGTCAGGATGGATGAAAGTATGACCTTGCTTTTCAGGGTGCCCGTGTCTTTCTGTTCAGAGGGCCCTGGGAGCAGGCCCTGCAGTGCAGTGGGTTGGGCTGTTGGAGACCTGAGGGCTAGGGGGAGGGAGGGGGTAAATGTGGGTCTGTTCTAAGTGCAAGGCCCTGCCTTAGACGTGTCTCCCTCGGCCCCTGGGTGGTGGCTGCTGCGTGGAGGATGGACTGAGGTGGGCCCTAGTGGAGGTGGGGGCAACGCCTGAGGAGCAGGCCCTGCCGCCTCCTGGGGAAAGGCTGCATGGTTGAGGCCTTCCCCTGCTGGCTTCATCCTTGGCATGGCAGCAGGAGCACACAGAGTGGGGGCCCCACCCCGTCACCCCTGCCCCCGAGCCCAGAACCTGGCCTGTGATGGGTCCTCAGGACACCTTTTGTCCAGGAACCCAGGGGCCAATGACAACCTTCACAGGCATCTGCTGAGAAGACATGGGCCAGCGCTGGATTTGTCCAGCTCTCCCAGGCTTGGTCCAAGGGCTCAGGAGTGGACCCATCCCTGCCCCGAAAGATCCATTTTAAAAATCAGTGACCCTGTACTTTTACTCTCTTTGCACTTGGTTAAGACTTTATCCCTGATTTTATTTGATCGGTAAGGCAGGGACTGCCATCATTCCCCATTTTATAGACAGAGGACAGACGGCCCCATGGCTCCGTGTCGTGTCCAAGGGATGGGCTGGCACCTCTTGGACCAGGCTTACCACCAGGGCCCTTCTCTGAAGCCCCAGTCTGACCGGCCTGCTGCTGGGAATCCCCCTCTGCCCCCACACTAACCTCTGCTGGGGCTGAGCCAGGGCGCGTCGGACAGTCAGGGCGACCCAGCCAGGGCGACCGTTGGCCCCGCTCCTATGGGGCAGCAGGGACCGACGTCAGCAGGGTGGGGCGGGCACCCGAGTGGTATGCCCCGCCCTGCCCCGCCTGCCCGCCCTGGTGGCCGTCTGGGGGCGACAAGTCCTGAGAGAACCAGACGGAAGCGCGCTGGGACTGACACGTGGACTTGGGCGGTGCTGCCCGGGTGGGTCAGCCTGGGCTGGGAGGCAGCCCCGGGACACAGCTGTGCCCACGCCGTCTGAGCACCCCAAGCCCGATGCAGCCACCCCCAGACGAGGCCCGCAGGGACATGGCCGGGGACACCCAGTGGTCCAGGTGTGGCGGGGGTGAGGGGAGGGGGGGTGGGAGCGGTGGAGATGGGGCCGTGGGGAGGGAGCTGAGATACTGCCACGTGGGACGATGCTAGGTGGGGAGGGCTGAGCTGGGCGGGCTCCTCTGGCTGTGGGGCCCCCTGTGTTCCTTGTGGGAGGTGGAAGGAAGTGAGTGCCCTGTCCTTCCTCCCTGCCATGAGATTCCAGGACCGGACCTGGCAAGTGCCCTATCCCAGCCAGTGTTCCTGGGGCTCTTCCAGGCAGGGCTATGTTCCCCAGGCCAGGGGCATTGTCCTGGACAGTCAGGAGGCATACCCCTCGCCAGGTGGAACCACCCTGTGTATGCATGACCCTGACAAGCAGGCGCCAGGACAGTCAGGAGGCCAGGTAGGGGGCACGGGCTGGAGCCTGCAGCTGGACGGGGTTGGGGGGGGTCCTGCCACCACGTGCCAGCTGTGTGCTGAGGACGAGCTCCCCGCTGGCTTCAGCTCTCGGAGCATTTGGTGGTGGGGAGAAGCAGGGCCTGGGCAGGTCGCCTGGCCACCAGCACTGCTGCCTGTAGGAGGCTCCCTGGGCAGGTGACGCCTCAGAAACCGGGCGAGATGGTGACCGCGGGCCATTGGTCAGCTGGGGAGGGCCTCTGCCAGGGAGCTCCTGAGAGCAGCCCCCACACTGCTGAACCCCTTGGCTCTGGGTCTTGGGCTGAGGCCTTAAGTGGCTGGACCCTGGGCCTAGACTCAGGCCCTGTGGGTTCCAGAGCAGTCTCCTGCCTGCACTGAGTCCCCAGGGTACCTACCCTGACCATGGCAAGGTAATGGCACCTTCTGGCCCCACCAGTTCCCAGCTGTATGAGGGCTGAGGACCCTAGAAGTGCTGGGAAGAGTTGTAGGAAGGCCCAAAGGGGCAGTGCCACCATCGGATGTTGGCACCCAGATGAAGGGAGCGCTGGCTGCATGGGAAAAGCTGGCAGCCCAGATCACAGCCCTGTCAGGCGCCAATTAGAGGGGAGGGCTGCCCTCAGCGGGCCCTGCCCCTTGCTCTCTTCCTCTTCCCCCACCCACGTTCATCCAGGCCTGCCGGGCAGGGCCAGCTCCCCAGGGATTCAGGGCCTCCTCACTGGCGGCTGGTTTGAGTGGCTCCGCCTTCACTACGTCCCTCCCAGGCTCGATGTTTAAAAAGGAGCCCTTGCCGCAGCCTTCACTACGTCCCTCCCAGGCTCGATGTTTAAAAAGGAGCCCTTGCCGCAGCCTTCACTACGTCCCTCCCAGGCTCGATGTTTAAAAAGGAGCCCTTGCCACAGCTCTTCAACTTCCTTTGCAGGCCCTTATTGGGTAGCGCCAAGGATTCTGGAGGGGCCTGTGGGTCAAGGCTGCCACACGCACGCCTTTTCCTAGCCCGCCCTCCTGCAGCCACATCACAAAGGCTGGGCCAGGCGAGAACAGAGCTGGAGGGCGGCACCCACACTCTCCGGTTTGCTGCTCGCCTGGCCCGGCCCCGCACAGTTCCCTTTTCTGAATGGAGGGGCCATGTGACCACCTGTTTGCTCAGCCGTGGATGCTGCTTCTGCACAGGGGCCGTTTGCTCTAGAAAGTTCACAGGAAGCAGGCTGCTGGGCTCAGGGAGTGCAGAGTGGTGGGAGGAAGCTGTTCAAGCTGCCCAAAGCTTTCCGGTTCTTGGCACACCCCCCGTCCCCCGCGCCCCCAGCAGGATGGAGGATTCCCAGCCTGGGGTCCTAGTCAGGCCTCAGGTAGCCGACTGTCTGGGCCATCCTCTCCAGCCTGACATCCTTGTCTCCCCGGCAGCTGTGGAGGGTGCCCCTGTGCCCACCTGGCCAGCACCACCTGCCCAGCTCAGAGAAGGGGCTGTGGCTGCCGCCTGCCACGTAGGGCAGATTGCTTGCCTGGAAGGGCTGTTCTTGACTTCCTCCTTCCAAGGAGGCCCTGGAGTGGCTCTGTGTTCTCAGTCCTGTGCTGGCCTCAATGGGGGTGAGGATCAGTGCAACTGAGCTTTCTGCTGTTTCTAGCTAGCGGCCAGGCAGTGCGGGGCAGGTGCCACCTGGACACAGGTCCCCCACCTCCCCCCCTTTCTTTTTCAAGACAGAGTCTCTCTCTGTTGCCCAGGCTAGAGTGCAGTGGTGCAATCTCGGCTCACTGCAACCTCGACCTCCTGGGCTCAAGCGATCCTCCTACTTCAGCCTCCCAGCTGGGACCACAGGTGCACACCACCACACTCAGCTAATTGTTGTTTTTTTTTCTTTTTTTTTTTGAGATGGAGTCTCGCTAGGTGGAGTCTCACTCTGTCGCCCAGGCTGGAGTTCAGTAGTTTGATCTCGGTTCACTGCAACCTCTGCCTCCCAGGTTCAAGCGATTCTCCTGCCTCAGCCTCCCAAGTAGCTGGGATTACAGGCACCCGCCACTACGCCTGGCTAATTTTTACATTTTTAGTAGAGATGGGGTTTCACCATGTGGGCGAGGCTGGTCTCGAACTCCTGACCTTGTGATCCTCCCGCCTCAGCCTCCCCAAGTGCTGGGATTACAGGCGTGAGCCACCATGCCCGGCCCTGGCTAATTTTTAAAGTTTTTTTTTGTTTTGTTTTGTTTTTTTTTGTAGAGCTGAGGATGTCCCCATGTTTCCCAGGCTGCTCTTGAACTCTTGGGCTCAAGTGATCTGCCCACCTCGGCCTCCTAAAGTGCTAGGATTACAGGCATAAGCCACCGTACCTGGCTCTAAAGCTCCTTTTTAAAGGCACCTTTGGACTGTGTGGCTTTTAGTGGAAAGTTAAGGGTGGGGGCCCCCATGTCCCTTCTGCAAGCCTCGTGTGTTAAGTCAATGAAAACTGTTTACAGAGAGCCTGGGGCTAGGTAAACAACAGGGCTGCGGGTATCAACCACGCCAGGACAGGGCGTGGAGGCCAGGGCTGTACTGGGTTAGGCAGCCTGGCAGTGAGGACTGTGTCCTTCTGTGGTAACCCAGGGAGCAGCCAGATATGGGGCAAGCCAGTTGTCCCCAGAGTGGAACCTGGCTGCAAATGACGCTGGCGAAACCACACTCACTGCCAAGTTCCAGGACAGACAGCACTTCCTCCCACACAACTTTCTCCAAACTCCAGGGGTTAATGGTTGGCCCTGCCGTGGGGAGGGGCTGGAGCCAGGATAGCCTCTGGCAGAGCAGGAGGTGTCAGAGGACGCAGCTCTGGGCTGCTGGAGTGACCTGTTCTTGCCTCTGAGATCTCGCCCGGCCTCCCTCACCAGGATTGGGAGTGTGAGCTGGCCGGCCTGGCTCTGTGACCTCGGGCATGGTCAGTGCCCGACTTGGTGGTCTTTTCTCCCGTGGGAAGCGTCTAGGCGCAGACTTGCAGAGAGTGCCGAGAAGGCCGTATACCTGCCCCTCTGTCCACAGCACACCGTCATCCACTCACTCATCTGGGGCAGGTTCTTGGGAGCACACACCCGGGGTGCAGCCAGCTCCCCGCAGGGGCAGACAGGACCTTTTGGGAAGGGTGGGGTGAGACTCTCCAGTGTCCGACTCCTCTGCCACCCATCTCCTGGTCACCCTCTCCCCTGTTCTCTTTGAGGGGAACAAGCAGGGCCCGGCCCAGGCACCTTTTGTGGGGATGAGTCGTTGCTGTGACCTGCCCGAGTGCTGGCCACTCAGTTGCTCCCAGGAGCCACTGTGCCTCATTTCTGGCTGCCTGTGTTCTCCCAGGGGTCAGCAGATAGGTGCGATTAGGTGTTTGAATGCTTGCCAAGTTGCCCTCCATCAAAGCTGTCCCCATTCACAGTCCATGTCCCCCAGCCCTGAGGGAGGTCTCTGAGTGATGAACTCGAAGCAGCAGGGCCGTGGGGCCTCCCCAGGGCCTGACCATCTCCTGTCCCACAGGCCCGAGTGCCAGGCATGGACGGGGACGCTGCTGCTGGGCACATGCCTTCTGTACTGCGCCCGCTCCAGCATGCCCATCTGCACCGTCTCCATGAGCCAGGACTTCGGCTGGAACAAGAAGGAGGCCGGCATCGTGCTCAGCAGCTTCTTCTGGGGCTACTGCCTGACACAGGTTGTGGGCGGCCACCTCGGGGATCGGTAACTGCCCATCTTCCCCATCTCCTGGCTGGTGGGGGCCGCCCCACTGGGGCCTCCAGGGGCGAGTGGGCTGGCTGTGCTGCTGCACGCAGAGGATGCGACTCCTGGGGAAGGAGCTTGGTGGACACAGAGGATGCGACTCCTGGGGAAGGAGCTTCGTGGACACAGAGGATGCGACTCCTGGGGAAGGAGCTTGGTGGATAAATCTGGGCAGAAGACCCCCCCAGAGGAAGATGGGAGCTGGGAGGGGAGAGGCCAGGCTTGGCAAGGCCCCAGGGCCCTGCAGGCAGAGGAGGCAGGCCGCTCCCCTGGAGTACCTGGTCTCCTCACGAGGCAGCTCTGGGGTCATGAGCAGGCCCTGTAGAGGCAGACAGGCCAGGCCCAGCTCTGAGCACCCACTCAAGGGCTGCCCTGAGTCAGGGTGGTGCCCCTTGGTCCTGCACAGCCACATCCTCACCTCCCTCTGTCTTCCCTCCAGGATTGGGGGTGAGAAGGTCATCCTGCTGTCAGCCTCTGCCTGGGGCTCCATCACGGCCGTCACCCCACTGCTCGCCCACCTGAGCAGTGCCCACCTGGCCTTCATGACCTTCTCACGCATCCTCATGGGCTTGCTCCAAGGTAAGGGGAGCTCAGGCGGCTCCCTCACGCTCTCTGGCACCAGGTGGGGAGACAAGGGGGGTGTGCACGGATGTGTGTGCAGGTGCATGCGTGCATGCAGGTGGTGTACAAGTGTGTGTGTATGGGCATGCCCGCGTGCATGCGTGCACCTGTGTGTGTGTGCGTGTGTAAGTGTGTGTATGGCATGCCCGCGTGCATGCGTGCACCTGTGTGTGTGTGCGTGTGCAAGTGTGTGTGTATGGGCATGCCCGCGTGCATGCGTGCACCTGTGCGTGTGCGTGTGCAAGTGTGTGTATGGGCATGCCCGCGTGCATGCGTGCACCTGTGTGTGTGTGCGTGTGCAAGTGCATATGTCCCTGCAGACACGTGTATGCAAGCAATGTGCATGTATGTTTGTGCTTGTGCGTGTGCGTACGTATGTGTGCATGCACATGTGTGAGCATGCACTTGTGCGTGCAGGTGGTATGCATGCGTGTGCATGCCTGTATGCATGTGTATGTGTGTGTGCGTTCCTGTATCCATGTGTATGTGCGTATGCGTGCCCATATGCGTGTGTACGTGCGTGAGTGTGCCCGTATGAGGGTGTACGTGTGGCCATGTGTGTGCCTTCTGTAGGTGCACACTCTGCAGTGATACACAGGATCACAGGGGGCACCTGTGTAGTGAACTTGCCCCTGCCCCTGAATTTTGTCACCAAACGCCTTAGTTCAGTGGTGGATTCCAGCTGCAAGGGACCTGCTGTGGGACTCTGGGTTTTGTGCATTTTGGTCACACGTATGCTGATGATGCCTCCGATACTAGGGCCTTGGAGCGCCTTAACTGTCAGGAGAACAAGGTGGGTGGGGGGGCCAAGGGGGCTTTGAGGGGCCCCTACTTGGCTGGGGTCCCCTGGAGAAACAGCCAGGCCTCCAGCCTGCAGGGGCCTGCTGGCCCCAACCCAGCCTGCCTGGCCACCCCACCCATCAGCAGTTCCCTGCCTGGGCCACTCCTCCCCCAGTGTCCTGGGCCATCCAGACCCCCCACTCAGGACTCCCCCTACCTTCCTGAGCCGGCATCAGGTTCAGAGCGCTGGCCATGGCTCCCCTAGAACCTCTGCCCTCCCTCTCCTCCAAGTCCAGAGACTTTGGGGAGTTCACTCCCAGGCCTCGTTCTCCTCCCTCTCCACACCCTCACTCCCCAAGGTTATGGCCTGGAAGGTGCTGCCTGGGACTGTCTCCATAACAGAGGAAGGGGGTCTGCCCAGGAGAGAGGCCACTCTCATGGTCACGGGGTGTCACATGAGAACAAGGGCCCAGTGCATGGCCCACCCTCAGAAGAGGGTGCAGCGAGTGCAACTGAGGACTTAGGATTGTGTGTTTACTGTGAGGCCCCATCCCAGAGCCAGCCCCTCCAGCATCACCGCCTCCCCAGGCACTGCCCAGGTCCCACTGCAGGAGCTGGAGGAGGAGGGGAGGAATGAACGAATCGGCAACCACCTGGAGGGGAGGACAGGCCTGGCGGGGGGTGGGGGCCCTCATCTTTGTTTACTGGAGGGTCTTCGGGGTGAGGGAGGAGGGTCCCAAGGCTGAAGCTGTGAGGAAAACAGTGGTGCTGCCTCGGACTGGGCTGACCAATGCCTCTAAGTGTCGCTGAGAAGACCCTCGGCCCTGGGGCAGGCGGCTGTCCTCGTGGGCAGCTCTGGGGACCCAGCAGGCAGCCAGACCCCGTAGGCTCGCTGCCGCTCCAGCTGCGCTTCCTCTGCGGGGCCCAGCTTGTTGTGCTACGATGACTTGGCACCTGAGGCACATTCTGTTTTCTAGAAACCTTCAAAGTCTGGCACGTCTCAATGTCAGATGTCATCCTGTGCCCATGAGCCTACTCTGGGGGTCTGGGGGGCAGCAATGGCGGCTGCGTGGTAACGGTGGGCACCACCTGCGGCTGGCTTTGCCGTGTTTGTGCACGCTGTCTTCGGGCAGAGCAGAGACGCCAGGTGTCCCAAGACCTGTGGCTCTTGCTGCGGGGCATCGGACTTCTGGAGGGAGCCCCAGGAGCTCCGCCAGGCGGCCCCCAGCCTCCCTCGAGGGAGCGAGGGAACGGGCCCTGCCTCTGAGCCGTGAGCCTATGAGTGAGCGCTCTGCGGTTAAAAGTTACAGGCGCTGGCCAGGCAGGCGCTTCCTGTGTGTGGCCGTCTGTTTGACGATGCCCCCCTGCAGGGTAGCATCAGCGCCCTGTAGACACGGCCCGTGGGTTTGGGGGACAAGCTCCTGTTGTCACCGTGGCTCCGCGGTGCCTCCCCTCGCAGAGTCCCTCCAGGTCAGGCTCAGAGCCCTCTGGATGTGGAGGAGCTGCATGGGGTGGTAAGGTGGTTTCCAAACTTCTAAAGCGGCTGAGAACACTTGGTCCAAAAGAAATCCTGGGAGGAAGCTCAGTTTATAAAACAGGGAAGGGCAGCTTTCTTGGGGGAAGTATGTGTCTGTGCACGCATGCGGCAGGTGTCTGTGCACGCAGGTGTGCATCTTCATGCGTATGCGTGTATCTGCATCAGTGTGAGCACAATGCAGCACTGCCAAGAAGTGTGCCGGTGAACACGTGCGTGTGCAGGCGCATGTGTGTGTGTTGGTGCGAGGACTCTAGAGCACAGCTGGAGGCCGGTGGTGAGAGTGTGCACATGTGCATGTGCGTGTTCGCGGGGTGGGAGGGCTAGCTTGGAAGCAGGGGTGTTTCCCTCAGCCGTGCGGGTGGCACGACCCTGAGCGAGCCTCACCCAAAAGGAGTCTGTTTCCTCAGTGGCACCAAAAGCCCTGCCCTGCTGGTCCCTCGGGTGGGGAGGTGAGCTAGAGGGACAGGTGGACGTCCTCTGGAATCACAGCCCAAACCTGAGCAGATAGGCCGGGAGGAGCCTCCCTGGATGGACCCTGAGAGACCCTCCCTCCACTTGTTGCAGGGGTTTACTTCCCTGCCCTGACCAGCCTGCTGTCGCAGAAGGTGCGGGAGAGTGAGCGAGCCTTCACCTACAGCATCGTGGGCGCCGGCTCCCAGTTTGGGTAAGTCCTGGCCTAAGACGGGGCCCAGGAGAGGCCACCAGGTGAGCCCCTTGCCGAGTGGCCCCTGGTCTGCGTGGGGGATGGGCCACATGGGCTTGCAGGGCCACCATGGTGAGGTGGGTCCCGCAGGCGCCTTTTGGGCTCTGTAGCCCGAGGCTGTGCTCTGCAGGTACCAGCCCCGGGCACCGCGCTTGCTTTGTGCATATTTCTGCCTTTCTGGAGTGGCTGGCAGGTGATGAGGCTGGGACTTGGGGACATGGGTTGGAGGAGTGGCCACATCATCTCATTTTCTTTCATCTGTGCTAACGATGCCAGATGCCGTCCCCACCATCCGCTGGCCCCCACCCTCGACAGGAGAGTCTGTGAGCGCAGGAGCGTCTGGGCCAGGGTGGGCCTATCAGCTGGCTGGAGGGCGGCTTGTCCTCAGGGTGGGCCTATCAGCTGGCTGGAGGGCGGCTTGTCCTCACGGTGGGCCTATCAGCTGGCTGGAGGGCGGCTTGTCCTCAGGGTGGGCCTATCAGCTGGCTGGAGGGCGGCTTGTCCTCAGGGTGGGCCTATCAGCTGGCTGGAGGGCGGCTTGTCCTCAGGGTGGGCCTATCAGCTGGCTGGAGGGCGGCTTGTCCTCAGGGTGGGCCTATCAGCTGGCTGGAGGGCGGCTTGTCCTCAGGGTGGGCCTATCAGCTGGCTGGAGGGCGGCTTGTCCTCAGGGTGGGCCTATCAGCTGGCTGGAGGGCGGCTTGTCCTCAGGGTGGGCCTATCAGCTGGCTGGAGGGCGGCTTGTCCTCATCCACGATGCGGCAACCCCGTGCCCCTCAGTCCTCCCTCCCTGCGCCCGCTCCTTGGGGAGCTCCAGACCCTCTAGCGATGCTGGCGGCCTGGATCGAGGCCAGGCCAGGGGTGGGAGGCCTTCCCGGTGGTTGTAGCAGGGTGGATTGGTGCAGGAGCTGACCGGGGCTTCCCAATCACTGGGCTCAGGCCCTCGTGTTACTGTTGCTGAGGTTCAGAGGGGCGGAGGCGGCCCCTGTAGGTGGGGCCGGGAGCAGGCCCAGGCAGGCCTAGAGTGACCAGATTCATCAAGTAAAAACAGACTGCCCAGAGGAATGTGAATTTCACATAAACCGGAGGGGATATACTTCTACTAAAGAATGAATCCTCACTTCTCCGAAACCCGGTTTCATTGAGTGTCTTGCGGTTTTTCTGCACCCAGGTGGGGAGCAGAGACAGGGTCAAGTGTGGGCTGGGCTGGGCAGGGAGAGTGCTACCCCAGCCCGCCCTGGTGCCCAAGGCCAAGTCTTGCTACCCCAGGAGCTGTGTCCACCCCGCAGAGGCTCCGCGGGAGGAAGGAGGCCCCATCTGGATGCCAGGCCCCGCTTTGGGGCTCTCTCTCTTCCTCCTTTTGCCATGATGTTAACTATTCCCCCTGGTGCCAGTGGAGGGGCCTCAGCAGCAGATGGGGGCTGGGCCGCCAGCCAGGTTGCACCCAGAAGGGAGCCTCTGAGGGGCTATTTGGGACAATGAAGTCATGGGGACGGGATGGGGGTTGTTGGATTTGGCCGTCATGGTATTTTTGCATCCAGAAGTCTTTTTGAATTTTGTCCTCAATGATGTTTGAAGCACAAAAACCGTGCGGAGCTTCACTGTGGTATATGCTCATCACCGTCTCCTCCTCGGTGCCGTTTTTAGTTGAAAAGGATCCACATGACAAATTGTAGGCCAATTGGAAGGCCTAGAAGCAAGATGTGAAAAACAATGTGAGTTCCACAGCAGCCGCCCGACTGGGACACATGCGTGGCTGGTCCCAGGTTCGCCCCAGCCCTGTGTGCCCGGAGTCTCCCCTGAGTACCCGAAGTCCTTAACAAAACAGGCCAGGACGGTGGCTTCTGAGCTGCTCCTCTGGAGGCGATGAAAACACCCTCTTCTCCAGGGGCTCAGCCTGCACCAGGGTGGGGTTTCTGAGAGGCCCCTCCTCACCCGAGGGGTGCCGCTGAGGGGCCTGGCCACACTCCCCCTGTCTTTGCAGGACGCTGCTGACCGGGGCGGTGGGCTCCCTGCTCCTGGAATGGTACGGCTGGCAGAGCATCTTCTATTTCTCCGGCGGCCTCACCTTGCTTTGGGTGTGGTACGTGTACAGGTACCTGCTGAGTGAAAAAGGTAACGCAGGCCGGGCGGGCTAGTCCCGGGCGCCCACAGCTGCCCAGTGCCTCCTCCCCTGGTGGCAGCCGCTGAGCAGCCTGGAGCAGGAGCCCGGAGACGATGGCTTTGACCTCCCAAAGAATCCGCCAGTGAGGAAAAGCGCTCGGGTGCTGAGCTGTCAGCGGCTCCGCCACCCAATTCGATCTGGAAGGTTCCATCTAGGGCTAAGGCAGACACCCAGGAAGACCTGCTGGGCACAGGTCAAGGCAGGGTGCAGGAGCAGCCGAGTCTTTGGGTGGCCAGGGGGCTCTGGAGGAGGCCGTGTGGAGGGTCGTTCAGAACGCGGTTCTCAAAGGTGATGCTGCCTGTTAGGTGTCTGGTAGGGGAGGCCAAGGGAGGCTGGCGCCCATGTGCAACCTGAGGCATGGACGAGGCCTGCTGACCCCTCTGGAACCACCCCCAAATCCCCAATCCTTTGGCAACGGGTGGCGCCTCCCGCCCTGATAGCCATCAGTTTGAAACCGTTGCTCCCTCAGATCTCATCCTGGCCTTGGGTGTCCTGGCCCAAAGCCGGCCGGTGTCCAGGCACAACAGAGTCCCCTGGAGACGGCTCTTCCGGAAGCCTGCTGTCTGGTGAGCTGGGACCTGTGCCACCCCTTGGAGCAGCGGCAGGGCCGGTGACCATGGGGGTGTGAACCTGGCCGGACCTGACAGCCCTTGAGCCAGCAGGGCCTAGGGCTCAGAGAAGTGGGACTCTGGCCCCCAGGGGACGCCTCTCGGGGTGGGTCCCACAGGCCCGGCCAGCTCGTGCGGCACCAGAGTCACGGTCCACCATTGGGCCCCGCAGGGCAGCCGTCGTCTCCCAGCTCTCTGCAGCCTGCTCCTTCTTCATCCTCCTCTCCTGGCTGCCCACCTTCTTCGAGGAGACCTTCCCCGACGCCAAGGTGAGTCGGGGGCTCCCGCAGGGTGAAGGAGCGCCCAGAAGGCACGAGGCTTGAGCTGCACCAGGCACTGTGGGTCCTTGGCCTGCAGATGGTGGAACCCTCGGCTCCTCCTGGACTCTGAGGGTCCTGGCACTGCCAGGCTCTTCCTCTGGAGAGGACCCCGTCCATGCTCGGGGCAGGTTTCTGTGTTTGAGGCTGGAAATGATGCGGGCGCTCGGTGCCTTCCTGCTGCGGCTGCAGCCCTCCCAGCCCTCATCGTGACCTGCTGGCCCACAGAACCCGACTTCAGAGCCTGAGGAGGCCGGTGCAGAAGCCGGGATGTGGACAGAGGGGTCACCTGCGGTCAGCACGGTTCCTTCTCTGAGGCTGTCTTGCTGCCCTGCCGGGTGGTGGTCAAGAGCTGCACATTCCCAGGAGCAGGGCTGGCCCTGCCGGAGAGCTTTCCTGGGCAGTGGTGGGCACGGGGGCGCTGTCCAGCCTGAGTATCCTCTTCCAGATGGCCAGATGCCGGCCCTGGCCCCCTCTAAGGCCAAACTCCCCCCTGCAGGGCTGGATCTTCAACGTGGTTCCTTGGTTGGTGGCGATTCCGGCCAGTCTATTCAGCGGGTTTCTCTCTGATCATCTCATCAATCAGGGTGAGCCCCAGGGAGGGGACCGGGGCTGGAAGCCACACCCTGGTTCACCTCGCTTTCGAGGGGCAGGATGCTCCCATCCTGGGGCTGCAGCTTCAGCACACGGAGAGCTGGGACAGAGGGGCACTTCTTTCCAGGCTCGGCCTCCTCCTTAAAGGGTGGGGTTAGACTGTGGTGGAGGGTCTGGTCTCACGGTGACTGTGGAGCTCACCCCTGGGGGCTGGATGCAGCCCCTGACCCTCCAGGAAGGCACCTGGAGGGGTCAGAGGTTACAAGCATCCTTGAACCTTTGGAAGAGCTTCTGTCTTTGTTCCATGTGCTCCAGACCCACGCTGGGATGAGCCCCGAGCGGGCTGCGTGTTTCTTCCCCTAGTGCAGTGTCCGCTGCACAGACACGTACAGGCGGATGCACACGCGTGCCCACATGCTCTCTCCACACGTGTGCCTATTCTTAGAATGTTCGTGTTTTTCCTAATTGCAAAAGGAATACACACTCGTTGTGGAAAAGCTAGAAAATCTGGAGCAGCAGAGGAAGTGGGGCCGCTCGCCTGTTTCCGCCTCTGTAACTGCTGTGTGGCTGTTCTGTGTTTCTGCCCAAACCCACGCCTTGGGAACCTTCCAAAGGCGCACATGCGGCCTCGCGGCTGCACCCCACATGCGTGTGTGCACACGTTTTTGCCTGCAGCACGGGATAGCTGTCTTGAGCCCCAAGCCTCTTCCTCCCCTGCTGCCCCTCTGCAGCCATTCGGGATGGGACCCCCTCTGGGGTGTCAGCACGAAAGGGCTAACGGGAGCCCCTTCCTTGGCCTCCCCCTGTAGGTTACAGAGCCATCACGGTGCGGAAGCTCATGCAGGTAGGAGAATCATTCCGGTCGTTCTCTCTGGATATCCCTGCTTTGTTCAGGGTCTCCCAGGAACTCAGGGTTGTGTCCCCAAGTCACCTGATATCTGGGACCAGGCAAATGCCAGGCCTCTCCATGTGTCCAGCACTGGGGCCCAGAAGGGGCTGTTTAGACAGCTGTTGGGGGGAAGGCTGGGGTCAGCATCCTGTGCCCCTCTGGGCCCAGGCCTGAGCTTGCCCACGTCGAATAGGGCCTCTCCCTTGGAGCGGGGCTGATTCTTGCGGAGACTCCTCCCAGACCTCCTCTAGGGGGCCTGGTCTGAGAGAAGTTTGTGGTCGCAGCCAACCTGACCGTTGTGCGGTGCGCCCAGGGGGGCTTTCGGGCAGCTGAGTCAGGAGAGGGCCCTGCTGCAGGCGGGCTGGGTGCCTCTCCGTCACGGTGGCGCTTTCCTGCAGGGCATGGGCCTTGGCCTCTCCAGCGTCTTTGCTCTGTGCCTGGGCCACACCTCCAGCTTCTGTGAGTCTGTGGTCTTTGCATCAGCCTCCATCGGCCTCCAGACCTTCAACCACAGGTGAGGGCCGACTGCTCCATCCACCAGAGCGCCGTGCTGCCCGCACGGCCGAGGCCCGCACATGTGAAGAGGGAGCTCTGTCCGCCTCTCTCAGTCTCTTCCTCACACTTCACCCCCTTCCCAAGCTGCTGGGCAGTGACTGCACTGAAGACCCAGTAGTTCTTTAGGAACCAGCAATTCACTTCAGTGAGCAGCACGTGCGCGTGATTTGTGCGAACATGCTTTCCCCACAGCACTTTACTCTAAGGAGTCGCTTCCTGCACTGGGTCCTCCATGAAGACGGGCAGCTGGGGCTCGGGTTGGCATGGTGTGCAGGGCTGCAGTGCTCTGGCCAGTGGGTGGTTGGGGCTCGGGTTGGCGTGGTGTGCAGGGCTGCAGTGCTCTGGCCAGTGGGTGGTTGGGGCTCGGGTTGGCATGGTGTGCAGGGCTGCAGTGCTCTGGCCAGTGGGTGGTTGGGGCTCGGGTTGGCGTGGTGTGCAGGGCTGCAGTGCTCTGGCCAGTGGGTGGTTGGGGCTCGGGTTGGCATGGTGTGCAGGGCTGCAGTGCTCTGGCCAGTGGGTGGTTGGGGCTCGGGTTGGCGTGGTGTGCAGGGCTGCAGTGCTCTGGCCAGTGGGTGGTTGGGGCTCGGGTTGGCGTGGTGTGCAGGGCTGCAGTGCTCTGGCCAGGGAGCAGGCCTGAGCGTGTCCCAGCCCCTCCCGTGGCTCCACGAGACCTTGCTTCCCCGCTTCCCCTGTGACAACCCTGGGCCACCAGCTCGGTGGTGGCCAGGGCCACTCACCACCCTCTTTCCTCCCCACAGTGGCATTTCTGTTAACATCCAGGACTTGGCCCCGTCCTGCGCCGGCTTTCTGTTTGGTGAGGACCTTGCCTTACCCCAGCTTTGCCCCTCCCTGGGCCTCCGGGTGGGTGAGCCATGGGGGATCCCGGAGGGCTTTTGCTGACCATCCATATTCTCTCTCGCTCTGGCCTCTTCACAGGTGTGGCCAACACAGCCGGGGCCTTGGCAGGTGAGGGGCGGGCCTCTGTGCCCAGGAGTTCCCCTGTCTGTGGGGTTTGAGGCCACCGAGGTGCTGCAGGGTGGGGTTGTGCCTCCCTTCAGAGGGGGTCCGGGTGTCAGAGGAGGGCACAGACCCCAGAGCAGGCCCAGGAGAGGAGGATGGGGCTGCCTTCCAGGTTCCACTGGACTTTGCTGACGGCAGGTGGCTCATGAGTCGCCATCTGCCCTGACTCACAGATATGTTCCCATCCTGGTAGCCCAGGGTCCCCGGGACACCTCCTGGCCCCGCTGAGTGCCATGGATGATGGGGGTCCTTCTTCAGCTCAGCCTCGCCTGGGCCGGCCTGTGGCTCCCATTTTCCTTTCAGCGGGACAAAGGGGACTTGTTACCAGGCCATTTTCTGGATGGCCTGTGAGATCTCTGCCCCTCCAAGACCCTCCAAGTCTGAGCCTGACCCACAGCTGGGACACTGAATTCAGCCCTGGGAACCATGGGGGCTCCTATCAGGCGCTAGACCCCCAGCCCTTCCCCTGGCACTACCTTGGGAACCAGGGTGGGGTGTGGGGCCTGGGCTGCCCGGGAGCACTCAGCCCGCCTGGCCCTCTCTTGGGCAGGTGTCGTGGGTGTGTGTCTAGGCGGCTACTTGATGGAGACCACGGGCTCCTGGACTTGCCTGTTCAACCTTGTGGCCATCATCAGCAACCTGGGGCTGTGCACCTTCCTGGTGTTTGGACAGGCTCAGAGGGTGGACCTGAGCTCTACCCATGAGGACCTCTAGCTCCCAACCCCACAGCCTCTCCAAGGACCCAGGCGCCAGCAGCCCCAGGACACAGGGGACTCAGTGTGTGGGACTTGGTCACTCCATGTCAGACACACGAGCAGAGAGGAACACAAACCACTGTGGAGCCTGAAGCTCCTTAAGAAGAGTCCACAACAGCTGGTGGGAGGGTGGGGTGGGCCTGGGTCCAGACCAGGCTCGCTGCTCTCTGGGCCTCAGTTTCCCCACCTGCCAGCGGGCTCGGCCCTGTCCTCCTCACAGGCTGGTGTGGCCGTCAGGGTGGGTGGGGTTATTGTTAGTAGGCGCAGCCTCATTCCCACCACGATCTGTTCCGCGTGGTTCCCGCCAAACCTCCCTCGGTCGCCGTGTTCTCCGCAAGCCTCCTGCAGCGCCCGCCTGCCAATGTGAGGCTGGCACCAGGCTGCAGCCTCCCCAATCCCAGCCCACTTTGCTGTGTCTCTGGCGGGCTGTCCTCCTTGGTGGGAGCTGTCCTGCACACTGTAGGATGCTTAAAGGTATCCCTGGCCTCCACCCACCCCTAGCCAGCAGCTCCCAGTCAGACAACAGCCAGAAATGTCTCCAGACTCTGCCCAGCCTCCCCAGGTAGCCACCCTCGAGACACGACCTCAGAGTCTCTGTGTCTCCTAGAAGCCTGACAGAGACCCCCAGGGCAGTGGGTGGGTGGCGGGCTAGAGACCCTTGCCTGTGTCCGGGACCCTGGCGCCGCTCTCCCCTCCTGTGGATCCCTCCGCACTAACAGTGTTCTCAGTGGGCAGACGCCTGGGCACCCCTTGGGCCCTGCCCAGCATGGCCATGGCGCAGGCTCTCGAACCCGCATGGCTTTCCCAGGCCTGGTGATTCTGCTCTCCAGGGACGGTTGGCACCTTCCTCGGGGGCGGGCCCCACGCACCCCAGAACACACAGACCCACCTTTCTGGCGTTCTTTCTACCTCCCTTTTCGTTGCCTGAGGAGCTGGTGGTTTCATGAGTTAATGATACATCTTGCAAGGTGTACACATAGAGAAAAAAACCTAAAAATGTGGAAAAGCACGCCAAAGCCTTATTTAAATAATAACTATTAAACTATTCAAAAAGAAGACTGTTATTTTATTTAACACCTTTGTTTTTTAAGAATGAACACGTGTTAAAGACTTTCTGTAACTAATTTCATGAGGAAACGAGTGACACGTTGGAATCAGGTCAAAGGAGAATCCCAGGAACGGACTCCTAGGCCGGGAGTGTTGAAATGAGCATGCCAGCAGAGCCAGGCTGGGTTTCGGGGTTCCTTTGCCGCCAGGGGTCCTGCGTGTCCACAGATGACAGCGATGTACCCTGCTATCAGCTGTCCACCCAGCTTTCCCAAGATGTGGGGCCCCCATGGAGTCAGACAGCCCAGCTGTGCTGTGGAAAGACAAAGTGGAGTTTTGCACTTGAGCACAAATGTTCCCCTACAATCTCTCCAGTTTCGGTCAGCCCAACCCTGTGGCACCATGGGTACAGCCTAGAGCATCACCCCCACAGAGGCTTCGGGACGGTCCTGCTGGACTGCTGGACGCTGCTGTGGGGTCTTGGGGCAGGAGGGGCTTCCAGAAGCCTGGCAGTTGCTGTCTGGAGGCCAGGAAGCCAAGCCCAGGAAGCCCACCTGCGGCTGAGTTCAGAGGTGGGGCCTGTGCGTTGTGAATGAATTGCTGTCTCTCTCCTCCTCATCTTGCACTAAATCTACATAACTTAAAATTTACCATTTTAGCCATTTTTAAGTGCACGGTTCTGTGGCATTAGGTACATTCGCATTGTGCAGCCACCGCCACCCTCCGCCTTCAGAACTTTCTCATCTTCCCAAACCGAAGCTCTGTGCTCATTAAAGGCTAGCTCCCCGTTGCTCTCCCCCAGCCCCGGCAACCCCATTCCACTTTGTGTCTCGACCGTAAGTGTGGCTGCTCTGGGACCAGTGCCAGTGGGCGCACGCTGGGTTTGCCTACGTCTGGCTTACTTCACTCAGCAGAGTGTCCTTCGGTTTTATCAGTTTTGTCACAAGTGTCAGCATTTTTCTCATTTTTAAGGCTGAATAAAATATTGTGTGGATAAGCCATGTTTTGTGTATCTGTTCACCCATTGATGGACCTGTGAACACGAGTGTGCAATTAGCACCTTTTATTTTTATTTTATTTATTTTTTGGAGACAGAGGCTCGCTGTCTCCCCCAGGCTGGAGTGCAGTGGCTTGATCTGGGCTCACTGCAACCTCCACCTCTCGGGTTCAAGCGATTCTTCTGCCTCAGCCTCCCAAGTAGCTGGGATTACAGGTGGCTGCCACCAAGCCCGGCTAATTTTTGTATTTTTAGTAGAGATGGGGTTTCACCATGTTGGCCAGGCTGGTCTCGAACTCCCGACCTCAGGTGATCCACCTGCCTCGGCCTCCCAAAGTAGTGGGATTGCAGGCATGAGCCACCACGCCCGGCCCCGGCCCTACTTTTTTTTTTTTCTTGGAGACAGGGTCTTTCTCCGTCACCTAGGCTGGAATGCAGTGGCACAATCACAGATCACTGCAGCCTCAACTTCCCTGACTCCAGTCGATCCTCCCACCTCAGCCTCCCGAGCAGCTGGAACCACAGGTGCACACCACCATGCCCAGCTCTCACTGTGTTGCCCAGGCTGGCCTTGAACTCCTGGGCTCAAGTGATCTGTCACCATGGCTTCCCAGAGTGTTGGGATTACAGGCATGAACCACGGTGCCCAACCAGTCAGCACCGTCTAAAATCCACAGCCAGCTGTAAAATCTCTGAGAGCAAGGAGGCAGCCCCTCCCAGGGAACTGGAGTGGAGAACCCAGAAGGGATACAGGACTAGGTGGGCAGTGCGGCCGCCCCTTGGGCTGCACAGTCCTGCAGGACCAACATTCCTAGGCCCTCTGGATTCTGTGGAGTTTCTGTCACTTCCTTGCAGAGTGGGGGCTGGGGAGGCCGTCATGTGGGATGTGGGGGCGCAGGCCCAGGCACGGCAGGCAGGCCCACCCCCTTCCCTCCCAGCAGCTTCTGGGTGCCACCTCCCCGGCCTTTCCTCAGGCAGATGTTGGAGCCCGAGTCAGGGAGACTGTGGGTGGTCTGCTTGTTCTCCAGCTCCAGCAGAGGGGATGGTGGGGTCTGCATGTTGTTGTCTGCTGCAGACAGGCCCAGATGCCATCTGCACCCCGTGGGGCAGCTCTGCAGGATCGTGGTGCAGGAGCTGTGGGAGCCCAACCCCCTGGCCCCCCAGTCTGGAATAAGGTGCACCGCGGGATGGAGCTCCTCAGCCGCAGAGTGAGCGCTGATGGCAGAGCATGCTCGTCCATTCGCCCGTGTGCTGGCTCCTTCTTCCAGGAGCTGTTCGGCCATAGCTGCTGACTGCCTCTGCCAGGTCAGCTCCAGGCTTGGGTGGCAGTCCTGACACGGCTGGGGCGCAGGGGCCGGGACGTGGGCGGGAATGAGAGGGAACCTGCCTGGGAAGGCTGGGGAGGAGCGTCCAGGCCCCGTGGTCATTTGCGGAGGTAGCGAGTGGCAGGGCCTGCTTGGGTGGATTCTGAGCCTGGAGGCCTCTATGCAGGCCAGCACAGACAGCCTCGGGCAGGAGACTCCCAGCCGCACACAGGCTCCTGGTCCTCCAGCTCGGTGCCCGCCCTCCTGGGACCTTGCTAGAAGGCAGAACGTGCTGTCAGTGCCACGTCAGACCCGGCTCCCAAAGCCCCCCCACCTCAGATCCTGATGCTGGCCCACGAGGAGCTCCCATTTCTGGGTCTGGATTTTCAGAACCCCCCCAACAAACCACTCTGCTGCTAGGTTGGAGCCCTGCGGGCAGCCGAAAGCCAGGAGGAGGCAGCAGGGCCCACGGCACCTCTCATCAGCGCCCTTGTGCCCTGGAAGCAGGGGCTCTGGCCAGCTGGGGCTGTGTGTGGGAGCATGTGTGTCTGTGTGTGTATTTATGAGTTGTGTGACCCTGTGTTTGAATGTGTGTAGGAGTGTGTCTGTGTGTGTATGAGTTGTGTGACCCTGTGTTTGAATGTGTGTAGGAGCGTGTGTGTCTGTGTGTGTATTTGAGTTGTGTGACCCTGTGTTTGAATGTGTGTGGGAGCGTGTGTGTCTGTGTATTTATGAGTTGTGTGACCCTATGTTTGAATGTGTGTGGGAGCGGGTGTGTGTGTGTATTTATGAGTTGTGTGACCCTGTGTTTGTGTGTGGGAGCATGTGTGTCTGTGTGTGTATTTATGAGTTGTGTGACCCTGTGTTTGAGTGTGTGTGGGAGAATGTGTGTCTGTGTATTTATGAGTTGAGTGACCCTGTGTTTGAATGTGTGTGGGAGTGTGTGTGTCTGTGTATTTATGAGTTGTGTGACCGTTTGTGTGTGGAAGCATGTGTGTCTGTGTGTGTATTTATGAGTTGTATGACCTTGTGTTTGAGTGTGTGGGAGCGTGTAGTGTCTGTGTGTTTATGAGTTGTGTGACCCTGTGTTTGAGTGTGTGTGGGAGCATGCGTCTGTGTGTGTATTTATGAGTTGTGTGACCCTGTGTTTGAATGTGTGTGGGAGCGTGTGTGTCTGTGTATTTGAGTTGTGTGACCCTGTGTTTGAGTGTGTGTGGGAGAATGTGTGTGTGTGTGTATGAGTTGTGTGACCCTGTGTTTGAGTGTGTGTGGGAGGATGTGTGTCTGTGTATTTATGAGTTGTGTGACCCTGTGTTTGAATGTGTGTGGGAGCGTGTGTGTCTGTATTTGAGTTGTGTGACCCTGTGTTTGAGTGTGTGTGGGAGAATATGTGTGTGTGTGTATGAGCTGTGTGACCCTGTGTTTGAGTGTGGGTGCGCATGCACGTGTGTGCACGCATCCGAGTGTGCATGTGCCTGAGTGTGCGAGTTGCCGCATGTGCGTGTGCGTGTGAATATGCACGTCTGTGTGTTCACGTCTGAGTGTGCACACAACCTCAGGACCTGGCCGTGGCGGTCATTCGCTGTCGGGCCGACAGAGGGTGCCGTCGGACAGGGCTGTGCCGGCTCTCTGAGCTCCCAGCAAAGCTGTCTCCTGCTTGGGACTCAGCGTGGGGGAGGAGCCGGCCGCTCTGCTGTGAGAGAAGGGAACGGGTTGCGAGGGAGACCTACGAGGTGGAGGAACAGCGTGGGGGATGGCAGGGGGCAAAGTGACGTCCAGTTTGGGGTGGGAGGAGGGAGAGTGTGAGGCCCAGGAGCGGGACGCGGGGGAGGGGGCCGGGCGTGGGCACCGGATCTTCTCAGGACTGGTGGGTGTGCCTCAGGGGCCTGATGGCCTGATGGACGGAGGGCAAGAACCCTTCCACCATCCGCTCCGTCCCCAGCCTGGGGCACCACGGCGCGTCCTTCCCCCGGGTGCGCAGCGTGTCCTGCCTCCCCCTTAAAGGACAAGGGGCAGAATCCTGGCCCAGGGCAGAGCTCCAGGCTCTCCTCGCCGCCCCTCCCCATGGTCCAGCACGCCCCCATGCCCTTCCCCTCAAAGACCACAGGGCCCAGCAGGGCAGGGCCGGGCTGCAGTGTGGACAGACGGCTCGGGTAGGAGTTCTGTGGCGGGGGCTGCAGTCCCGGCCCCATCCAGGACAATCATCGTCTAAGGAGCGGCTCCGGGTCCGCGGGCTTGGGGAGGCTGGGCGAGGCACAGGGCTGTGGGCACGGGATCACCGAGGACACCAGCTCAGGAACACGGGCTGGGGCGGGGTCACATGCGGGCGGTGCCAGCTCTGGTGGTCCGGGCGCTGCAGTGCCCACCGAGCTCTACGCTTGCTCTTTCCCACGGGACTTTGCATGAAGATTTCGAGTCCCTGTGACGGGGAGTCCTGTTGGAAATATTTACTATTGTGATGACCGGTCCGGAGAAGCTGGGAAACACAGAGGCCTGTGGAGGGGAGAACCAGTTTCCCGGCGCGCTGCAGTTGAGCCGTGGCTGCCCCTGCCAGCCTCGCAGCCCACAAGCCCTAGAGGCCCCATCCTGGTCACTTCCCGGCTTCTCCCCAAGCCCACTGCCCTGAGTCCTCCCGCCCCACCCCCCGCATGTCCCTCCAGGGCTGGGGCTGTGCCTGCCCGAGCTCCCTGACCCCCAGGTCCTGTCCCCAGGCCCGGACCGCCCCACGCCAGCCTCCCCAGGGCTCTCCTACTCACCTCCCCTCCTGGTAAGAGGCACTTATCTGTCATTTCTTTTCTTTTCTTTTCTTTTTTGAGATGGAGTCTCACTCTGTCGCCCAGGCTGGAGTGCAGCGGTGCGATCTCGGCTCACTGCAAGCTCCACCTCTCTGGTTCCTGCCATTCTCCTGCCTCAGCCTCCCGAGTAGCTGGGACTACAGGCACCCGCCACCACGCCTGGCTAATTTTTTGTATTTTTAGTAGAGACGGGGTTTCACCATGTTAGCCAGGATGGTCTCCATCTCCTGACCTTGTGATCCGCCCACCTCGGCCTCCCAAAGTGCTGGGATTACAGGCGTGAGCCACCGCGCCCGGCCTGTCATTTCTTTAAATCAGGATCTTTAATGGCCGCTTAATAGCCACCATTAGTATGTTAATAACCCCCCCCCCACTCTAGGCAGCCTGTCTCCCTATTTCTGGGCCATTGTCCTTCATCTGTGGGGCGGCAATACCTGGAGATCTCTGCTTGCCCCCTTGGGGACCCTGGACATCTATTCCCCTGGATGGGGACACTCGAGCTGGGACAATGCCTGGGGGATGCCCCAGTGGGAGCACCTCTCAGGAGCCCTCCAAGCTGCGTTCTGCCTGTCAGCAGTGGGTACCGCCGGGCTGCCCAGCCCCTCCCCTCCCCTGGGTCCTGCCAAGTCGGTCAGAAGGAAAGATGGGCAGCGGTTGGAATATACTTTTGACGGGAATTTACTTTATTGTGTTTAATTGTAAAGCGTGGAAGTCGAGGCATGAATATTCAGCGTCGCCGGCTGCTGGCGCGGAGCCGAGGTCTGTGTTCCGACGTGCCCAGCAGGGGGCCTGTCCGAGGGGGAGCGACGGTGAGGAAGCTATTTATTGAAATAGCTTCATTAATTAGTAATTAACAGCAGGGTAATGACTATGTCACACATCGTAATTCAGTGGATGCCCTTCATGTGTTATGAGGCCTTTAATTAAAGGACGTGCATTTTAATTAAAGGGGTGCTTGGCCCTTTGGCCTTTGCAATACAAAAGACGCTCTCAACTTTCAAAGAAGCTGACAGGGAGGCTGTGCTCGTGCATGGAGTGGGGGCTGCCGGGGGTGTCCACCCTCAGGGCACGCCTCGCCTTCCAGCCCAGCTCTGGCTGGTCCTCCTTGGAGTCCATTGGACAACCTGGTGGCCATGTGGGGTACAGGAGGGGCCCTGGGCCAGACAGCCATGGATGGGGAGGCCGAGGTCCCTGTGACCCCCCTTGGGGTCCAAGCACTCTTCTCTGCCCCCGCAACTTATCTATCTGTGGGTTGGAAATATAGTGTCTGAGAGGCACCAGGGACACTTGTCTCCCACACTGGTTTGCCAAAATTCTAGGGTCTTCCCATCCCAGCACTGCCTGGGCACCTTTGTGCCCATCGTGGGAGGGTGCCCTGCTGAGGCTGTTTTAAAACTGGCACCCACATTCTTTCCCTCAAGAGATGGAGCCTGTGTCCCCTCCCCTTGAATCTGGGGGTGGGGACTTGTGACTGCTTCTGAAGCTAAAATGTGATTTCTGCAGCTTCTGCCTGGATATCCTGGGCACTCACTCTTGGGACCCGGCCACCATGCTGTGAGGAAGCTGAATCACCCCACGCAGGAGCCACCTGGAGAGGCCAGACATGCACCTAGGGTGGGGGGAGGGGGTGTCTGAGCTGGTTGGAGGAGGGAAGGCTGTTCACTGAGAGAGCAGACCCAGGAGCCCCAGTGGCAGAAGGGGCCCGGCAGGGAGTGCTGGGCAGGGAGCGCCCATGTGCCCACCCGAGTGCCAGTGCCAGCCAGCTGCTGCCCGGAGAGCCCCGGCCCTCTGTAGCTATCTGGCCTCTGCTCATGGCTGTTGCTCAGAGAGAATCTGACCAGCACTGACTTCACCTCCGCCCACCCCCTGAGGCGGCAGCTGGACCTCAGCGTTGCTTCAGGAAGAAGTCCTCAGCCAATAGTGTCCATGCCAAGGACAAATCTGAGAGGCCACTAAAAATGCCAGAGACATGCAGGATAAAATACAGCCTGTCCCATTAAATTATTGATGCCTTTAACATTAATTACCATCCTCCAAACCTGCAGTGGCTCACATCTTCCCTCCTTCCTCCGGCTTGGAGAACCTTCAGCTAGAGCTCAGGCTGGAAATGTATTTTACTGTTTTCCCTGTGCCTCTGTCATGCAGGGGTCTTGGAGGTGCACTCCCACCCCAGCACAGGTGCCACAGGACTGCCTCTGGTGCCCTTGACCCACCCACACCAGCTCCACACCCACACCTCCCCCCAACCTTCCCCCAGCAGGCGCAGGACTGCCTCTGGGGCCCCTGACTCACCCACACCAGCCTCTGTGATGTGGGGGTCTTGGGGGTGTGCTCCCACCCCAGCACAGGTGCCACAGGACTGCCTCTGGTGTCCTCGACCCACCCACACCAGCTCCACACCCACACCTGTCCCCGAACCTTCCCCCAGCAGGCACAGGACTGCCTCTGGGGCCCCCGACCCACCCACACCAGCCCCACACCCACATCTGCCCCCAACCTTCCCCCAGCAGAGAGGCTCCAGGTCTTTCTGGCCCCTTCTCCCCTTGCCATCTATTTTTATGGCTGCCTATAGGAACGTTTTCCATGAATGGAATCTGGAACTCCCACACAGACAGGCCTGGTGCTGGGGTGGGTCTGACGGTGTCGTGTGAGTTACCTCTGCTGCCCTAGCGGGGTCCTGTGACAGGGCAGCCTAAACAACAAGAATGAGTTTTCTCAGCGGGGCACAGTGGCTGGAATCCCAGCACTTTGGGAGGCCAAGGCAGGAGGATTGCTTGAACCCAGGAGTTTGAGACCAGCCTGGGCAACATGGCAAGACCTTGTCTCTACAAAAAGGAAAAAGAAATATTAGCCGGGTGTGGGTGTACGAGCCTGTAATCTCAGCTACCCCAGAGGCTGGGGTGGAAGGATGGCTTAAGCCCAGGAGGTCAAGGCTGCCATGAGCTATGGTTGCACCACTGCCCTCCAGCCTGGGCGACAGAGCAAGACCCTGTCTCAACAAACAAAAACAAACAAACAAAAGAAATGGGCTCTCTCTCAGCTCTGGAGCCCAGAAGACCGAGATCAAGACCAGGACTGGTTCCTCCGGAGGCCACTCTCCTCCCTGTGTCCTTCTGGTCATCCCTCTGTGTATGTCTGTGACCAAATTTCCTCTTCTGATCCAGCCAGACTGGATTAAGACCAACCCCAGTGACCTCAGTTTGCCTTTCTTACCTCTTTAAAGACCCTAACTCTAAATGAGGCTGCACCTGAGGTGGGAGTTAGGGCTTCTGCACAGGAAGGGGAGGGACACAGTTCAGCCCAGCACAGCGAGGCTCCATTCCCGCCTGCCCTGGACCCAGGGTCTACCAAGCAGCGAGGCTACCCGAGAGCATACGACAGCCTGGCGCTGCCCTGACCTCCTTGGGGACTGAGGGGTGGTGGCGACAGACGGCTCACAGCTGAGTCCCTCTCCTGGGTCTCACGCTAGCAAGTTGACGACTGGTCAGCATGGGGGACAACCCCGAAGCCACGGGGGCTCCAGAGCACCTGTGGGCCGCAGAAGCTTCTGTCGGGGCTGCATCGCACCCCAACTCCTCCCCCGCCCTGCCTTGCCCCCCAGCCCCAGGACCCTCCGTCGGCAAATCTCCATCTCCATCAAGTTTGTGGGGGCCCAGCCTAAGGCGAGACCCCAAGCCCCTTGCTGGGAGGGCTCCCAGCAGACCCTCCCTATTAATAAGGAAAAAAAGCCAAACCGAGTTGAGAGGACCACGGCAGATGACATGTTCGGCCACAATGCCACAGGACTCAGTCCAGCCAGGAGGAAGCTGGGGACAGATGGAGCCCTAGGGATGGGCCCAGGCAGGAGGTGCTACTGCAGGGGATGCGGGTCTGTGGCGAGAGGGGTGACACAGGCTCCAGAGCCTGGAAAGCAGGGCCCGGAGGGTCAGCCCACAGAAAGCAGGGCCTGGAGTGTCAGCCCCACAGAACACTCACAAGCTTGGAGGCGCCAGCCGCGCTGCTCTGATGGCTGCGCCCTGTGTGCAACGGTAAGCTGTGCCTGCAACATGGACTGTTATTACGTGTCATTATAAACAGAATAGAAACCCCCACCTGATGCCACGCCCACACCCACTAGAATAGCTGGCACTGTGGCCACGCCCAATAGAATGGCTGGCACGGTGGCCACGCCCACTAGATTGGCTGGCACTGTGGCCACGCCCACTAGAATGGCTGGAACTGTGACCCACGGGAGGATCAGGAGGGACCGAGGCTGTGGAGGGGTCCTAAGAGCCTGCCTGGTGTCGGGGAGCTGCTGATGCCCCTGTTAAAGTGGAGCACGTGGAACTGGCCCCCGAACCGTCCCCACCACCCTGCTGGGGCGGCCGGTCCCTGAGTGGGTACGAGGCCAGGGTGGGGTCTCACAGCTCCCGTGGGCCATCTCCCCTCCTGGCGCACTTCCTCTTTCTGGTTTTAGGATGTCACCTTGATAGACGTCACAGAAACCGCATACCGTTATCTGAGAAAGTAAAACACACGAGTGAGCCCAGGCATCCTCTGGGGTTTGGTCAGTATCCTTCGAGCTGCTGGGCGTCTGTGCACCGCGGGTTCCCCTGGGCCCCCTAATGGGAAGCGTTCTCCTGCCGGGTCGTAGGGTCTCCTGTCAAGGGCAGCGGCTGTCCCACCCCCATCTCCCTCTGCTGAGACACCTCTGCTCGGCACCCCGCTCCCTGGGCCTCGCCAGGGACACATAGCAGGGGGCTGTGAGCCCCAGAGGCCAAGAAAACTGCTCCCTGCTTCCAGCCCCAGACACCACCTCGCCTGTCCCAGGTGGCTGAGAGTGGGATCTGGGATTGGCTACTTCCTTTGGGCATCTCCCTGCCATTCATACCCAGGCCATCCTCCTTCCTTCCTCCCCCAGGGCCAGGATGGTCCCAGGCAAGGATGAGAGGATTGCTCACCCGAGCAAGGCCCGAAGCCTTTCCTGAAGCTCATTTGGGCAATTGGAGGCTGGAGGTCCCCCCGCCCAGCCCAGGAAGACTCAGCCTCCGCCCCCTCCATGGCCCCTGAGTCTCAGTTCTGCTTCGGCAGCTCCTCCTGTCCCCAAGCGTCCTCTGTTCCCGCAGCCTGAGCCAGCATGGGGAAGCTGGAGACAAGCCCTGAGCAGCCGGGCCCCTCCTCCTCAGGGACCCCTCCGGAGCTGGGCACGGGCAGCACTTCCTCACCCCGTTGTCCTGGGGGGCCGAGCTTGGTGGATGGCAGTGCCCAGGGACGGGGGGACCCTCGGAGGCCGGGGTGTTTCCTGTGGACACTCAGTGTGGGCTTCTCACGGGGCCTGAGGGGTTTTCAGCGAAGGAGTTGCCTCCGCCCTTTAGGCTGTTTACGTGCTCCCCGTGCCACCATTTTCTCCCCAAATAGACAATCTGGCTACAGGCTCGGGAAGGCACCGGCGCGGCTGACCGCTGCCCCCACGCTGACCCTAGGACGGTCTGTCTCTGTGTTTTTGCCAGCATCCCATGGAGCGGATGGTTTTAGGAGGGACTTTCTTGGACATTCCCTTGCTAAGCCAGGGAACTCAAGGATCAGCGGTCACGTACCCAGTTTTCAAACATTTTCCATTTCTACGTTTAATTGGAGGAAATGATTTTACCAACATTAACTTTTTTATGTGGAAAACTACGAACAAGACTTGGCCACTGTCAAAATTTGCCAATTATCACGCCCCATCTCTCTTGGGCGCCTTCAGTTTCCTGGCTGGGTTTGAAGCTCTAGCTGATGTCAAGTGGAGGTTATTCTTCCATTGGCCTTTAGTGGGTGACAAAGGTGACCCTGAGCTCAACAGCACCACGCGGGCCCCAGGCAAAAGCAGTCGAAAACCTGGATCACGAATGTTTGGGGCGCAAACAGCTGAGCCAGGGTCTCCCAATAAGAGCTGAGAACACATACTGGCTCCTGTGCCCGACCGAAGCTCGATGCCCTGGCTGGTCCTCCCCTCATCGTGCGAGGGCCAAGGACGTGGCTCTGTCTGGCTGGGCCCTCTCTGCCCCCTCTGCCAGGAGGGCTGAGGTGATAGCAGCTCTGCCCAGAGTGGAGTTTCCTGCCCCTCCCACTGCAATACAAAGCTCATGATGGTCTTGGATTTTGCATATTGATCAGTCCATACAGAGCAGTGACCGTGGGCAGCAAGTGGCTCAGGCTCGTCTTGTCCCTGGGCAAGCTGGGGCCTGGGAGAGGACAGACAGATGCTCAACACTCCAGCACGCAGAGCCCCTCAGCACAGCTCAGGCTCCTTCATTAGCATCCCTGCCTGCCGTGCAGACCCACCCAGGGTCACAGGCTCCTGTCCCTAGTCATCTCCAGGATTGGCCTAATTGGCGGCTTTTCGGCAGCTCTCAGAGAGAAGGGTGAGGCGCTGCGGCCATCCCCTCGTGGGCGGAGAGCTGCCGTCTCAGCCAGCGTTGGGGGGGACCCTGCAGGGGAGGCGAGGAGACAGGACTGCCTGCCAGCCCTGCCCAACCCTGCCGGCTGGTCGCTGTCTAGAGCTGGCAAGGAAACTCGGTTTGTTTGCAGAAAAACGAAGAGAGGAGAATAGCCCCTGAACTCATGCAGCCCACGGTTGCCAGATTTGACTGGGTCCTTTCAGTCCAGCGGCCCCAGGCAGGGACAGGTGGCTTCCCTGCCAGTCCTGGTCTGAACCCCACGGGCGAGGGTCCTGCAGTCCCAACCCTGCATCTCAGGCTCAAGTGCGGCCCCCCTCGCTGCCCAGCTCGGTGGCTGTGCCTGCTCACGGGGAGGCCCTCTCTGCGCACAAACCACCGGTGTCTGTCCCGGACAGAATCAGTCCCATCTTCCTTTGCTCACCAGCACGATTCAAAGGGGGCTGAAGAATAAATGTTTTCCTAAGTTTTAGCTGACATTCAATTTCAATGACTTTTTAAACAAAGTAGCTGTTAAACGTGCAATGTTTTATGGTTTCCTGATGTCTGACAGGTGTTTTTGCCCATGTGGGAAGCAGATGCTAATCGCATTCTCCCTAATAGCTCATAAATAATAAGCACTGAGTGTTCCCTTTGTGCGCCGTGCTGCCAGTGGCCAATTTGTTCTTCAGAAGTGGCCACGCTGCCTGTCAATCAGCTCTCGCCCGAGGCACTTTTTGGTGATTAGAAGCCCCTTGGAGAGCGAGAACTCCAAATTAGTTTTAAATAAAAAATAAGAATATTCATGCTGCTGAACATCTAAAGGTAAAGGAGACAACACAGTCCAAACCTGCGGCCTAGGTCCGGCATCGCTGGTGGAGGGGCCGCGCGCCCAGACCCACCGGGGTCCCCGGGGACGGGGACGCGGACGGGGTGCAGACGGCACCACACAGAGAGGCACGGGGTGGGGGTGACAGGCACGGAGCCGCTTGGCGGGAGGGGCTCAGGCAGCCTCCTGTCGGCTGAAACGCGCGGCCACACGAGAGCTCGGCTGCGTTCCGGGACTGGCGTAATTGGCAGGCTCCAGGCAAGAGCGCTCATGCTGACTGGCGCCTTTGCTGGGACTTGAAAGCAGGGGAGGGGATGTGCCTGTCTCCTTGAGAGGAGAACAAATGTTCCCTTTGAAGAAGTTTGCGATGAGCGGGGCCAGTGTCAGAGGAGATGGCTTCTGGGGTGGCGGGCGGTGGCGGCAGGTGGCGCTGGCCCTGCCCCTCCCCCCTCTCCCCTCCCCCCCTTCCCCCCTCCCCCCAGCAACCTCCGTGGGTCTCTCCTTTGGGGCAGTCTCAGCTGGGTGGGCGCCGCTGCCACCCGCGTCCTCAAAGTCACTCTTGCTGTTGTCCCTTCTGTGCATCAGAGTGGGGCCGTGTGCGCCCTTCTGGGGTTCCTGCTGGACTCCCCTCGGCCCCAGGCTCTGTCCGTGGTGCAGGGAGGTCCCGCCATCCACCCAGGCTCAGAAAATAGCATGAATCAGCTCATGCAGTGGGGAAGTGGGACCCTGGGCTAGGGGAAGCCAGGGGCAGTGTCCTCAGGGTAGAGAGGCCATGAAGAGCTGGGGAGGGCAGGCAGGGCTTCTGGACCAGTATGGGCAAAGGCCCGGTGGGTTCGGGGGCGGTGGTTTAACGCCTCTCTGTGAGAACCCAGGATGGGCGAGGGCTCCAAAGGTGAGTTGGCTACACAGAACCCTCCAGAATCTTTTGACCCTCACTGTGCTCCTTCCGACGCTGAGGGTGACCCACTCTGAGACCTCGGGGCTGTCTCCCTCCTTGCCAGCGTAGAGCCTGTGGACCATGGGTGCAGGTGTGGGGCCTCAGGGTCCAGTAGGCCAGGGAGCGGCCAGGGAGCGGCCAGACCAAGACCTGCTGGGGGGCAGTGAGCAGGCTCTTGGTGGGACAGACTGGGGGACCGTGACTCCACTTGGGCTGGGGACAGCAGAGGGCTCTGGGCATTGGGAGAAGGGGGCAGGCTGAGAGAGGGGCAACAGGAGGCAGCAGGAACAGGCTGGGCCCATCTGAGGCTGGCGAGGCCTTGAGTGCAGGGACCCTGGAAGGCAACGGGCAGTGCCCAGCTCTGGCCTCCTCCAGAAGTGCCCCGACAGCACCAGCTGCCCCAACCCCTCCCCACCTCTCTCCACTTCCTCCCAGGGGTTTCCTTCCAGCGACCACAGCTGCCAGGCCACAAGCTTGGGGAGGATCCCCATCTCTCCAGACCCCACCCGGTTCTCCACACTGAGGGTGCCCTGCCCTGTGCCTTCCCTGTGCTCACAGGCTCTGGGGGTCCCTGACGGCCCTGGGACTGGGCGTCCTTCTCTGCTGGATGCCAGAGCTGTGAGCCCAAGGGGCCAGGAGTGCAGGCTGCCCTCAGGATCTGGCATGAGAAGCCTCCGGGTTCTCAGGCCTGGGGGCAAGTCCTGGGACTGAGCACCGTCTCCACTGGCCTAAGCTGTGGGCAGTGGGGAGGGAACATGGAGGAGGTCACATGTTTAAGTCTGAAAACAAATGATGTCCTCCCACTTCACCCTGCCTGGCCCCCACAGCCCACGGCCACTGCCCCCAGGACCATTTCACAGCTATAATTCTTGTCCTTCCTGGCTTTCCAACTAATGCATTGTGATTAGGCTATGCATTAATTAATAGGCAAAGACAAATCCATTTCATGGTGCATGCATTCTCGAGTTGGCTTCCGGAGGCTCTGCAGGAGGGACTGAAGCCTGGCCGGGGGAGGTGCCGGTGGCTGAGCCTGCTCCCAGTCGATGGCTGAGGACCCGGCCGCACCTCGATGGCTCACACGGTCAGGGAACCCGGGTTGTCCCTGGAAGGGGGAATAGGGAAGCTGTGGAACCCATGGGTGGCCTTAAAGGTGGCTGCGAAGAGGATGGGGGATGGTGGTGCCTCCTCACCTGCCCTCACAGAGGACTGAGGGCCCTGCCCCAAAACTGCAGGCCTGTGGCCTCCGTGGCGGGCACACAGGACAGGGTTTCCATCACAGAGATTTAAGCTGCCCTCATCACTCCCATCCCCTTCCTACAATGGCATCCCCCGCGCTCAGGGCAAAGAGCAGACCCCTCCCTGTCCCCAGTACAGGCCCCGACCTCCATTCCAGCCAGGGCACCTGGCACCGCCCTCCCCAATCTTAGTCCCCCTCCCCCACCCACACACCCTTTCCCCTCCCCTGAGCACCCTCATTGCTGCCTCAGGGCCCTGCATGTGCTGTTCCCCTGCCTGGATGCCCACCCCCAAGGGTCACCTCCTCCAGGAAGCCTTCCTTCTTCTCAGGCTGAGTTGGCTGGTTACTGCTGTGCCTGCTCTTGACTGGGGATTCTACCGGGGCGAGGCCAGGCTGCTCTTATCCATCGTCATGTCCTCAGTGGGCACACAGAGACCTGTGACCATCAGTCAGTGTGACAGGGTTAAGGCTGCTACCATCGACATCAGTGCCATCTCTTCTTTGTGATTGTCTTTGTAAAGAATGTGCCAAAATACACATAACAGAAAACTTACCATTTCAACCACTTTTTTTTTTTTTTTTTGAGGCAGGCCCAGGCTGGAGTGCAGTGGTGCAATCACAGCTCACCGCAGCCTTGACCTCCCAGGTTCAAGCAATCCTCCCGCCTCAGCCTCCCGAGCAGCTGAATTACAGGCCCGCACCACCACGCCCGGCAAATTCAGCCATTGTTAAGTGTGCTTTTCAGTGGCATTAAGGACATTCACAATGTTGTGCAACCATCACCACCATGTACTTCCAGAATCTTTTCAATTTGTCAAAACACACCTTGTACCTGTAAGCCATCACTCCCAAACCCCGCCCCCAGCCCCTGGCAACCACCAATCGACTTGTTGTCTCCGTGGCTTTGCAATTTCTGACATTTCATGAAAGTGGAATCACAAGTGCCCTCCGTGTCCGGCCTCTTCCACAGAGCGTTGAGTTTTCAAGGTTCGTCCCTGTTGTAGCAGGAATCCGTGCTTCACTTAGGCTGCAAGGGCGTACCATGGCATGGAGGCACCTATGGGTGGACGGCGTTTCGCTGGTCTGTCCTGGGCTGAGGGCTGAGGGCTGGACACCCCCACCTGGCTCCCGTGTCCTGTTGAAGAGGTGTCGAATCTTCGCCGCTCTCGAGATGCACGTGTGCAGCTTTGGCCGATCCCCTGTTTTCAGCTGCAACTGTCTCCCGAAGTCACAGATTCCCCCTTGGTCTTTGGTGTGCGGGGAGGGCTACAAATCCTCCCCAAGAATGCCCACCCTGCCCCCGACTGGGGCAGATTCTGGTTATCCATAGGAGGCCCCTCCTGCCAGGACAGGGCGCATCCTCTCCGCCTCCTGACCTCCCTGCCCTGTCCTGGGCTGGAGCAGCCAAGCCCTGAGCTGGCGAAGCAACTCGAGCTCTTTGCATATGCGTGGCCGCCCGAGTCTCCAGCTAGCCCCCCTGCCATACTACTAAATATTTTAGCAAATAAAAATTTTTTAAACGTGCGGCCAGATGTCCAGGTTGACAAAGTGCTTAAGGCGTTTGACTGATAAAAAGCTGGAACCCTTGGTAAATGGGGATTTAAAACAAGCCCTGAGGCAAGTGTGTGATATTAAAAACATCCTGGGCTCTTTTGTGCAGGGCCCGGGTGCACAGAGGCTTGAAGGCGAGCGTCCATCTGTCGCCGCCGTGTGTCCTGACACTCAACAAAGCTGGATCTTGGAGCGGTGGCTGCTCAGCAGCAGGCCTGGGTGGCTGGGCGCACGCTCACCACAAAGGAGGTGCCATCAATATTCATGAGCTGGGCCTGCGTGGCTGGGTTTACAGAGAGGACGAGGCAGCCACAGGCCAGACACCTCTCCGTGGCACTGGTTCTGGGCCTTGGCTGGCAGGGAGGAACAAGTTCTGCCTCCAGAGTCCCTGTGAGCCTCCGAGAAACAGGCCAGGACTCTACAGAGGCCACAGTTCTGGAATGGATGAGGGGTAGAGATCAGCCCAGGCTCCATGCGAAGCCAGAGGCTCCCCAGACTGAGAGGAAGCGAGGGAGAGAGAAGGCCCTGGAAGGATGAGAGGCCCTGGGAGGGAGGCCCAGGCCCACACAGGCACCCTTTGCAAACAAAAAAAGCAGAAAAGCTGAGAACAATGAGGGAGAACACCTGTCAGAATCCGTGAAAAGCCTGACCTCAGCTGTTTTTAATGCAGAGGTTGATTTTCACACAATGCTTGCCAAGTGGGTGGAGGCCCCAGGGGACTGATGGGAGTCCAGGACAGGGGACATCATCGACACACAGAGACGCTGGTCCTTTGTGGTCTGACCTGTCCATCCATCACACTCTGATTTGCTGATTTCAGCCAGTATCACCAGGGCTTCGCGCAGGGTCTACAGCGCTCTCCTGAGGCCCTCCCCAATCATCTTATGCCATCCTGACACGGACCACATGGAGGACTGGTGCCTTAAGAGGCGGGGCCCGGGCGGGCTGGGGAGGACTCCAGCGTCTGGAAAAGGCCTGGCCTCAAGGGAGTCCTGGCCCCGGCTTCCCCGGCATCTGAGCATCTGAGAAAGGCCACTGCACGTGGTTCTCAGGCTGCCGCAAGGACTCCGGGGACACATTTAGCTCCAGGGCCTGGCGCCTGAACCAGGGTCCAGTCTGGACCTGGGAGCTGGCTGACATGGGTGAGGCCACCCCAGTTCCTCGCCCGTCTTGGTCCCAGAGTCCTTCTGAGAGGACCCGCTGCCCACACTCGTCTGGGGTGGATGGAGGCAAGTGTCTCCTTCCTGATGTTAGAACACGAAACCTGACAGGTGCTTGGACCTGGGGGTGAGGTGGCCCCTGCTCAGGTGAGGTGCTCAGGAGAGGCAGGCACCAGGCAGTCCCTCGGGGCCCCACAACCACAGTCTTTCATGCAAACTTGTTGATCTTGACACCTGCTTGGCCCAGCTCTGTCAAAGTCCCTCTCCCTGGTTTCTGCCCAGGCAGGCTAGGGGACACCACAGGTCATCTCTTCACAGGAGCTGGCGCTGTGGGAGGTGAGACCTTCCAACCTGCGTCCAGCCCTCTGCTGGACCTTGTCAGGCCTGAGGACACCTCTCCTAGGCCTAGAAATGACCTACAGTGAGGAAACCTGGGGAGAGGGGCCGGGGAGCAAGAGCAGGCACTTCGGGCTCTGAGGATGAGGTGGGATGGAGGAGAGCCTGGGGCTGTGCAGCAGGGCAAGTGGTATTGTGCAGCTGGGCAGTGGGACAGAACAGGTGGACTGGGGTGCAGGTGGACTGGGGTACAGTGGGAAGGGGGCATAGGTGGGCAGAGGGTGCAGGTGGTCAGTGGTGCAGGTGGGCACTGTTCAGGTGGGCAGAGTGCTGGTGGGTAGGGGTGCAGGTGTGCAGGGGGTGCAGGTGGGCGGGGATGCAGATGGGTGGGAGTGTAGATGGGCAGAGGTGTAGGTGGGTGCAGTACAGGTGGGAAAAGGGTGATGGGGCAGAGGGTGCAGGTGGGCAGAGGGTGCAGGTGGGCGGGGGTGCGGGTGGGCGGGGGTGTGGGTGGGCAGAGGGTGTGGGTGGGCAAAGAGTGCGGGTGGACTAGGGTGCAGGTGGGCAGGGGTGCAGTTGGGCAGGGGGTACAGGTGGCTGGAGTCTGACATGGGGGTGATGTAGGCATGGGGGTGCAGTGGCCTGTGGGTGTAATTCTCCACTCTGCCCTTTATTCAAATGCAAATGTCCAGCCCTGTGAGTTCAGAGCCTTGGAACTAGGAAACTGATTTTAACAGGGGAAAATGTGACCCTAGAACAGGACTATCCTCCTGAACACTGTGCCAGTTGGTGTCTGCGAACTCCGCCCTGTTGTGCATTCTCACTTCTAAGAGGTTGTCCACCCCTCCTGGGTGTCTGTGGGCCTCATCTGCTGAGCCCAGGGGTGGCAGGAGCCACGTCTTCACCGTCATTTCACAGACCAGGATACGGAGGCTCACAGTAGTCAGCGGCTTGCCTGGTCTCTCGGGCATTGGTTCAGGCTCTGGCCCCTGCCTTGCAGGGATGCCCCAGTCTCCTATCCCAGCCTGCACCCTCCTGGGGGCCACGCCAGCATGGTGGGGCGAGAGGGTTCTGCAGAGAGAGCCTGGGGGCACGTTTGGGATCTTAGCCCTCTAGTGCCCTTCCATTTTCTACTGGGGCAAGGAGCGTGAGGCTCCAGCATCCCCTCCAGAACGTTCTTGTGGAAGCTCCGCTTTGTTTCAGAACAATGGAAGCTTAACATAAATATGCAGAGGAAATGTGACGTCACAGTTTTTATTGGGACCTGGAATCACTCCTGTGATAGAGTCATTACCTGGGTTAAGCTCATTAAGTTAATTAACGTGAGCGTTATTATTGCTGATAAAAGATAGTCTCAGGGGATTGGTAGAGCCAGCGTAGCATGCAGGGGTGGGCACAGGGGGGATGGGGATGGGGGACTCAGCAGAGACAGCTGGGGGACCCGGGGACCCCTGCTAAAGCTGCAAAACACAATCACATTCTCACACCCGGGCTGCCCCCACCCTGAGGACACGGGTGAACACGGAGCTCGGGGGACACGACCATCCAGCGTCATGAAAGCCAGGCGTGCGAGCCAACTACTTGTACCTGCAGGACAGGAACAGTGAGGATAGAGCGATGGGCACAGACCTCACCCCGAGGACAGAGGTCATTGTCACCAAAGACCCCCGAGAGAGGACGGCGATTGGTCTTGAAGGGTCGATGATGGACATTCCTTCGTATGTGGCCCCTCTTTTGGGATGTTCGCTTCTAACTCCAGAGCTCGGAGACTCATCTGAAGGTTGAATTTAGACCCCATCATTATTTTTACATGTGTGGAAGGATCTTTGGGTGGTTTTCTTTATATTTTATATTATTTTATTTTATTCTATTTTATTTTTTTGAAACTGAGTCTCCCTTTGTTGCCCAGGCTGGAGTGCAGTGACACCATCTCATCTCACTGCAACCTCCACCTCTCAGGTTCAAGTGATTCTCTTGCCTCAGCCTCCTGAGTAGCTGGGACTACAGGTGTGCGCCACCACGCCTAGCTACTTTTTGTATTTTTTAGTAGAGACGGGGTTTCACCATGTTGGCCAGGCTGGTCTCCAACTCCCGGTCTCAAGTTATCCTCCTACCTGGGCCTCCCAAAGTGCTGGGATTACAGGCATGAGCCACTGTACCCAGCCTTGGTGGTTTTCTTTAAATCCTTGTCAGTGAACTATCTGAGTGTGGTGGTTTTAAAATGTCCCCCATTTTTGTGGACAATCCTCCCTCAAAAGCAGGTTTTCTTAAGTGTGAGCCAGACTTAGCAACTGGCTTCTCATGAATAAAATGTGGTGGAAGGGGCCGGGTGCGGTGGCTCATGCCTGTAATCCCAGCACTTTGGGAGGCCAAGGTGGGAAGATCACCGGAGGTCAGGAGTTGGAGACCAGCTTGGCCAACATGGTGAAACCTTGTCTCTACTAAAAATTCAAAAATATTAGTTGGACATGGTGGCGCATGCCTGTAATCCCCGCTACTTGGGAGGCTGAGACAGGAGAATCACTTGAACCTGGGAGGCGGAGGTTGCAGTGAGCCGAGATCGCACCACTGCACTCCAGCCTGGGTGACAGAGCGAGACTCCATCTCAAAAAAAAAAAAAGAAAAACAAAGAAGTGGTGGAAGGGACAGTGTGACTTCCAAGGTGAGGCGCTGCCCGCTTTGGGAGTCCACGTGGCGAGGAACAGAGGCCGCCTGCCTGCAGCCGCGGAAACCCTCCTAGAAGTGGATCCTTCAGATGAGCCATGGCCAGCCCCTCGACAGCAACCTCCTGGGAAAAACGTCCAGCTAAGCCACACCCCAACTGGAAGTGGGTCCTTCAGATGACCGGAGCCACGGCCAGCACCTCAACAGCAACCTCCTGTGAAAACCACCCAGCTAAGCTGCACCCCAATTCCTGTTCCTCCAATACTGTGGTCAGAGGGGCTCAAAGCAGAATGAGTCCATCTTGAGTAGGGAGTGGGTAAAATGAGGCTCAGACCTGCTGTGCTGCACTCCCAGGGGTGAGGCATTCGGAGTCACAGGATGAGATTGGAGGTCGGCAGGACTGGTATCACAAGATGCAGGTCATAAAGACCCTGCTGGTAAACAGGATGTGGTAGAGATGCCGGCCAAAACGACCAAAACCAAGACGGTGAGAAGAGTGGCCTCTGCTCACCCGCCCTGCTCATTACACACTAATTATAATAGGTTAGCGGCTAAAAGACGCTCCTGCTAGTGCCATGGCAGTTTACAGATGCCACGGCAACATCAGGAAGTTACGCTATATGGTCCAAAAAGGGGAGGAACCCTCAGTTCTGGGAATTGCCCACCCCTTTCCCAGAGAACTCATCAATAATCCACCCCTTGCTTAGCATATAATCAAGAAATACGTGTAAGTGACCTTAGTCAGCAGCCCATGCGGTGGCTCTGCCTATGGAGTCCCCGTTCTTTTGTTCTTTTACTTTCCTAATTTACTTTCACTTTATGGACTCGCCGCAAATTCTTTCTTGCATGAGACCCAAAAACCCTTTCTTGGGGTCTGGATCGGGACCCCTTTCCCTGCTCGTCTTCTCTGCATCAGCCCAGACCCCACACCTGTTTCCTGGCGTGGACATGGAGGACTGAGGCCATCCTCCCAGCCACTGACACACGCCCCTTCTGGGGTGGCCCGGCTGGCATTGCCTTCTCCTAACGTTCCCGGGGTGGCCCGGCTGGCATTGCCTTCTCCTAACGTTCCCGGGGTGGCCCGGCTGGCATTGCCTTCTCCTAACGTTCCCGGGGTGGCCCGGCTGGCATTGCCTTCTCCTAACGTTCCCGGGGTGGCCCGGCTGGCATTGCCTTCTCCTAACGTTCCCGGGGTGGCCCGGCTGGCATTGCCTTCTCCTAACGTTCCCGGGGTGGCCCGGCTGGCATTGCCTTCTCCTAATGTTCCCGGGGTGGCCCGGCTGGCATTGCCTTCTCCTAACGTTCCCGGGGTGGCCCGGCTGGCATTGCCTTCTCCTAACGTTCCCGGGGTGGCCCGGCTGGCATTGCCTTCTCCTAACGTTCCCGGGGTGGCCCGGCTGGCATTGCCTTCTCCTAACGTTCCTGGGGTGGCCCGGCTGGCATTGCCTTCTCCTAACGTTCCTGGGGTGGCCTCCAAGGTGCTTGTGACTTTCAGGAGAGCCCAGCAAGGCCACCCTCCGTGCTCCTTGGTCTGAGCATCCTGAGGTGGAGGGTGCATGACCTTCTGTTCAAGAATGCAAATGCCTGGACCAGGAGAGCGTCGGTGTGTGCCAGAGAGCCGCCTCCCTGCATACTTTCCACCCCAGGCAGGGGCTGCCTCTATGGGGCCAGCCGGGAGACTTGCCTGCAGCTGCCTTGGGCCCTGAGTTCCGGCTCCTCCGAAAGCAGCAGGAGGCCCTGGGTCTCCTTCACCCGCCACCACCCCATCTGCAAGACGGGAACGAGAGCCTGGCTTCGTGGCTTGCACTGCGGAGTGCTTAGGACCTGACCCACCCAATCTCCACAGCTCTTCACAGCCTGTGAACGTGGTAAAACGCGTGATTAGGTTAAGGGTCCCAGCGGGGAGTGCGCCGGCTTGTGGGCACTTAGTACCTGAGCCCACCCAACCTCCAACAACTCCACAACGGCGGTTCCTGAGCTGGGCTATAGAGCGATCAGTCCCTCACCCACCTCATCTCCAACACCTCCACGGTAGGGGCTCCTGAGCCAGGCTGCTGAGCACTCAGTACCTGATCCACCCAATATCCAACACCTCCACAGTGGGGGCTCCCGTGCCGGGCTGCAGAGGCCCACAGGACCACACAAGGGTCTCTGTGCCCAATTTCTGGGCACCCTGGCTGGCTGACCTGTGGGGTGGGGGCAGCTTTGCTGCCATGCACACTTGATGGAATTTCATACTGACAGCTCGCCCACCCTCTCCTCTCATTCCTCTGGGAGAAAAAAACTTACACGAAAGATGTGAACAGGCCCAAGTGGAAAGGAAAGCCACCACCCCAGGAGGATGCCAAAGGGCGTGGGGGCACACGTCCACGCCGCAGCCCAAGTTTAGGATTTTTCACGGCAGGTGCTGCTTTCATCTTCTGGAACTGCTACCGTGAAGTACCACAAACTGGGCAGCTTAAAACAAGAGAAACTGATCCCCTCATGGTCCCGGAGGCCAGAAGCCCCAAATCAAGGTGTGGGCAGGGCATGAGTCCTCCTAGGGGGATTCTCCTTGCCTCTTTCTGCGTCTGGTGGTGGCCGTCAATCCCAGCTCCCAGCACTGCAAGCTGCTGGCAAAGGCCAGGAAGTCAGAGATGGAACCTGAGCTGCTGCTCAGAGGAGCCGGGCTCAGTCACACACACGATGCAGACAGTTCCCAGATCGACTAAGGAAGCAAGTAGCCAGAAGCACTGTTTGCAACAGGCTGTCATTCTGCTTTTTAGGGAAGGGATATTTACTCAGATACACACTGTCTCTGTAGGCAGATGAGAAACCAGCCACTGCGCGGCTTCTGAGGAAGGTGCTTGTCCAGGAGGCAGGAGGACAGGGAGGCCCGATTCCCAGAGCTGCATCTCTACGGAAACCGTCCTCTACCACTGGGAACATTCTTAACAGAAGAAAATACCCGCAGTGGCCTGAGTGGTAGCCCCCAAGAAGGTAGGTCCACACCCTAATCTTCAGAGCCTGTAAATGTGGTAAAACACATAATTAGGTTAACTGTCCCAAGAAAAGGGGCTTATCCTGGATCATCAGAGGGGCCCCTGATGCCATTACCTGTGGCATGGTCTGGCTCTGTGTCCCCACTCAAATCTCATGTTGAATTGTGATCCTGAGTGTTGGAGGTGGAGCTTGGTGGGAGGTGGTTGGACCATGGGGGTGGCTTCTAATGGCTTCTAACCATCCCTGAGTGCTGTCTCATGATAGAATTCTCACGAGATCTGGTGGTTTGAAAGTGCCCCCACGCCCCACTCTCTCTTCCTCCTGCACCAGCCAGGTAGGACGCCCTGGCTTCCCCTACACCTTCCGCCATGACTGTAAGTTTCCTGAGGCTTCCCCAGCCACGCTTCCTGTACAGCTCGGGGAATCATAGCCAATTAAACCTCTTTTCTGTATAAACTTCCCAGTCTCAGGTAGTTCTTTATAGCAATGTGGGAACTACTAATACAACATACATCCTTTTTTTTTTTTTTTTTTTTTTTTTTTTGAGACAGGGTCTTGCTCTGTTGCCCAGGCTGGAATGCAGTGGCTCCATCGTAGCTCACTTGCTGCAGCCGAACACCCCCGGGCTCAGGCGATCCTCCTACCTCAGTCTCCTGAGTAGCTGGGACCACAGGTGTGTAACACCACACCTGGCCTGCATGCATCCTTAGAAGAGAGAGGCAGGGGAGTTTGGGGACGAACGCACACAGAGGAGAAGGTGATGTGAAGACAGATGGGGCCATGTCACCTGTGTGCACAGCAGTGCTCCGACTCATGCTCTGGCCTGCCCGTGCTGAGGGACAGAACCCACAGGGAAACCCATGCCTCTCCCATGAGATAGAAACTGGCCATCTCCTCTCCAAATGGAGATTGGACAGACTGTGTTCCACGGACGGGAGCGAGGGCAGCAGCAGCTAAACCAGGCCTGTCTCCACCTCCCACACAGGCAGCAGTCTCCAGGTGGAAGTGTGGAAGTGTGTGCTCCTGGGTGTGTGTGCAGACGTGTGCACACGTGTATGGATGTGACCGTCGGGTACTGGGATGAAGGGGCCAAGAGGGATGGAGGAAGAGGAGGGCGCTAAGAAGTGGGTCTGTCGTGGGCCTAGCTTGCTGTGCTGCTTGACTGGGGTGTGAGGTACACCCCTCCCCTCCCCAGGCATGGCTGGCTTCACCGTGCGTGACCTGAGCAGCTGCCCAGGGCCCTGTGATGAGAAGGGACCTCTGCTTGGTTTAATTCTCCGAAGTTGCCATATTGAAATCTTTAACAGTTTTGGAACAAGGGCCCCATATTTTCATTTTGTGCTGGGACTGCAAATTCTGTAGCCAGTCCTGCCCCCAGGAAACTCACTGGAAAGGTGTTTACAGCATCCTTTGGAGGAAGGGCCGCAGGGCAGGGTCAGCCCTGGAACTTTGGTGGCATTTAATAACTGCAACCACATTTAAGGTGCTGGCAGCTGCAGGATTTTACCTGGTTAGTGTGGCGGGGGAGGCTGGGAGCAGGGGAGCCTGGGAGGCAGGCAGAGGCTGGGAGGCAGGGGAGGCTGGGAGCAGAGGAGGCTGGGAGGCAGGGGAGGCTGGGAGGCAGGGAGGCTGGGAGGCAGGGGAGGCTTGGAGGTGGGGAGGCTGGGAGCATGAGAGGCTGGGAGGCAGGAGAGGCTGGGAGCAGGGGAGGCTGGGAGGCAGGGGAGGCTTGGAGGCAGGGGAGGCTGGGAGGCAGGGGAGGCTGGGAGGCAGGGGAGGCTGGGAGGCAGGGGAGGGTGGGAGGCAGGGGAGGCTGGGAGGCGGGGAGGCTTGGAGGTGGGGAGGCTGGGAGCAGGAGAGGCTGGGAGGCAGGGGAGGCTGGGAGGCAGGAGAGGCTGGGAGGCAGGAGAGGCTGGGAGCAGGAGAGGCTGGGAGGCAGGGGAGGCTGGGAGGCAGGAGAGGCTGGGAGCAGGAGAGGCTGGGAGGCAGGGGAGGCTGGGAGGCAGGGGAGGCTGGGAGGCAGGGGAGGGTGGCCAGATGTAGCAAGTAAGGACACAGGATGCCCCCAGTTAACTTTGAGTTTCAGATAACTAGAAATACATTTGTAGGGTAAATATGCCCCATGCAATACTTGGGACCTAGTCACTGTTTTTGAATCTGGCACCCCAGCTGGGCGTGTTCGGCCAGGTGGGCAGGGAATCCCAGGGGTTTCCAGGTGGGCTTTGTCCGTGGGCACCGAGTGGGGGGCCTTTGCCTGTAGTAGACCCTGGGGGCCAGACCGCCGCTTCTGTGCGGAGCTGCCTGTCCTCCTCCCGCTGAGGTTCTGAGGCAGGAGTGCAGCCCCAGGCAGGCTCCTGGTCCAGAGGCATCCAGGGACCACGTCATCCCTGGAATTTTGGTTGCATTTAATAACTGTAATGTGCAGAGGAGCGGGTCAGCGTTTCAGATTAGCGCCCAGCACGTAACGAGGGCAGCTGCTTCTGTCCATCTGGAACTTGCTCTGGTCTCTCTCGGCCAAGGCTCAGCCCACAGGCCTCGCCCACCGACGCCTGCTGGTCTCCATTTAATGAGCGATTTTGGATTAAAATGGGAGTCAACAACAGGGCACAATCTACATTAAGTCTCGGCAAAATGAAAATTGCGAAGATTGACTTAGGGTGTTACGGGGAATATATAATCATAGCTCATCCATAACATCCCACAGTGCCCGACAGATAACTGAGCTGCCTAGAGGGGGATTAGGAACGCGGGCTTGTGGAGACAGCCCCGCTGTCTGGGCCTGGCCTGGGAGGTGGCTGGGAGCAATGCACCAGGCTCCGTTTGGGGTGCTGACGTCCTGACATCATGACTTCCCCTGGTGGAAGCACCCTAAACCTGGCTTGTCTATTAAAGGCCTGTCCATCAAGGCGTGAAAGAGAAAAAAGTTGAGACGAGATCTGAGTAGGAAAACCCACCCGCCATGTTCCACCTTCTAGAGACAAAGGACGGTAAAGCGTGTCTCTGGCCGAGCCTGTTCCATCTCAGGAGCTGCTAGTCTGGTCCTTTCTCATTTGCTGGTTCGTTGCAAGATCGCGTGGGCCTTTCGTGACTGGTTTATATTCTGCAGTGTTTGTAGTCAGGGCTGGGGACGTCTCCAGGTTAATGCCAAGTGACAGGCAGCGTAGCGGCAGCCCTGCGGGCTGAGCTCACAGGGGCCTCCCTGGCGTCCCCTCCAGACCATTGCTGCTGTTTCAATCCGTCAGTCCTGCAAGGGCCTGAGCCCCCAGCTGCCCCAGGCCTTTCCACACCACGCAGCCTTCCCTTCGCCCGTGCGTGCCTGGCCAACTCATTCCCCTTGCCTGTCTCCACCCTGTCAACCCGGCGCCCGGTGTGCTGTGCTGTGGCTGGAATCTGGAGAAGTGTTTCTGGAACTGTGGGAGACAGCTGGGCTGCTTCCGAAGGGCTGCCAAGCACGCATCGCACTGCGGATTCTCCGTGTGCCGCAGAACTGCAGGCAGGATCTTGACACAGGTCCATGGATCTTTCCAGCAAGATTAAGGCCGGGCCGATCACTTCATTCCCCAAACGTCTCTTTCACATCCAGAGGCTCACGCAGGGCTCCTCCTGCAAAAATCAAGGCGGTATACGACTTTCAGAGCTTCAGTGAGGGCCCCTGTGGGGCAGCAGAATAAGAATGACAGCAACTCCCGGCCTGGCCCACTCCAGGATTTACAGAAACACCTCCTGCAGCTCCTCAACCCCCCAGTGCAGCCACGTTAGTGCTGACAGTCTAGGGCACAGGGAGGGAAGGAAGACAGACTTGAAGGCCCCAGTCCGGTGACTCCGTTTATGAGACATTCTGGAAAAGGCAGAACTCAGGACAGAACACAGGCCAGGGGTCACAGGGGCACAGGGCAGGGACCACAGCAGGACCTGTGGGGTGATGCAGTGTTCTCTGTCTCGACTGTGGTGGGGGCCGTGTGGCCGTGGTGTTTCAGAAGGGTGAATGTCACCGTACATACATTACACCTCAATTTACGAGACAAACGATCAAATCATAGCAAAGTCCTGGACATGGAGAGTGACGCTGGCTGCACTACACTACATGTCCTTCATGTCACCGAACTATACACTTAGAAATGGTTACCACGGTGAGCTCCACGTTTCCTCCACTGCAGGCTCTTCAGGCAGAGAACTGGCCGCACCTGCCCCTTCCGGCTGCCGCTCTCTAGTGAAGGGCTGTGGTGCCTGTGTCACCCCCATGTGGCGTGGAGCCGCGTGACTCAGGTCCAGCTGGAGGCTGCTGCGTCTGTGGGACTGCAGCTGACCCTGATGCAGTGACCATGCGGGCCTGGAGTGGGGAGGCCCCCCCTTAATCCTCAGGACGCAGCTCAATGACGGTCACTCCCCAGCAGAGAAGGTGGCCGGATGGGCGAGGGGAGCGGGGGCCCAGCCTGCAGGTGCAGACCTCAGCTGGCCACCTGGCGTGGAGTTTGCCAAGGACAGGGACACAGTGCCGAGGTCGGAGCCCGGGCGGAGACCTCACCCTCAGCCTGTGGGGCAGTGTGTCTGGACCACAGCAGGGCCCTGGACACGCCCCTCCCTCCCCAGCACACCAGCCTCTGAGCGCGTCTGTTCATTTGTAATTATTTTGGAAACACCTGTTCAACTACATGATGGGGGCAAGGCGTGGGGAGCGTCCTCTTTCCACAACACATTTTGTTGCTGCAGGCTGTACAGAGGCTGCTTAGTGACACTGCATCCTGGAGAGTCCATCTGTCCCCTGTCCCCTCCTCTGTCCCCACAGCTGCAATCCCACACAATATCAATTAGCCACAGCATCACCACCACCTGTGCGGGAGACGGGTCCCTCACTGATAACCAGCAGGTCTGGGGGAGCCATGTCTCCTCAAAGTTACCTTTTAAGCCTCATTAAGCAGAAAGTCAGAGCTGACTTGCTACACCCATGCTCACTGAAAGGTGCTGACCGTTGGCCGGGCGCAGTGGCTCTCGCCCACCTTCTGGAACAGCCATGAGGCAGGGGTGACCCCACCCTGGGTGAGGCTCAGGAGTTTCTCCTGGGCTGACACCCATTTTCTCCGAGCCACAGCCACGAAGGCTCAGGCGTTTCTCCTGGGCTGACACCCATTTTCTCCGAGCCACAGCCACGAGATGCTCTTTGGTCTCGGGCCACATCTCTACACTGCGTCTTGGGGCGATGCTCACAGTGGGCACAGCTGTGGTCTCAGGGGCTGATAGTAAAGTTTTATTTTCTTTTACTTTATTTTTAATTTTTTTTTGAGATGAAGTCTTGCTTTGTCACCCAGGCTGGAGTGCAGTGGCACGATCTCGGCTTACCGCAACCACCGCCTCCCTGGTTCAAGCGACTCTCCTGCCTCAGCCTCCAGAGTAGCTGGGATATGGGTGCACACTATGCCCGGCTAATTTTTTTCTTGTATTTTTAGTAGAGACTAGGTTTCGCCATGTTGGCCAGGCTGGTCTCGAATTCCTGACCTCAGGTGATCTGCCTGCCTTGGCCTCCCAAAGTGCTGGGATTACAGGTGTGAGCCACTGCGCCCAGCCTGACAGTCAAGTTTTAAATCTGAGCTTTGGTGCTTTGGAAAGAGTAACCTTCTCCCCCAGCCTCGGTTTCTCCTTCTGAAAAAATGGTCAATGGTCAATGGAATCCCACAGGCCTGTTGTCTCAAGTCCACAGCCTCCATTTCAAAAGGCTCTGAAAATGGAAATGTTAAAAAAAACACTCATTTGATAGCAAAGCCTGCCCTGGAGGGACCTGAGGCCGGGTGTGGTCTTCGCCTTGCATGCCTGCGGTGGGAGTCCTCGATTTCAGGAGGAAACAGCCGCAGCCCCTAACTCTGGCCCCTCCCTGCCCTGGCCCTGTTGTGACTCAGTCTCACTCCAGTTTCCCTCCCTGGGGGGAGAAAGCCTGAAGGGAACCATGGCCGAAGGACCCCCACACTGAGGACAGGCCGTCATCCTCCCTGGCGCTCCCTTCTCCTTGCCCTCCTGTGTCTGGGTTCAGGGAGGCTACACGTGCCTCTGGCTGTGACGTCTGCGAGTGGGGTGTGCCCTGGATGCCATGCAGCCTTCCTGCTGGGCAATGAGGAAGCGCTGGCCTGCCCCCGGCTTTCCCTCCCTCTCTATGCTCACCCCTCCGACGCGCACAGGAGAAGCACGGGGAAGCCGGGTGCACTCAGAGTTGGGGACAGCCCGGGAACCTCCCACGCTCCAACTCTCTCTTCTCCTTCCAGAAAGGGTTACAGGGCCTGACCTCTGGGACACCCAACTCATCGTGTTTGCCAGGGCTTTCCAGGGTTTAAGAAAGACAGAAAGGGCTGTGTCCTGGGAATTGGAATGGTGGCTCACGTCTCACCTCGGTGAAACACACAAGGCAAACTCGACAGAAAGGGAAGGAGGGCCCCAGAGATCTCTCAGGGCTGGAGGTGGAGGGACGTGGGGGCAGCAGGGCTGTCCTGGCAGGTCAGAGTTGTGCTGTAACAGGACGAAGGCGAGGGGGCTGGAAACCCACACAGAAAGAGAGCTGTATGCAGCATCGCACCACAAACATGCTCATATATGCATACACATGCACGCACCCCACATGCATGCATACACACCACACATATGCATACAAATGCACACCCCCGTGTATGCACACACATGCCAAACACATGCGCACATCCCCCACATGCATGCACACACACCCCACATATGCACACACCCCACATGCATGTACACCCCCCACATATGCACACATATGCACACACCACACATATGCACCCCCCATGCATGCACACACACCACACATATCCACACACATGCACACCCCCCACACACATACACACAAACCACACAAATGCACACACACGCACACACACCACATATGGACACATGCACACACACATCATATATGCACGTGTCCACACAGGCACACCACATGGACACACACATATAGCACACACAAACACAAGTTTGGGTAACACACTTGGGCAGAGATAATTTTTGCCCCCATCTGATGTCTGCCTGTCTCAAGACTAGGGTGACGACAGGCGCTCAGTTGCCCCACCAGGGCCAGTCTTTCCTTTCCAGACCCGCCAGGCCTTCCCCAAGCCGGACGAAACCAGCACCTACCTGGGCTGGGGGAGGTGACCAGGGGCTTGAGACCTGCTATACATTTGGGATATTTTTAAAAGCATGGGTTGATGGTTAGGGGAGCAGAGCTACCCAGACAAGAGGGGGTGCACTGCAGAAGCACCCCATCTTCTGCAGAGAGCCTTGAAGGAGGAGGAGGAGTGGGGAGGGGAAGGGGAGAGGGAAGAGGGGAGGGCGAGCCTAGTGCTTTTCCTTCTGTTAGTGCCCTGGAAGCTGCTAAGGTAGAAGGCAGGAGAGCAGACGGCTTTGGATGCATCTGCTCATTCTGGACACACCGCTGATGCTACCACCCTGAGGGCGGATCCAGGGTAAAAGCAGGGGAGTGCTCGTCTCTTCCCGGCAGCAGGTGAAGACGCTTATTTTGGAAACCCAGATTCCTGAATGTGAAATCAACATCTTCCCGTTTGTCTATGGTGCTTGGAATGAAAGCGAGGGCTTCACCGACTTCTCAGCTCAGGGCCGTGGGGACTCTCTCCAGCAGGTGTCACTGACTTCTCGGCTCAGGGCCGTGGGGACACTCTCCGGCAGGTGGGATGGTTCTGCTCAGGGGCTTGGTTGGTGTGGGGTCTGGAGGAGAATAAGCTTCTCCCCTCCGTTTCTTCCACCAGCAGCATGGGCCTGTTGGCATTCACTGGTTCATAGTCGGTGGGTTTCTGAATCCCAGTCCCTAAAGCTGTGGGTGTGTTCATGTACTGAACACCCTTGTGACGAGTCTCTCACCGGTTTGCATTACGTGGACCCACCGGGACGCAATGCCCCAGGAGTCTGCTGGGCTGTGGAGGATGGTTTTATTTCCGTGCATGAAATGCAGAGACGGTTTGACCCTGTAACTTTGGTAACTTTGGTGTCATCCGTGGTCGGAAAGCAGGAAGTGCTGGGGGCCAGAAGCAGCTCCAGACGCCGAGAGCACACAGAGGCTGTGGATGACGGCGACAAAAATGCATCCTGTCAGATGCCTTGTGGCCATCAGACAGCATCGTGGGTCCTGTCTGTGTCTCGGGGTTTGCGGCCACAGATCTGGACTGGTGGAGGCCTCATTAGGACAGCAAGGGCCGTCCACGTGCACGGGGAGATTGGCCCCCCGTCAGGGCCAATCAGGGGTTCCCGGGACAGCAACTGACTGTGGGCTCATTACTTTTAACAAAACCCAGCTTGGAGGCAAAACGAGGCTGGCTAGGAAGAGGTGCAGACATTTTCTGAGGAGCACTTTAGCCAAGATCATGGTCCTGTCCCCAGGGGCCCCGGGTGGGGCAGGCATGCATGGTGGCGCTGTGTGTCTCGGGCAACAGAGACCATTGGCAGGCTCGTGCGCACTCTGCGCTGTTTCCGACCACCATGGCCCCCAGAAACGCACAGCCACAGAGGCCGCTTGCCTGCAAGGGTGGCTCTCGGAGGATGCCCACAGATGCCTGGGCAAAGACACACCAGGGAAGGACAGAGACAGGAGAGGCCACGGCGGTGTGCGGTGTGCTCAGAGACCCCCTTCCATGCATGCCCCTCAGAGGGGCTCCTCCTCTTACGTTAACTTCAAGGATAATTCTGACCGTCTTTCCATTCAGCTACTACACAACAGCTTTTATACATTTATGTGAGTAAAGATGCCTCAGGCACGTCAGACTGGAAATAATACAGCATAAATCACTTTTTACAGCAAATAAAACAGTTGAATCAAAGGTGACTTTGCTAACTGTTTGAACCTTTTCTGCGTTCGGGGTAGCACAGGTTTTGTCCCTTTGGGATTAAATTTGCAAATGCATATCAACTTCCTAATTTTATGAAACAGACTTTGGTTGGAGTATTGGAACACAGTATCCAGGGTTATGAGTTCAAAGAGGTAATTGTTGGAGAAATAATTTAATACATCACAAATCCTCTATTTCTATCTCTTCAAATGGGATGCCAAAAGCGATTAAAGACTAAAAACATACCACAAACAAATTCACATTAGAAAATTGCTGTAATCATTCTCTGCTGGATTAACCAGGGTTTAGGAGCCTCTGGTGGCTGGTTCCATCAGGAAGTCTTTTGGAGAGCGATGGTGAAACCAGAGTGGCTTGGGGGTTGGAGACGGTTTGTGCATTTCACCCATCCTCTTAGGAGAACGGTGTTTGTCCTTTACGAAGAGGTGCCTCTTCTTCTCCTGTTCCCATCCTGCAAGGGAAACAGACACGCGCATTTGGTAAAGTAAGCGTCTGTAAAGCAAGCGGCTGGGCATTGACTTAACCATAAGGTAAAACAAAGTTCCCCAATGAGTCTAGTGACAGCTGCGCACATGAAAACAAATCCCATTGTTGGGATGAAATTATCAGCTAAAAGGAGCTGCTGGAAGCCAGCGTGCCTGGTCAACCAGGGTCTGCCCATGAACTGCTGTGGGCCGGATGGACCCAGTGGCACCAGACAGGCCCTAGGGTGGAGGTGAAGCTGGGGCAGTTTTGCCCTGACATAGGAGGCCGAGCGCCTGTTACTGAAAACCGGGGATGCAGTTGTAGGTGAGTGAATTTCTTAACTGGGGGAAGCAAAGCTCTTTGTAACATATACCAGGCACCAGCGGAACCAAAAGTGCTCGGGCCACAGTGCCTCACCCAGGGGTGGGAAAGTCCTTGGCAGCTTGGTTTCAGGCAGGAAAGTGCGTGTTAAGGGCTGCCTTGTCTGAGGTACGCTGACCACAGGGCATCCAAACGCGTGGAGATGCAGGAGAAGTGTCTGTCTCTTTAAGAAATGAAAGGCCAGGCACGGTGGCTCACGCCTATAATCCCAGCACTTTGGGAGGCCGAGGTGGGTGGATCATGAGGTCAGGGGTTCGAGACCAGCCTGACCAACATGGTGAAACCCCGTCTCTACTAAAAATACAAAAAAATTAGCTGGGCGTGGTGGCGGGCGCCTGTAATCTCAGCTACTCAGGATGCTGAGGCAGGAGAATTGCTTGAACCTGGGAGGTGGAGGTTGCAGTGAGCCGAGATCGCGCCACTGCACTCCAGCCTGGGCGATAGAGCAAGACTCTGTCTCAAAAAAAAAAAAAAAAGAAAAGAAAAAAGAAAAAAGGAGAGGCCTTGTGAACCCCACATTTGTTTTCTAACCTGCTGGGCCCTCTATTTTTACCCAGCAAGCTGGAGAGTCCCTGGGGAGCAAGGAAGCAGGCATGGCCATCAGTGCATGAAGACAAGAGTGGGACCTAGGTCAGGCAACCTGCATCTCCTGACCGCACGAGGGACCCTTACAGAGCCACTGGGCTCGGAGAAGCCTGCCCCAAGCTCCCACAAACTAAGCTTCACAAAACTCGTTTCCAAAGAGAGGCCAAGCCATCAAGAGAATGGGTCTTGGCCAGACGTGGTGGTTCACGCCTGTAATCCCAGCACTTTGGGAGGCTGAGGCAAGTGGATCACTCAGGAGTTCAAGACCAGCCTGGGCAACATAGGAAAACACCGTCTCTACGAAAAACAAATTAGCTGAGCGTGGTGGCGCTCGTCTATAATCTCAGTTACTCAGGAGGCTGAGGCAGAAGAACAGCTTGAACCCAGGAGGCAGAAGTTGCAGCGAGCAGATATCGCACCACTGCACTTCAGCCTGGGCAACGGAGTGAGACTCCGTCTCAAAAAAAAAAAAAAAAAGAACAGGTCTTGATCTGTGAGTCGCTCAAGCAGCAGCCAGCAGGGCCCACACCTTTACTCTGTGGCCTTGTAATCCGCTTTCTCCCGTTTCCTAGGCTTGGGTGTGGTTGGCGCGTGTGAGGCTGGAGGGGCATGTGGACCCAGTGACTCAGTGGGCACAGCCTCTGCCTTTCCTGCTGCCGGCCCAGGCCCCAGCCACAGCCCCAGCCCCAGCCCGCACTCCGGAGAAAGGCTCGATGAATCAGGATTGGAAAAGAAACAAGGATGGGACATTTCCTATTTGCCCAGCTCTAGAATGGACTCCTTAAGTCCATAGGCATTTCCTGGTTATTATTAAACAAAGAGAAAGAAGCAAGGAGTACTTTGCGTGCTTGGTGTTTTCACGGCCGAGAGCTGCAAAACCCGAGGCTGCCAAACCACGCGTGGCCACTGAGCACTGAAACGCATTGGAACATGGCTGGTATGAACTGAGCTGGGCTTTAAACACATGCTGGAACTTGAAGACTTAGTGCCAGGAAAGTAAAATATCGAATAACTTTAAATATGGATGACACACTGAAATGATATTTTGGATGTATTGGGATAAGTATTAAGTTATCAATAAAAATAATTTCATCTGCTTCTATTTCCTTTTTTAATATGGCCACTTGAAAATGTAAAATTCTACACATGACCACGTTCTCTCCCTACAGCAACACTGGTCACGGGGTGGTGTGAACACCTCGGTTCTGGGGACGCTGCCTCCCACCTCCCACAGCCTGCACATCTCTACCTAGAAGGAATCTAAAGGTGAGCATCTTAGCCAGACGTGGTGGCTCAGCCTATAATCCCAGCACTTGGGAGGCCGAGGCAGGCAGATCACTTGAGGTTAGGAGTTCAAGACCAGCCTGGCCAACATGATGAAGCCCCATCTCTACAAAAAAATACAAAAATTAGCCAGGCGTGGTGGCGCACATCTGTAGTCCCACCTACTAGGGAGGCTGAGGCAGAAGAATCGCTTAAATCCGGAAGGCAGAGGCTGCAGTGAGCCAAGCCAAGATGGTGCCACTGCACTCCAGCCTCCGTGATGGAGCGAGACTCTGTCTTAAAAAACAAAACAAAACAAAACAACACAGTGAGCGTCTTGAAAAGCTCAGCTGGAAGCAAAGCTCTTTCGTGTTTGGTTCCTCCCTGAGTGTTGGGGGAAGGGTGGCTCCTGGTGGGTGGTGACGGTGAAGTTCTTTCCCGGTGATCCCCAGCCATTCTCAACACACCTGCAGGAGCACAGCCGTCAGAGAAAAGACGAGCAGCCCCCCACGTTTCTCGGGAGCCACGGGCTTGCACAGGCACCCACGTGGGTTCTGCTTTGCTGTTTGCCAGATGTGGGCACACAGGCCGTGGAGGGCTGTCTTGGAATGAGAAGATCCTTGGGCAAATCTGAGAAAGGCCAGATGACACTGTGATTGCCCAGGTGGCTTCGCGAGCAGCCACTGCAGAGAAGGCGAGCTAATTCTCCGAAACACTCCACTCCACTCAGGCCAAGTGAGAAGCATGCAGACGTTTGTAGAACAGTAGACACACAGCTTTGTCATGTACAAAAAAGTTTAAATGTAACTTGAATTTTTATTTAAATTAAGTAATCGGAAGAATTTTTGATTAGTGAAGTGGTTTTTTCAAAAACTTATTCTCCACCCAAAGAGAGAAAGAGAGATTTTTTTCCTCTGCCCTTTTCCTTATGATTTCACACATGTGCTATAATAAGTGGTTGCTTTTAGATGAGTTTTAGCATCTCAGAGACTCTTCAGACTCTGGTTTCGAGTGGACACAAGTATCTGAAAATTGAAATTATTGTGAATTCAGCTACAAATGAACACTATTTCACTTGATATTAAAATTTAACCATATTATTTTTATAAAATAAATGGCAATAAAATGCTTTATTCTGAATATAAATGATGTACCAATGTCTCTGATTTTAACCAGAATAAACACCCCTGTTTCAAATTCTGATAAGCAGGTAATTTATTTAAGATCACGTTGAAATGACCCTAGAAGTGAAGGGCATTTGAGTTTCCAGCTTTCCCACTTTATCTAAAAGGGGAAAAACGGTGTCTGGCACTCAGCTTTTCGAATGTGCAAAACTGATAAACTAGTCTGTTAGGGGAAAAAAAAAAGACAATGAAGAAATAAAAGTGGAAATTAGCAGAAACCAGTATTAGGCATATGTCTTTATGAATAAGACTTAACCATACACTTGATTTTGCAAGTACAGAAGGCCCTGTGGAATGTATTAATCAGAGTTAAACGCTGTAGACAGGCGCGTTGCAGGGCGGCGGCCCTCTCCCCTTGGCATTACCGACAGCCGAGGAAATTGGGTTAATAAAGCCGGATACTGCGGCGGGGCCGCGGGGCGCAAACCGGCGCGGACAGATGGGTCCCCGGGGGCACCCTGCCCGGCTCCCTGGATCCCGGATGGTGGCAGAGCTGGGAGCTGCGCAGGACGGGCACTGCGCAGCGCATCTCCGTTCACACCCGGCGGGGCACGGGGCCCGCAGCAGCTTACTCACCCGTAGCCCGGCCTCCTCCCTCGGAAGGGAGAGGGGATCGGTGGGGAGGGGGTTTGCTGGACACCAGGGCTAGACGGGGCCCTCCCCTGACCGTCAGGGTTAAGTAGGGCGCGGGCTGTGAGGACCCTCCTCCACGCAGCCCCCCGAGGCAGAGGGCCCGCAAAGCGGTCTCCATCCAACTCCACCCCGCGGACGTCCCAGGCAGCGGATGGCGGCGGGGGGGGGAGGCCAGGGGACATTTAGGGGACAAATTCCTCAGACTTCGAGGCAGCCGGCGACGGCGTCCAATTCCCAAATAAATAGAACAAACTCCTACTTGGAAAAGGCCTTCCCCGGGGTCTTCCTGCGCCCGCGGTCCAGCTCCTCTGCAGACGGCCATCGTGGGCTCTCCGCAGGGCTGCGGAGTCTCGGAGTCACCGAGGTGGGAGGTGCCGGCCACGCGCGTCCTCAGGAACAGAGCACTGCCCTGCAGTTTAGCACGAAGGGCCGGCTGGAGCGGGAGCGCGAGGCCCACTGCAAGAGGATCAGGAGCCAGTAAGTCCGGCTTTTCTTCGTCTCCACCTTTCGTGCGCCCGGGGCCAGGACCGCCTGTCCGGAATCTGACCAGTGCCCGTCCTCGCCGTGGCCCTGGGACCCCGCGGTGGTCTTCTTTTGGGGACGAACGGCAGTGCCCGAAGGATGCTCTACCCACCCCCGTTCCTAGACTTGCTGGGTCCCGACAATACCCAGTGGGTGCCGCGAGTTCCCGGGCGCAGAGTCCAGCGTCCGGCTCTCGAGCTCAATCCCGCGCCCCGACGGCCTTGGCGCTTCCCGCTGCGCTAAACTGTCCACCGCGCACAGGCTGGAAGCGAAGTCGGGCCCCCTCCTCCTGGTCTGCAGGGTCCCTCCAGGCCTTTCCTGTCCGGGCAGAGAGACAGTCACAGGGGCGATCGGAGGACGCGTGCGGGAGGGCCGGGGGCCCGCGCGGTCACGGCTTCTCGTGACAGTGTTTGCAAAGCGCGGAGGGCGTCCCGGAGAAGGCGGCGCACTTGTCAGGGCAGGGCCCCAGGGCGGCGCCTGCGGAGAAGGGGCACACAGTGGCCTGGCCGAAGGGCGTCAAGGGCGCGGCGTTTACGGGCGCGGCCAGGCCCTGGCCCTGGTTGAGGAAGGCCACCAGGCGCCGCATCTCGTCCAGGGCCTGCGCCTGCATGAGGATATAGTTCTTGGCGAGCAGCAGCGTGGCGATCTTGGAGAGCTTGCGCACCGACGGGCTGTGCGCGTAGGGGATGACGGCTCGCAGCCCGTCCAGCGCGTCGTTTAGGTCGTGCATGCGCCGCCGCTCGCGCGCGTTGATGCTGAGCCGCAGAGACCGCTGCTCTCGCGGCCGCCGCCGCCCGTCCGCCGCGCTCCCTGGCCCGCGCCGCCGCCGCCGCTGCTCGAAGGCGTCGTCCTCGTCCCCGCTCTGTTCGCCGCTGCTCTCCGCCGCCTGAGCTGGGGCGCGAGGTGCAGGCGCCGCGGGGAGGTCGCCGCCCGGGCCCGGAGTGCCGTAGCCGCGGGCCGCTTCGGGTTCTCGCGCCGCCCCGTAGGCGAGACCCGCAGCCGCCGCCGCGTAGCCGTGGCTTAGTGCCAGGTACGCGTCCCCCGACAGCGACTTGAGCTCGGCCATGGCCGCGCCGCCTGGGCTCGGGGGCTCGCCGGGTGGGCGGATGCTCATGTGGGTGAGCAGCCCCCGAGGCCGGCCCGAGCCCGCCGCTGCCGCTGCCGCTGCGATGAGGCTCCCGGCTCTGCGCGTCGGTCTGGCTTGCCTGCGGGTCCCAGAGCCTCGGCGCCCGCTGCCTCCTCCGCCTCTTCCTTCTCTCCCACCTCCTCTCCCTCCCAGCCGCGACGCGCAGGGGGCGGGCTCTACCTCCCCCTCGCCCCCGCTTCGGTTTTAAGCCGCGGAGGCGCCCGGTGGGACCTCGCTGCTGTCCAATCAGGGGGGACCGGGTGAGCTCCTCTTCCTGGAGCCGGGCTCCACCAGCGCCGCAGGCTCACAGGCCGGGGGTGGGGGCTCTGGACCGAGGGGCGGCGCGGGGCGGCGCGGGGCGGCGCGCGCGGTCCTGGAGCGCTAGTACTTGCTTCTCGACTCCCCGGCCGCCGCCTCCGGCCGCCCCGGGGATTCCGCCACCAAACGCACGCGTCCCAGGTGGGCACCCGCCTCGGTCCGTCTTTGAGTCTGACCCTAGCGCAAGAGTCCCTGGCGACACGCAGGGGCCAGAGCGGGGGGGCGCGCCGCAATAGCAGCAGCGCCAGCGCCAACACCCTGTCCCGCTGAGGGGCCGCTTCGGGTCGGGGTCAGGGTCGTGGGCGCTCTGGTGCAGCCGCGGCGCAGCGTGTACCCGGAGCCCGCACACTCCCTGCTCGGGGCGCCCTGTGGCCAGGCTTGAGGGGCAGAGTGAGAGGGAGTTTCTAGAACCTGTTGAAAAACGCCACGAGCGTTGCAGGCCGGGGAGGGCGGGAAGGTGGAGGGCAGCGCGGCCTGGGGCTCCCCGGGGGTGGGAGGGGAGCTCTGTGAGCTGCAGGACCGCCTCTTCCCTGCCAGCCGCTTCCTGGGCATCTATCAGCGAAACGCGTGAGGCTTGGTGGGCTTTCCCGGAGCCTCCGAACCCCTGGGGTCCAGCCACACTGGATGGGAATGTGGCCAGCCTCGGACTCGCCTTTTCAGTCCTCTTCCAACCCCGCATGAAGGCCAGAACCCCAGCCCTTCTCCCAGGTGGGAACCTGCCTGGAGGCCCGGCCGAGTGCTGAGGCTAGAGTGTGCTGAGGGATAGTGGCTTCTCCGGTCCTGGCTTGGGTGGGAGACTGGGCCACCCTGGCCTATGGCACGAGGTGGAGCGGCCCGTCGGGCCCTTCTGTGTGACCTGGGAAGGGCCGCATACCCTCCCTGTTCTCCAGGCTCCGCCCCAGGAGGAGCCACAGCGATGGGGCAGTGTGCGCAGCCCCGGGAGGGGAGTGGGAGCTGCACGTGTGTGGGGCGGATGTGCTGTCTGGAAGGTTCTGGGAACGCAGCAGTGACCGGCCTGTCCGGTGGTTCCCTGCCAGGTGCGGGGTGTGAGGAGACAGATGCATGGATAAGTCTCCGTGGGAAACTCAGGCCTTTGTCCTGGCGGAGGGGAATGGGTCTGAGGCAGCCTCTGCCGGGCTGGCGGCCTGTCTGGCTGCGCGTCCTGCAGCACCGGCCTCACCCCCAGCACACGCCCGCCAGGAGCGCAGGGGCCCCGAGGATGGAAGCGTCTGTCTGAGGCGCTGTCCTGGGACCCCACCCCGCCTTCGGGGCTGATGCACAGACCGGGAATTGAGGATACCTGGTGTGGAGGAGGCCGCTGTGTTTGGGCCTGGGTCTGAAGGGTGAGTGGGTGTCATTGTGGCCACGGGCCGGGGTCGGGGGAGCATTCAGGTGGCCGGAGGAGGCCTGGCACAGGGAAGGGCAGTGAGGGGCCCGGGTGGGGCCAGGAGATAGAGGGGCGGGACCAGGCCTGTGGGACAGTTTGAATCACGCGGGGAGTTTGGTCTTTATGGGAAGAAAGGCGCCGTGGCCATTCGGAGAGCCACTCTGGCACTGCTGCCGGTGCGGTCCGGGGCTGCGGGGCCTCCTCCTGGGCCTGAACTGCAGGGCTGGTGGGGGCCATGGGGGAAGGTGGCTCCACAGGTCCCCGGAGCTGGGGGAGCAGGAGGATGGGGTTGACCAGGAGGGAAAGCTATGGAGCTGGAGAATGCAGGAGGCCCCCGAGGGGAGGTGCAGCCAGCGCTGGTGGGGAGGCCTCTGAGGGGTACGCGGTAATTGACATCACGGGTGTGGGTGAGAGTGGCTTTCAAAGCATCGGCTGGAGCAGGGTCCCCATTAAAGCCAGAGACGCTGACGCCATGGGGCTGGGGTTGGGGCTGGGCCGGGGCTTTGGGAGGTCCGAACTCCCCAGCAGGGAGCCAGGGCTCTGGGCCAGTTCCCAGGCCCAGTTAATCTTCAGTAGAATCGATCGACCTTGGCTCAGAGGGTTGGAGGCAGGGATGGGCAGGGGGTGAGGGGTGAGGCGCACGAAACAGCACCCGGGTGAGGCCCCTGCTGCGGCCCCTGCGGGACCAGCCACGAATTCCGGGCTTCAGCCCCGCCAGCTTCAGAGGCGGCGTTTTCGGTGCGACGCTGCCACCTGCTGGCTGTCTGGGAGTTGCACCCAGAGGCTCAGAACCCGTGTTTCTCAGAGGGCCCGGGAGGGGCGAAACTGCGGGTTCCCAGGCCCTCCCGGATTCTGCGCAGGTGGACGCTGGGGGCTGTTTCACAGGCGCCCACATGATAGGGGAGCTGGAGGAACCTGCCGTCTCCGCCATCGAGCGCCCCTCCGAGCTGGGGTTGGACGCTGCCAGTTTGCACAGCAGCAGGTGAGCCTGGGGGGTTGAGGGCTGAGCGGGGGTCCCAGCCGATGAAGCAGCCCCGCACCTTGGCCAGCTTCTCGAACCTCCTCTGGGCAGAGGCTGTGGAGGCTGCGAAGCGGCGGAGGCGTTGACCAGGCCAGCTGCTCAGCCTTTCTGGCCTCAGTTTCCACAGCTGTAAAGTGGGGTCTGTCCACAACACGTGTGGTCTAGCGACGGCCCTGCGGAGTGGGTCTGTAACTGCGGACTCACTTGTCCCGGGCTGTTCTGAACCGGTGGTTCCCCCGCCCTCCCAGGAGACAGCACCTGTGGCCGGCAGCCGCCCCTGCAGCGGCCCCTGGCTCCCACCGCGCCCTGGCCCTGGGGGTGCCCAAAGACCGGGGTGTGCTGTGGCCCGAGTGAGCACCCTGTGGGCGTCACTGCTGTCCATGCTGCTGGGATTGGGGAAGGGAGGTCTGGTGGGGCACAGTGGGCGCACCAGGAGGTCAGGCTGGGTGGGGGGAGCGGGAGGGAGCCCCCGCTGGGTGGTCTTGGGCCAGCCAGCTTCTTGCCTGCAGGGCAATGGTGCTAGTAACTGGAACAACCCACCCTGCCTCTCCCAGAGACGGCGCCTCCTCAGTGCTCCCCTTCCACAGGACGTAGGGTCTTCTAGAGATCAAAACAGGGAGGAGGAAAGAAATCCTACCGCAGGCCCCTGCCCCGACCCTGGGACCCACACTGTTTGGCTTCTAGGGACAACGCCCAGGCCCTGGGATTTGAAGACTCCACCTTTTCTTTCGTGTGTATATGTGCTCTGTCAAAATGTGTATCACATGAAGTTGATCGTTGTGACCATTTTCAGGTGCACAGCCCAGGGGCATTGTACACAACCGCGGTGTTGTGCAGCCGACGCCCCCATCCAACTCCAGAATGTTTGTATCTTCCCAAACTGAAACTCTGTCCCCAGTAACCCCGGCTCCCCTCCTCCCCCACCCGCTGGAAACCACGACTCCGCCGCCCACCTCTGCATTTGACTGCTCCAAGTACCTCAGGAAATGACCTCATGCGGTCTCCGCACGTTCGCGTCCATCTTGTTTATTTCCAGCGTTTGGCCCGTGGGAGCGATGAGCGCACCTGTTCAGCCCCTGCTTTCAGTTCTTTCAGGGAGTTCTCACGTGGTCTTCAGAGGTTCCCACACGCTGCTTCCCACAGCAGCTGCACCATTGTACATTCCAACAGCAACGGACAAGGGCTCCAATCTCTTCGTATTCTTGCAAACATTTACTATTTTATGTGGTTTTTTTTTCTTTTCTTTTTTTTTTTTTTTTTTTGAGACGGAGTCTCGCTCTGTCGCCCAGGCTGGAGTGCAGTGGTGCGATCTCGGCTCACTGCAAGCTCCACCTCCCGGGTTCCCGCCATTCTCCTGCCTCAGCCGCCCGAGTAGCTGGGACTACAGGCGCCCGCTACCACGCCCGGCTAATTTTTTGTATTTTTATTAGAGACGGGGTTTCACCGTATTAGCCAGGATGGTCTCGATCTCCTGACCTCGTGATCCACCCGCCTCGGCCTCCCAAAGTGCTGGGATTACAGGCGTGCGCTACTGCCCGGTTTGAAAAGGCAATTGAGGTTTCTAAACTCCTACTAAAGGAAATAATTCCTAGAGTTGGGCTGCCTAAGAGCTTACAGAGCGATAATGGCTCACCTTTCACAGCGACAGTTACCCGAAACACATCTTCAGCCCTAGGAATTCAGTGCCGCCTTGACTCGGCACGGAGGCCACAGTCTTTGGGGAAAGTAGAAAGAGCTAATCAAACTCTAAAAAGGACTCTTGCTAAACTATGCCAAGAGACATCAGAAACCTGGAGGTCTTTATTACCTGTAGCCTTATTACGGGTTCGAATGGCCCCTAAGGGAAATCTGCATCTCAGCACTTTTGAAATAATGTATAGAAGGCCTTTCTTAACTACAGACCTCCTAATAGACATAGATACTTTCAAGCTACAGAATTATGTGATCAACTTAGGACAAGTGCAAAACGCACTCCTTGACTATGGAAATCAGAGACTCCCTTCCCCCACTGAGGAAGACAATCTGGTTCCAACCCAGCTGGGAGACTGGGTCCTATTGCAAACTTGGAAGGAAGGATCCTCAGCAGATCAACTTTCCCCCCAAGTGGAGGGGACTCTATCAAGTTCTCCTTAGTACCCCAACTACAGTTAAACTTCTGGGAATAAACAGCTGGGTCCACTTATCTCAAATTAAACCTGTCTCTTATAAAGCCCCACAGGCCAACGGAACACAAGAGACTGATCCCGTTTATTCCCGTGAGCCAGTCAGTGACCTCTGATTCCTGTTCCTAAGAAATGAGAGGGATGGGGGGCATAAATACCTGGATTGGCATTCTACTTTTAGGCACAAGTTGGAATCATGCAGAGAGTGATTTATTTACTGAGTAGGCACAGACTTTAGCCTGTCTACATAATCACATAAACGGTTGGGTATGTGGAGAATTGCCACTTTCCTCCACCTCTGGGTTGCCCTGGCATAGTCAACTGGCCAGCCTAAGTCTGTGGGGATTTTACGTTCCAGACCATTACCCAGGCTATGAGAGCTTTAGAGCTCACGTCTCTGCCATTGATGAGCTGTCAGTCAGTCCTCTATTGGCTTGGTTCCAACAGCTGCCCAGTTCTTGGAAAGCCTTTCTGTTTAGCTAGTTTACTTGGAATGATTTTATTTATTTTGCTTTGCTATTGTAGAATATATTGCGGTTGTACTCTTTGTGTAGGAATGCATGACAAGCTCACTCAACACTTTCTTCAGTTGGACATTTTTTTGTTTTTTTTTTGTTTTTTTTTGAGACGGAGTCTTTCTCTGTAGCCCAGGCTGGAGTGCAGTGGCATGATCTTGGCTCACTGCAACCTCCACCTTCTGGGTTCAAGTGATTCTCCTGCCTCAGCCTCTTGAGTAGCTGGGATTACAGGCGCACACCACCATGCCTAGCTAATTTTGTATTTTTAGTAGAGACGGGGTTTCTCCATGTTGGTCAGGCTGGTCTTGAACTCCTGACCTCAGATGATCCACCCGCCTCAGCCTTCCAAAGTGCTGGGATTACAGGTGTGAACCACCATGCCCATCCTGTTTTTCCTTCTTAAATGAGACAAGAGGGATAGAGAATGGGGCTGTGTGTTTCCCTTCCCAACATAAAAGACTGGAGGGAGCTGGAGTTGATACTTCCCTTCCTCCAGGTTGGTTAGACTCTGATTAAACTCTGGTACGTTAAAAATAGTTTCTCTTGAGGGCAGAGGAAGAACAGAATGCTCTGGCATATTTCGAAAGTGCTACTTCTCCCCTCCCCTTGTCCAAAGCACAAGGGGATTTTTCTCTGGTATTTACCTGGGGGATCTGGTAGAGTTTGTGCAGGTAAAACTCACAGAAGTGTGGCCTCCACCCTAAGACTGGGCCCTGGAGTTTTTAACTGTCAAGCTTGGCCACACAGCCTCCAGCAATCTGCCAGTGACAGTTTAGGTTTTCCCAACCTGGCAGTGGTTCCCAGGGAGGTGTCTGCTCTGCAGAATTGGGATTCTCTGCATCTGTCTGTCGTCTCTACAACTTTTTTGGGCAGTGGTTTGCCCTGTGACCTCATCATCTGTTGAATATAAGAAATATTATTGACTTTCAGTTTGCTCACGTTTTGTTCTTGTGAAAAGATTGATTGTTTCCAAGCTTCTCACACAGTGGACTAGAAATTGATTCATTTCATTTATCCTTTTTGGGTTTGTGGGGTTCTTGAATTTGTGACTTGATGATTTTGATTACTTTTAGAAATTTCCTGGCTATTAACTCTGGAGTATTGCTTCAACCTCATGTTCTCTCATCTCCTCTCTGGGATCCAGTTACAAATATATTGGTCCTTCTTCCTGAATCCTTTGTGTATCTTAACCTGTCACCTGTATTTTCCATTTGTATTATCCATACTTCATTCTGAATATTTTCTACTGACCTATTTTCCACTTCACTAATTCTCTCTTCAGCTGAATTTGCTATTAAAGCCACTAAGTTTATAATTTAAGTGATTTTATTTTTCAGTGCTAGAATTTTCATTTGGTTTTTCTAGGTTTTTTTTTTTTTTTTTGCTGAAATTCTAAATTCCACCTCTATTTCTGCAAATGCTGTAAGCACAGTTTTGTTCCAGTCTCTGTCTCGCGACTCCAGTGTCTGGACTGGTAGATCTTCTGCCTATGGTCTCTGCTGCTTTCATTCTTGCTGATTTGTTTTTTCAATTGTCTAGAATTTTTATTGTGGACTGAACATTGTATTTGTAAAATTATTTTGTAGAAATCATTTGAGGTCTATTTTATTTTCCTCCAGAGAGGGTTTATGTTTGCATCTGCGAGACATGGGGGCACTAGGGGTCCTGGATCATCTTACTCTAGTTTCAGGGATTGAAATCATTTCAAGATGATTACAGTTTAGGTTTTCCTACCCTGGCAGTGGTGCAAAAGGCCCTGAGTTGCTGCAAGAGCCGGTCTCCTTCTATCCACCCCTATGTCTAGGGTGCGGTTATTTGTTGTCCCAACTCAAAATGGTGGGGGTCGGGGGGATGTTCGCCAACTCCCCACTCTCAGGTGGGCTGAATCTCTCGCTGTCTGGCTCCTCAGTGGGCTGTGAGCTATCTGAAGCAGCAAATGCTTTGGGGGAAAAGTGAGCGTCCCGAAGGCTTTTTTCACTCTGGATCTTTGTCTTTCTGGGATTTTGTTTGTTTGCATTCCAAGCAAATATTTTTAACATTTTGCTCAGCTTTTGTAGTCACCATCAGAAAAGTGATGGGTCCAGATTAACTAGTCCCTAATAACCAGAAACTGGAAGTCTGATGGTTGTTTTCAGTCTTGAACAACATTGATTCTGCGGTGACCAGTTTAGAGTTCATGCAATAGACCTTCCTCCCCCTTGTAAAATCATCACTATTTCAGCTAATACTTAGAGTGACCTCCTGGTGACTCATCCTCAGCCCCCTTTGCCGGTTCTTCTTTTCCCCGACATTTTCATTCTGGAGGGCTTGGGATTCAGTCCTTTGGCCTTTTTCCTAGCTGTGTCTGCCCCCTCGGGGATCTCATCCAATACCCTTCCCACAGCCTACCCAGACCCCAGTGCTGAACTCCAGACTCACGGATTCAGCGGAGCGCAGAATGTCAGATGTGTGAGGGCCGCCTCCGATGCAGCGCGTTCCAGATGGAGCTGCGGCCTCCCCCAGACCCGCCCACCCCCACCCCCAGATTCTGTTGAGGGCAAATCATGCTTCCTCGCAGCTCACACCCTGTTGGTTCTCCCTCCCACGTTCATCTGGAATGCGGCCGCTCCCCACCTCTTCCCGCCTGCCCTCAGTCAGCACAGCAGCCTTCTAATGGCTTCTGCCCTCCCATCATCCCCAGACCCTCCCTTTCACACAGCAGCTGTGAGGTCCTCCTCAGGCAGGGTCAGGTCACGCCTCTCCCTCTCAGAGTCCTGCCTCAGCCCCTCCCCTGTCATCAACAAAGACTAGACTGTGAATGGCCCCATCTGCCTCCTGCCTCCCGAGCTCACAGCCTCTGAGGTCCCGGATGGGAAATCCCACCAGGCAGTCTGTGGACGCCGCACTGCAGGCGAGTGGGGTCTATCTTTTCAAAGCTGATGCCCACGCCCAGAGAGGGTGTCTTCCATGAGAGACGTGGCCTGGCAGCTGCTGCTGTGGGCCCTGGGCCCGGGGACACACCCGGCCCTCATTGAAGACAGGAGGCATCCCGCTGGGGGAGTCAGATGAGATGTCCAGCCCCACGTCACCTCCCTGTGCTCGGCCGTGCTCCGTGAATGGCCTGGTGGGTTTCTGTGTGTGGAGAGCTGGGTGGGCTTCTAGGGTCTTGACTACGGGGCTGGATGTAGAGTACTCTAGAGAGGCTGGGGATGAGATGAGGCAGCTGCAGGTGGCCCCTCCTCACCGCCTGAGGACGCGGGACCACGCCAGGCTTTTCTGGGCAGGGTGCCCCTGGCTGTGTGGCAACAGATATGCACAGAAATGCCACATGGGCTCCTGAGGCAGCCTCATGTCTCCACTGGTGGGTGGTGTGGGAGAGGGGACCTGAGATTTTGCCTGGCTCCTTGCTATTTGGGGGACGGGTGTGCCTCTGGGGTCCCAGCTGTGAACCAGGTTGTTTCACCTGGGGTGGGGTCGGGCTTGGCTCTGTCCCCGGGTCCTGGGCTTTCCTGGGCTCCCACTCACTGCCCTCTGGGCAGCTGGGCCTCCCCACATCCCTGGCGCGCTGGGGCAGCCCCATCTTCCTTCCTGCTGCTCAAGCGAGAGCCTCGCCACCACTCTGAGTGCCTTCGCTCACGCTCATCCAGTGCATTTGAAATCCCCGTGCTCCACCTTCCCGACACCCAGAGTCAGCCCCATCACAGGTCTCATCTGCACAGGGCTCCCTGCCTTTCCCTGTCTCCACCTCCCCCACCCCTGCCCAGTCAGCCGCATCACAGGTCCCATCTGCACAGGGCTCCCTGCCTCTCCCTGCCTCTCCCTGCCTCTCCCTGCCTCTCCCTGCCTCTCCCTGCCTCTCCCTGCCTCCACCTCCCCCCGCCCCGCCCAGGCCTGCAGCTCCTCTCACCCGGTGCTCCACCCCTGCATCTGGGCTGCTGGGGCCCCCGTGGCCATGACAGATGCCGCAGAGGCGTCACATCCTTTCTGGGTGTGATGGCCTCGGCTTCTGCTCGCTCACTGCCCGGCATCTCCAGTCCAGCTTCTCCTGCAGCATGGAGAGAGGCCACGTGGAGGGTGTGCCCAGCCCATGGCCCACCCAAGGTCCCCTGTGTATTGGTGACCCTGCTTGGACCTTGCAACCCAGCCCAGCCCCACGGGATGCAGCCACGAGGTCAACCCAGCCACACCTCATGAAGCGGACACGGCCACCCCGACCCTTCTCTAGTCCTGCACCCAGAGTTGTGACTGTAAAGTGGGGGTTGTTTTAAGCCACCAAGCTCTGGGGTAGTTTGCTCCAGGCAGCAGGTGACTGAGACACTGCCCTGTGGGACTCCCCATTTCTGCACTCGCTCCCCTGTATGGGGGCTCCTGGATCATGCCAGGGTCACGTCTGATAAACCCAATGTTAGTTGAAAGCCTCCAGATGAAAGGCACTCAGTGCACTCCGCCTCCTGAATATCATTGTTCGGCCTCCCGGCCTTCACCATGTGCAGACGCTGACGTCAGCACATTCGACAAAGTCCCCAATTCCCTTGCTCTGTTTCTAAGGCCCCGCCACCCCCACGCTGTGGCTGCGCTTCCTTGTCCTCATCCTTGTCCACCTGTGTTCTTTCCAGGTGCCCTGAGTGGACTGGAGGGGCACAGGGCAGCCTGGCACCTGCTGAGCCCTTGCTGGGGCCATGCTGTCCTGAGCCCCTGCTGAGCACCTTATGGGGACATGAGTGGGGGCTCAGTCTGGGAAGGAGGAGGGGAGGCCTGGGGAGATGGTCTGACTAGCTCTGCCCAGCCCCTCGGTGCTGTCTGGGGACAGGCTGGGGTCCAGGGCCTCCCCAGATGATGGGACCAGTGTCTCCAGGGCTCTGCAGGCTGGTCGGGGCGGCTGACCTGGGCATTTCTTCTTCTGGCTGCCGGGAGGCAGCAAGGCCCCAGGTTTGCATCTCAGTGGCCAAGTCTGGGCGAGGCTTTTCGGGGAGCAGGGGTGCAGCGGCCAAGTGTGTCTTTGGCCACTCTGGGGCCACATCAACGGGTCCTGGGGTCCCTGAAGCACCCGGGAGGCAGCCAGGAGGGCGCCAGTGCTGGGCTGTGCAGGGTGGGCCTGAAGAAGGGGGTGGTGCCTGGCGGTGATGGAGTGGGCCCGTCCCATCCCCCAGGCCGGCAGCCCTGCCTCAGGAGAGCCCTCAGTGGGCTGCAGAGGGGCCTCCCACGGTGAGAGAGGACGGGGAGGGACTGGAGTGTGGTTCATGTGGTGGCCTGCTGGTGCAGGGCTGGGCTCCATGTTGGCAGGGCTTGCGGGGGCGGTGCTGGGCTTCACAGTGGCAGGACTTGCAGAGGGGGCCTGGGCTCCATGGTGGCAGGGCTGGTGCAGGGCTGGGCTCCACAGTGGCAGGGCTGGGGGGTCTGTGCCCACAAGGCCACATCAGGCACAGGGGACCAGCCCCCAGGACAGAGGTCAAGGCCTGGATTTTGTGGCCCAACCTGGACCCCTAACTCTCTCCTTGCCCCACAGTGAGTAAACCGAGGTGCAGTCATGGCGCCTGCCTCCTGCCGTGTGTTTAGGTGAATGAGGTCAGGCCGGGTACTCACCTGTGCATCCCCGCTGCTGGGACCACAGCAGGTGCACCCACGGACCCCAGCCCCACTCCGACCGCCTGTGTCCTCACCCTCTGCGGGCTGACCCTTTCCCCCTCTGGCCAGTGGAGGTGGGAAGGCTCTGAGGGCCCCTGAGCCCAGGTTCCCTCTCTGTGGCCCTTAGCCCTGGCCACAGCACTCGGAACTTCTAACCGAGCCCTGCCGCCATAGCACACGGTCCGTGGTGCAGTCACCTGACACTGCACCAGGGCGTGATGTCCACAGGCAGGCCATGCCCCGGCTCCACACAGCGGCCCCGGACTGGAGTGCCCCCCGCAGAGACAGCGGGCAGGAGGCCGTCCTTCGGGGCCACCACTGTGACCATGAGATGCCCAGCCCTAGAGGGTCAAGGGTCCGTCTGAGCTGCCCGAGAGGTCCTCTGGGCTGAGCAGGGAGTGCACAGGTGGTGGCCGACGCCTGCTGCTGAGAGCGCAGCTCTGCGGTGTTGATGTGGAAGCAGCTGAGCCCTGGGGCATGGGCTCCACCAGGGCCCTCACGGCCTGCGAGACTCAGGGCTGGGGACTGGGTGCTGCCATGTGGTGGCCCTGCTGTCAGCTGCAGTCCCCAGCTCTGACCTGCAGAGTCTCACTGTCTCCTTTCGGCGTTTGCGGAGTTGGTGCGTGTGCCCTGGCCGTGCTCGGCAAGGGTTCCTCCCGGATAAGGTGGAACCCGATTTGGGGTGCGCTGGTATCACTGTCGCAATGATGCAGTGTCGTCCCGTCTGGGAACAAGGCATCTTGCCATTTATTTAGGTCTTGAATTTTTCTCTTCAATGCCTTGTGGTTTCAGAATGCGGCTTTTCCACAGAGTTTGTGAGATTTTCCTATTTGTCCCACCTGTTCTTGCTGCCTCTTCTCTTGTATCGTTTGGGACTAACGGACCTTTCACATGACTCTGTGCTTACTGTCACTACCCGCTTGTTTGATACTCCCTTCCTTCCTTCCTTCCTTTCTTTCTTTTACTTTCTTTGTCTCTTTGTTTCTTTTTCTTTTCACAGTCTTGCTCTGTCACTCAGGCTGGAGTGCAGTGGTGCAATCTCGGCTCACTGCAACCTCTGCCTTCTGGGTTAAAGCAATTCTCCTGCCTCAGCCTCCCGAGTAGCTGGGATTACAGGCATGAGCCACCATGCCCGGCTAATTTTTGTATTTTTAGTAGAGACGGCGTTTTGCCATGTTGGCCAGGCTGGTCTCAAACTCCCGACCTCAGGTGATCTGCCCGCCTCGGCCTCCCAAAGTGCTGGGTTTACAGGTGTGAGCCACCGCACCTGGCCCTTTGGCTTACGTCTTAGTGGCCACCCTCTTCAGTAGGTAGGCTTCTGGTACGTGCTTCCAGATCACCAAGGCGTAGCTCTAAAGAGCACCATGAGTTCATAACAGCATAAGATCCGCTCGCCGCCCACCCGCTCGCCACCCACCCGCTCGCCACTCACCCGCCCGCCCACCCGCCTGCTTGCCCTTTGTACTATCGTTGTCAGACGTTTTACTAAATCCACATATGTTATAAACCCCACAGTGTATTATGAATACGTTTGCTTTAACAGGCGATTATCTTTCAAAATTTGAAAAGTAATAAAAACAGCATTTTTTTTTTTAAAGAGACAGCTCTCACCGTGTTGCCCAGCCTAAACTGAACTCCTGGGCTCAAGTGATCCTCCCACCTCGGCCTCCCAAAGTGCTGGGATTACAGGCGTGAGCAAACACGCCCAGCCAGAAAAACAGCATTTTTATCATCCACATATTTTCCCTATCTAGCCACTTTCTTTGTCTGTGTAGACTCATCTGGTGTCATTTTCCTTCTGCCTGAATAACTTTGATGTTTCTTGTACCGCACGTCTGCTGGTGATAAATTCTCTCGGCCTTTTGTTGAAAAAAATCTTTATTTGCCTACATTTGTGAGGATATTTTTCCCGATGTAGAGTTTTAGCTTGACAGGTATTCTCTTCTTTCAGTCCTTTAAATGTGCTAACGCGTCGTCTGTCTCCCAGCTCACGACGTTTCACACGATGTCGGCTGTAATTCCTGTCTCTCTATGTAACATGCCTGTTTTCTTTGACTGCTTTTAAGATTTTTCTGTGTCACTGGTTTTCTACAGTTTTATTACAATGGCCGTGCCGTGGTTTCTTTCTGTTTATTCTGCTTGGAGTTCATGGAGCTTGTCTAGATTTTTGTCCAATTGAAAAACTTTATTAAACATTTTTTCTTGATCCCTCCACCACATTAGCTGTGTGCAGCATATTGTGGATTTTTTTTTTTTTTTTTGAGATGGAGTTTTGCTCTGTCTCCCAAGCTGGGATGCAGTGGTGCGATCTCAGCTCACTGCAGCCTTCACCTCCCGGGTTCAGTGATTCTCCTGCCTCAGCCTCTTGAGTAGCTGGGGCTACAGGCACTGCCACTAGGCCTGGCTAATTTTTTTGTAGTTTTGGTAGAGATGGGGTTTTGCCATGTTGGCCAGCCTGATCTCGAACTCCTGACCTCAATTGATCTGCCCGCCTTGGCCTCCCCAGATGCTGGGATTACGGGCATGAGGCAGCACGCCCAGCCATTGGTCTTCCAGTCTTTTTTCCCTCACTGGGCTTCATTTTGAATATTTGCTATTGCTATGTCTTCACATTCCTTAAAAAATGTCATTGGATGTTATTCCTGTCCATCGTGTTTCATTTCCGATGTATTTTTCGCCTCTGAAATTGCGTTTAGGTTCCTAAAGATCTGTCATTGCACTCTTCAGCACGCTTATGTTTTCCTCTGTGTCCTTGAAAATGTGGGCCCTAGTTGTGACTGCGGCTTTAATGTCCTTGTCTGCTGATGCCATCGCCGCCGTCCTTTCTGGGTCTGTTTCTGTTGATTCTTTTTTCTCCTGATCCTGGGTCATACTTCCCCCTTTGTTGCATCCTTGGTAATTTTTGGCTGCACGCTTCCTTGTGAGTGCTACATTGTTAGGTGCCAGGTTTTGTTGTAACCCTTTAGAGAGTGTTGGGCTTAGTCCTGGTATGTGGTGAAGCTGCTGGGAACCCGATGACCCTTTCCAGGCTGGCCTTGGGTGCTGGCAGGCCGGATGCAGGTTATCTCAGCGCCGTAGCAGTTCCCTTTGGAGGGCTCTCCCGGTGACGCTCCCTCCCTGTGGGGATGCAGCTTATTCCTGGCCTGTGTGAGTTCCAGGTGCTGTCCCTGTTCCATTCCCCAGGGCTTTCTCCCATCTTGCAGTCTCATCCCAGGCACGTGCAAGTTGGTACCTTTCTAAGGCTTTCGGGGAGCCCTCTGTGGACCTCGGTGCTCCCTCTCTGTGCAGCCCTCTGTCTCTGGTCTTCTGCCCCGTGGCTATGCCTTCTGTCTCCTCAGCTCAGAGAGATGTCTGGGTTCTGTTTGCAGCCCCTTCTGAGTCGCAGCATGGGAGCTGTCTTCAGGTGGTGAGCCGGGCAAGTGTGGGTGCCCCTCACTTGCTCTCTCAGGGGTCATGGTCCTGCACTCCAGACCCCGAGTCTGAAGGCTGCTGTCCACGTGTGTTGTCGGTTTCTAGTTGTTTATAGGGGAGGGGCCCTTTCCTAGACGGGCACCGGAGTCTGGCTGCTTCTGTCCCTGTTCTCTCCACTGGCCGGGGACCATGAGAGGCTCTGGTGGGGCCGGTGATGTTTATTGAGTGGTGACGTTTATTGAGCAGTGGAGGGGACCGGCTCTGTAAAGCCTCAGCTCTGTGCAAGCACTCAGCGGCCTCCTTCCCTCCTGTCCTACAGACGGGGACCTGCGCCTGGAGAGCACTCTGCCCGCTGAGGCAGAGCCCGAGTATGTGCTGCCGTCTGTCTGTCTGCAGAGCTTGGGAGCTGGTGTGTGAGGGGGGGTGTCCAGAGTCCTGGGCGGTGGGTGCTGGGTTCTCCTACTGTGGGAAGACCTCAGGGCACCAAGCGTGGGGCTCCCTGATGTCCACGTGGGCCCTGCCCATCCCCCCCATCACTGAGTGCAGAGTCTCCCTCTGGGTTCCCGGATGGTTCCAGACGATGTGGGTGCAGGCGGTAGGTCTCTCTGCAGTGTGGATGGGTCCAGACGACGTGGGTGCAGGTGGTGGGTCCTTCTGCAGTGTGGATGATTCCAGATGATGTGGGCGCAGGCGGGGAGGAGTGAGGGGAGCACGGCGCAGGGCCATGCTTTCTGAGCCCTGACTGGACACAGCATTGTATGGGGCGGAGACCTGGACGTCTTGAGCTGGGTCTCGCCGACTTCCCCTTCCACACATCCCAAGCTGCACAGGAGGCTGGCCCGGGTCCCGAGGGCCCCTGGAAGCTGCCCCAGCCGCGTTGCTCTCAGACAGGGGCGTCCTGGCTGCAGCGGGGGCCCTGTGCCGCCTGCGGTGTCTGAGAAGGCGTGAACGCCTGGAGAAGCCCAGGGACAGAGACTGCGCTGGGAGCAGAGTGAATGTGTCTGTTATTGATTTTCTCCACGTGGCTCCCACGTTATTGCACACGTGATTTTGTACTTGGCTGAGATTAAATATTAATACATTGAACATTAAAAGAGTTTTCAGCCCTTTAAACAATTGTTTATGGCACAATTAAAAGGCAAATGAATGATGTTTTTTAGGAGCAAGTTTGTTGGCCTGAGTCTTATTTGTGAGGGCTGGAGCTGAGGGGAGGCCCCTTGAGGGGGCGCAGAGAGGGAAGCCGTGTGGCATGGCCACTTGCAGTGGGCGGGCATCTGCTATTTATTGAGGCAAGATGAGGGGGCAGGCTGCCCTGGTGCCCCTGCTCCAGACCCGCAAATACCAGGAGCAGCCCCTGACGAGAGACCCTAGCCCCCTAGCCCATCCACCGTTTTGATGTAAACCAGGTTTCCATGAGCCTCCCATGCGGCTGCAGGGGGTGGGGGAGGTGGGTCAGCAGAGAGCGAGCCAGGTGGGCAGATGGGGTGTGGGCCGCTGCCCTGTGCAGGGTGCTCCCCTCTCCCTGGTGAATGGACCGTCACCTCTGCTTCCTGGCGCCAGCTCCTCGTCTGTCTGACTTCTCTCGTGCTGTGACCTGCAGGGTCAGGACCGCACGGCCTTTCCTCTGAGCTGGGGTTCAGTCACTTGCAACTGAAGGATCCTGACTGAGCCAAACTAGTTAAAGTAGGAAAAGGGCCTCTGGAGTTTTCAGTTACGTGAACCGAGAACGGCTTCAGGCACAGTGGAGTCCAGGTGCCACTGCTGGCACAAAGCCTGGGTCTCCTTCCATCCCTCAGCTCTGCTGTGTCCTGGGCTGACTTGACTCTGAGGCAGTGGAACCCTCAGCGTGGCAGGAGCTGCCGGCAGCCCCGGAGGAAAACGAGCACCTCTTCCTCCAGCATCTGCTCTCTCTTGGCCTGGAAATTCCGTCCTGAGTCTCCTTCCCAGGTCTCAGTCCTGGCGGTTTGAGTGGCTGATCAGAATCTCCCGCGCCGCCCACAGGAGACCCAGCTGGGTCCGGCTGGTCAGTGCCAAGCCCTGGACCTGCGTGGTGGCGCCCCCAAAGGCTGCTCGGAACCGGCCCGTGCAGGTGGACCTCTGTCTGTTGGTTCCCCTCTTCCCTCTTCACACCCTTTAGGTGCTTCCTGCAAGTCTGAAAGGAGGTGCACCCTGGCCCGGGGGAGGTTTGCGGGGTGAACACTTAATCCGGACTAGTTTCAGGAGGGCTTCCTGGAGGGGGCTGCATTTGGGTGGTGTCCTGATGGAGCAGAGATTGTCTTTTTGGAGGACCGGGTCCCATGTAGAGGCTGTGAGCTGCCCACACACTCTTCATGCCATGCCTCTCCTTTCTGTCCCCTGCCGCTCCCTGGGCCAGAGCTGGACAGATTCTTCCTGAGCACCTGGTCCAACCCGGCTGAGGCTGGTCAGTGGCGTGGTTAACTCGGGGCTGCCCCGGGGGGCTCCTGCCATCTCAGGATTCCCAGCACGGACCCCTCCCCTGCCTGCCTCCTTTGCTCCTCGTTGCCTGCTCTAAAGGGAGGGATTTGGGCTTAGCATGTCCACCCGATGCCACTTCTTTTAACTGTCAATACGGTCGGCATCTGCCAACCTTTCCCACGGTGACTGGCCCCTCCTTGGGCCACTGTAGGCAGAGTGATGGGGTCAACTCGACAATTGCTTTCACTGTCAACCCAAGTTCTGCCTAATTAGGGGGAACGGCAGCGTGGCTGAGAAAATGAGGGTGTGTGTGTTTGAGCACACGTGAGGCCTTCCAACCTGAAACAACAGCTGTGCCCGCGGCCCCGGAGCCTAGGGGGCTGTGTAGCCCCAGGCCCCTGACCCGGCCCCCACCCTCCCTGGCCCCGGGGTCCTGTGGTCGCCCACCACGGTGGCACCACCTTGCGGGGATAGCACAGAACACGGGCTTCTCAGACCCAGAGTTTTGAAATTAGGCAGATTTGAGTGATTTTTAAGAACGGGGTGGGAGATCGGAACTATTTCACATTTTCCAAATACAGTGAGGCTCTAGAGTGACGTGAAAACTGGATGGTGCAGCACGGCGATGTCAGTTATGTGAACAGCCGCCACCCTCGTGCGGGCAAAAGCGGCTGATGGGAAGGACTGGATCTGTGGCTGCCACTCCGCTGCTCCGTGGCGGTGGGGGGCGGTGGCCGCCCAGTCCACTCTGCAGTGCGGGAGCTGGGCTCCGCGAGCTCCTGGCCCCCACGCCGCTGGACACTGGCCAGCCCGGGTCGAGGTGGATCTAGGGTATGGCAGACAGAGAGCTGGAGCCTCTGGGCCTCCTGTGGGAGGCAAACCCTCACTTCTCTGTAGCTGGAAGTTCAGCAAGCGAGAAGTTTTACGAGGCCGTCAATAAGATTGCATCTTTGTTCTGATGCCGCGGTGCCTGCGTGATGATTTAAAACCGCTGAGCCCGACGTGCTCACGGGCCAGGCCTCATTGTCAAGGCACAAGGCTCTGTCGCTTAATCACACACCATGATGGCGAAGCTCTGATGGGATTAAGCTTCCCTTCTGCATCTCCACCTCCCTTATTCCTCTCAGAGGGGGCCTGTGAGGCCAGGGGCCTGTGAGGCCAAGCGCCTCACAATCCCGCTGCCTTTGGGGACATCGTCATGGCTCCAGGTGTCTGCAACTCTGCTGTGAAGGGTTCCCTGGGGGAGCCATCCTCCCCTGAACGGGCACCGGGTGTCTTGGGACCATCCCACTCCAGCTATGGCACTCAGGTGAACCCCGAGTGTTTTGTGCTGTGACTGGGAACCCGGGCATTGGCAGGTGATGTGGTTCCAGCTGCAGCTTCCCGTGGTCCTTGGGAAGGCGGCTTCAGGGACGGTGTAAGTTGTCAGCGTCACCCCTGGGAAGGGCTCCGAAGCAGAAGGATGGGGGTGTCTGTCTCCAGGACCCAGATTGTCCTATCGGGAAGAGTTGAACGAGGGTGGGGAGGGTCTCCTGGGGGGACACCAGAGCCGAGCCTGAAGGTGAGCAGAGCCTTCGCCCTGGGTGAGTTTCGTTCTGGCTGAGCAGTTTCTCTGTGGCCCAAGGGACCTGCATTGGTTTTTTGAGTTGGGTTAGGGGCAGAGAGGGGGAGTGATGGGGCTGTGGGGGTGGAGGTGGGACTTTGTTTCACTTAGTTTTATACCCTCCACGATGTTCTTTCCCATCAAGGACAGGAACACACCACCCACAAAATGACCTTGGAGAGACTTTTGTTATTTTTTAGATAGGAAAAAACAAAAAAACAAAAAAATCCCCAAACCCAATAACCATTTGAGCTACTTTGATGGTGGAGGCAGCGAATCCCGGGGAAAGCCAGGCTCCTAAGCCCCAGACGCCCCTGCCTGCTGAATCAGGTCCCCGCCCAGTGCTCAGATGGTCACGGGCTCTGGGATCCTGCGGGATTTGGAGGAAGAGGCCGTGCTGCGTCCGGGCTGGCTCTGCCCACACCCCGGCGAGAGATGCTGACTTCACATTCACCTCTGTGAAGATCACAGGATTTAAGCTGTCAGCGTGGGACGGGCATGTGCTTTAAGGATGATTGCGCCAGCAAAGCCGCCTTCCTGAGCCATGCTTATGCCAGGCTCCTCCTGTCTCTGAGCAAATGCTGGCCGCCCGGCCCGGGAGCTTCCGGAAGCTGTTTGCTCCCCGTGTGCAGGAGGAAATGTGTGTCTGCAGCCATGTGTGTGGGCCGCTGTCTCCTGCTGCACCCGGCCTTCCTCACGGCAAGAGCTCTGTGCTCTGTGGGCTCTGGAAGGAACGTTCCGGGCCGGTGTGTCTTGAGAGTGTTGGGCAGCTGCCGCCCTGGGGGAAGGACCCTCACTAGGCTGGCCCGGGGCAGGAGCAGGAAGGATGCGGCTCAGCTGCCGCCTAGCTCTGTGTGCCAAGTCCCTGCAGGGACCCTGGAAGCCGAGAGGGGCGGCTGGGTGGCCACGCAGCGGGGTGGGAGGTGAGGGGCCTGAGGAAGCCGCGGTGCCGCGTTCCCTGGGCAGCGTCGCTCACACACAGGGAGGCTCATTCACGCTCACTCAGCACGGCCGTGTCAAGGCACTGCAAGTACACTGACACGCAGCTTGCGGTGGGAGGGACGGTGGGGTCCTCGGACCACCCAACACAGGGCCGCAGACTGGGCTTTGACAACAGAAATTCAGTGTCACTGTGCTGGAGCCGGAAGTGGGAGACCTGGGTGCTGGAGGTTTGCTGCGATCCTGGTGTTCCTTGGCTCGAGAAACCATCACTTGGCCTCTGCCTTCATCTTCTCACCTTTCCACGCCTCTCCCGTGCGTGTCTGTGTCCACGTTTCCCCTAAGGGCACAGTCACATTGAATTAGGGCCCACCCTACTCTAGCCTGACCTTGTCTTAACTAATGACCCTGCAGTGACCTTCCTCCCAAGTAAGGCCACATCTCAGGCACCGGGATGACGCCTTCCACACTAGAATTCTTAAGGGACCCAATTCAACCCCTAAGAGGGATGCCTGAGCTGAGGTCTGTCGTGGACAGGCTGGAGCTCTATCCCCCGGGCCTCTCTCCTGCCTGGTGCCTCCCATTTAAGGAGCAGGTTGAAGGAGCTGAGACCCCCCCTTGGGCATTGAGCACTCCTGTCTTGGATACAGGCTTCCCCAATGCTGCCGCCTCTCTCCCTGACCTCAACCTGCTTCCCTGCACTGAGCCTCACCTTTGAACGTCCTTCCTTCCCCAGCGCGTGGAGCCCCGCACAGCTGGGGCAGCTCAGCCGAGTGCAGGCGGTGGCAGGTCCCAGGGGCTGGTGTCTTGGGTGGGGCCTGGTGTCCGAGGCCTGCAGATCAGCCCTGCTAGCCCTGCCCAGTGCCCAGGCTGCCCCTTTGCCTGGTTGGGGGTTGGTGGGGCAGGGAGCCTGGTGGGCTTCACTCTGGGTCTACCAGGAAGGTGGCACTAGGTTAATCATTATTGCCCCGACCCCCTCCGTATGGGGGGGCAGGACCAGCTCAGAAATTTTAGAGTACCACGCAAAATAAGAACGTTGGGCTTCTTGCTCAAAAATGAAGAATTCTGGGACAGCAGTGGCGGAGCATGCAGCCTTCTGAGCGCAGACGTCGGGACACCAGGGACGCTGGCCGGGAGCGAGGGAGGGGCTTTACCGAGGAATGGGTTTCCTCCTCCAGCCTTGTTCTGGAGATCACGCCTGTGCAATCTTTTTAAATACAGAACAGAAAAAAATGCCAGCCCCCTGCAGCCTGGTCACGAGAATGCCAGGATCTCAGGGCACCTGCTGGCTGACCTTCGCTGAGATAGAATTTACACACTGCACATGCTCCCATCTGAAAGGGATGCCCCGCGGCCTTCAGCACATTCACAACATCGCGCAACCATTGCCACTCATTCCAGAACTTCCACCACCCCGAAAGGAGCCCATCAGAGTCTCCCCACTGCCCCTGTCAGCTCCTTGCTGTCCCTGTGGACTTGCTGGTTCTGGACACTTCATGGAATCAGAATTGGTGTGACACAGGGCCTTGTGGCGTGGACTACGGCCCTCTGAGCGGTCTTGACCTGTTCACCTAAAACCAGACGCTGAAATTAACCAGGCCCACCTCTCCAGGCCAGGGCGGGTGAATTCCCGGGGACCCAGCCCTTGCCTGCACCAGGAGAGTAAGCGACTTATTAATAGGGTAATTTATGCGGGTGCCTGCGCACCGGGACGGACCAGCATCTATCATGGCTGTTTTGCGTTTCTTGATTTCACGATGTCTGTTGTGTGCTCAGGCCCCTCCTCTCCAAGGTCCCAGCTGTCCTTGCCCTGTTCCCTGTGAAGAGTGAAGAACCAACGCGGGCGGGGAGTGGACCGGTGGGGAGAGGGCCGGTGGGGAGAGGACCGGTGGGGAGGGGCCGGTGGAGAGGGGGCCGGTGGGGAGGGGGCCGGCGGGGAGTGGTTTGGTGGGGAGGAGGCTGGTGAAGTAGCGTCAGGTGCGGGCCTGGCGTCGGCGAGTCAAGTCGAGCTGATCCAGGGCCTTCTTTCTGCAGCTTCATCAGGTTCTCAATTAGCGGAGGGCGCTGGCGGTGGAGGAGGGCATTAGCCGTGCCTGCTCTCGGGCTCTGCCTGCCAGAGTGCCCTCATGTGGCATGAGATTAAGGCTCAGCCTCTTTCCTGACAGCAGGTTTTCCATTTTTCTTCTCCTTCCTCCTCTCCTGGCAACAAAGTCCTTTGCTGGGCTGGGGGGTCTCCACTCTGATCCACTTCCCTCCTTCCTGCCTCCCTCCCACGCCCTGGAAACCCCGGCCCATGACTCTTTCCCTGAGGGGGCCGCCCGCAGCCTCTCCCCCATGGGGGCTTTGCTCTGGGCACCCCCTTTCCCCCGGGGCGGGTGGGGCAGCGGCCGGGACTCAGGAAGATGGTGGCCCAGTGGGGCTCTCTCCTTGGGTGTGTGGGAGCGGAGTCCCCTCGCTCTTCTGGGATAGAACGCTCCGTTGAGCTCCCCAAACTGCTCCCGTGCCGAGCTCTGGGGGAGGGAGTCTGTTCAGAGACGGTGCAGTCCTACCTTTTAGAAGGTACGCCTGCCTTTTTAAGCAGCTCAGCTCTCAACAATGCACAAGTGGCTTGAGTAGAAGAGCTGCTCCTGCTGGGAGGCGCAGGAGGCTGAGCGAGGCCCACCCTGCAGGGGCGAGGCCACGGTTTGTGTTATTTCCCATGATGACTCCAAACGCACCCGAGTCCCCCGGGCCTCCGCGCCTCCGTGTGCAGGTCCCCCGGGCCTCCGCGCCTCCGTGTGCAGGTCCCCCGGGCCTCCGCGTCTGTGTGTGCAGGTCCCCCGGGCCTCCGCGCCTCCGTGTGCAGGTCCCCCGGGCCTCCGCGCCTCCGTGTGCAGGTCCCCCGGGCCTCCGCGCCTCCGTGTGCAGGTCCCCCGGGCCTCCGCGCCTCCGTGTGCAGGTCCCCCGGGCCTCCGCGCCTCCGTGTGCAGGTCCCCCGGGCCTCCGCGCCTCCGTGTGCAGGTCCCCCGGGCCTCCGCGCCTCCGTGTGCAGGTCCCCCGGGCCTCCGCGTCTGTGTGTGCAGGTCCCCCGGGCCTCCGCGCCTCCGTGTGCAGGTCCCCCGGGCCTCCGCGCCTCCGTGTGCAGGTCCCCCGGGCCTCCGCGTCTCCGTGTGCAGGTCCCCCGGGCCTCTGCGTCTCTGTGTGCAGGCTCAAGTTTGCCAACGTCCATGCACGTCTCAGCCTCTCAGCCTGGACTGGACAACTGGGCTTCGGGAATTCATTTAAATTCTACCCGCTACACGCCTTCCCTGGATTCAGGGCGGCGTCCAGTGCATTCATCACGCGTGTGCTGCCGTGAAGGTGCGGGGACCCCCCCCAAAAGGCTTCCTTCCCTGTCCTGCGTCCTGCCCACAAGGCGGTGCTGCTGGCACCAGGCCTGACCTGGCGCTGCCAGTGCTCCACTGTTTTGAGTTATTGACCAACAATTCACTCTCGGGTCCCGAGGGGAACTGGCCTGAGGCCACTCAAGCAGAGGCTCAATGAGGAAAGATAAATATTTCATGGTCTGGGTCGGTGAGAGAGGGAAATCAATAGCGCATCCCATCCTCAGTACGGCGCAGGCCTCCCACCCAAGGCAGCGAGTTGCATCCTCCGTGCCGCGCGGGCCCTCCCACCCGAGGCAGCGAGTTGCACTTCCGGGCTTGTTCTCTTCCTCCCTTTAAGGCAAGGCTGCAAACTGCCAGGCCGATGGCCCGTGCTGGGAGCAGGCAGGTGTCCTGACTCCGCCTCCAGCCGGTGAATCAGAGCCCTGAGATTCACCAAGGGCCCCCTGCCCGGGTCGTGGAGGCAGAGCCTGGGGCTGGGAGAGGCCCTTCAGGACCCCTCTGTGGGAGCCGGACGCAGGCCTGGGGATGTTGGAGGTGGGAGCGCTTCCAGGCCCCTTGTGTAGGACCAGAGGCTGCTCCGACCCTGCTCGGGGCTCTGGAGACAGAAGAACGGCATGAGTGTTTCACAAATGGTGCAGACAGTTCACAGGTCAAGACAGGGGACAAAAGTGACCACTTTTAGTTAAAAACAGGTGACTCCGTCCCAGGACAAGCACGATGCTGTGTTAGGTCCCGTTAGTCCCCTTGGAAAGCTGTCGGCTTTCCCTGGAGAGGACCTCGTTCTGTCCACGCCACTGCCCTGCGAGCGAGAGGGAGTGCGAGCGGGGCGTCCACGCGCTCCCATGGGGGACCTGGGGCTGCTTCCCGCTTCCCGATTTTCCTTCAGCGCTGCTCGTGGCGTGCCCTTTCTCCCGTGGCGCAGTCACCAGCAGGACGTGTGTCCCGCTCACGCTTTGGGAAACACGGCCTTGTAGCAGGAGCTGCTCTCGGGGTTCAGCATCGGGGGTGGCAGAGCCCAGTGCCTGCTGGGGCATTGCCAGGCATCGTGGAGCTGGACCCAGAGCCAGGGGTCCCAGCTGCTGCTCCTCAAGGACCCTGTGGCTCAGGAAAGCCCTCCCATTGCTAACGTGTCACCCGAAGGGCTTGGGGACCTCCACGCAGGATGGGCTTCAAAAGTCAGCTCAGGCGGTGCCCTGGCCTCGGGTGCGCGGGGAGACCACTGGCCTCCCTCATGCCGGCTCCCTGCTGACTGTCTCGTGAGCTCCTGGCAGCCCTTCTAGAATGTTCTGGCGTGGCTCCCTGCTCACGTTTCTAAAGCAACTATCAGCCCATCCTCAATTACCGTGTCTCCAGGACCACAGACGACCTGGAGCAGCAAGAGTCAGTGCTGGGGCCGGGCGCGGTGGCTCACGCCTGTAATCCCAACACTTTGGGAGGCCGAGGCAGGCAGATCACCTGAGGTCGGGAGTTCGAGACCAGCCTGGCCAATATGGAGAAACCCTTTCTCTACTAAAAATACAAAATTGGCCGGGTGTGGTGGCGCATGCCTGTAATCCCAGCTACTCGGGAGGCTGAGGCAGGAGAATCGCTTGAACCCGGGAGGTGGAGGTTGCAGTAAGCCGAGATCGTGCCACTGCACTCCAGCCTGGGCAACAAGAGTGAACTCCGTCTCAAAAAAAAAAAATAAATAAAGAGTCAGTGCTGGGACGAGAGGCACCGGTAACATGGCCAGTGTTGCAGCCGGAGGCGGGCAGGGCTGACCTGTCCAGGGACCAGCAGAGCTCGGGCAGGAGGTGACCCTGAGTCGGGGGAGAGGGGGCGTGGGAGCCTGGGGCTGGGGGAGGAGGGAGGATGTCACTGTGGATGAGGCTGGTTCCCAGCCTCAGGAGCCAGGCCCGGGCCCCTCCAGCTCCACCTGTGCTCACCTGGGCAGGTGATGCCCCATGCTGAGCCTCTGCTCTCTGGTCCTTAGGGTGGGGGTGCAGTTCATGCCCCATGGGCTGGGTGAAAGAATAAACCCCCACCCAGTGGGCACGTGCGGCGGGCACCCAGAGTGCTTGAAGTTTCCTTGTGAGGCTGCTGCTGACTCTGGGGAGGGACGGTGTCGTTGGAGTGGGGCCACCTGGCTTGGCCCGTTGCCCTTGGCAGCAGGAATACAGCTGCCCTGGGGGCTCCTCTGCCACACGGGCACTCAGGGGTGCTGGTCGTTGGGTCCAGGCAGGGTGGGGGCAAGAGCCACTGAGGGGCCCTTTGTTTGCATCTTAGGTGACGCTGCAGAGGTGAGTGGCCGGGGCATCCAGAGCTTCCCTGAATGACTGGGCCACGACGATGAAGGCGTCAGGGCTGCAGCCTGCTGGGCGTGCCCCAGCCAAGTTTTCAGGACGGCCTCTGCTTCTCCTTCGGGGAAGGAGCAGCCCTACTCCCTCTGATGGGGCTGCCTGGGAGGGTTGGATTTGTTGTTTGTAGGGAAAGACTGGGGCGGAGAGCAGGGTGCTGTGGCCCCTCTCGTCCCTTTCTGGTTCCTGGGGCTGTCCGCACAGAGCAGGTGGGGACACGCTGGCTGGATTTCATCTGGATCAGAGGAGGGTGAGAGGATGGTCTCCTGGTGGGGAGTGCAGAGCCTCAGCTCTGGAGTGTGGAGAAGGATCCAGCTTGTTGGGTGGTGTATGGTCAGAAGTGGGGACCTCGGGGCCTCAGATCTGGCCTCTGATCCCAACTCTGTTCCCCTCGGAGCCACCCTTCCCTCATCCATCAGGAGCCAGTAGCAGCCCCAGGACAGCTGCCGTGGGATAAATAAAAGGAGCCGCCTTCAGGAGCTGCCTGCCGAGTGTCCACAGAACGTAGCGTCTTCCCAGCACTCAGCGGGTCCTGATGGGCCTCCTTCCCACCGCCCTCTTCCGAGTGTGGGGAGCTCAACCCCTGACTTGGGGTCCCGGGACATTCAGTTTTGTGTGTGATCAGGGAGGCAGCGCCTGACCCACAGAAAGCACCTGCTACTGGTGGGGTCTCAGATCTGTGCACACCTGTGTCCCGGGCTCCTCACTGTCCGGGTGGTCACACTGTCCCTGCGCTGCTGGACTTGGGGGCTTGGGTGCAGCCAGCCTTGTGCTCCTCAGCCTCCCTGGTACAGGAGGACTGTCCATCTGCCTGGCAGGGGCAAGGCCGTCTTCAGCGGAGAGACCTGGAGGCCACGTGGTCTGCTCAGAAGTACCTGCATGCAGTTTGATGCCCTGCTGCAGCAATCTTGAAATTCTTAGTAATTTTATCTTTGAATGCTCGCTTTGTAAGTGCAATCTAAGGATGGTGGCGTGAGCATGACTGAAGGAAGCTGGAGATGGTCAGGGTGCGAGTCCACTGCGGAGCCAGTAGGTGCCAGTGGTTCGAGAGGCCACGCTTTCCCTTGACTCAGAGCTGGCCCCAAGTGCAGAAAGGAGGTGGTGTTGCTCTCAGATGCCCACACAACCAAGGACACATCCCCCCCGTCTCCCTGGGACTCCCATGTGAGCTGGCCACCTGCACTGCAGATGACGATGTGGAAGGAGAGAGAAAGACAGGAGACCGCGGCTTTTCCTTTCAGTCCTTCGTACCCAACAGCAACTGAGAGGGCGTCCCGGCAGGGTATGAATGGCCAGCAGGACGCTGAGGCTGCGTGGCGTTTCCACCGTGCTGCAGGAACAAGATGCACATCGTGCAGGAGCCGCAGAGCACGCGTGCAGAGGTTTCGGTGGCTTTGCCCCGCAGCTAACGTGTGCGTGTGTGCCTTGACTTATATTTGCATTACTTAGAATGACATTCAATAGCAAATGAAAGACAGCCGGCAAGTCAATAGAGAGAATGCGGAAGGAAGGAGAAGGCTTTGTTTGTGGCTCTGAGGGCACTTTTCCTCCTGCATTTGCATTTTGCACTGTGCAGATTTGCACCGTGCAGCCACCCGGGCCTCCTCGGGTCTGGGGCTCCATTTCCAGCACCCCCACCCAGCGCTGTGGGCCCCTCCCCCACGCACCTCCCCCACTTTGGTGGTGACAGTTGGTTGTGGAGGAACAATCGTCAGTGATGGGTGAACTAGCTGTGTTTCACGTGGCCTCCTCATCACTCTGCCAAGCCCCTGGGGCAGGCACATTTTGGCTGCCATCGACTCTAGAATGTTCTCTGGTGTCTCCAGGGGGTGTGCAGAGCTGGTCCCTCCCAGCGAGGAGCTCTGCTCACAGGTTCACACCCCCTGCCCTGTTCTCCAAGATGGGAATGTCTGATGAGAGCCCCAGAGAAGAATCAGCCGCTGGGGGTCGGGGAGGTGTTGGACTCTCTTGAAACAAAGGAGGCCCAAGCCTGGGGTCACGGGGCTGGGGGTGGGGGTGGGGTGGGAGGGAGTGGGCAGTGACCTGAGAACAGGAAGGGAGGTGGAGGTCTTGGGTCACGGGTGATGGATGATGGAGGAACAGGCCCAGGAGGCCCTGCTTGCTGGGGGCTTCTTTCCTCTTGCGTAGTCACCCTGTGGGGGGCTCTCAAACTCACAGAGTTTGGCCGTAGGGAAGTGCAGGGGTGGCCTGGGAGGCTGCAGGCTCTGGGACAGCCTGGCTCACACAGGAGATGGGATGGCGCTGAGAGGAGACCCCGGGGCGCCCAGCGTCTCAGGCTATAAGGAGCAGCCACTCATTGTGACACCCGATGGTGAAATGCTGCATTATTATTTATGGTGTTGAATAATCACAGCACAATCATTGCAGGCCACAGGGCAGAAAGTGCTAATGTAGTTTAAAAACAGTACATTTGAATCTGGACACTGGCAAGAAAATAGGCAAAATAAATACTTTTGTCCACCCCTCCCTACCCTCTTTTGGTGACTTGGGGTGGCCTGGGTCGGTGCTCAGCCCAGGGTCCCGCGGCCAGAGCCAACCATGGCGCGCCTGGTCTCCTCCAGATAAACGCGCGCCCACGTCTCTGCTGGGCTTTGGAATTAGCTCAATACTCATTCAGACGCAGAGTGCGTGTGCCCTGCCAGGACAGACGTCATTGCTGTGCGGTGCTTGAGTGCCATCAATAAGCCACAGAAGAGAAATCCGGAAACAAGGGACGCGCAGCGTGATTCCGTGCCACGGCGTCAGGAGCGGCATGTAGCATCTTTTGGTTTGAGAGTAAAATTCCGCAATCAGAAATGAAATCCGAGCAAAGAAGCAAAGCGCACAGAGGCTGGAGACGCTAAAGCATCCAGGCAGGACTCCGCCAGGTGGGCAGGCAGAGGCCTGTGCACAGGCAGACGGTGTGCCCGTGAGCAGGACATGCTTGTAGGGTCACAGGTCACCCACCCGCAGGACACGCATGCAAGGTCACGGGTCAGCCACCAGCAGGACACGCATGCAGGGTCACGGGTCAGCCACCCACAGGACACGCATGCAGGGTCACGGGTCAGCCACCCGCAGGACACGCATGCAGGGTCACGGGTCAGCCACCCGCAGGACACGCATGCAGGGTCACGGGTCAGCCACCCGCAGGACACGCATGCAGGGTCAGGGGTCAGCCACCCGCAGGACACGCATGCAGGGTCACGGGTCAGCCACCAGCAGGACACGCATGCAGGGTCACGGGTCAGCCACCAGCAGGACACGCATGCAGGGTCACGGGTCAGCCACCCGCAGGACACGCATGCAGGGTCACGGGTCAGCCACCAGCAGGACATGCACACCCATGTGTGCACATGGGTAGGTGTGCTCGACCCACACATGTTGTGCCATCACCCCATCCTTGTCCTTGGAGAAAGGGCTATTGGCCATCGTGACGGGGAGCCTCTCAGCTGCGACTGGGCCCTGGGAGCCATGGAGTCTTCTGGCCGCCTCTCCTGGCCACCAACCAGGAACCCCAGGCCCCAGGCCCACGGTTGCATCTGCTGTGCCATCCTGTGGACAAACGGACGATCCAATCCAGATGGCACTGCAGGGGACTGAACGGGGCTCTGAAACCCGGCCGGAGCTGCCCTCAGGCCACCCTCCTCACCTTGAGCCATTCCCCTGCTCCGTCACCTGTGTCAGGCCTGGGTGCCGCCAGGAGGCCTCCTTCCAGCTCTCTGCAAGCTGGCCCCGTGTTCACGGGCATCCAGCGGGATCCACCATGGAAAGACAGCTTTCTCAGAGGCATCTCAGCACGTGGGCCCAGCCAGAACCTCGAGGGCTTCTGTCCCTGGAGGGCAGGGCAGAGCGGGAGGACACAGGGACACAGAGAAGGTATCAGCTGGCGAGGGCAGGGCAGAGCAGGAGGACACGGGGACACAGAGAAGATGGCAGCTGGCTGAGGGCAGGGCAGAGCAGGAGGACACAGGGACACAGAGAAGGTGGCAGCTGACTCGGCGGGAGCGGAAGGTGCTGCTTTCTTCGAGGTCCCCCTCTTTGCGGCTCACCCTTCTCCCTCTATGGCCCCCTTAACCCCAACCCCCCTCGGCTGCCTCTCTGAGTAAAGGACAGGCCAGCGCCGAGCAGGTATGTCCCCTGCCAGGGTCCCCCGCACACCTGGATCTTCTAGGCTGGGGAGTAGTGGAAGGATCTGCGGGGCTCTCGAAGCCGTCTGGGAGGAACGTCAATGACCAGAGGAAGGAACAAGGGTTTCGGGTGGGATTGGCCAATTCCCTGGGTCATCTCAGAACCACGAGCTTGTCTTCCTGGGTTACAGGGTCCTGAGCTTGGCCGAAAAGGGACAAACGAAGGGCCGGGTGTGATGACCCTGCATAGGTTTGACAGCCCTGTGTCCTTCCAAATCAAGTGAGTGGGTCTGGGTCCCCGGCCCCCTCCAGCCTGGGGTCCAAGCCTCCCTGGTCTCCTCGGGCAGTCAGCCTCTCTGCTCCAGTGCCGTCAGTTGTCACCTACGTGGGTAAAACGCCAGGAGAGGCTGGATCCCCAGCTCACCGGCCTGTGGCCCGGGCATCCTGGGCTTGCAGAGGGAGGGCCGAGGGTGGTAACTAGGAGGAGTGGCTCTGAGCCGGGGAGGGAACACGGCCAGAGGGGGATGAAGGCCACACGGAGCACCGCGGGAGCCCCGCCGTCTGCGCAGGGTTCAGCCTTTCAGCCTCGATGTGGGAAGTCTCTCCATCTGTTCAGGTTTTCTTTGGGTCTTTTTACCAGCCATGTTTCGCAGTTTGCAGCGTACAAGTCTCACACTTCCTTTGCGAAATTATTCCTAAGTAGCTTATTCTTTCTGATGCTATTTGACCAGGACGCTTTCTGCATTTCATCTTGGGGTGTTCACTGTCAGTGCAGAAATATCCTACGCCCCATGATCTTGTTAAACTCCTTCGATCATCTTATCAGGTTTTACTTCATTTTATTTTATCTTTGTAGATTCCTTAGGCGATTCCACCTACGGCGTGAGGCGTACTTCTACATCTTTTTTGCTAATCTCGGTGATTTGAGTTCCATGTTCTTGCCTCACTGCCCTGGCTGGAACCCGCTGTGCAGTGTGGGAGGAGCGGGAGGGGAGGGTCCCCTTGACTTGCTCCCTTCCGTGGGGAGACGGTCAGGCTTTCCCCAGGAAGCGTGCTGTAGGTTTCCATAGATTCGAGACGGTCAGGCTTTCCCCAGGAAGCGTGCTGTAGGTTTCCATAGATTCCATTGCTAGGTTGAGGAGGTTCACTCTCATTTCTGGTTTGTTGAAAGTTTTTTTTTAATTATAAATGGGTGTCAGATTTTGTCAAATGGATTTTCTATATCAGTTGGGATGATCATGTGGCTTTTGTCCTTTATTTTATTAATATGATTTATTACATTAATTGAGTTCTGGCTGTTAAACCAATCTTTCAGTCCTGGGAAATATCCCACTTGATCATGGTGTACAGTATTATCTTTTTAAAATAAATTGTTGGATTTGGCCAGGCACGGTGGCTCATGCCTGTAATCCCAGCCCTTTGGGAGGCCAAGGTGGGAGGATGGCTTGAGCCCGGGAGGTCGAGGCTGCAGTGAGCCGAGATCGTGCCATTGCCTGGGTGACAGAGTGAGACCCTGTTTCAAAATAAATAAATAAATAGTCGAATTTGGTTTGCTAAGTTAAAAAAATTAAGTAAGTGTCCCGCTCAGCAGCATTAATTACATTCACGATGTTGTGTCACCATCACCACCAGCTACATCCCCAACTCCAAACAGAAACCCTGTCTCCATGAATAACAACTACCCATTCCTCTCCACCCCCAGCCTCTCTTAACCTAGAATGTACTTTCTGTCTGTGAATTAGGCTCTTCTAGATATCTGATGCAAGTAGAATCATACAACATTTGTCCTTTTGTTTCTGGCTTATGTCACTCAGCACAATGCTTCCGAGGTCGCTCAGCAGGGGGCTTCCGAGGTCGCTCAGCACGGGGCTTCCGGGGTCGCTCAGCACGGGGCTTCCGGGGTCGCTCAGCACGGGGCTTCCGGGGTCGCTCAGCACGGCACTTCCGAGGTCGCTCAGCACGGGGCTTCCGAGGTCACTCAGCATAGTGCTTCCGAGGTCGCTCAGCACAGCGCTTCCAAAGTTATTTACCTGGTAGCGAGTGTCAGACTTCCTTCATTTTTCTGGCTGAATCCTATTCCCATGGGTGGATGGACCGCATTTTGTCCTCCATTCATCTGCTGGGGGCAACTGTGCTGTTTCCACCTTTCAGCCATTGTGAGTAACGCTGGTATGGGAGCCTAAGTGTCTGTTTGGGTGTTTGTCTTCATTCTTCCGGACCTACCCTTGGGAGTGGAATTGCTGGATCGTAAGGCAGTTCGGTGTTCCACTATTTGAGGAGCTGCCAAATCGTCTCCCACGGTGGCTGCTCCATTTTACATTCCCGCCATCAATTCCAACTTCTCCACATCCTCTCTGAGGCTTGTTATTTTATTTTTATTTATTTATTTTTTTGAGACAGGGTCTCACTCTGTTGCCCAGGCTGGAGTGCAGTGGTCCAATCTCAGCTCACTGCAACCTCCACCTCCCGGGTTCAAGCGATTCTCCTGCCTTAGCCTCTCGAGTAGCTGGGATTACAAGCGCATGCCACCACACCCAACTAATTTTTTGTTTTTTGGAGAGCAGCCGTCCTATCGCATGTGAGGTGGTGTCTCTGTGGTTTTGATTCACATTTCCCTAGTGACCAGTGAGTGCTGTTGAGCATCTTTTCATGTGCTTATTGGCCATTTTATATCTTATTTGGAGAAACATCTATTCGAGTCCTTTGCCTATTTTTAAATGGAATTTTTTTGTTGTTGAAGTGTAGCAGTTCTTTATAAATCCTGGGTATTAAAACCCTTATCAGATATATGATTTGCAAATATTTTCTCCCACTCTGTGGTTGACGTTTCACTTTCTTTTTTTTTTTTTTTTTTCGTTTTTGAGAAGGAGTCTCGCTCTGTCACCCAAGCTGGAGTGCAGTGGCGGGATCTCGGCTCACCGCAAGCTCCGCCTCCCGGGTTCGCGCCATTCTTCTGCCTCAGCCTCCCGAGTAGCTGGGACCACAGGCGCCTGCCACCACGCCCGGCTAATTTTTTGTATTTTTAGTAGAGACGGGGTTTCACTGTGTTAGCCAGGATGGTCTCGATCTCCTGACCTCGTGATCCGCCCGCCTCGGCCTCCCAAAGTGCTGGGATGACAGGCATGAGCCACTGCGCCCGGCTGACGTTTCACTTTCTTGATAGTGTCTTTTAATGCAGAACAACTTTAATTTTGATGAATCCAATTTATCTGTTTTCTGTTAAAAAAATTTTTTTTTTTTTGAGACAGAGTCTCAATCTGTCCCCCAGGCTGGAGTGCAGTGGTGCGATCCTGGCTCACTACAACCTTTGCCTCCTAGGTTCAAGCGATTCTCCTGCCTCAGCCTCTAGAGTAGCTGGGATTACAGGTACCCACTATCATGCCTGGCTAATTTTTTTATTTTTAGCGGAGACAGGGTTTTGCCATGTTGGCCAGGCTGGTCTTGAACTCCTGACCTCAGGTGATCCTCCTGCCTCAGCCTCCCAAAGTGCTGGGATTACAGGCGTGAGCCACCATGCCTGGCCCTGTCTTTTTTCTTTTGTTGCCTATGCTTTCTGTGCCATTTACCATTGCCATGTTGAAGGTCGTGATAATTTGCCCCTATGTTTTCTTCTAAGCGTTTTATAGTTTTAGCTCTTACATTTAGGTCTTTGATCCATTTCATGTTAATTTTTGTATATGTTGTAAGATAAATGTCCAACTTCATTGTTTTGCATGTGTAAATACCTTTTTCCCAGCATCGTTTGTTGAGGAGGCTGCCCTTTCCTCACTGGTGTTGGTCCCTTATTGAAAGTCAATGGACCATGTATATGGGGGTTCATATGGGGGTTCTCTGTTCTACTCCATTGGCCTCTACATCCATCCTTTTACCAGCAGCACATTATCTTGATGACTGTAGCTTTATGAGTAAGTTTTGAAATCAGAAAACGTGAGTTCTCCAAGTTTGTTCTTCGTTTTCAAGATCGTTTGGGCTATTTAGGGTTCCGGAAGTTCTATATGAATTTTAGGATAAAGGTTTTCAATTTTTGCAAAAATTGCTGTTGGGATTTTGATAAGGATGACGTTGAATCTGTGGATTGTTTTGAGTAGTACTCTCATCTTAACAACAGTAAGTCCTCCAGTCTGTGAACACGGGTGACTTTCCATTTATTTGTGTCTTCTTAATTTCTTTCATCAACGTCTTGTAGTTTTCAGCATACAAGTCTTTTTCCTCCTGGGTTGAATTTATTCCTAAGCATCTGATTCGTTTCGATGCTATCGTAAGTGGGGTTCTTTTCTTTTCGGATTGCTCATTGCTAGTGTCCAGCTGACTTCTAAGTAATGATTTTGTACCCTGAATCTTTGCTGAGTTCATTTATTAGGTTTAACAGTTTTTTTTTTTTTTAATGGTTCTCTGGGCTTTTCTACATGGTGCATATCATCTGCAAATACGTGCCATTTTAGTTCTTCCTTTCCAACTTGGATACCTTTTGTTCCTTTTTCTTGCCTAATTGCTCTGGCTAAAACTCCCAGTATTGTGTTGAATAGAAGTGGCAAAAGCAGGCATCCTTGTCTTTTTCCTGATCTTGGGGAGAAGCTTTCAGTCTCGTACCATTGACTGTAATGTCAGTTGTGGGTTTTTCATAGATGACTTGATTTACTAAATTTTACTAAGGATATTTTGGTTTACGTTCATGAGGGATAATATCTTATAGTCTGTTCGTGTCTTTGCCTGGCTTTGATACCAGAGTAATTCTGGTTTCATAGAATGAATTAGAAAGTGTTTCCTCATCCTCTACCTTCTGAGGATTTTGTGTGAGATTGCTGTTATTTCTTCTGTAAATATGTGATGGAGTTTACTAGTGAAGCCAGTGCTATTTGGGCATTAATTTCTTTACTTGTTGTGGGTGTCTTCAGGTTTTCTCTTTCTTCCTGAACTCATTTTGGTAATTTGTGTCATTCTAGGAATTTGTCCATTTCATCTAAGTTGTCAAACGGTTGGCATAAAATGGTTCATAATGCTCCTTTATAATCCTTTTAATTTCAATAGGATCAGTAGCAGTGTTCTCTCTTTTATTCCTGATTTTAGTAATTTGTGTCTTCTCTCTTTTTTTCATGGGCATTCTTGCTAAACATTTATCCACTTTGTTGATTTTTTTCAAAAAATCAAGTTTGATGCTGCTGGTTTTCTGTATCGGCTTTCTGTTTTCTGCTGCACTGCTGTTCACTCTGGTCTTTTATATTATCTTCCTTCTGCTTGGTTGGGGTTGGATTTGTTCTTCTTTTTCTTGTTTCTTTTGGTGGAAGATTATATTATTGATTATATTATTGATATAATATGATTATATTATTGACCTTTTTGCCTTTGAAATATGGGTATTTAAAGTTATGAATTTCCTGCTTTAGCTAGATCTCATGCGTTTTGGTATGTTGTGGTTTTGTTTTCATAAGTTCAAATTATTTTCTAATTTTCTTTTTTGTGATTTCTTTTTTGACTCATGGGTTATTTAGAAATGTGTTGTTTAGCTCTCAAATATCAACTTATTTCTCCAGTTTATTTTTATTTTTATTTTTTGAAATGGAGTCTGGCTCTGTTGCCCAGGCTGAATGAAATGCAGTGGTGTGATCTCAGCTCACTGTAACCTCTGCCTCTCAGGTTCAAGTGATTCTCCTGCCTTAGCCTCCTGTGCAGCTGGGATTACAGGCACATGCCATAATGCCCAGCTAATTTTTGTATTTTTAGTAGAGATGGGGTTTCACCATGTTGGCCAGGCCGGTCTCGAACTCCTGACCTCAGGTGATCCACCCACCTTGGCCTCCCACAGCACTAGGATTACAGGCACGGGCCACCGTGCCTGGCTATTTCTGTTCTTGGTTTCTAATTTAATTCCATTGTATTAGAGAACATACCTTGTACGATTTAAATACTTTTAAATGAGTGAGACTTGCTCTGGGTCTAGCCTACGGGCTCTCCTGAAAAGTGTGGCACTGCTGCTGAGTGCTGTCATCATGGGGAGCGATCTATAAATAAGAGTTTGGGTAAGTTGGTTGACAGTGCTGTTAAAGTCTTCTGTGTCCTTACTGGTACTCTGTGTAGATGCTTTATTCGTTATGGAGAATGGGCATCGCAATCTCTCATGATAATTATTGAATAATATATTTCTCTTTTCAGTTCTGTCTCATTTTACTTCATATATTTTGGAGTTCTCTTGTTAGGCATGTATATACATTTATGTCTTTCTGTCAATATTGACCCTTTTATCCTTATAAAATGTCCTCTGTCTCTAGTATTTTTTTCCTTGAAGTCTATTTTGTCAGATGGAATATCTGTGTTCCACCTCTGTTGCAGTTGTTATTTGCATCATGTGTATTTTTCTGTCCTTTTGCTTTCAGTGTATTTGCATCTTGAAATTTAAAGCATGTCTCTTATAGATGGCATGCAGTTGGGCCTGGAGTAGTTTATCCAGTCCAATAATTTCTGCCACCCGACAGTGTTGTTGTTGGTTTAGTGGCATTTTTGTCTCTGACGTTTTGTTCCTTGCTTTCTACATGTCTCGTGTCTTTTTTGTTTCTGTTCCTCCTTTACTGCCTTCTTTTGTGTTAAGCAAATATATCTCAGTTACCCTGTTAGCTAATTCTGCTGCCGATTGTGTTAATTGTTAACCATGTTTTGAGTTGTGTTCTTAGTGATTCTCCAGGAAACCAGTATATATCTTAATGTATTACAATCTACATCAGGTGAATACTGACTTAATTCCAGTAAAATGTCACCTCTGATCCAGGACAGAGCCGTTCCCGCCTGAATTGTGACTGCACACCCAGTTTGTCCCTGTGTCCCTCTAGCCTGAGGGTGGCGTTGGCTTCCTGTAGTTGAGACTTTCCGAGTTGCTCCTCATCCCCATGGGGACCTTCTCACACCTCTTCAACCGGCATCCCATATCGAACCCCTGGGTATGTGCTGTTTTCTCCCATGGACTCCAATGGGTGCAGGCATCTCCACCTGCTGTGGCCCTGACCCTCCCCTTCCTCTCGATGTTCATGGGGCATTTAGGGGCTTCGTCTGGGGATGGATTAAAGGGCCTGGGCTCCTGGGGAGGAGCTCCCCTGTTCTCCCGGGCTTTCCTCGGTCTCCCACTCCCCTCACCCTTTGTGGATTTTCCTGGGGGATTTTACTTTATTAAACGTTCATGAGCAGATATTCTGCTGCCAGGAAAGAAAAGCAATGACCAGAGATTCGGCTGTGAAAAAAAGAAAATGGAGGGGTTGGGACACCATATCATTCATAGGACCCCTTCATTCCAAAGCTCAGCATTGGGCTGAGGCCTGGGCGGAGGGCAATGGAGAGGTGCAGCGTGGGGGCTGAGTGCGGCTTGGCTGGGTCCCCACCGGTGGCCACGGCACCTGCAAGGCCACAGGGACCCCATGCGGGGAATCCGTGGGCCTCTGTCGTGAACTGCAGCCAGGGACCCTGAAGGGCTCGGGCAGCTGGGGTGCTCTCTGCTTCTGCTGCACGCCTGGCTGGTGCCTGAGCAGCTCTGCGATGCGCATCATGGTCGGGGCTGTTTTGGGGCCGTTTCCAACACCAGCAGCGTCGTGGCTCCACAGCAGCAAGGCTTCCTGAAGGAAGAAGGGGGCTTCGCAGTATAGTTCGAGTCGGGCTCTGTTTCTTTCCATCCCAAACACATAGAGACGACCAAGGCCCTGATCCCAAAAGAAGAACCCAGGCTGCCGGCGATCCTGGGGACAACGATGTTAACTCAGGGACAGGCGCAGTCTCTGGACCAGGCCAGGTCGTGGTGCACACACTCGATCTCTGCAGCGTTTCCCACATGGGCACTGCGGACCGGGAATGTCAGGGGAACGCGGGCACCGTGGACCGGGAATGCCAGGGGATCGTGGGCACCGCCGACCGGGAATGTCAGGGGAACACGGGCACTGCCGACCGGGAATGTCAGGGGAACGGGGGCACTGCAGACCGGGAATGTCAGGGGAACGTGGGCACTGCGGACCGGGAATGTCAGGGGAACGTGGGCACGGCTGACCGGGAATGTCAGGGGAACGCGGGCACGGCCGACCGGGAATGTCAGGGGAACGTGGGCACTGTGGACCGGGAATGTCAGGGGAACGCGGGCACGGCTGACCGGGAATGCCAGGGGAACGCGGGCACTGCGGACCGGGAATGCCAGGGGAACACGGGCACTGCCGACCGGGAATGTCAGGGGAACGTGGGCACGGCCGACCGGGAATGCCAGGGGAACACGGGCACTGTGGACCGGGAATGTCAGGGGATCATGGGCACTGTGGACTGGGAATGCCAGGGGAACACGGGCACGGCGGACCGGGAATGTCAGGGGAACGCAGGCACGGCTGACCGGGAATGTCAGGGGATCGCGGGCACTGCCGACCGGGAATGTCGGGAACGCAGGCACTGCGGACCGGGAATGTCAGCAGAACGGGGGCACTGCGGACCGGGAATGTCAGGGCAAGAGGGAAGTTGTTTGCTAGCTTGTCATATGTTTAGCTAATTATTTAATTTCCCTAATTTAAAGTTTCACCGGATTAACATCAAAACAAAAATCTTGTGATTGCAGCATCATAAAGCAATAATGTAATTAACTTGTTTAGGGTAACTTACTAACTTGGCTGATTGCAAGGCATGGGGTCTGGGGGCACCACACTTGAGGTGGTCGGGGCGCTTGTCAGGCCCAGGCTCCTGGCCTCAGCGCGGCGCCCAGCTCCCGGTGCACAGGGCTCCCAGGCCCCGGTGAGGATCAGGCCACTGTGCCGCCTCAGGGAGTGGGTGCCGGCCTCACCCCCAGGGCTGGGGCTCTCACTCAGGCTGCGGGCAGGCATCTCCTTGGCCCAGAAGCTCTGACCTTGGCCACAGTTGGGTTTTGAGCACGCAGCCCAGCAGAAATGCCGTTCCGAAGCCGTGCAGGCTGTGCAGGCCGGGACACCCTGCTAACCAGGAGTGGAATTGAGAACAGGATTTCTCTACACCACGAGTTCCTCCCAGAACTCTGGAACAGATTCCAATGTTGTTTGAAAAGTTACCAAACCCTGTTTGATCAGCATCCATTGCTGAGAGAGCAGCTTTCTCTCTTCCCCTTTTCCTCCTCCCCTCTCCCACCTCAGCTTCCACAGAGGTGGCGTGCATGGCGGGAACCGTCTGTCCTATCGGAGCCTGGAGACCCTGGGTCTTTCCCTTCAGCAGCTTCCACAGAGGTGGCCTGCATGGCGGGAACCCTCTGTCCTATCGGAGCCTGGAGACCCCAGGTCTTTCCCTTCAGCAGCTTCCACAGAGGTGGCGTGCATGGCGGGAACCCTCTGTCCTATCGGAGCCTGGAGACCCCGGGTCCTTCCCTTCAGAAATCCCTGCCATCTGGTTTTGAGACTGGCTTTGGGGGACAGTGGCCCTGGTGGGGATTCGGGCATGAAAGGCCCCCTGTTGAGGTCGAGCCTGGCAGCATGGGGGGACTCGCTCGTCTTCGTGGTGGGCCTCACAGACACAGCCATCTGGGCACACAAGAGCATTCTGGCCGTGCATGTGTGCAAATGAGAACCGTGTGCTTCAGAAACAGACTGGAGCGTGTGGGGACAGACGGGAACTCACACACACGTGAGCTGCCCCAGGCCCAGCAGACACTGAACGTGAGGTGGCTTGCTACAGCCAGTGGGCAGAAGGGGCAGGTTTTGGTGTTGGGAACCCAGTCCCCGAGGCTGAGAAACTGCCCACAAACCTCCTGCTGTTCTTTGAAGTGAGGGGTTCATTTTGCGTGGAGCCCGGAGCACAGAGCAGGCCCCATACCACCAGGCAAAGCCCACCTGGCTCACCTGCTCCCTAGCCCCGAGATGGTTTCAGGATGAGGCAGTGTGGTCAATTTGGAGAAAAATCATAAAACCAATTCAAGCCTGGCTGCCCAGGTTTTGGGATCCACCAACTGGGCTGCTTTTTCTCAATTTTAGCCACATCGCCCTCAGTTCGAGGAAGTACTTCCCATGAGCTTGTGCTATGGTGTGAATGTTTGTGTCCCTCCAAAATTCACACTGAAACGTCATCCCCAGTGCCATAGTACGGAGCCTTCGGGAGGTCAGTAGGCCGGGAAGGCTCTGCCCTCACCAATAGATTAGTGCCAGTAGATACAAGGGCGGGAGGGATGAGTCCGTTCCTTCTCTCCCTTCTGCCATGTGAGGACACAGCACCGCTCCCCTCCAGAGGACACGGCAGCAAGGCACCATCGCAGAAGCCAGGAGCCGCTGTCCCCAGACTCGAGGCTGCAGTGCCTTGGTCTTGCACTTCCTGGCTTCCAGAACTGCGTGAAATACATTTCAATGCTTTATAAATGACCCAATCACAGGTGTTCTGTTACAGCAGCACAAACACACTAAGACAGCTTGGTAGAATTTTCTAGAAGCTATCTGCTGATTAAACAACAGGGAAAAGGTGGAGTCTGAGAGGGAGTAGTGTGTGAAGGGGCCCTGCTGGGAGAGGTTTTGGGAATCTGTGGGCGGCTTTATAGTTCTTGGCACTTTCATTTTCCTCTTGGGGGTCGGTTTGGTCTAGGTTCCCCCAGTGCCAACTCTGACCTAATGGGGGTTGGGTTTATCTGACAGGTGATTGCAGGAGGAGAGGGATGGAGGAAAACAGTGCCCAGGCTGGGACAAAGGGGGCTCGGCTCTACCGGCATTTATCCACCATCCCATCTCTCGGTGCGTTGACGCCCTGGGGAGCTCACCCCCAGGCAGAAGAGCACAGGTGCCTGGTGTGTTCGTGAAGCATCCTCAGAACCTGGGGGGGTGTCTAGGGTCCTCAGAACCTGGCATGGAGGGGGGTGTCTAGGGTGGGCTGAAGGGCATGCACAGCATCTCCCTTTAGGAGGAGGAAGCACCTGCCATCCAGCAACCCGCCGTGAGCGCCGTACTGCACAGTCCTCCCTCACCTCTCCGAGGACAGACTCTCCTGCAACTGAGGAGCTGGATGTCTGCCTTTTCTTACATTCTACATCTACCCTCCCTTTCTGAGTGGTGTCAGATCCTCGGCTTGGGAAGAAAATGCAGGCTGTGGTCTCTCAGACAGCTCTTCATGGTGACACATTTGCTCGGCACCTGCTGTGTCCCCAGATCAATGCCAGTGGCCTGGGGTCAGAGGGCAGGTGCACGATTTGGGTCCAGTTTTTCCCAGTGGGTCATATGTGGATCTGGGGCAAGAACCACCACCCAAGAGGACGCTACTGGCATGCAGCCCTGAGCATTTTTCTGTTTTTCTTTCTCAGCTTTACATGTTCAGGGTGTAGTCAGATGGCTGTGTGCAACTGCAGTTCACTTTCAAAGCTGTGTATCTGTTTTGCGAATGTGCCGCCGTTTCTTTACCTGCTCATTGGCTGGTTTTGTGGATGTGCTACCATCTCATTGGTCAGTTTTGTGAATGTGCTGCTGTCTATTTACCTGCTCATTGGTCGGTTTTGTGGATGTGCTACCATCTCATTGGTCAGTTTTGTGAATGTGCCACTATCTATTTACCTGCTCATTGGTCGGTTTTGTGGATGTGCCGCCGTCTCATTGGTTGGTGGCATTTGCGTGGTCCTCAGCTTTGGGTTGTTTTAGACTCAGCTTCCTGAACACTCTTGTCCGGGTCTCTCATCTTCTGAACACTCTTGTCCAGGTCTCGCATCTTTCACTTTGGCTGTTCTGTGGGTGTGTCGTGCGTCTCATTGTTTGATGACTGAATCGCCATTATAATAGCATGAAGGTGCAGCTCACAAGCGTCCACACAGGCGAATTCACGTGGTGGCTCCAGAGGAATGTTGGCCTTGCAGAGTCTTGGCATCTCCGTGGCTTCCCATGAGCCTGCGAGAATGCTGGGCCTGTGATGGTGACAGCGAGTCTTCCCTGTCCTCAGGGGTGCGGCCTTCACCTTGGAAACATCATTTGTCCCCCTCTGTTTGGGTTCAAGTCAGGTTCAGTGACTCACTAGAAAGACAGACCTGAGAAACGCAGTTCTAGTCCCGATTATGGTTTATTAAAACAAAAAGACGCGTTAAACTCAGTGAAGAGGAGACGCTTGTGGAGCAGTCATGGGCGGCAGGCATGAGCTGCTGGGAGTGCTCTCCCGTGGAGCTGTATACACAGCACTGTTTCTCCCAGCAGCCAGCCCGGGAGGCTCGCCTGAGCTTTGGTGGCCATGGTTTTTACTGGGGCTCAGTCATGTAGACTTGGAGTCCCTGTGTGGCTGACCCTAGTTACTCAGTCTCAAGCTGACCCTGTGTGGCCCCAACCTGAAATCCCATCATTTCCTTAGACTACCCAACGTGGCCCAAAGCCCCCAAAATACAATGTTCTAATGGCTCAGGATGGCTTCCCAGGTGCTCGTTAATTGCTGGACTTTTATTTGGAATGTGTGGGGTGTGGGCAGCCCAGGCCTGCTGAGCTCACCGTCACTGCACGCCCTCTGATGTGGCCTGGCTCCAGGCTGTTGGCAATCTGACCCTCACTCCTGGGGTTTCCACAACTGTGAGTTCCCTGGCGGGCCCCTGAGGGAAGTTCTAGAGAAGAAAGAGGAACACAGGATCAGCCTCAGGCTCTGGGAGGAGAACTGGACCCCATTGTTTGGGCTTGGACAGCTGTCCAATTGCTCAGGACCTGGGTGCTGGGTGGAGGCCTCATCAGCAAGTGTCCTGACTCCACGGGTGGAGGGATCTCACACTGCCCACCACAGTGGCAGCCTCAGAGTAAGCACGAGCCTCTCGCCCTCCATGCGTGTATAAACAACATGGCTGGTGGGTGCCTAGGCCCCCAGGGAGGCCCCTGGTATGAGGCCAGCGGAGGGGGCGGGTAGGGAGGAGCCCTCTCTCTTGCACTTAGGTCTCTGGAGTGACAGGGATGGCCCTGCCCCACTGACCCAGGCGTTCACCCCAGAGAAGCGTGCAGGCAGGTGAGAAGCTTGTTTGGACCTGAAGACCAGCCTGAGCGAGGAGAGTCTTGTGCAGACGGTTTATCCAGGAGGAGCCCGGGGAGAGGGGGGTGGGAAAAGCCACAGTTTTGGAGGTCAGCAAGGTCATGTGGGGGCAGACTCCTCCTCCTCCTCCTCTTCCTCCTCCTCCTCTTCCTCCTCCTCCTCTTCCTCTTCCTCCTCCTCCTCCTCTTCCTCCTCCTCCTCCTCTTCCTCCCTCCTCTTCCTCCTCCTCCTCTTCCTCCTCCTCTTCCTCCTCCTCCTCCTCTTCCTCCCCTCCTCCTCCTCTTCCTCCTCCTCCTCTTCCTCTCCTCCTCCTCCTCCTCTTCCTCCTCCTCCTCCTCTTCCTCCCCTCCTCCTCCTCTTCCTCCTCGTCCTCTTCCTCCTTCTGCCAGGACCCTTCTTCCAGGACCCCTGAGAAGCGCATAGAATAGCGTCCAGGACTGTCTGCCCCAGGCACGCTGACCACTGGCTCCACTCCCCTGGGCAAGGGTCGCCCCTGGGCTGCTGCCTCCCAGCGACACAGGCAGGACCCAGAAGCCTGGTAGAAAGTGACCATGTGTGGCAGGTACAAGAGGCCGAGTGCGGTCAACTTGAAGGGACAGGAAGCCTGCAGGCAGTGACCACTCTCTAGGCTGTGCTCAGAGGAGAGGCCAAGGGGACACAGGCACCAGGGCCGTGGGACACACCTGGGCTACCCCAGCTCCTATCAGGCAAGCACCTGGAGCCTCACTGTGGAGGGGAGACTGTGGCCGCCGGGGCGAGGGTGACACAGGGACACCTGCTGGAGAGGGGAACCCAGGGCTGGCTCATCCACTGCGGCCATAAAACTTCAGCTTTTCCTGGATGGTCACTGTGCTTGGCCAGAGGTCACTGGTGGGACCAGACTCTGGCCAGGCTTTGAGACATACGTGCCTTTCCGTGTGGTAGGCCTGACCTTGGAAGGGGAGGCCAAGACCTCCACCCCCTCCCCTCCGCCCTGGCCTGCGCTGCTGGGAAGTGGATTTGGAGGCTCTGTTGCTCTCTGCACAGCCCCTCCTGGCCTGGCGGCCCTTCTGGAGCCTGGGAGCAGAGGTGAGGCTGGCATGGGCACGAAATGTGGAAATGCTCCACGCCCCCAGGGCTTGCAGGGGAAGCGACCGACGTAGGTGTGTGGCCCTCAGGGACAGCCCCGGGAAGGGAAGTGGCCGATGTAGGTGTGTGGCCCTCAGGGACACTCCCAGGAAGGGACTGGGCTGCAGAGGACCCGCTCAGGGAAGCCCGGCCCAGGGCAGGGCAGGTGCTGACCCTCTGCATCTCTGCCCATGGTGTTTCCCCCACCTGGAGTGCCCTGGCCAGTGGCTCAAATCCTCCATGGCCTCGAGCCTCCCCTTTAGGTTCCAATGCCGTGCTCCACACAGGGTGCTGTGTCCAGTGTCACTGAGTGAATGGGAGAGTACATGAGGGATACCATCGAGGGGAGTCTCTGCTGGGCCCCACCTGCTCCCCAACCACACACTCCCCCAGACATTCCTCTATCGAGGGCAGTCTCCCCCAGGTCCTACACAGTCCCCCAGCCATTCCTCTATGGAGGGCAGTCTCCCCCAGGCCCTATACAGTCCCCCAGCCATTCCTCTATCGAGGGCAGTCTCCCCCGGGCCCCACACGCCCCCGCAGCCATTCCTCTATCGAGGGCAGTCTCGCCCGGGCCCCACACGCTCCCCTAGACATTCTTCTGGGCCCCGGGGCATCTGTGTGGCTGCTGGGACCCCCACAGGGGTGGCGGGTGTGGCTGCCCCTGAGAATCATGCTCTGTAGTGTCCCGCCCCTGGTGCAGAGAATCATGCTCTGTAGTGTCCTGCCCCTCGTGCAGAGTATTATGCTCTGTAGTGTCCCTCCCCTGGTGCAGAGGATCATGCTCTGTAGTGTCCTGCCCCTGGTGCAGAGAATCATGCTCTGTAGTGTTCTCCCTGGTGCAGAGAATCATGCTCTGTAGTGTCCTCCCCGGTGCAGAGAATCATGCTCTGTAGTGTCCTCACCCCGGTGCAGAGAATCATGCTCTGTAGTGTCCTCCCCGGTGCAGAGAATCATGCTCTGTAGTGTCCTCCCCCCGGTGCAGAGAATCATGCTCTGTAGTGTCCTGCCCCCAGTGCAGAGAATCATGCTCTGTAGTGTCCTCCCCCCGGTGCAGAGAATCATGCTCTGTAGTGTCCTCCCTGGTGCAGAGAATCATGCTCTGTAGTGTCCTCCCCCCAGTGCAGAGAATCATGCTCTGTAGTGTTCTCCCCCCAGTGCAGAGAATCATGCTCTGTAGTGTTCTCTCCCCAGTGCAGAGAATCATGCTCTGTAGTGTCCTCCCCCCGGTGCAGAGAATCATGCTCTGTAGTGTCCTCCCCCTGGTGCAGGATCCGGAGGGGCTGCCAGGCCAGGCTCTCAGGGAAGGTCTGCGGATGCCCAAGTGCCTGCACACCTCTGAGGGCCCGTGGCAAGTGTAGAAAGCAAGCTCTGGGCAGGGCTGGCTGCTGCCAGCCTCCCACCTCCTTGGTTCCTCCTTTGTCCTGCAGGCTTGTCTCTTCCAGTCTTAACAATGCTGCTCTCAAAAGTCTGAAGCCATAGAATCCCTTCGAACAGCTGATTCCTCTGGAGAATCCAAAAACATAACTCAATTCCCAAAATTTAACTTTTTATACAACTTGCAGGACTTGATGTGGCGTATGGAGCACTGACCGTCCATGTGGCAGGACTCAGAGGACGCGGGCAACACAGTGCCCAGGACAGAGAGGCCACAGAGGAGCAAACGGGCAGGCCGAGGACAGTCAAGACCAAGGGGTGCCAGGCAGGGTGTGGGCTTCTTGGGCCCACAATGACGGGCCCTCCATCGGGATCCTGTGGGGCAGGCCAGGGGCAGGGGCAGGTGGCCTCATAAGCCCTTGAGGAAGGTGCAGGGGGAGTTGCTCCCACTCCATGGCTGGGGGACAAGGGGAATTGCATTTCCAAGGGGGCTGAGCCAAGCATCCTCAAAGGCGGCAGTTTTGGAGCGAGTTGGCACCATAAGCACAGAAGACAGCAAACGTTAGACCCTCTCCCAACTGTGGCGGCCTGGAGGGAGCTCATGCCACCTCTTCTCGAAGGGAGCGCCCTATGACCTCCTCAGGTGAAAAGACAGAGGGCAGTGCTGGCAAGGGCACCCCAGACCGCCCCCACCACAGGTCGGGGAGATGCTGCAGGTGCCTACAGGACACTCAGCTTGCAGTCATGGGAGGTCACCGCCACCCCCCTGCGGGGCCTCCTGAGAACTGAGGCCAACAGAGCGCCCTGCATGCCCAGAAATGCAACATGCTCTCCCTTCCTTCCCCTGCAGGACCCCTCTTCAGTCACTCACTCCCTTCCTTCCCCTGCAGGACCCCTCTTCAGTCACTCATTTTGGGGCAATTGAAGGCTTTATTTGGAAAAGACATACCAAATTTCCTCAGCTGAGCAGATTTTTAAGTAGCAAATTATTATCAACCCGAACTGGGAGGCCAAGTCGTCTGTAGACCCTGTGAGGAGCTGGGAGGTCACTTCCCTTTCCTCTGGGTGGAAGGGGACGCCTGAGAGCCAGGGGCAGAGGAAGAGGCAGAAAGGAGGGAGGGGACAGGGAGAGAAACTGCAGGTGGACAGACAGGCAGGGCCTGGAGTCCTGGAGCTCAGAGGGGACAGGAGCCCACCCACAGGGACAGCCCAACTCTGTCTTGTCTTTTTGCAAAATGCTCAAGCTCAAAGCCCGGCTGAGGCTGCTTTAAATTAGATGCTGCCTCAGCGGGTCCCTCTGGAGTTGTTGGAAATCTAATTAGCCAGGCAGCCTGGCACAAATGTCCTAATTCCCTGACGCTGGGGGACGCGAGTGTCTCTTTGCTGCTGGGGTTCCCGGCCTCAGCCTGGCCTTTGCACTCTGCTTGTTTTCCAGGATGATGCCTATCAGAAACCCTAATTGTTTTTTCAGAAACGGCTAATTAATTAGGCTCAGCCTCTTGAAAGGCACTTAAAATACTAACGACTTGCTAAAAAAGGGCAGGACTTGAAAGCAAAGCCAAGGTCCAAAGTGCCCACCAGCGTGAGGGGTCTGCTGCCTCCCTGCGGGGAAGCCCTGGCAGAGCCCCTTGCTTTGCTGCTCACAGAGTCCAGGACATGAGAGCCGAGCCCATGCACCAGTGACTCACGCCCCGGCACAGATGAGCCCAGAGCCCGGAACAGAGGCCGTAGCAAGACCCCGGGAGCCCAGCCTCCCCTACCCCTCCAGCCCCGCTCTGGGCCCCAGGAGGCTGACCTCCATGGATGTCCCAGCAATCTGTCTCTGGCCTCTGGGTGGGTGTGGCCAATGGAGTCATCCGGGACACGGAGGTGGGAAGGGACTGGGCCCTCCTTATCAGGTCTGAGGGTCAGGGGCCCTACATCTGCTTGTCCCTGTTCTCAGCGCCAGGCTCACCTCATCCCCTGCCCCTTGTCAGAGCTCCTTCTTTGACCCTCCCCAGGGGTCCAGCTCACTTGTTTGTTAGTGACCTCATCACAGACAAGTTCTCAGCCCTCCCATGGGGCGGTCGGTCCTTCAGGCACTGGAAATACAGCGGTGGACACAGTGGTGGACCTCCCGGTATGTCCTCTGTTCGACTGAACAGTCGGGTTGCGGGGCCTCCAGGAGCTCTGTGAGCCCGTGCTCAGGTGCACACAACAGAAGTACTCCGCTGACGCCCACCCCTTTCACTCAGCTCTCGGTTCAGTCATCGCCAAGCAACTGAGAGCCTTTGTGAAGAGGCTTCCTGCCCTCTTCATCTTCCACAGACACGCTCTTCTTCCTTAAGCCCAGGCATACACAGACACAGTGAATGCACACACAAAGACACACACCAGTGTGCACACTGCTCTGGAATCCACAGGTTCTATAAATATCTAGAAATGATATCTGAAAGTGCATTGTTATATGCGCTGGTCTGTGATGGTTACGGTGATGGTGATTCCTCCTTCCGGAGGATGGCGCGGCTGCAGCCAGAGGGAGATTAGGTGGCGGAGGCTTCGATGACCATTTACATTTTACGAGTACTTATTTTGAGTGTGTATTTGGAAAAATTAAATTTGTATATCAAGCCCATGATTTCACAGATATTTTTGCTTAGGTCAAAGGCTAAAACAGGTATTTAAATCAATTCGTTTATTTAACTTAAAGAAAAATATGACGGGTTAAGGTTGGGCTTCCCCAGAAGTAGATCCCGAAGCAGGAATGGGAGGTGTCCCAGCGTGGCGGCGAGTTACTTCAAACTGGGTGGCTTTAAGTAACGAGGATTCATTCCATCTCCGTTCTGGAGCTGGACATCTGAAAGCAAGCTCTGGGCAGGGCTGGCTCCTGTGGAGGCTCTGGGAGGGGGTGTGGTTTCTTCCTGGTCCCTTCCAGCTTCTGGTGGCTCCAGGCCTTCCTTGGTGTCCCCGGCTTGCAGCCGCATCACTCCAATCTCTGCCTCTGTTTTCCGTGGCGTTTTTCTCCAAATCTACCTGTCTCAGCTTCTCCATCTCTTATGAGGGCACCCTTCATGGGATTTGAGGCCCACTCTAATCCATGATCCTTACCCTAATTACATCTGCAAAGACCTTATTCCAAATAAGGCCACATTCTGTGGTTATGGGTGGACATATTTGGGGGCCCTGTTCATCCTACTTAAGGAGGGAAAGTTGTTTATTTTGGAGGTGACTCTGAGAGCACAGCAGCAGGTGAGTGGGAGGTGAGATGCCCAGTGACCAGGGCGGCCATCAGGCAGGCCACGGCCAGGCTTCTGGGCTCAGCCTCACCAGGTCCTCAGCTGCCCAGGGCTTTCTCACCCAGGACCTGCCTGGAGACTGCTCCGGGGCCATCAAGTCCCCGGCATGTCAGCCCACCCTGGCCAGAAACAGCCTGGTCAAGGGGCACAGGGCTGTGGAGTTGGGGTGCCCAGGAAGGGGAGAACCAGCGGGGTCCATGGGCCAGGAGAGTCCAGCCTTGAAGATGGGGGTGTGAACCACACAGTCACGGTCTCAAAGGCACAGAGCTTTGAAAGCAAGGTAGTAGCTCCTCAAGCCCTCTGGGCACGCCCCACCAGGGTTTGTGTGTGGAGTTAATAGGGGGCAGTTCCAGGAGCACACCAGAGGGGCCGGGGCAGCCGGAGGGGCCAGGGCAGTGGAGGGCTGGGCAGCTGGGGCCCAACCCCAGTGGGGACTGAGAGGCCTCGTGACTGCTGCCTCAGATCCACCTCTGAAGGGCGGGAAGCCTGGGCTCTCCCTGTCCCCCACAAACCAGGGCTGGGGTGTAGCTGGGGGGTGTGGAGTGAGGCTGGTGAGAGGTGCCCGACGGGAGAAGGGCCCCGGTCCAGCAGCTTTCCCTGATCAACCAAGGGGGATCTATTTTGTTTGTAAAAAGCTGATTATCATAGATAAATGTGTCTAATTAGTCTCATTTGCTGACACACAAGCCTTTAATTGCAAGTTGAATAATTAGACATATCTGCATATGTAAATGATACAGTTATACCCTATGTCAGTCTTTAACGTGATTCCTCCAGAGACAAATAATTCTATTTCAGGAGAGAATATGATATATTAATTTACATAGACAAACAACTTTATTTAGAACCAGCAACTCTCGTGTTTGTTTACATAAAGTAATAACTCGAGAAATGGGAAAGATCGATGTTGCAGCAACATCTGGAGGCTCCTAACCTGCAGGGGAGTCCCTGGCAGCCTCCCACGGGAGCTGGGTCTTCCTCCGCCCTCCTGGGGCCCCAGTCCTCCCACGTGGACAGCAGCTCTGGGCCTGGGGGTGGGCTGGGGCCCAGGCCATGGGGTCTCCCTCCCCTCTTCCCCCTCCACCCTCCCTCATGCCATGCTTCCTCCTCTGCCCCTTGTCCTCGCTGGGTGGCAGGATGGGTGAGATGCCCGGTGGCCCTGCAGGCCTGCAGCTGGCCCAGTGCATGTGGGTGTCCCCTCTCCATGGCTGTGCCCTGCATGCTGGCAGAGCTGCCAGGGGCAGCTTGGAGCAGGAGCAGCTGGAGCTTGGGTCCTGATTCAGGCAGTGCTACAGCCGGCTCCCTGCCAGGCCCTGGGTCAGCTGCCCACCTCCCCAGTGGGTGTCATGCTCAGCAGCCTCAGGACAGGGCTGGGGGGCTGGCTGGTGCCGCCTGCCTCTGTCAGGCCCCCGGCCTCCACTCTGGCTGAGTACATCGTCTCCTCTCTGAGCTGGGCAGGGCAGCCACTGGCGACCCCTGGCATCCTCCGGGTCTGACTGGCGGGGACAGGGCTGCGAAAGCATTTGGAGGCCTGACCTGGAAGGAGGAATGAGGGGCCAGCTGAGGGCGTCCCAGGCAGAGCCAGGCTTGCGATGCCCAGGGTGCCCGGGGCACAGAGTGGCCCGGCCGCTCCCACACCCCTTCCCCCTTCCCTGGGCCCGTGGTCACATGGGTTTCGCTGGGAGGCAGAGCGTGAGGAATTTGGCTCTGGTGGAATGAGGACGGCTGCACTCCCTGCTTTGCAGAGGGCCCGCACAGCAGCCCGTCACTGTGGCAACCGGCTCCGTGATGCTGGCAGGAGCTGACATCGTCCCAATTCGCCCCTGTGGTCCCTTTTGGTCCCCCTCCCCTCGACCGCCAGGAGCCGCTGTGGATCGAGTTGGCCAGCAGAGGGCAGCAGAGGGCTGGCGGGGCTGGCGGGGCTGGCGGGGCTGGCGGGGCTGGCAGTGGACGCCACACTTTGGGGTCTCCAGGCCCCCAAGTCTTCTGGGGAAAGCAGCAGACAGGCGACAGCCACAGGGATGGGGAGGCGCCATCACTACTGCAACCACTGGGGGTAGCCCTTGGCCCGTCTGGGGGCATTTCATCTTTGGCAGAGCTGAGGGGTCCAGCACGTGGGCCTCTAAGGAGGGGTCTCCCGCCCACCGCCCCCAGTGCTACTGTGACCGCGGCGGCTCGGCCCCGCCTGCACTCCCAGGTTCTCACTCATGCAGTCACTCACTCATTCGCTCGCTCATTCACTCGCTCATTCACTCATTCATTCACTCGCTCATTCACTCATTCACTCATTCACACACACTCATTTGTTCACTCATTCCTTCACTCAATCATTTACACACTCATTTGTTCACTCATTCATTCACATACTTATTTGTTCACTTATTCATTCCTTCATTCACTCATTCATTCACACATACTCATTTGTTCACTCATTTCCTTATTCACTCATTCACACATGCACTCATTTGTTCACTCCTTTTTTCATTCATTCATTCACACACACTCATTTGTTCACTCATTCATTCACTTATTCACATACACTCACGCATTTGTTCAGTCACTCATTCCTTCATTCACTCACTCATTCACACACACTCATTTGTTCACTCACCCATTCACACACACTCATTTGTACACTCACACACAATCATTTGTTTACTCACTCATTCACATTCACTCATTCATGCACACACTTACTGATTCATGCACACACTTATTTGTTCACTCACTCTTGTTCACTCATTCATTTCTTTCACTCATTCACTCACACACATTCACTCATTCATGGACACACTGATTCATACACACAGTTGTTCACTCACTCATTGCTTCATTCACTCGTTCACTCACATTCATTCACACATTCATTTGATCAGTCATTCATTCATGCAATCATTTGTTCACTCATTCCTTCACTCATTCATTCACACACTCATTTGTTCACTCCTTTCTTCACTCATTCATTCACACACTCATTTGTTCACTCATTCCTTCACTCAATCATTCACACACTCATTTGTTCACTCACTCATTCCTTCATTCACTCATTCACACACTCATTTGTTCACTCGCTAATTCAATCATTCATTCACACACACTCATTTGTTTACTCACTCATTTGTTCACCCACTCATTCCTTTAGTCACTCATTCATTCACACACTCACTTGTTTGCTCACTCATTCCTTCACACACATGCACTCACTTGTTCACTCACTCATCCACACACATTCATTAATTTATTTACACACACTCACTCACTCATTTGTTTACTCAGTCACTCCTTTGTACACAGGGAAAGAGTAAGGTACCTTTCCCTCCTGTTCAGCTGCTGCCAGAAGCAGTGTCCAGTTCTCCTGGTCTAAGCAGGACTCAAGGTCCTGCAGCAGCTCAGCAGCCCCTGGAGCTGCAGCGTCTCCTTTGTTCTCTCTGAAGGGGGCATGCCTTGGCCCCAACATTCTTGTCCTTCATTTTTTGAAGTTTCTTCCCCCTCTCTCCTGGCTAATCTCATATCTTAACTACCAATATAAGACAAAATATTTCTGTGACTTTCTTTCCAATTCAATAAATCCATCTGGTGAGAAGAGAAAAAAATGCAAGAAGAGAAGAGGCAATGCCGCACCCCAAACCCTGTCAGTCACTCACACTGAGGACATTTTCACGAGGCGTTAATGGGTGATGTTTGAATTCTGGTTGCCAGCACAGATCAGGGCAAAGCTCTTGTAAAACTCTATTAAAGTCTGTGGATCCAGCTGAGACACAGGGCTGGGAAACAAAGTTAACTGTTCTCCCTCCTGAGCGGCTTGTGGTTCAGGAAACACCCCCAAGCCCCTGCCTTGGGGGATCTGTGGGTGAGAGGGAAGCATATTTGGATACAGCTTCAAGAGAGAGGTCCGACTGCTCTGTGTGTACACGTGTGTGTGGATTGCCCTGTGTGCACCAGCTCTGTGAGTGCCTGCATGGGAGTGTGTACACACCTGTGCTCTGTGTGCATCCTCAAACACACCACACCAACAGGGGTCTGGCATTGCCTCCCTACGGTGCTCATGGTGAAGTCCTCGGACTCCAAGCCCCTCTTCTGCGCCAGCAGTGACCAGGCTGTGGTCAGCATGGCCTGTTGGTGGCCTTTGACTTCCTCTGTTGGCAGATGGCTTGAGGCCCCCCAGTTCAGGGCCACAGGTGACTTCCCCCTTTCCCAGGTGGTGGGGCCCTGTAGGCTTGACCAGCCCCAGGCTCCAGAGCGCACAGAGGTGGCTGTCCACAGAGCGCGGGAGGCATGGGAGGGTGTGCTGCTGCCTGCTGGTCATCCAGCTCCTCGCCCATTAAGGAGCCCGCTTTCCCCTTTGGGAGGCCACAGGGGCTGGCGAAGGCCCTTCAGCTGTGGCTCAGGTGGGCTGGGCACCACTGCAGGAGAAGCCTCCTCCAGATGGGAGGAGGTAGGAGGTGCCTCCTCCAGATGGGAGGAGGTAGGAGGTGCCTCCTCCAGGATCAACCCCAGCTCCTTAGCACCAGCGAACAGACACAGTAGACACACGCAGGAACAAGCACATGTCCCAGGCTGCACCGTCTGTGTCTTTCCCTTTTTGGGGTCCTTGCATTTCACCCTTACCTGGTTCTGGATTCAGCTTTTAAGGGCACACTGATTGGCAGCCAGGCCACTGTGAGCGCTGGCTCCAAATGTCCTTTTGTTTTGTTTTGTTTTGTTTTGTTTTTTGAGATGGAATCTCTGTCTGTCATCCAGCCTGGAGTGCAGTGGTATGATCTTCGCTCACCTCAACCTCCGTCTCCCGGTTTGAGTAATTCTCGTGCCTTAGCCTCCCCAGTAGCTGGGATTACAGGTGTGCACCACCATGCCCAGCTAGTTTTTTTGTATTTCTAGTAGAGACGGGTTTTCACCATGTTGGCCAGGCTGCTCTGGAACTCTTGGCCTCAAGTGATCTGCCCACCTCAATCTCCCACAGTGCTGGGATTATAGGTGTGAGCCACTGCGCCCGGCTTCCAAATGTCCTTGACAACGGCCACAGCATAGCCTGCAGCCAAGGGGCGAGGGCTGATCGCGAGGGCCTGTGGTCATTCCTCCACCTTCGGTGCCCTGCCTGGGCACCCCCGTGCAGCTACCACGTGGGGAAGGCACTTGGCCTCTTCCCTCATCTGCAGACTCAGCCAACTTCTGGGGCTCCCTCGGCAGTTGGGGCTAACTCAGTGGGTCAGGTGGACCCCGGCTGTGCGTGCAGCCCCCGAGAGGGTCAGCAGGGGCGCGGAGGCCCCCTTGGCTCTGCTTTGTTCTGCCTGCGGCTCCGGTTGGTTTGTGATATCTTTGATTCCATCTCTTGCCCCCATGTGACCCCATCGTCTGCCTGGCCGGGGGCTCCCTTGTTGGAGTGTGGGGCGAGCCCCCACCCGTGTGGGAAGAGGAGAAGGCCAGGCTCTAAGCCCCACTCAGCTCCTCGTCCTCGGAGGGGTCCTGGCCCTAAGAGGGCTTGTTGGGGTCACGCAAGCTCACAATGGCTGTGGTCCTCAGCAGGTGGGACAATCGGGCTGTTTTCCGATGGTGTTTGGCAGAAAGTGGGAGTCAAAGCTTAGAAAAGCCCTGACAGAAATGGTTCCCTGAGGCTGGCGGGAGAGTGGCACTCGGGATATTAAAACAGCGAAGTCGGTCCTGGCCAATTATCAGCCAGCTGGCCTTGCTCCGGCGCCCAGAGCTCACAGGGTGAGTCACCATCTGCGGCTGAGCATCCCTGTTCAGTGAGGGAGACAGATCCTGTCCTGGTCCCTCCTCCCAGCTGTTTGTGGCCTCCCTCCTCAGGCTGCCTGGGAAGCTGTTTCAGAACCTTCCAGTCCCCTCCTGGCTGGCCCTGGGGCTCTGTGGAAGTCCTGCTTCCCCCAGCAGTGCCTGGCCCTTTGTCCCCGACCCAGGAAAAGGTGAAGTGGGGGTACTTCCTGTGCATGACACGCCCCCTTCCCTTCTCCCAGCCTCCTGCCTCGGGGCTCTGGCAAGAAAGAGGGCCTGAGCTGCAGGAGAAGGGCTTCCTTGAGCAGGAAGAAGCCCTGGCCCAGGGCAGGGTGCCCGGAAGGCGGAAGGATCCCAGCCCAAGCCACAGCCCCACCAGATGGGTGGGGGCCTTCATCACAAGAAAGATCAGAGAGTTGCCCTCTGAAGCCTTCGCAGTGGCCCTGACACAGGCTGCCAGGGATCCGTCACTCAAGGGAAGGCCCTGGGGGTGGGGGGCTCTGGCAGGGGTGACCACAGTGGTTAGGGGCCTGGGTGAGAAAAGGGACCCCTGATGTCCCATCAGGGCCGGGAGGGGAACTGGAGGACCTCCTGGCACTCCCTGGCCCCTCCTCTGGTGCCTAGCACCTTCCAGTGCTTTTCCCAAGAGGAAGGGAGAGCCTGGTTTCATTACTAAGCCCTCCATGTCCTGTCCGTGTCCGTGTCCTGTTTGTGTCTGCGTCCTGTCTGTGTCCATGTCCTGTCTGTGTCCGTGTCCTGTCCGTGTCCTGTCTGTGTCCTGTCCGTGTCCTGTCCATGTCCACGTCCTGTCTGTGTCCTCTCCGTGTCCGTGTCCTGTCCGTGTCTGTGTCCATGTCCTATTCATGTCCGTGTCCTGTCCGTGTCCTGCCTGTGTCCGTGTCTGTGTCCTGTCCGTGTCCTGTCTGTGTCCGTGTCCTGTCCATATCTGTGTCCGTGTCCTGTCCATATCTGTGTCCGTGTCCGAGTCCGTGTCTGTGTCTGTGTCCATGTCCATGTCCTGTGTCCGCGTCTGTGTCTGTGTCCATGTCCATGTCCTGTCTGTGTCCATGTCTATGTCCTGTCCGTGTCCTGTCAGTGTCCTGTCTATGTCTTGTCCATAACCTGTCTGTGTCCGTGTCCTGTCCATGTCTGTGTCCTGTCTGTGTCCTGTCTGTGTCCGTGTCCTGTCCATGTCCATGTCCTGTCCGTGTCTATGTCTTGTCTGTGTCCATGTCCTGTCCATGTCTGTGTCCGAGTCCTGTCCATGTCCATGTCCATGTCCTGTCCGTGTCTGTGTCCATGTCCGTGTCCTGTCCGTGTCTGTGTCTGTGTCTTGTCCATGTCCGTGTCCTGTCCATGTCCTGTCTGTGTCCGTGTCCTGTCCATGTCCGTGTCCTGTCCGTGTCCGTGTCCATGTCCATGTCCTGTCCATGTCCGTGTCCTGTCCGTGTCTGTGTCCATGTCCGTGTCCTGTCCATGTCCGTGTCCTGTTTGTGTCCTGTCTGTGTCCGTGTCCTGTTTGTGTCCTGTCTGTGTTCGTGTCCTGTCCATGTCCATGTCCTGTCCGTGTCTGTGTCCATGTCCTTGTCCTGTCCATGTCTGTGTCCTGTCCATGTCTGTGTCCTGTCTGTGTTCGTGTCCTGTCCATGTCCGTGTCCTGTGTTCGTGTCCTGTCCATGTCCGTGTCCTGTCTGTGTTCGTGTCCTGTCCATGTCCGTGTCCTGTCTGTGTCCATGTCCTGTCTATGTCCGTGTCCTGTCCGTGTTCTTCTTCACCCTGATGTGGGGGAGCTCTTTCGGCCTTTCCTTTACTGCAGCCCGAAAAGGAAAAAAGAGGGAAAAGCAGGCACATTTCTTGACCAGAAAAAATAAACAAAAACAAAAGCCCCTTGTGCTCCATGGGGGAGAGCGTGAAGCCCCCGAGCGCCACTGCCCCCGGTCCCAGGAGGCTCAAAGTCCTCTCTGCTCAGAGAGCCGGGGGTGCTTGGCCCCACCCTGTCCCCCTTCCCAGCCACTTGGTATTTACATGTACAGCTGGACCCCGAGAGAATCCCCATTCTAAGCCCAACAGTACATTCTGGGGCGTTTTAAAGAAGATAAGAAAGTAGCTCAGAGGTTTGCCAGGCTGCCTCATTCCTGGGATTTTTAGTGTGAGCCTTGGAGCTGGTGGGCTTGAATGTGGGGTTCCTGCAGTTGGGTCCCCCTGACGCCCCCGGCCCTTCCCTGTCACTCCGGGGTGTAATTAGGAGTGTCCCCCAGGATTGAGGGAGTGTGGTCTCGAGCTGGTTGGACTCAAGGCTGTTCTACTTTTTTCTCCAAGTTTTGTTTATTGTGGTAAAACACACATAAAATTTTATCATCTCAGCCATTTTTAATGAACAGTTCAATGACACTAAGGACATTCCCATGGTTGTGCCATCACCACTGTCCATCTCCAGAACGCCTTTCACCTTCCCAAACCCAGGCTCTGTCCCCATTAAACAGCTCCCCACGCCTCCTCCCCCAGCCCCCGGCCTCCCCTTTCTACTTTCTGTCTCTACAAATGTGGCAGCTCTGGGACCGCGTGTGAGTGGACACCTACAGTATTGTCCTCTGCGACTGGCTGATTTCATTAGCATGTCCTCAAGCTTCATCCACGTTGTAGCCTCCGTCACAATTTCCCTCCTTTTTAAAGGCTGAATAATATTCCATTGTGTGGATAGACACATTCTGTCTATTCATTCATCTCTCAATGGATACGGTTGCTTCCATGTTTTAGCTATTATGAACAATGCTGCTGCAAACATGGGTATAAAGTGTCTCTTTGAGATCCTGCTTTCAGTTCTTTTGCGGGTGCACTCAGCCGTGGAATGGCCGGATCACATGGTCATTCTGAGTTTTGTTTTGTTTTGTTTTGTTTTTTTGTTTTTGTTTTTTTTGAGACAGAGTCTTGCTCTGTCACCCAGGCTGGAGTGCAGTGGCGCGATCTCGGCTCACTGCAACCTCCGTCTGTTGGGTTCAAGTGATTCTTCTCTGTCAGCCTCCCCAATAGCTGGGATTACAGGTGCCGGCCACCACACCTGGCTAATTTTTGTATTTTTAGTAGAGACGGGGTTTCACCATGTTGGCTGGGCTGGTCTCGTACTCTTGACCTTGGGATCCGCCTGCCTTGGCCTCCCAAAGTGCTGGGATTACAGGCATGAGCCACTGTGTCCGGCCCATTCTGAGTTTTTTGAGGGAGTGCCATCCTGTTTTCCACAGTGGAGGCACCATTTTACATCCCCCACCAGCCGTGCACGAGGGTTCCAGTTTCTCCACATCCTCACCAACATTTCTTATTTTCAGCTTCTTCTTACGGTAGCCATCCCAGCGGGTGTGAGGCGCATCGCACTGTGGTTCTGATTTGCGTTTTCCTCATGGTTAGCGATGTTGTTTCACGTGCCTATTGGCCGTGTGTGTGTCTTTTTGGAGAAACACTTAGCCATGCCCTCCATGCATTTTTGAGTTGGGATTTTTGCTCTTATTGAGTTTTAGGAGTTCTCTGTACATTTTGGATGTTCATTCCTTATCAGATATATGATTTGCGAATATTTTCTCCTGTTTTCTGGGTTGCCTTTGATTCTGCTGAGATTGTCTGTTAAGGTGAATAATTTAAAGTTTTCCTGAAGTCCAGTGTGTCTGTTTTTTCTTTTATTGCCTGTGCCTCTGGTGTCATATCCAGGGAACCGTTGTCCAATCCAGGGTCATGAAGCTTTGTGAGGCTGTTCTACTTTATTTCCAGGGAGCTGCACAACCTGGGGTCTTCTCTGGGGCCGTGGGCTCTGAGGGCCGAAGGCCACGTTCCCCGGGTGTTGGTGTGGACCTCGGCACGGCCCCCACTGACCTGCATGGGCCGAGGTCCTGCAAGAGAACGGGCTCCATTTGCGTCTGAGGGCCAGGATGCCTGCACTGGGGATCACGCTGTGCTTCGGATGGAGCCTCCAATCTCGGGGATGCCATTTTACCCTGGAGGCCATCGGGCTTCATGCCCCACGGGCATTGTATCGGCTTCCGTGTGGCCCCGAGAGCAGGGCAATCCGAGGGCAAGGCCAAGGGAGTGGTGAGCGTGGCCTGCAGGGCGGAGCCAGGCGAAGTGGGGTGGGGCTGGAGGCCGCCCGGGCTCTGGTTGGTGGGCAGAGGCAGGAAGCCACTGGTAGCTCAGCACAGCACAGGGCTGATGTCAGGGGCGGCACCCAGCCAAGACCCAGGGAGCTGGGTGCTTTCAGCTTCTCTTTGCCAGTCAGCTGCTATGAGGGCCTAAGCAGTCCCCATGGCTTCCTGCTGAGACACCTAGGTCCCCCATGACTTCCTGCTGGGACAGAGACCCCCTCTGAGAGGCAGATGCCAACCCTGAGCAGGCCCCCGAGGTTCCCTCCCATTCTCCTGGTACCAGGGCTGGGAGGGCAGGGTTCCGGCCTGTGGCACTCAGGCTGGTGATGTCAGAATACGCTGCGGGTGCCCTGGACTCCTGCTCCGGTTCCCTGAGGGGTCATGACCTTGAGTACTCATGAGAGACAGCTTCTCACACTCACTTCCGCGTGCCTTCCCCAAACGCGGAGCTGCCTCCTGGTGCAGCCTGAGGCATTTTCTCATGGTCTGTCCAGAACAGTTTCTGGGTCAGATTCAGTTTTCAGAAGCAGAAGCCACAGCATTCGTCCTCTGCTCCGTCCACACGCGGCACCCACCCCAAGGAGGCGGCACAGCCTGGCGCCAGCCACAGGGCTCAGCAGAGAGAGGGGAATTAAACAGCCACTGGCTGGGAAAGGACGTTTCAAGGGCGTACCACGCGGCCAATTCAATGGAAAACCAAACTGCAAGCGGGAATGTGCATCAGAACCAGCCCGGAGCCAGCAGGCGTTGCTGGAGCAGGGTGGTGGGAGGTGGCGTTCCAGGCCTGGTTGCACTCCGGTTTGTCCTTCAGGTGCGTGAGGCCGCCTCTGCCATGGCTCTAGGCACGTCCCTGCCAGTGGGGGCTCCAGCATAATCCCTCGTCCTGCAGACACAGCACCCCCCACCCCCCGCAGGAAGTGCTGCATCCGGCTGCCTGGGCCGTGGTGCCCCTGGGGTCAGGGACGTGGCAGGTGCGGAGGCCGTGCTCGGTGCCAGGCTCTGAGAGGTGACATTGCCTCACCTGGGTCGAGCTCCAGCCACCGAGGACGATGGAATGACTGGGGTGTCTTCCGGGAGCCGTTTGATTGTCTCTGGAGAATCAGCCGAGGCTGGTGCCGCCTTGGAGCAAAAACAGGGGAAATGAGACTCCACACCTTCTGCCAAGACTTTAATTCTCTTCCAAGCTTCAGAACTGAAATAATTTTAGAAGTCATTGTTCATCAGCTGGCTCTGTTTTCCACAGCTTAAAAATGTCCTGAATGGTTGTGGAGTCAGGGTGCTAAAATAACAACGCAAACCGGGAGGAGGCCGGGATGCAGACAGAAAGAGAGGACCCGGCCTGAACCAAGCACTGGCCACGGAGGCTCGTGGCAGCGCTGAGGGGAGGACGGTAGCCTCCTGCCTGTGGCTGCCGGGGCTCACATCTGAGCGCCACTGGCTTACCAGGACTCCGACTGGGCTTGCCAGGCAGCGGCCCTTGGGAACCGGGGACGTCCAGGCAGCCAAGGCCTTGCTCTCAGCCATGCATGCCACTGGCCTTCAACAGGCTTTCCTTAGGTCGGCATTTTAAACAAACCCCAGGGTGGGTCCTGGTGAGGATGCTCTGTTCTCTGTGCTGTCCTCTAACTGCAGGGACGCTGGGTCCGCAGCTTCCATGGGCTGGGCGGCTCTGGTTTGGGCCGGGGTGGATCCTGGCTGTGCATTCGTGGACATCAGCTTCTCTAGGGTTTGGGATGGGGGATGGTTTATCTCAAACCCCCAACCCCTCACTGGACCTCAGGCCTGCTGCAAAGCAGAGGCTAGGGTTGGCTTTAACTCGCTGCCCCATGCAGGCTGCGGACACTCCAGGAGATGCTCTGTTTTCCCGCCCAGCAGTCACCATCACGGAGATGGAGGCCTGAGGTGCGGTCTTTTCCCCCTGCTTCTCTTCCTCTTGTGGGAATCACTGCAAATGAGACCACAGCAGCCTGGGCCTTGCCAGCAGCAAATGCTCAGTGGTAGAGCCAGGCGGCCCTCTTCTCCTGAAAGCCTTGTCCTGGGTCAGGCCCGGGAAGAAAGGATGGGGACAGGAAAGGACGAGGCTGCGGCTGCCGTCCCCCAGGGCAGCCACGCCTGGGCAGCCCCCGGACAGAGCCTGTTTCAGCCCTCAGACTTCACGGGGCAAGATCACAGCCCTCTCACCTGGCTTCATATGGCAGTGCCACAGAGGCCCCTCCCTGACTGCTCCAGGCTCTCCCTGACCCCTCCCTGACCTCTCTAGGGATCTCGTGGGGACCCACAGGCCATACGACATTCTGAGGGCCTGGAACGGTGACTTCCCTGACACTTTTCTGTTATTTTAAGTAAAATAATACATGCTCACCACCAAGGCCATTTCTGGTTGAATTTTTTTGGCTCAGATTAGATAATGCTAAATTTTATGCTAATTTAAAGTGTCAAACAAGAGGCCAAGCCGCGGTTCTCCGTGGTCCCCTGCTGCACCAGGTTATGTAACCGTGTTTCTCCTGCTCGTTTGCCTGGCGCCGCCCAGGCCCGTGTCTTTTCTATTTTGGGTGTAGACGGAGGTCCTTCTGTCTGAGCTTTGGAGCACAAGGGTCTGGGCGTCCTTCAGTTAGGGGAAGGGCTTTGATCCCTGAGTGCCTGCGACCTTGTGGGGACAGCGTGATCATGAAATATGGAATTCAAAGGTTCCCAGGTTTGAGATGTTGACACGTGAGTACTTTGCCTTCACCAGTCCTGGAAAGACCTGGTGGGGGAAGAGGACAATGACAAAGTTGCTGTGTGGATGGGCGGCGCGTGCAGAAGGCAGGGCCTCGGGCTGCAGGGGGATGTGCCCCTGTCTGCCTCCTGCCTCGAGTGGTCAGGCCGGTGCTGGGACATACCCACTTGCCCCACCCCAACCCGGAAGGACAGTCCTTGTGCCGGGCCCTTCCCACGGGAGCATCTGTGGGATGCAGAGCCTGCCAGCACCGGCATGTCCACCTGGGGCCACTCAGCGTTTTGTTTTTGATGTCAAGGTGAATGCCCCTGTGTAGGTTCAGCAAAATGAAGGACTGTATATTAAGTGTGTTACACACACATGAATGAATGCCTGGACTTGTAGAATGAGGAAACTCACCAAGCACCTACAAGGACCTGGAGAAAGAGAGAAAGAGGTGGGAGGGAGGAGGGGTGGGCCGAGACCTCAGCCCGTGGAGCTCATGGTGGGTGAGGGGAGGAGAGATGCTTAGGAGAACAAAAGCCAGCCTGGCTGGTGGTGAGGTCACGGCCAGGGGAGCACCCAGTAGAAGGGGACAGCAGCTATAAACACTGAGGACCAGGAAGGGCTCCCTGCAAAGGGGCAGTGTGGCCAGGACTGGAGGGAGGCAGGGGCGTCGAGACCCGCGGGGGCGTCGAGACCCCCGTGTGCCTGAGCACGGCCTATGCCTGCCCTGTGGCTACGATGAGAAACATCCCACGTGGGCTGCCAGTGGACGAATTGCCAGCACCTGCCATCTCCTGACATCACTCTCCTTCGAGGCTCACTCTTCTTCACTCAGAGTTGCTCACGGATTCGCCTGTTCCCTCATTCACTCATTGGTTCAGCCACCAAATTACTCATTCATTCATTCATTCACTCACTTATTCATGCGTTGAACACCTGGCTGACGTTTTGGGGAGCAGGGTTGGGATGTGCAGCACCCCACAGCGCTTTGTGGAGCTCTGATGGCCTCACACTCCTTGACCACCAAGCACCAGCCCCTGGGCCGCGAGCCAGCCAGGCTGTTGCCGTGTGTGAGACCCAGAGGCAGAGGTGGGAGCTGGGCCCCACGCTGAATTCATGGGCTTTTGTCTGCCTCTGCCCACCTGTGTCTGTTTATTCACCCGTCCCCTCCCTGCACCCCAGTCCCCACCCCCACAGCAGCAAAGGCAGCCCCAGTATTGACACCCAGCAGTGGGGCCTGCACCCCAGTCCGCACCCCCACAGCAGCAAAGGCAGCCCCAGCATTGACACCCAGCAGTGGGGCCTGCACCCCAGTCCCCACCCCCACAGCAGCAAAGGCAGCCCCGGCATTGACACCCAGCAGTGGGGCCTGCACCCCAGTCCCCACCCCCACAGCAGCAAAGGCAGCCCCGGCATTGACACCCAGCAGTGGGGCCTGCACCCCAGTCCCCACCCCCACAGCAGCAAAGTCAGCCCCAGCATTGACACCCAGCAGTGGGGGCCGAACAGACCCCAGACAAGGAGGGGCCACCAGGAAGCCTCTGCCAACAACAGCCCCACTAGGCCTCCCGCTTCCTGTCTGCCCTGCCAGCCCTGGTCAGGATAGCATTGAGGGTGAGGGCATCGGGGGCCATGGCCAGGATGGGAGGAGGCAGCGCTGCCACCCACCACCCCCGGCTCTGGGGAGCTGGACTCGGTGCCCATCCCACTGAAACCATCTGCTGTCCTGGAGCCCAGAGATGCCCGGGCCTGCCGAGGTGGGCAGCAAGAAGGTGCGATGAGGTGTTTCTACAGAAATAGCAGGCTGGCCATCCCACAGACAGCACAAGGACCTTCCCCCTTTCCTCCCAGAGAGGAATCTGCATGTCTCCTCCCTCCCAGAGAAAACAGGAGCTCCTTGTCCAAGTCATTCAGGGATTTTCCAAGGGAGAGGGAGTTTTTTTATTGTTTGTTTGTTTGTTTTCAGAGTCTTGCTGTGTCACTGAGGCTGGAGTGGAGTGCAACGGCATGATCTTGGCTCACTGCAACCTCTGCCTCCCTGGTTCAAGTGATTTTTCTGCTCAGCCTCCTGAGTAGCTGGGATTACAGGTGCACACCACCACGCCCAGCTAATTTTTGTATTTTTAGTAGAGATAGGGTTTTGCCATATTGGCCAATCTGGTCTCGAACTCCTGACCTCAGGTGATCAGCTTGCCTTGGCCTCCCAAAGTGCTGGGATTACAGGCGTGAGCCACCGTGCCTGGCCGGGAGGGAGTTTTTAAAGAGGTCAGACCTCTTCCTGATTTTGGGGTGCAGAGCCAGCACCATCCAAGGAGATGCTGCGGGGTTGGGAGGGAGGACCGGGTCCATGCTCCCCAGTGGAGGTGCCGGCTCTGGGAGACACAGGGCCCCTCGCCCTGCATGCATGCACATGCGGCTTCTCAGGGCAGCTGGACTTGCTCTGTTCATGAGCTCTTGGCCTTCTGAAACTGCTAGTTAGAGGCCAGTTAGAATGCTTGGCCTAGAGAGGCCCCTGTTCCCCCATCGGAGCTGAGCTGCCATCTCTCATCAGAGGCTCGTGTCAGAAAGCCCTGGTGGAGGAAAGCCAACACTTGGGAAGCACAGGGAGGCAGGCTGGACCCGGCGTCCTTGCGGGCTGTTGGCAACACCGTCTGGAGAGGGACCGGGCCCTGTGCCCGCCAGTCCCCAGGGCGGGGCGGCCTGAGCTGGCCTGGTCTGCTGTCCTTGGGATCAGGCCAGGACTCAGCTCTGTGCCTGGGGGCCCTCTCCAAGGTGCTGACGACACCATGTTCCAGCCTTCACTCCTGCCAGCCTGGGAGACCTTCGAGCGGCTTTAACAAACCCCATCGCAACTGGGCTTGCCTTGAACACAGCCCTGGACAATGGCTCTGTCTGGGTGTCTTTGGGAATACACGTCTTTTTACTAACTTCAGTCAGACCTTCAGCCTTCCTTGATCCAGCCTCTCTGTTCTTCCCCTGCTCCTCCTCCCCACCCCACCCTCCCTCCCACAGCAATTCCCCAAAGGAGCAGAGGCAGAGGGAGAGCCTTCCTCTGCTTGTCCCTTGAGAAGAGGATGTGGAAACGTCAGAGATTCTCCTGAGAGTTGCAGGCAGGCAGGGAGGACAGACGTACTTGGGACACTTCCTGCTGTGATTCCAAACTCTGCTGACCCAAGGAGGAGGTCTGCATGCCCTGCGCTGTTGACTGTGTGACACTGTGTTTATGCTGAAATATGGAGTCCCAGGAGGCTGGGCCATTTCCCTCTGTTTCTTTTCTTTTCTTTTTCTTTCTTTCTTTCTTTTTTTTTTTTTTTAACACAGGGTCTCACTATATTGCCCAGGCTGGTCTTGAACTCCCGGGCTCAAGTGATCCTCCTGCCTCGGCCTCCCACAGTGTTGGATTACACGTGTCAGCCAATACGCCTGGCCCCTATTTCCTTTCCCACTTAATGAAACAAAATATTTAGCTGGATAACAATTATTTCACTTTCTGAAGTCAACACGAGTCTATTTGCAAATACCTAGAATTCATTCTAGTAGCAGGAGGCAAAACTACGAGCCTGTGTTGGTCAGCGTGGCTCTGCTGCTCGGCTTTTCATGCCACATTAGATGGGCATCTGCCCAGTACTGTGTCCCCCTTTGCCCAGCATTCAGCCCTTGTCATTGAGAGGGGACAGATGCAGGTGGAGGATGAGAGCAGGCTGCCAGAGCTGAGTGTGGGCAGGGGTGGAGGCAACCTGAAGTAGACACTCTGCTGGGTGCTCAAGCTGCCAAACCCTGCTGGTAAAACAGAGATGCCTAAAGGATTTGGAGCCAGACAGGGAGGCTGAGTGGGGGGAAACAGCCCAGCATGGTGGGCTAGGTCATGGGCCCTGGACAACTCGTGTCTGGTGGAGTGCTGACTCTGCAGTGAGGGTGTGACCTTGGGGAGCTGAGAAGATTGAAGAGCTCATTTTTGAACCCTCATTCCTTTCTTGGTTTCCTCATCTGTAAAGGGGTCATGTTACTAGGGTCTCATGTAAACTCTGGCCCCTTGGTCAGCACTCAGCTTCACAGGTGTTGCCTCGGTCCCCAGCTCTCAGGTGCCCGGGCTGGTGAGAGGGCACTGCGCCAGGCGCAGCAGCTCTGCAAAGGTGGTGACCCAGGACACCTACCCTTCTCTGCAGCTCAGCCCGTGAATTTGCACCACAAATTTCAATGAAGTCATCTTAAGAAGATCTCACTTTGTTCCTTCTTCCAGAGGCGGGTGGGTGGGAGGCCCAGCTCCCCTTTCAGAGAGGACCTTCCTCACATGCTACCCTGTCCAGCCCCACGCCGTTTTCGGTGACAGGGGCCTGGACAGATCCCTGGTTCAGAGCCCACCCCACTGGAAGTACAGGAGACTGAGTCAGAGGCCAGTCAGGCCGGATGAGATCAACAGTGATTTGCCTCCAAGCCCTGATTCCTCCCTGAGGAATGCTCCTGAGAAAACGCTGGCTCCCACTCACAGCTGGAGCTTCAAAGGTTGGTCTAGCACTGACCGTGTGGACCCACGTGCTTCTGTCTGGAAAAGCCCCACAAGCCCCGCCCCATAAGACCCCGCCCCTCTTAGCTCCGCCCACAAGGCCACTTCCCAGCTCCGCCCATCTCGCGTCTGTACCCTACAGGCTCTGCCTGGTTCCACCCCACCGCTTCTGCCACCCACTCTAAGGACCCGCTCCTCCCCGCCCCCGCCCCCAAAGCCGCTCCTCTCACGGCCCCCGACCCCGCAGGCACCGACTGTTCTCAGCCCCGCCCCTCGAGGCCCCGCCCCGCGGCTTCCCGCCGGGGATTGCGGCTGCGCCTCTGACCCTCCGCTCCGGGCTCCGGGCTCAGGTCCCACACCTGCCCGCGCCCCCAGGCCCCGCCGTCCCCCAGAGCCTGCAGCGGGCGCCGCGCAGGCCGCCGGGCTCCTCCGGGTGGGCCGGGCTCGGGCTTTTGGAGCCGCGCGCCCACCGACCCCTCCCACGGGCGGCGGGGGGAGAGCCCACCCAGAGGCGCAGCGGGGCCGGTGGTGTTTCCCGCCCTCCCAGGGGGCCGCGGGTCCGGGGGCAGCAGCGGGGCGCGGGGCGGAGGGAGGCCCGGCGGGAACGGGCGCCCCCTTTGCACCCACAGCCGTGGAACGCCGAGGTCTCAGCTCCCCTACGGCGCGCGCCCCGAGACCCCGCAAGGGCAGTGCTGGGGACGCGGGGCCGAGACTCGAGGACGCCCGAGGCCGGGACGGGGTGTGGGGGCGTCCCCCAGGCTCCCGGGTCCCAGTGCAGGGGCTCGCGGTCAGGAGGTTAGGTGGATGAGTGAAGGGGAAAAGCGCGGTTCTAGCTGCCTGCTCAGGCTTGGGGCGATGTGAACGTCGGGGTTTGCCCCTCGACCCCCCACCAGAACGCAGATACTTCTCAGCAAAGAGGAGCTTGGGGCAGCCCACTCCCCACAGAGGAAGGGAGGGGCCCGCTCCACGGAGGACCTGGGGGGCTGGAGGAACAGGCACCCCCATGCCAGGCAGGACCCGAGGGATCGGTACAGGGCACGGGGAGAGGGGCCTGGGGGAAGCTGTTGACCCCGTGATCCTTTTTACAAACTTGTAAATCAGAGAGAAATTAATTCAGATGCTGCAATTTTTTCTGATAAACCTCGAAACATGTAAATATCAAACCCTCTTCCTTCAGTCACTAAAACAAATGGAAAACACATTTATTAGCATAGAGATGAGTTTAATCAAATCAGCCTGAGTGCAAATTAGCCACAGGAAATGCAATGAGCTGGGAATTAATTAGCAGCGTAATGATGATAAGGTGGCCTGCTGACTGCCTGGAGGCCGCCTCTCCCCACGGTTGCCGGGCTCCTGGCAGCTCAGCTTTTCCTTTGCAAGAGGCCCTGAGCGGGGACCACTGGACAGCCCCCTGGACCCCTTGGAGAGCTGCAGAGGAGAGGCTTCAGGGGGATGCCTCCCTTGGGGGGCAGGTCTGTGTGTTCTAGGGGAGCCCAGCCTACCCTCCCCCGGGGTGCTCGTGGCTTCCTCTCTAGGAGGCCAGGGATGGGGAATGAGGCCTTGGGATGGTTTGAGGCCTTCGGGAGCCCAGGAGAGGGCCTGGCCCCAGGGCAGTCCGGCCCAGAGGGGGCTGCCTGCTCTGAAGGAGGGGCTTCCCAATGTAGAGGTCCCAGTGGCCCTGGGTCCCAGCTGGGGGTGGACTTTGGTGACAGGCAGCCCCCACCTGAACTGGAGGAGCCTCATCGAGGGTCCTAAATGATACTACAGATGAGACGTGCATTTCAAATCTGAGGGCAAGGCTGGGACCCTGGGCCCTGGCACGTGGGACTCTGGAATCCACCTGAGTGCCCATTCCTGCAGGAATTCCTGAGATTGCTTGGCACCTTGCGGGTTGTGGCTGGTACTGAGGTGAGCGGTTGAAATGTCCCCCAGGACTGGTCAGCTGCCCTCCCAGTTGGGCTGGGTGCCCAAGTGTTCACAGGGCTCTTGGGAGGACCTGGGTGGCCTTGTGCACCCTGGGGGCTGTTGGTCTAAGGGTGCAGGGGCTCCCTGGAGGTCGGGAGCTCTCCCTGGGGCCAGCTGCAGCCCTGCGATGTGCCCTCCCCTCCCTGCACAGGCTGGACACACAGGGACACTTCTTCCCCGGAGGCTTCTCCAGTCCCCAGGAATCTGTCCCCCACCTGTCATCAGGAAACTTCAGAAGATCAGGAATTTTTTTCTGGAGCTGCATTTTGCACAGTTTCCTCTTTTTAAGGGAGGAGGCTCGGAGTCTCCGGTCACCACAGCCGATTTCCCTGAAGCCTCCGCAGGGGGCCACCCCCACAGAGTTTTATATGCTAACAGTTCTTAAATTCGGAGTCCTGTGGGAAGGTGGGAAAGTTAGGTATATACACTTTTTAATGTTTTTGTTTTTGTTTTTTTGTTCTACTCAAAAAGTCATTGGTACCTAGGTAACACACTTAAAGAAAGGCACACTTTGTGGCTGGGCACAGTGGCTTACACCTGCAATCCCGGCATTAGGGGAGGCCGAGGCGGGCCAGTCTCGCTTGAGCCCAGGAATTTGAGACCAGACTGAGTAACATAGTGAGACCGCATCTCTACTAAGAAAAAAAAGGTTAGCCAGGCGTGGTGGTGCGCACCTGTGGACCCAGCCACTTGGGAGGCTCAGGTGGGAGGATCACTTGTACCCAGGTGGTTGAGGCTGCAGTGAGCCGTGATCAGGCCACTGATCTCCAGCCTGGGTGACAGAGTGAGACCCCGTCTCAAAATAATAACAATAAAATAAAGGCACATTTTGAGAACAGAAGATGTTTCTGAGTTTCACATGTTGCCATATCCTGTGGACAGCTTATAGTGGGACACCAGGGCAGATATTGAAGTTTGATGTAACTTGTGAATGGCTTAAAAAGTGGTAATTTCTTGGGATCAGAAAGCTGATTAAGGCAAGGCTGAGAGGAGTCAGCTTGCCTCTCTTCCACAGCGTCCACTGGGACAGTTCAACCCTATCTGCGGGACCAATCTCCAAGACGTGAGTTGGCACAGCCATCAGTTCGTCTCCATGGATGTCTCCACGGGCAACCTGAGCTCCCACGTGGCATGGTGATGGTTCTGAAAGTGGGTGTTCCAGGAGACAGGAAGTGCCAGTTCCTTAAGGCCTGGGCCTGTGGTAAAATATGCATAACACGATTTACCTTATTAGCCATTTTAAGTGGTATTGAGTCTGTTCATAATGTTGTGCGGTCATCACGACTGTCCACCTCCAGAACTCTCTTCATCTTGTAAAACTGAAACTCTGTCCGAATTAAACAACTCCCATCCCCCCTCCCTCAAGCCTCAGCACCCACCGTTCTACTTTCTGTCTATGAATTTGACTAAGTACCTCACACCAGTGGAATCGTATAGTATTCGCCTTTTTGCGACTGTCTTATTTCACTTTGTATCAAGTCCTCAAATTTCATCCACGTTGTAGCATGGGTAAATTTCCTTCCTTTTTAAAGGCGGAATAATATTCCATTGCGTGGATAGACCATATTTTGTATAGTCGTTCATCCTTCAATGGATATGGGGTTCATATTAGCTGTTATGAACAGTGCTGCTATGAACATGGGTTCACAGCATGCACATCTGCTATAGGTTATCTTTGAGACCCTGCTTTCAATTCTTTTGGGGGTGCACTCAGAAGTGGAATGGCTGGATCACGTGGTCATTCTATTTGGAGTTTTTTGAGGGAGTGCCATCCTGTTTTCCACAGTGGTGGCACCATTTTACACCCCCACCAGCCATGCACGAGGGTTCGTTTCTCCACATCCTCACCAACATTTGTTATTTTCGGTTTTTTCTCACAGTAGCCATCCCAGTGGGTGTGAGGCGCATCGCACTGTGGTTCTGATTTGCATTTTCCTCGTGGTTAGCGATGTTTCATGTGCTTATTGGCCATGTGTATGTGTTCTTTGTAGAAATGTTTATCCAAGTCCTTTGCCCATTTCTGAGTTAGGTTTTTTGTTGTTGTTGAGTTTTAGAAGTCCTCTGTATATTATGGATATTAATCCCTAATCAGATATATGATTTGCAAATATTTTCTCCCATTTTCTGGGTTGCCTTTTTTCCCTGTTAATATTGTCTTTTGGCTGGGCATATTAACTCTGCCTGTAATCCCAGCACTTTGGGAGGCCAAGGCAGGAGGATCACTTGAGGGTCAACAACCTGGGCAACATAGTGAGACCCTGTCTCTACAAAAACATAAAATAAAAAACAGCCTGGCACAGTGCTCCATGCCTGTAGTCCTAGCTTCTTGGGGGGCTGAGGCGTGAGGATCACTTGAGCCTAGGAGTTCAAGGTTGCAGTGAGCTGTAATTGTGCCACTGCACTCCAGCCTGGGCAACAGAGCGAGACCCTGGCTCTTAAAAAAAATAGTCTTTTGGTACAAAAATATTTATTTTTTACGAAGTCCAATTTGTCTGTTTTTTTCTTTTGTTGCCTGTGCCTTTGATGTTGTATCCAAGGAATCATTGCCACATCTAATATCATGAAGCTCTTGCCCTGTGTTTGTCGTAGTTCATTTGTGTGGCTATAAAGGAATACCTGAGGCTGGGTCACTTATAGAGAAGAGAGGTCTGTTTGGCTCATGGTTCTGCAAGCTGCACAGGAAGCATGGCACCAGCATCTGCTTCTGGCAAGGGCCTCAGGAAGCTTCCGCTCATGGTGAAAGGTGAAGGGGAAGCAAGGGAGCTAGTGCACAGAGATCAGACAGCGAGAGCATGGGGAGCAAGAGAGGGGAGCAGGTTCTTTTCAACAATCAGTTCTTGTGGGAACTAAGAGTGAGAACTCACTCCCCCGAGAATAGCACCAAACTGTTCATGAATGATCCGCCCCACAACCCAAATACCTTCAACCAGGCCCCACCTCCGACACTGGGGATCAGATCCCCACAGGAGGCTTGGCAGGGCCAAACCAACCAAATCCAACCACAGCAGTTTTCTTCTAAAAGTTTGTTTATGTTGAACATTTAGGCCTTTGATCCATTTTAGTTAGTTTTTGTATATCTTGTTGGGTAAGGGTCCAACATCATTCTTTTGCATGTGGATGTCCAGTTTTCTTAGAAACACTTGTTGAAAGGACTGTCCTTTCCCCATCAAATGGTCTTGGCACCATTGTAAAAAAATCATTTAACCATGTATGTGAGTGTTTATTTCTGGGCTCTCCATTCTATTTTATTTGGTCTATATGTCTGATTTTATGTCAGTACCATATTACTTTGATTACAGTAGCTTTGTAGCAAGTTTTGAAATCAGGAAGTGTGAGTTCTCCAGCTCTGTTTTTTTTTTCTTTTTCAAAGTTGCTTCGGTTATTCAGTGTTCCTTGAGATTCCATAGAAATTTTAGGATGGGTTTTTCTATTTCTGCAAAATACGTCACTGAGATTTTGATAGGGATTACATTAAATCTGTATATTGCTTTGGATAGTATTGCCATTCTCACAATATTAAGTCAATACATGAACATGGGATGTCTTTCCATTTATTTATCTCTTCTTTAATTTCTTTCAGCAATATTTTGTAGTTTTTATTGTATGTCTTTCATCTCATAGGTTAGGTTAATTCTTAGTATTTTATTCTTTTTTATGCTATTATATGTGGAATTGTTTTCTTAATTTCCTTTTCAGATTGCTTGTTAGTGTATAGAAATACAACTGATTTTTATCTGTTGACTTTCCATCTTCTTACTTTGCTGAATTCATTTATTAGTTCCTGCAGTTTTTGTGTGTGTCATATTTAGTGTATTTTACATCTGCAAACAGAGACTTTTTTTAAGTTCTTTCTTTCTAATTTGGATGTCATTTATTTTTCTTGTCTAATCACTGGATAAAACATCCAGTACTATCTCAAATAGAAGTAGTGAAAGCAGGCATCCTTCCCTTCTTCCTGATATTAGACAAAAAGCTTTCAGTATTTCACCACTGAATATGATGTTCTTTGTGGGTTTCTGATACATGTATTTCATTATGTTGACATAGTTTCATAGTTTGTTGAATGGTTTTTATCATGAAAGGATATTGGCTTTTGTCAAATGCTTCTTCTGCATCAATTAAGATGATCATGTGGTTTTTTTCCTTCATTCTGTTAATGTGTATTACATTGATTGATTTTCATATGTTGAACCATCCTTGCATTCCAGGAATAAATCCCACTTGGTCCTGGGGCATAATCCTTTTAATATACTGCTGAATTTGATTTGCTAGTATTTTATTGAGGATTTTTGCATCAGTGTTTATTAAAAATATTGGTCTGTATTTCATACCATTGTGGTCAGAGAAGTTATTTTGTATGATATCTATCTTTTTAAGATCTATTGAAATTTAATTTGTAAACTAACATAGTCTATCTTAGAAATTGTTTCATGTGCACTTAAGGATGTGTAAGCTGTTGCTGTTGGGTAGAATGTTCTGTATATGTCTGTTATATCTTGTGGGTTTATTGTGTTGTTTAACTCTTCTGTTTCCTTATTTATCTTTTGTATGATTATTCTATCTATTATAGAGAGAGGATATTGAGGTCTCTAACTGTTACTGTATTAATAGAACTGTCTATTTCTTCCTTCAACTCTGTCAGTTTTTTGCTTCATACATTTTGATTATCTGTTGTTAGGTGTATAAATGTTTATAATCATTATATCTTCTTGCTGTGTTGAACCTTCTATTAATATATGATGCCCTTGTCTTTGCTCTTCTTTGTCTCTTTTTAAATTGTAAACTCTATTTTGTCTGATATTACTATAGCTACCCCTACTCTGTTTGGTTGCTATTTGCATGGAATATCTTTTCCATCTTTTTACTTTCAATCTATTTGTGTCTTTGGATCTAGAGTGAGTCTTTTGAAGATAGCATATAGTTGGATCATATGTTTTTATTCATTCTTTCAATCTGTGTCTTTTGACTGGAGTCAAACCCATTTATACTTAAAGTAATTACTGATGAGGAAGGACTGGCTTCTGTCATTTTGCTATGTTTTCTATATGCCTTAGAGTTTTTGTCCTGCATTTCCTACATTAGTGTCTTTTGTGTTTAGTTCATATTTTAGTGAAATGTTTAAATTTCTCATTTCTTTTTGTATACAGTCTATAGCTATTTTCCTTGTGGTTACCATGGCATTACATTTAGCATATTAAATTTCTAATTTGGATTCATAGCACCTTAACTTTGATAACATACACAAACTCTGCTTCTTTATAGCTCTGTCCCTACCCTTTTCAGTTATTAATGTCACAAAATTAAATCTAAACTAATAATTCTTTTAAGTGCATTAGTCTCAAATTATGTAGAAAACAAAATGTGGAATTACAAACCAAATTTACAGTAGTGCTAGTTTTGACTAATAACTTTTTAAAAAAGTATTAGTATCTTAAATCATATAGGAAACAAAATTGCAGTTACAAACCACTGTGGCAATAATGCTAACTTTTATAATTGGCCATGTATTTGTTTTTATTGAGACCTTTATTTCTTCATACAGCTTCTAGTTACTGTCTAGTGTCCTTTATTTCATCTTGCAGGACTCCCTTTAGCATTTCTTACATGGAAGGTCTAGTGATAACAAACTCCCTCAGCTTTTGTTTATCTGGGAATGTCTTAGTTTCTCCCTCACTCTTGAAAGACAGTTTTGACAGATATAGGATTCTTGTTTGTTTGTTTTAAATTTTATTTTAGCACTTGGAATATATTGGCCCACTGTCATCTGGCCTCCAAAGTGTCTGATGAAAAACTGGCTTGCAATCTAATAGAGGATCCTTTGTATGTGACAAATTTCTTCTCTCTTGGTGCTTTCAAGATTCCAGAGTCCTCCTGGAGGTGGAGTGTGGAGGGCACATGTGGGTGCACACAGTGGGCCACCCAGACCCCTCTCAGCACAGGGGTTTGCTAGCAGCTCACAGCTGAGTCTCTTTCCCAGGGCCATCCCTCCTTAGGGTCAGCCTCCATCCCAGGACATGGAGCCCTGCCCCCTACCTCAACTGGGACAACCCTCTCCCCTGCCCTGCCCTCCAACAAAGGGTACTGCCAGAAAGAACCTCCCTATACTGGATTGAATGGTGTCCACCAAAATCGATGAGCTTCCCGGAACTTCGGAATGTGACCTTATTAGGAAATAAGGCCTTTGAAGAAATACTTAGTTAAGATGTTGTACTGAAGTGTATGGGCCCTGATCCAATCCCTGGTGTCCTTATAGGGAGACAAGAGACACACAGCCACAGAGGACAAGGCCATATGAGATGGAGGCAGAGACTGGAGAGATGCCGCCACAAGCCAAGGATGTGTGGGGCCACCAGGAGCTGGGGGAGGTGAGGAACAGATTCTCCAGAGAGCCTGTGGAGGGAACCAGCCTACCAACACCTTGGTGCTGGGCTTCTGGCCTCAGAACTCAGACAGTGAATCTGTGTTGTTTGAAGCCTCCTAGTTTGGTCCTTGGTTACAGCAGCCCCAGGACACTCAGTCCCCAGCAGCCCCTGCAGCAAATCTCAGTGTCTCTCCCCCCATCTGTTTGCAGAGGCCCCATCAACGAACAAATGCAGACAACTCTTCCTGGAGTTTTGCATTAAAGACAAGAAGCTGGGGGCACAGCGAGGGGGACATGAGGTCAAGGCGCTGCTGCTTTGTTAGGTAGGGGAGATTGAGCATGTTTGTATCCTGATGGGAATGGACAAGCAGCAGGAGCATCTGATGGCACAGCAACCAGGGGGCCACCCCTTAAGGACAGGTGGGCCGGCTTGCCTTGGAGCATGGGTGCTTGCTCACAGGCTCGGGGCAAGGCACAGATGCGGGAGGCACAGACGCGGCAGTGGGAGCAGCTGGGTCCATCTTCTCCCAGCTCTGGGCACAGGTGGGAGGCACAGTGCGTGCTTTCCCTGCAGGCTTCCTGTGCTTCGCCCCGAGCCATCTCCCCAGGTCTGAGTTCCTCTGCTGGTCCAGGAGGGTCTCAGTGCGGTGGGACAAACTCGTTCCATTGGTGGATGGAGACACACCCAGTGTGGACAGAGGCTGCAAGCATCAGAGGGCGTGTCCATGCGGCAGTATTGGTGTCATGGCCATAAGGTTGGCACTTCCTACAGACTCCGGCCTTGCATTTTCAGCAGCTGGAGCTGTTCACAGCATCCTTCTCACAGGAGTTTTGGGAGCACAACCAGGTGGGGTATGCTTGAAAGCCTTAGAGTGAGGACCAGCACACCCACCCTCCTGGTGTCCCATGCAAAGCTGCTGAAGGGGCTGCTGTGGCTGAAATCTGAGCTCTGGGTGGTGCCTGCAGGAGCCCAAGCAGCTCCAGAGGGAGCCCCATTCCACTTGACCCCTTTTCCTTATGGCAGATTCAGCTTCCCTGGGGTGAAATCGAGGGGCATTTCCCAGTTATCTCCAGGAGTATGAAATTTCCCTCTTGTTTCTGCCCACCTGAGGGGCTGCACTTGGACCCTGCCATGGGAAGAGGTCTGTTCCTCTCTGCCTCCTGGGGGACCCCCTCCTTGTGTGAGTCCCCTCTGAAGCCCTGCAGAACCTGGTCTGGGTCCTGAACAGTCCTGCCGAGGCCTGGCCTGTTGGACACAGATGCTCAAAATCTACTCAGAGCATGCTGGCCCCTGTGGAGTGGTTCCTGTTCCTGGGGGGCTTAAGTGAATGAGGGCGAGTGATTCCTTTAAACATTCTTTATGTGCTGGGCACAGGGCTAGGGGCTCAGGAACCAGGCGTGCGAAACCATGCATGGTCATGGCCTCAAAGGCCGAGCTCACCATATGTGGACACACATGGACAAGGGGGTCACTGACCTGGGAAGGCTGTGAGGGGCACTGGTCAGGGCAGGAAGGCCTTCCTAGAGGAAGTGAGTCAGGTGAGAAGAAGTTAAGGAGCACCGTTCCTCTTCTTGGGACCTTGGGCATGTCTGTGTCCCCAGCTGTAGCAGAATAAGGTGCCATCTATGGATGTGGTGCTGTGTGGTCTCATGTAGCCCCATCCACGGCCTGACCTTCCTGAAATCCATAAACGCTGAGCTACAGATGTCACATGTGTCTAAGATCACTGGACAGAATTAGCATGCCTCAATGAAAATGAACTACGTCCCCAAGTAATGGCACGATTGCAGTTAAACTTATGCAACTTCAGAAATAACGGCAGATAAAGGGCTAGAGACGTAGAAACCGTGGCTGGCATGAGGGAGGAGCTTAGTGAGCCATGGGATGAAGGAATGTGGTGCCTGCAGGAGCCCGAGTGGCCAGGAGCCCTGCTCTTCCCACCGTGGGACTCCTATGGCCTCCCCACCACTCCAGCCTCTGCCTGGGGCTCCTCTAGCCCCTCTAGTTGGGAGAGGTCATCCCCCAACAGAGACACAAAGTATCAAAAAGACAAGCATGCTTTTGTTTCCTGTTTCCGTCAGGTGTTTCTCTGATCCGTAAGAGCCTCCTGCCCGTTCATCCATCAACAGCCTCTGGGGACACCTTCGGCAGCAGGAATCACTGGTGTTGGGTACTGAGTTTGAATTTCTGTGCCCACCTTTGCGCTGGCACAAAGGGGCTGGCTATGTGGAAGCAGAATGTGGGGCCCTTGCTTTAAAGACCTCAGAGGCTGGTTGAAGGGATAAACCTCACACCCCCAAAATTGAGAGAAAACATCAAGGGAGCTGCACCGCAGCACCACCTTGCTCTCTGGGCTTCAGCACCAGGGAGGCGGACAGCTCCATTCACTGTGGCCGCCACCGCCCATCCAGGACTCCAGCCCTCCCCGCATCATCGCTCTGCTTGGCTGTCGGGGGAGGAGAGCGGCTGCTGCTGTGCATGGGTGCTTGGGGGCGGTGGGGGGTGGGGTGCAGAGGAGGCACCACCCTACCCGGGGCCATCACCAACCAATGGGGATGGGAGCGGGTAGATAAATGCCCCAGCCTCCCCAGCGTCGGTGGACAGTTTGGAAGTGCATTCATTCTCCATGGCTTCCCAGAGGGCCCCCAGCAGGCCTGAGCAGCAGCTCTTGTGAAACTGCCCTCCATGGGCTGCTCTCTCTTCCTGTCTCACTGTGTGCTCCGTCCCTCACTTCAGCTTCCTGGTCTCACATCCCAAACACACTACCTTCGTCCAAGTCCTTGTCTCCACCAGGGCTTACATTTGGGGTGCCTAGAAAAGGAGAGAGCATATAATCAATGCCAGGGTGAGTGGGGGGACACCCAGAGCCATGAGGTCCCAAGGAGGGGGCGATGGCAGGGTGGCCCGTGAGGCAGGTGGTCTGGGCCCAATCCCCGGCTCAGGATGGACAGAAGGCAGGAGCAGCCTCTGTGGGGGCTGGTGACAGTGTGAGCTGGCCCAGCAGTGGGTGGGCTTGGCTCCAAGGGTGCCACAGGGACTGTGAAGCAGGCTGGAGAGGGTGGCGAGCGGGCCTCCAGTGGGAAAACCAGGCATGGCACTGAGGCGGGCAGGTAAGTTCAGCCCTACACTCCTCCTCCTTCCGGCCGGACTCTCACGTGGATCTCTCCTTCTGGCTGTGCAGGTTGGATCTATGAACACGAGACACAGAAACACCAGCTGGAGGAGCCCAGGAGGCCCAGCAGGTGAGGTTATCCACAGAATAGGCACGCCGCCCTAGTCCATGGATCACTGAGTGCCCAGACCAGGGCTTCAGGGGGTTCCAGCCGAGGCTTTGTGAACCGGATCCTGGGTCACTGAGTAACCAGACTGGTCTCAGGAGGTTCCAGCTGAGGCTTTGTGAACCAGATCCTGGGTCACTGAGTGCCCGGACCAGGGGTTCAGGAGGTTCCGGCCGAGGCTTTATGAACCGGATCCTCCTCTTTGCGTTTCAAACAGCGGGAACCATCTTAGTCCATGGGCCACTGAGTGCCTGGACCAGGGGTTCAGGAGGTTCCGGACGAGGCTTTATGAACCGGATCCTCCTCTTTGCATTTCAAACAGTGGGAACCATCTTAGTCCATGGGCCACTGAGTGCCCGGACCAGGGCTTCAGGGGGTTCCAGCCGAGGCTTTGTGAACCAGATCCTGGGTCATTGAGTGCCCGGACCAGGGGTTCAGGAGGTTCTGGCCGAGGCTTTATGAACCGGATCCTCCTCTTTGCGTTTCAAACAGCGGGAACCATCGTAGTCCATGGGCCACTGAGTGCCCGGACCAGGGCCCCGGGGCTTCCTGACAGCAGGAACAACAGGAATCATTCAAACCCTGGAGCCCAGAGGGCAGGACGGGAGCGGCCTTTTGTCCCCCGCGGGCAGGCCAGGGAGGTGGACAGGCCGGGAGCCTGAAGCCTGAGCAGCTGGAGGCTCGCTCATTCTCCCGTGGTCACTGTGTTCCCGGAGCCCCAACAGAGGGCCAATTGTCCCACGGGGCGGTGCCTGGTGGGTGTGGTGTCTTGGCGGCAGCCACTGCCTGGCTGTTCTCAGGATCCCAATCCCAGGTGAAGGCTGCAGTCCTCTTGCTGTGTGTGGACTATTTAGCTCCGTGGGCGGCCACCTTGCCATGGGGCCACAGCAGCCATTCCAGAGGCTCCCCCAGTGCCCTCCTCGCCCGGGGGGGGGTGCTCCCGGGTGTGGTCCGGCTGAGGAGTCTCACTCGCAGGAAAGGTGGCGTGTGACGGGCTGGAGCCGGCCTGCGAAGTCTGCCTGGTGGCCATGGCTCAGGGGCCTGTGTCTCCCGGACGCCCCCAGCGGGGCCTCTCTTGAAGGGACTTTGTGCTCCTGCCAGGAGAAAACAGCCCTAACAGCTGCCTCCTGGGCCATTTCCAAACATTCGTGTGTCAGGCCAGAGAGCGCCAGTTCGTTGCCCTTTTGGGTGGTTCCAAACGTGTGGAGTTGGGGCCCTGGCAGCTTCGGACCACCAGCCCCCCTTCACTGAGGGGTTCGTCATCACCAAGCCTCAGCCAGAGATGTTAAACTGGAAAAACAATCACGGACCCCCGTGGGGGAAGCAGCTTCTGGTCTGGGGACAGTCATGAGCTCTGCATGCAGCTGCCGGTGTCCCTTCTCGGTGCCTGGCGGGTATCAGGGCTCACCCTTGGCCTGGCCACACCTACCGCCTCTCAGGCCCACACCTCTTCCCGGAAGACACCTGGAGGCTTCAACACCGGCTCACGCCCTTTCCTGGAAGAAACCTGGAGGCTCTGACGCCGGCCCACACTCCTTCCCGAAGAAACCTGGAGGCTTGGACGCCGGCCCATACCCATTTTTGGACACCGGGGGCTTCAATATCTGTGGCATCAGCTCCTCAGCTCTCTCTTCCCTCAGCATCCCACTGACCCGAAATTCCAGGAGATCCCGAGATGGGCCAAACACAAAACAAGAAAACAACAAAAACACCCTCTCCAGAAAGTAGAGAGGAGGCTCGGAGTGAAGGTGTGAAGTGCTGTGCCCGGCACAAAGTTCATCCGGACAGAGCGGCTCCTTCCCATCTGAAGCTCCCATTTTCCTACAGAAATGAGTTCCGACATGCACTGCACAGCTGCTCTCTCTCCGCTTTGCAAAGCAGGAACTCATGATGTCTGATGAGAATCCACTCTGCTCTGGTCTGAGCTGGGGCAAATCTTCGTTTGTCCTCCGCCTGTCCAACCCAGCCCTCGCCTGCAGGGCATCTCAGAGCCCAGCACCTTCCCTGACGCTCTGCTGAGCCCGGAGCCACTTGGAGCTCAGGAACAGCAGAGGGAGGGAGGCCACGGGGTCTCAGCACAGAACCAGCAAGTCCGAGGCTGGACATCTGAGCAGCGGGTGGTTGACAGGGCCCATGGGCAGACCCCGCGGGCAGAGGACCGGGGTCTCTGCCTCACCCGCTTCCACCGCCCTTGGGTGCACCTGGCCAAGGCCGTCAGCAAACCGAGCCAGGCCTGTGTCCTGGTTCCCTCATGGGCTCATGGTCCTCCTGCCACCCTGCGAGAGCACCCCCGTGCACGCTGCCTGCAGCTCCCAGCCGCGAACGGCAGAGGCCCAGTCCCGCCGTCACACCCTCGTCCCGCCTGGCTTTCAGCGACGTCACCTTTGCCTGGCAACATTCAGGCGGGGCTGCTCAGGCCTGCTGATTCCATCATTTAAAGACGCCCATTTCTTCTAAGCCAGGGATTTTATGACGCTGAGGATTAGAAGCTGTTATCCCAACCAACCCTGGAGCACTCTGTTCTGATTTGATGGTAAGCTTCACTAATAAACTGTTTAAAACATACGCTAATTGTGTTTATTGTATTCTTTAATTATCATATGTATCATTAAGGATGTGCTTCTCCTGGAATCCGAGGGCCTTGCAGCCTCTCCCCGCCGTGTGTGCATGCGTGCACATGTCTGTGTCTCCATGCGTGTCTGTGTGTGTGTGTGTGTGTGTTCCTAGTGCACAGAACATTTACCTTTTACAAATTAGAAGAAACATCTGTGGGAGCCTGTGGTCAGTTCGGCCTTCATTTAAAGTGAGGATTTAGACAGTCTCTGAGCTTTGCCGCCCCTGGAAGCAGAGGCGGGAAACGACCGGATAAAACAGAACGATGGGGAGTTTCATCCTGTCATTTATTTTGAGTCTGACTACAGATCATTATTTCTCATTTTGGATTTCAGATGGTTTGAAATGCAAGTCTAGCTGCTCAACCATGGGGCTCTAGAAAGAGGTGCCTGGCTATCACTCAAGGGGTTGTGGGAGCCCAGGACGGTCGGAGGCGCTAGGAGCTCTGGGATTGCCTGTGAGGCCGCGCAGAGACAGGAGTTTAAGATGAATGAAGCACCCCAACCTTGCGCTCTGGGAATGCGCCGTGTTTAAGGCTCCCCTGGTCCTCTCCCGGGTGCCCCGGACCCTTCCCAAGGGCTGCTCTCCCTCTCACCGAGAGCCCCCTTGCCTCCGACCGCACCCCTGTGGCACCTGGTCAGCTGCGTTCACGTCTGCAGGTCGGCCTCTATGGGGGGGACCCACACAGCGTCCTGCCTCACTTCAGTAGTGTTTCCATTCAGACCAGATGTCCAGCCAAGGACGTTCTGCTCCCAGGTAAGACCTGTGCACCTGCCTCATCACCGTGGGCCAGTGCAGGGCCTGGCAGGAGCTGAGGGTCCTGGCACTGCTCAGGGAGGGTCCCGGGGCCCTGCAGCTCACGTGGTCCTTACCAGAATCAGGCCCTGGCCCTGCGGACTGGCCAAAAACAGGGCCCAAGCCAAGCCGCGTTCCCGTGGGTGGACGTCCACTTATTAAGAAGGCCTGTGTCCACAGGAGGCGTGATTCTGGGCGTGTGTGCACACGTGTGTGCGTGTGCGTGAATCTGACACAGAACACCTCAGCTGTTCTAACAGCCTGCAGTGCGCACCGGGGTCTTTCTGGAGGAGACCTGAGCTGGCAGAGGGCTGTGCGGCTGTCCTCCCTCCCCTGTCCCAGCCGCATGTGGAGAAAGAGGGGCTGAGGGACGTGAGGGGGTGGTGCTGTCGGCCGGGGTGAGCCCAGCTGTGGCTGCACCAGGTTCATGACCCTGTCTGTGGCATCCAGAGCTCACTCTGATTGCCAAGTGCAAACACCGGGCTGAGTGAGGCACTGATTCTTAAGGGCAGAAAAATTCATGCTGAGTGCTCAGCAAGGGTGTACACAGATGCGTCTGGGCCCACTGGGTGAAGGCACGCGGGACCCCTGTGACTCCGGGGTTGACCCTGCTGGGCCCAGGAAGCAGCGAGCAGGAAAACAAGCCTCACCTCTGTTGGAAGTGGGCTTCCTGGTGCGGGGGTCCCCACTCCCCACCCTGCAGCCCCTCCTCACGTCTCTGCTCTTCCGGCTGCCACCAGGCTCCCGGCACGCGGCCCTTCTTCCTTCTGAGTTGTTTTTCAGGGGCTGCGCTGGGGTCCCACGGACACCTCGCCAGAATCAGCTGGGTTCCCATGGGAAGGGGAAGTGCCGCTCCTGCGTCCCTGCACCCTTGCCCTCTGTGTGGTGTGGCGTGTCTATCCCGACTGGCGAGGCCGCGAGCCCATAGTTTGCTGCTGCTCCTTCACCGTCCGTGCTCATTCCTCAGCCTGGTACAGCCCCAACCCCCTCCCACCTTTGTGTGGTTCCAGGCCCATGCATGACACGCGTGTTCCATTTCCACGTGCTACCGGCACCAGAGCCCATTCTGTACATGCTCGTTTTTACAACCGCTTTTTAAATCAGCGAAGAGAGGAAAGGAGGTGACTCTACGCTCACAGCCTCTTGTAGCCGCCTTTCCCGGGCTCTGTGCGCCTGGGCTCCAGTCACCGTCGGGGCCCCGTGCCTGACCCCTGGGCAGCGTCCTCTTCCGTTTCTTACGAGGTGGCTCCATGCTAGGGCAGCCGAATGCCCCAGAGAAATGGGCAAAGGTGTGCAGAAGTTATCCCTGCCCAACAGGAGGGAGCACGGCCCCAGGTTTACCTGCTGTGCCTTCCAGGGAACCCCTTGCAACCTCAGCCTGCAGGGACCCAGGGCGTGGGTTCTGGATTTAGACAGGTATGGGCCTCCTCGCATCAGCCGTGTAGACTTGGGACACGCATTCGTGTCTGGACGCAGTTTCCTCACCTCCAGACGGGAATGGCTGCAGTTCCGTGATCACAGTTCAGCGAGGATGAAGCAACCCCTCCAGGGGAAGCCTTTCCTTACAGGACCAGGCAGGTGGAGGCTCTGAGCAGAGGCTGCCATTGTTCCTCTTGCTGCAATGATGAGCGTCTCCAGCACCTGGGCTGCAGCTGTGGTGTAACAGGTGCGATCAGAACACCTGCCCAGCACCGGGCTCAGGCTCAGAGCGTCCTGAGAGTGGAAGGGGTGGGGAGGCTGGCGGCGGTGGTGGTGAGGCGGGAGCACCTGCAGGCTGGGGTCTCAGGCAGCCCCCGGAGCTTGCTGGGAGAGGGTCCCGAGCTGGGGACCCAGAGCTGACTTGAGCTTTGCTGATGACAGACATAGCTCATCAGACAGTTGTCACCCAGGCACCTGAGAACATGGTACTACTCAGGGAAGGGCACATGGGCATTAGCCAGTCTGTAAACATACCGCAAACTCTATAGAAGTAATTGAATAGTAACTATCATGTAATTGCAGGGTAATCACATGGTTATTTTTGCTTTGCAAATTAAAGTGTTACTATGAGATTGAACAATTATGCGGGGTAATTATACCCTGATTCACATGCTAACTCCAAGCAAAATCATCAGGTAAACCCTAGGGTGGGTAGTTACTGTATAAATATGGAGTCGTTGTGACCACATCATTATACATTAGTGGGAGAGTAGCTGGCCTCCTTTGGGATAAGCCTCCCACTGCACCTGACCCTGACTTCCCTACTGAGCACGGCTAGACCCCGAGAGCAACACCGGAAGCCCAGAGGCAGGGCGCCCCGAGACCTCGCACCAGGGGACCTGCTTGATGGGGCCCGTTTTTGAGCATGAAGCACATTCTGAGAAAGTTGTTCTTTTCCTGACACGCTGGGGTTTCGGCAGGGCTGGCTGCCAGCACATTAGGGTGAGAACTGGCTGCAGAGACTGCCTCTGTCACAACCTGGCCTGCAGGCTGGGCCACCTGCACCACACCTGTGCCCCAGGCTGTTCAACTCACTTGTGACTTCGGCCTCACGGCAACCCCACAGGTAACCCCAAGAGCGGGAGGCACCTGTGTGTCAGTCACGCCACCCCCAGGCCTGGAAAAGTACCAGCACCTGTCAGGCAGGCCTGCGTCCTCCCGGAACTTAGTCACTCACACATATGCTGCGATGAGCCACACCCACCCAAGATGCCATCTCTGTCCCTGGGTGCAGGTGACCAGACAGAGGCTGGGGAGATCGTCCCTGGGTGCAGGTTACCAGACAGAGGCTGGGGAGATTGTCCCTGGGTGCGGGCGACCAGACGGAGGCTGGGGAGATCGTCCCTGGGTGCGGGCGACCAGACGGAGGCTGGGGAGATCGTCCCTGGGTGCGGGCGACCAGACGGAGGCTGGGGAGATTTACCCAAAGCCCCCGTTGTTATGCGGTGCAACACTCAGCTCCCAGTGTGCCCTCAGGACCGCGGGCCAGGCTCTCAGCCGTGCGCTGCTGGCATCTGGGACCGAGGGTCTTGGTGGGGGCTGCTCTGACTGTGGCAGCGTGGCAGCTTCCCCGGCCTCACCCATGGGATGGCGGTAGCATCCTCTCCCTATTATACGTTTAATTATAACAATTAAAAATATCTCCAGACACTGTCAAATGTCCCCCGGGGACAAACATTGACTGGTGATCTGGCTTTTACAGGAAAAGGTTGCCCACGCTGGGTCATGACTGGAGTATTGGCTCAAACCAAGTAGCTTCAGGAAATTGAAAAAGGGGATTGTGAGTGACTCAGGGAATTGATAAGTTAAACTATTTCCAATATACACTGGGTGCTATAAATTCATTATATGTATTAAACGCCAAGACCAGGAGTGCTCTGTAAGCCATCAGTGAGCTGCCAAGGTGGCGGGAGCCACATCTGGGAGCCCTCAGTCACATGTTCTGCTTGGGAAGTGCCTGGGGTTGAGGGGGCTGCACACAGTAGGCTCTCAGGCACACAGTAGGTGCTCAGGCATGTAGTAGATGCTCATGCCAGGCCACTGAGACTCATAGGCCCTGTCATCAGCTGAGCATGTTTCTTAGACGAAAGACCTGGCCGCTCCCCCTGCCTCGCTTTTTTTTTTTTTTTTTTTTTTGAGATGAAGTCTCACTCTGTCACTCAGGCTGGAGTGCGGTGGCACGATCTCTGCTCACTGCATCCTCCGCTTCCTGGGTTCAAGCAACTCTCCTGCCTCAGCCTCCTGAGTAGCTGGGACTGCAGGAGCATGCCACCAGCACGCCTGGCTAATTTTTTATATTTTTAGTAGAGACGTGGCTTCACAGTGTTAGCCAGGATGGTCTCGATCTCCTGACCTTGTGATCCGCCCACCTTGGCCTCCCAGGGTGCTGGGATTACAGGCGTGAGCCACTGCGCCAGGACCCCAAGGTGCTGGGATTACAGGCGTGAGCCACTGCGCCTGGCCCCCAAGATGCTTTTACATTTCCACTGGACCCTTGCGGGAGGCGTTGGCTGGGCCGCCCTCCAGGACACTTTGTTCCCTCTGCTCAGGGCATTCTCAAGGCCTCAGCGACACTCGGGCCAGCCTTCCCTTCCCCAGGACACCTGCCCGTTCCCATCCCTGGATGTCCCAGGCCCCAGGAACCCCTGTGCCAGCCATCCTGGCAGCCCACCTGCCCACCTGACACCCTCCCCACACCAGCCTGGGATCCACGGAAAGGCGCGGATGTGTCACCCTTGGGAGCCAAGGCTGCACTGACACCAGGGCCTGTTGTGACCTCAGTTTAAGGGCAGCAAAGCTGTGAGCCAGGTGAGGCTTCTTGGCCAGCTGGAGGCTCTCCTGGGACACGGTGGGGAGTTATTGGGGAGGGCCCAGCATCCCCTTGAAATAGAGTGTTGGGACCTGAAGCAAGAGTCAAGGATACCGGCCGTCCTGGCTGATGGCCCTGAGGCTGGTCTGAGTGCTGCCCTGAGGGGCTGGATGATCCCTGCAGCCTCCTCCCCTCTCGGGGCCTCCGTTAGGAGAGGGCCAGGAAGGTCCTTCCAGCCTCGGCATCCGTGTCTGCCTGTGGACAGAGGCAGGCCTCGCCCCTGGCCCGCCTTCCTTGTAACCTTGACCCCACGAGAGACGCTGGGTCGGGGCGTTGGTGGATGGTGCCCTGCCCTGCATCGCCCCAGGGCGTTGGTGCCCTGCCCTGCATCACCAGCAGCAGCACTCTCCTTGATTAAGCAGCAAGGCAAGGTGGGTGCTGACTCGGAGTCACTCACAGACCGGAAGGCGAATTGCAGAGCCGCACCCTGTAATTTAGTCAAAATGAAAAGGGCAGGAAGGAAAGGTCAATACTGTTTTAAATTAGTCTAACTGCTCCTTTATGTAGAGGACACTGTTGCTCCAAAGGACTGGCGATTTAGCAGTTGGGGAGAAAAGGTCAAGCTTCTTGGTCCTAGGGCAGGTGATAAAAGCCAGTTAAATTTTTGGAAATCATACCTGCAGGTTGTCAATTCTGGCAAATTCTGTACAAATTAGTCTACTCAAAGGCTTGAAGAGAAGGCGTTGCAAACCTCACTGGCAAGCCAGGTGGACTGGGGTGGGATCACCCATACAGGCATGGGGAGGGGAAGGCCTGGGGCTGGGGTGGGGGAGACGGTCAGGCCCTGGCCCGCTCCATCCAGTTTCCTGCAGACCGGATCCCAGGCCCTCCTCACAGAGCACCCCACAGAAGGGCTGCCCCGCAGGGAGGCGCTGCAGAGGGCACCCCAGGTGTCCCCTTGCACTTGGGGTGTGCAAATCTGATCCTTGTCTGCATGAGCGGACAGAGACGGTGCCGGAACGACCCTGTTCAATGTGTAGCACCAACTCCCGGCCACCCACACCAGACACCCTCACCCCCAGTCTGGGGTTTCTGGAGAAGGGGACCAGGGGCGGCTCCCTTCTCCCCGCAGGCTTGCAGGGCTGCTCCTGACCTGTGCTGCAGCTCCTGGCTCCTGTGGGGCCCAGGTTCCCGGGGCTGCGTGGGAGACACAGAAGTGGGGGCACCTCTGCAGCACCCACATCCTGCCGACGCCATGCACGTGAGTGTGCATGTGGGGTGGGGGTGCGCCAGGAAGGCAAAAATCCCAAATGTCAGCGCCCGGTGATTTGAGGAGTTCAGACAAAGCCTTCCCTGGGGCTGTCCTCGGCCCACTTCCCCATCATCCCAATGTCCCTGCAGCCCTTGAAATGGCTCGGATGTGGGGCAGGAGGGCTGGGCGGATGCTGATCTGAGGCCGAGGTTGATGGATTCCGGCTCCCCCAGTGCCGATCCGGCTGCTGCCCCACGTGGGGCTTTGAGGCTGCGGCAACAGAGCCGGTGGGACACGCTCCTGATGCCAGACCCAGGGGTAAGAGCTGCCCCTGCTCCACGGTCTGCGCCACGATGGCTGCCAGAGCGAAAATGGGAGGGAGAGAAGCGCTGTCAGGGCCTCCCAGGGAGGGTGTGTGGCGTGTGGCTTGCTAAGCACCCTCTTTTCTGATCCCGCCCTGAGCAGCTCCCTGGGACTTTTGTTGGTCAAAGCTTCAGCTGTGGTCAGAGGATCCAACGCTGCCGTCAACAGGCAGCTGCTGCCGTATGGCTGCAGATGTGGTTTCTGGAACAGACGGGCCCAGCCCTGCAAGGTGGGCTGGCTCTTTGGCTCTCGAGAGCACCATGGCACAGTGCTGATCTGGGTCCACACGGCCCAGCCACCCGGTCAGCTCGCCTGGTTCTTACATTTCCACTCCACAAACAGAACCCAGACCCAGATCTGCTTCCTCCGCCTCCCGCCCTCCTCGCCCCGCACCGTTTCTTGTCCCACAGAAGCTGTCATGGGTGCTGTGTACCCCACAGGGCGGGAGAGAAAGGTGTGTCCAGGAGCAATCTCGGGAAACAGGGGGCAGAGGATGCGGTGCAGAGCCGAGCTCCGGAGCCACCTTCCTGACCGCCAGAGCCTGACTGCATCCGTATGGCATGAGGTCGGTATCTAGGAGGCCATACTCTTTACCTAACATCCAGGACACAGGAAAAGGACGGAAACAGAAAAAAATACATAAATAAATTCAAGATGCATTTTAAAGAACATGAAAAACTTTAAAAGGACGGGTAATTGTCTAACATTTTGTTAATTCAATCAGGCTTGCAATTTAAAAATAGCTTTGCCTTTTACTGAAAAAGAAATTAATTATAATTTCTTACTGAATCCAGGGAGAGAATTCGGGACTAGGGGGTTCCCTGAGAAGGTCTTCTTACACGTTACCCTCCAATGTCCTGTGGCCAAGGGAGCTTCAACCCCCTCTTTACGAGGGTTCTGGTGGCTGGAGAACTCAGAGACGGCTCTAAAAAAATTGCAAGCTGGCCAGGCACGGTGGCTCACCCCCGTATTCCCAGCACTTTAGGAGGCTGAGGCAGGCAGATCACCTGAGGTCAGGAGTTTGAGACCATCCTGGCCAACACGGTGAATCCCCGTCTCTACTAAAAATACAAAAATTAGCTGGACGTGGTGGCGCACGCCTGTAATCCCAGCTACTCAGGGGGCTGAGGCAGGAGAATCACTTGAACTTGGGAGGTGGAGGTCGCAGTGAGCCAAGATGGTGCCATTGCACCCCAGCCTGGGCGACAGAGCAAGACTTCATCTCAAAAAAATAAAAAAATGTAAACATCGCAAGCTGCACCCAGGTGTGAATCTGGAGGGCGCCTCCTTGGAAAACTTGGCTGGTGACCGCACCCTCAGTTCAAGCTCACCGGCCGCCCTTCCCTGTGCACACACGTGAGCTCTCCAGTATGTTTGGAATATCCCAGAGCCGCTGTCTCCTGGCTGCCCGGCCTCTGTGAGCCGCACTCCAGCCTGAAGGCCAAGACGGCTGCTCTGGAGAAAGAACTTCCCCTGGTGCTGAAGTCCCGAAGGAGAGCCCCATGGGCATGGGGAGGGGAGGGTGCCTCGCCCCCAAGGCTGCGCTGCTCCGCGGCCTGGCCGGGACCACCACACAGAGGCTTCTCTAGGAAACAAGCCACACTCAGTGTGGCAGCAGTGAAGTGCTTTTCTCAGCTTCCTGCTTTCCTCCAGAGAGTAAACCAGTGCCTGACCGTCCGGTTCTCCCTGAATCAACACTCACCGAAAGGAGCTGGTGGAGGGGCCCGTGGGCGACAAACAGCCACAAACCAGACCCCGGGGTCTCCGGAGCTGGGGGCTCTGGGTGGCCCAGGGGTCGTTAATGGGCACGGTTTCCAGTCCAGTCCAGGCCAGCTGTGGTGGGGCTCAGACCCGTCCAGACACTGGGAGCCAGTCACCCCCAGAATAACGAGCTGGGCCTCGAGTTCCAAGTCATCTTTGAGCAGCCGTGTGTCAGCACCGCTGTCCCTGACCACCCCGTGCCGGTCTGCCTCCGTCTCCTCCTTCTCGCTGTACCCCAGGTCGGGAGCTAAAGGGCAATTCAGAGCCTGCTGCCTGCAGGCAAAACGTCTCCCCAGCACCGCAAGTCTGCGCAATTTGAGGCCCAGAAACCCCCTGGACGTAGCTTCTGCTTTTCAAAAACTGTTCATTCGTTTAGCCCCAGGGGACCTCATCCCTGTATGTCCACACTGGGCATCCCAAGGAAGCTGGGGGGGAACCGCACCTGCATCCCTCCAACTCAGAAACCCCCTTCTGCACCGGCAGCTCCGGGCCCGCACTAAGTGTGCAGCGTGGCCATCCTGCGGCTGAGACACAGGGTGTCCGGCAGCGTTTGGATGGATTCTACAATATTTGGGACAGACTTACACTAAAAAATCAGTCACTGCTTCTCCAAACTTCCTGTTGAGCTGGGCACCCTGTGTTTTTGTTTGCTGCGTTTTTGTTTGTTGTATCTGGGTACCCTAAGAATGATCCCAAATTACAAAGTCAGGCCCTGCAGACTCATGGGAGGCAGAATGGGGGCCCCTAAACATGCCCACCTCCCGGTGCACGGAAACTGTGGACACATGAGGCTGCCAGTCAGCCGCCTGACACGGAGGGGTGACCCTGGATTATCCGGGGGGACCCAGTAGAATCTCGGGCCCTTCAACATAGAGGCGGAGGGCAGAGCAGGTCTCAGTGACGAGACACCACTGGCTCTGAAGACGGAGGATGGGACTGAGGGCCGAGGGGTTCTCCCCTGGAGCCTCTAGAAGGAACCAGCCCTCCCAAGACCTGATGTTAGCCCAGGGAGACCATTTCAGACGTCTAACCTGCAGAAATGGAAAGTGTAAGTGTTCTTTTTTAAAAAATTGTCATGAGTACATACAGGGTGTTGCTATTTATGGGGTCCATGAGATATTTTGATACAGGCATCCAATGTGTAATAATCACAACAGGGGAAACGGGGTGAAGCCGCTATGTTTGTGATAATTTTTTAGAGCAGCCATAAAAATATATGTAAATAGGACCTAGTTAGATAACATATATTTTTGGCTTCTGCTCTGTAGAAACTCACACATGATTTGGGGAGTTGTGAAGGCCTGATTTGATTTTGTTTGTTTGTTTGCTTGCTTGCTTGCTTTTGAGCCTGGTGTGCCGGGCGGGCAGGTGTTTCATTGAACCTGGCCCCTTGCTTGTTCAAGTGTTGAGTGAGGGCAGTCTCCAGGTTCCGGGAGCTTCCGAGTGAGCCTCACGCCTCACGGCTGCAGGTCAGAAAGTGATTTGTGGCCCAGAGACCCCCGGACGTAGCTTCTGCTTTTCAGAATCTGTTCATTCATTTAGCCCCAGGGGACCTCATCCCTGAATGTCCACACCGGGCATCAGACCTGGTTGCAGAGTGGGTGGTTCCAGGAGGCAGCAGTGTAGACCAGTGAAGGAGCAGCCAGGGCCTGAGTGAAGCTGGGGCAGCAGAAGCAGCTTTCGATATTTTTTTTCTGCTGAGTCTTGCCAGCTTTTAGTTTAGAAGTTCCTTCCTGGGGAAGAAAGTGGCCGCTTAAATGGCATAAAAAATAATGCACCAGGCAGGGGACCCTTGAGACCCTGGGGCTGGGCTCTGGCTGGGGGCCTCACACGGAGGAGGAGGGATGAGACTCTCAAGGAGGCCAAGGTCCCAGGTCCTGGGCTATCGGAGGCTCCTTGGGGCCTCTGCCTTCCCCAGGAGCAAGCAAGGAAGGAATGTACAGCAGCAGGGCGTGGGCACAGGGCAGCCCCAGGAACAATGGGGATAGTCACGTGGCCCCAGCCTCCACCTCGCTGGCACTCCTCTTGTCCCAGGACAAGCCCAGCCTGCTGCCCGCTGCCTGCTTCTCCTGCATTGGAGGGCTCCAGGCCCAGAATAGCTGCTCGGAGCCAGCATTTGCATCCACGTCTCCTCCACACGTTAGAAAACCTGGACTTTGTTTTGTAACTGCTGGTTCCGCTCAGCAAATAGAATTGTACCTAACTGTGGAGGGGCCCTACACAGTGGCCCGGCCCGGGAGACCCACGAGGGCCTCAGGAGCATGGCTTCTCCCGTCTGCCTCCTGGTTTCTGTCTCTGACCATGTATCTCCAAGCCAGTCAGTCCTGAGTGGCCACAGTGGGGATGGGGCTGCACCAGGGGCCTGCCCTGCTGTGCTGGCCTCTGCCAGGGCTGGGCCCTGCCTGTGAAGGAGCCCTGGGTTGGGCTCTTTTGTGCCCACTCTCAGGTGGGGTTGCGGGAGGCCTGCTTGGCCCCATGGGGATCAGTGTGATGAGCATGACTGGAGGATGTGCGGGCTTAGGATGAGCAGAGGGACCCTACAGAGCCACGACCCCAGGCCCAGGGCCCCTGTTGGCCCCAAAGCGAGTGTGGTGGCCGTCGTTGGGACCCCAACAGGGGGTGGCACTGGCGTGAGGTCTGACACTTGCCAAATTCCTGCGAGCTGACCCCTCGATGGGGCTTGCACTCTAATTCTGCCCCAGGGAAGCCCAAGGTCAGGATTAGCATCCCCCCTGCTTAAGGGACAGCTGAGGCCAGGGTGGGGCTGGGGTGGAATGGCGGGCTGCATGCAGGAAGCCCATGGAGCCCAGATCTGCTCCAGGTCACAACCCTGTACCTGGCTTGGGGTCCACACTCCCCAGACACAGATGGTGGCATGTTCCCCTCGGACTGTCCACCTGTTGTTCGGCCAAGCCCTGACCCTCACAGCAGGCTGCTGAGTTCAAGGATGCCCCTGGGCAGCCAGGCTGGGACCCTTGCCCACTCCCTGGACGCACATCCGCCCGCCGCTGGGTTCACAGGGGAGGGATTAGAAACCTCTCAACGGAACGTCGACGAGGCGAGTGGGGTGGGGATGGGGGTGGGAAGGGGACAGGCCCTCCCCCACACGTGGGGAGATGCATGGCTGTGAGGTGCTGCCTCCGCCTCTGAGGCTGGCGATAGGCTGGATTCAGACACAGCTCGAGCCGCTCACCCTCCACGTCCTGCTTAGGAGGAGTGCGGGGCCGGCTAAATCCCCAATGCCCAGGGCCCAGGGGCATCCCATCCATAGCCTCAAGGTCCCTGGCTTCCCCTGGGGATGGGGCTGTCGCACCTGTGTCCTCCCAGTTCCGAGGTACCATTGATACACACACAGGGGTCCCTGGGGGAGTTTCCTAACTCCTCTTCCTCTGAAGGCCAGGCCTGGGAGAATGAATTCTCCAAGCACCCACCCTCACTGTACCACGGCAGGTTAGAGAATGCGGACAGAGCTGCTTGGCTGCACACCTTGGGGGGGCGTCACCCTCTTTTTAGCCTCAGTTTCCCCATCTGTGCAGTGGGTACCAGAGAGGACTTTACACAGAGGCTGTGCATTCCCTTTTTTTTAATTTTTTTTTTTTGAGTCAGAGTCTCGCTCTGTCGCCCAAGTTGGAGTGCAGTGGCGCGATCTCGGCTCACTACAACCTCCGCCTCCTGGGTTCCAGCGATTCTCCTGCCTCAGCCTCCTGAGTAGCTGGGATTACAGGCGCACATCACCATGCCCGGCTAATTTTTTGTATTTTTAGTAGAGACAGGGTTTCCCCATGTTGGCCAGGCTGGTCTCGAACTCCTGACTTCATGATCCACCTGCCTTGGCCTCCCAGAGTGCTGGGATTACAGGCATGAGCGACCGTGCCCTGACTGAGGCTGTGCATTCCCTAACAGAGGGGGACGTCTGGCTGCCCCCACAAAACAGCAGCTCTGAGCATGTCTAAGGTCAGCCCCTCCCTGCTTTCCTTTTCTCCCTGATCAAATTCATGTGGCTTCCACTCAGCCCCTTCTTCCGGCTCTTACTTAGGAATGCAGATCTACCCCAAACCCCAACACACACTGGAACCCTCAAGGTCCCATCCTACTGAAAGCCAGGTAGCCGGTGCAGTGAGCAATGGACAGATGGATGGATGATGGATGGTGGATGGATGATGGGTAGATGGAGGAATGCATGATGGATGAATGAATGAATAGATTAATGGATGAATTGAGTAGATAGATGAATTGATGGATGGATGATGGATGGATAAATGAATGGATGATGGATGAATAGATTAATAGATGAATGAATGAGTGGATGGATGGATAGATGGGTGAATGCATGGATGGATCATGGATGATGGATGGATGACAGATGCATGGAAGGATAGATGAATGAAAGAATGGGTGAATGGATTAATAGATGAATGAATGAGTGGGTGGATGGATAGATGGGTGAATGCATGGATGGAACATGGATGATGGATGGATGACAGATGCATGGAAGGATAGATGAATGAAAGAATGGGTGAATGGATTAATAGATGAATGAATGAGTGGGTGGATGGATAGATGGGTGAATGCATGGATGGATCATGGATGATGGATGGATGACAGATGCATGGAAGGATAGATGAATGAATGAATGGGTGAATGAATTAATGGATGGATGAATGGATGACAGGCTCTCCATGAGCCGCTCTGCTCTCCTCCATGGCCTCCTGCTCACTGGCCCCTATATCTCACATCCTACTTCCAGTTTAATGGAGACAAGAGTGTCCTCCCCAACCCAAGTTCTCACCCCCATCCCTTCCTCCCTCAGACCCACCTGGAAGAGCTGCTTCTCTTCTCTTGTAGAAGTCTCCCATCCCAAGGAGGTGCCTGGTCTTTCCCCTCAGGAAGGCACCTGGTCCTTCTTCCTCCCTTCCCTCCTGGGAGACATCTGGCCCTTCACCTCCCCCTGCCCCTTCACCTCCTATCAAGGCAGCTCCCTCAGTATTTTCTGCAGACCTTGTTTGTCTCCTGTGACGTTCATACCCTCCCGTTCCCACAGACATTCTTCCATGTCCAGCCCAGACAGAAGGAGGTCCCCCCCTGCCGGATGGATGATTGAGGCTGCCTGTGTGTACACGTATGACTGAGCAATGGACGGAGGTGTCTGTGTGCAGCAGGCATGTGGCACGACCTCGGAAGAGGGAACAAGACAAGATGTCCCCCAAGGTGCCCATGAGGACCCTCCCTGGGCAGCTGGACTCCAGCCCACCTTGGGCTGCAGTGTGCATTGGGGGTGGGGCCAAAGACCCCTCCACATAGAGAAGGCAGCCAAAGGGAGGAGGGAGTGGTCAGAAAAGGTTGTCTCAGCCAGGGAGCGGCTCCACCCTCTCCTGAGGACGCCTGACCTCAGACGTCAGCTCCCGTTAGAGACCCCCGTATACCCCCTGCCTAGAGCCAAACTCTGAGAGTCTCTGGATGGACTGAGGGGTGGGACAAGGAAAAAAAGGAAGGAGGGAGGGAGAGAAGCAGCAAGGAGGGGTCGCCTGGCCCGGCTCCCCCAGTGAGGAAAGGGGCTGTGGCACAGAGATTCCATCTGCAGGGCTGGGGGCAGCCGAGAATGGCACCTCCAACGCCCACGGCAGGGGCCCACCCGCCTGCCTCCTCCGGGACCACCGGGCCTGGCTCCTCTCACAGACTCTTTGAGAGCGTATTTGTGAAACGTAGCATATTGTGGGTGATTAGATTTAAATTTCAATACACTTTGTTAAAAATAGAGTTGGCTCTCGCCAAGAGGAGGCCGCAGGAAGGGGCTCTCAACGGCTCGTCTTTGGAATATTAATAGTATGGAAATGTTATTAGAATAATTTTTCATCATGAATAATAAATTAATGGAATAATTCGGCAGCGCCACGTGACATACCCTGCTAAGAGGGGCTTTGTTTTAACAGAATGGGGAGGGTGGGTTTGGGGTGT